>NC_000005.10:43905799-44538324 GCF_000001405.40 Homo sapiens | reverse complement strand
TAACTATCTTTTTTTTTTTTTTTTTTTTTTTTGAGACAGAGTCTCACTCTGTCGTGCAGTGGCGCGATCCTGGGTCACTGCAAGCTCCGCCTCTCAGGTTCACGCCATTCTCCTGCCTCAGCCCCCCCAGTAGCTGGGACTACAGGCGCCCGCCACCATGCCCAGCTAATTTTTTGTATTTTTTAGTAGAGACAGGGTTTCACCGTGTTAGCCAGGATGGTCTCGATCTCCTGACCTCGTGATCTGCCTGCCTCGGCCTCCCAAAGGGCTGGGATTATAGGCGTTAGCCACCGCGTCCAGCCGAAATTAACTATTTTCTGATCTTGATCTTAGCTGTAGCATTTTAGGTATCAGTAAAAAGCCTTATGCAAATGACTATTCAATAGTAATCAGTATTGCTAAGAATTGAATTAGGAAAAAGCCAAAAATAGGGAACCTATGGCATGCTAGTCTTTCTAGAAGACCAAGACCACAATTAAAGGGATGTTGTCCATTACCAAGTACATTTGCTGTGTCATATAAAACTACTAATTCTGGGAAGGGCAATACACATATATTCTGGACCACTGATACACTACTAATAGGACATAACACTCATGAATATTTTGCTGTAAGACAACTGCAAGCAGGCAAAAGAAAGGAAAAATACAGTGCTCATCCACATTAGAAAATGATTATTTTCCTCATCTAAAAAAATCACCACTTCATTTAGATGCTCAGCCATCCTAATTTGATTAAACTTAATCCAACTTAAAAAATGTGTGTACATAAAATATACATATTTTTATTAAAATACTTTTTTATTTACTGCAAATACAGTTCCTGAAGTTATATGATATATGTGTCTTTAGTCAATGATGACATAAAGATGAAAAGTTTGGTTTGTTTCTATACTGACTGCGTTACATTCTAAGTGGCAAACTGAGTAAGACAATAAAGATATTTAATGTGAGAAATCACAGCTTTAACAAATATGAACAAAGTGCTTTGGCAGACCAGAGATGTCAGGATTAATAATCCTGCTTTTTTTTTAGAGGGAAGTAATCCAAGAAATTTCAGACAACAACACCTTTGAGGTAGATCATTACAGGTTTGACCTCTTTTTCAGCAAAAGCTTTTAATTAAATCTAAAGTGCAAGGCCTGTGGCAGGAAAGGCCCTCCAGACAGAAGAGCATTTGCAAAGGCATGGAAAAATGGAAATTCAGTTAACAGTTGGTGTTCCCATGCGACTAAATATTAGAGATCAAAAGAAAGAAAGAGGTCACAGTAAAAAATAAGGAAGACTTTTATACAATGCTAAAGGTTTTCTGTTTTACCTATAGACAATAAGAAAGAGTTATCAAAACTGACAGCATTTATTCATAAATGGATTAACGATGAAAAAAACTCTATAAAAATCACCAGGAGAGCCAAAAGATCCAAGATTGCATGGTTCAAATTCACCTGGACCTTAGCTGCAGTTTGGCACCACCTGGTGGCCATTTCTAATTGGGTTTAAATATCCATGGGGAAGATTCTGGTTCCTGCGGGGTGACTGGACTTCTATGACATAGTCAATGATTCCAGTAGGTTAATGGCCCCTGCTTCCTAGATGTAATTTTTTTGGGCTAGGAGAGTGCTGGCAACATGGTTTCCTGCAGTACCTGCCCTATTTTTTTCTTCACTCTTCTTTTCTTGCCTTTTGGCCACCTTAAGAGAATGATTGCAGAGGGCTGGTTAGAGGATAGGAAACGATCTCCAATCCCTTTGCACTATTGTAACATTCATTAGCCTTAAAATTTAGATGACTACAATGGAAATGACAAGAGCATTAAAGATTGCCTAGCATTCTCTTTCTCATCATAATATTGAGTTGGATGTGTACCTTGATAATCAGTTTGAAAAACTGATGAGGAACATGAAATGGCAAAAGTTATCGACACCTATAAAATCCACAATTTTGAGGAATAAAATTATCTACGAGATGATCCAGTGCTAATTTTTTACTTCTATGTGTTTAGCAGATAAAGAAACTGAGGCCTAGAAAGATTCACTTCCCTTTATATACAGTTATACAGAGTATAGTAAGAATAAAGATCTGGCTAAAATTTTGTTTTACTTGAGTGATTTTCACATTTCTCTGAATGAGGTAGATTTGGAAAATAAACTCATCACCAAAAAATCCTTTTAACACATATCAAAAAAAAAAATGGAGGGCAGATAGATCCAAGCCCATTCCACATTAGCACAATACAAGAATCAGACCAAGTTTCAAAAGTTTTAAACACAAATCATGTTTCCGATGTTTTAAATACTCTGGTTGACTTTTTACGAAAAAGTTTTTTAAAAGTGCACATACCCTCTAATTTTATGAAATCGACCCAAACCACAAGTTAGAAGTATCAAAACAAGCAAAAAACAAGCAAAATAAACAAACAAACAAAATCTAGGCAAACAAAGACAGAAACAAAACAATTCTCCAAGGACTTCTAACTCAAATCATATCCCAAAATAAAGAATGGGCTTAGGGCCAACTTCCAGAGTAAGGAAATTTAGATTCATTTCTGAATGCTTGGATACTTCCTTGAACAGCAAGTGACTAAACTCTCATAAACTTAACCATATAAGCAACATCTTTCGTCTGTCTTCTCACTGCTAGAGCAAAATGAAAATGACTACTCCCTCCTCAATTTGAAAAATATTACTATTGCCTGGGTAGTTAAGAAGTCCCAGATACATAATTCTTTATAATAAATAACAGAAAAATGTAGAGCAATATAAAAATAACTCATAGATGAGAAAATTTTGGGTAAAGATAATGATAATAACTCTTTGCAATGTCATTTAGCAAATGCACTGAATGTTTCTTTTTGATAGAGCAAAATCGTCACAATGAAGTAATTTTCAAGAACAACAGTAACATCCAATGATGACCTATGAAATGACAAGGGTAGTCATGGTTAGATCTGGCACTGGGCAGGATGATAAAAACAAAATGACATATATCACTTTTTCAATTCTCAAAAAATCACCATCCATCCAGATAGCAGATGTCATGAATGCCCTGTGCCATACCCCCAGGTTACCTCTGAGTTCACCTGTAGCTAAGATGGACATTTCCTGTAACCATTGACAGGGAATCTTTCTGCTTTACTGCCTGAGGCCTTTCTCTGGCTCCAGGAGAACTTTTTCAGACTGTCCACAGCTTGAGTGGGGATTAAATCTGGGGATTTAATAGCACCAAGAGTAACATTCAAAATGATGAGGAAAATGAGTTAATGGTAAATACCTCAGGTGCCTTGTCCTTCTGTGGTATAATTCTGAGGCATATTCTGCACAGTGGCTCAGAGGGCTCCCAGTAGGCTTGAGCCGCAGGTGCTAACATTGGGAACTCACTCACATTCACATTCTATGGATTCTGCTCACTTTTCTGTCTTCCCTTTCTACTCAAACTTACTGTGAGAAGCTCCCTAAAAAGTTACCTGCAGCTGGACTTGGTGGCTCAAGCCTGTAATCTCAACAAGGTGGGAGGATTGTTTAAGCTCACAAGTTTGAGACCAGCCTGGGCAATATAGCAAGACCCTGCCTCTACAAAACATACAATAAAAAAAATAGCTGGGAATGGTGGCACACACCTGTTGTCCTAGCTACTGAGGAGTCTGAGGCAGGAGGATCGCTTGAGTCCAGAAGATTGAAGCTGCAGTGAGCTGTGATCATGCCACCGTACTCCAGCCTGGGCAACAGAGTGAGGCCTGTCTAAACAGAAAAGCTACCTGCATTCAAGTTCTTGTCACAATATCTGCTTTTGGAGGAATATCAGCTACAACATTCCAGGTGTCTGTCTAATATTCCCTGTGTTACCTTCTCATGTGCTGCCAATTAATCTAGCTTAATAGGCACTGGGCTGTGAGTTTAGAGGTTGAATTCTAATCCTGTTAATTTATTGTGTGTCCTCTGTGAGACTTAGTTTTGCTCACTGAAAAATTAGGAGGTTGGATTTTATGTTCCATAAAGTGCCACTGGGGCTCTGCTCATTCTTTATCTTTTATTTTATTTTAGGCTGGAAAAAAACAGATAGTACTGGGAAACAAAAATGAATGGAATAATAATCTGTCACAGTCTTGTCTGAGAACCAGGATACATTTGCACTTCTTAACTTGTGTTAAATTATTGTTTATTACCTGGCAACTCCACTATAGTGTGAGCTCCTTGAGGCTAAGAAAGATGTCTTATTTATCTTTCCATTGCTAGATTTTAGCACAGTCCCACATAGGTGTTTAATAAACATAGTATTTAATAAAAGCATTATTAATAAATTAATAACTAGTATATACAAAAAGGAAAAGTAAGAAGACTATCTAGATACATGGAAGAGACAATATAAGAAATATGTTAAATTAAGGCCAGACACAGAGGCTCATGCCTGTAATCTCAGCACTTTGGGAGGCAGAGGTGGAAAAATTGCTTGAGGCCAAGAGTTCAATATCAGCCTGGGCAATATAGTGAGACCCTCATCTCTACAAAAGCATTTTAAAAATTATCCAAGTGTGATGGCACACACCACTCGTCCCAATTACTCAGGTGGCTGAGACAGGAGGATCATCTGAGCCCAGGAGGTCGAGGCTGCAGTGAGCTATGATCATGCAGCTGCACTCCAACCTGGGTGACAGAGTGAGAACCTGTCTCAAAAAAATTAAAAAAGAAGAAATATGTTAAGCGAGATGGGGCTAGATTATAGTGTTCTGAGTAATGGATATTGGGCTTAAGCCAAAGGCCCTACCAACACACAAAGTATTTTTGGGCAGGAATGACATGATAAGAGAGAGAAAGGTGATACAGGAAGGAAAGAGAGAAGGGAAAGAATGAAGTGAAGCAGCTCTCTATTTAGCTCTCAATTGCAACATAATAACTAAAAAAAGCTTTTTCAAAGTTTCACACAGTTACAATGAAAATATAATTCTTGTGTTTGTATGATTATTAAACAGTAAATCAATAAATGTTATTTATGGATCATAAACATATGATATTCATAAATAGGTGCAAACTATGGCATAATGATTGGCTCATAATTCATTTCGGTATTTCATGTACTTTCAGTGAAAATATTTTTGATGTTACCAAGTTGGTATTACTTTGTTTATTTCACAGTTCTTAGTCACCAGGCTTAGTTCACAAATTCCAACTGTTTGCAGAAATCAAGTTCATCTTCAGGAAATGAAAATGTTTCAACATTGAAGAAGTTGAAAACAGTAGAGACATCAAAACCCATTTACATAAATAATATCTATTACATCTATTAAATTAGAATAAATTCTATTTTTATAGTCATTACTTTTATTAAAAGAACTAATTATTCCAAGATGAGTTAGCTCCAGCTAGCAAAGACAGAGAAGCCTGAGAGTCAGTTTCAAAATCTTTCTGCTTATCCTTCTCACCCAATCACCTGCTCTGACATAAGCATAGCATACCTGCTCTTGCTGCATCTAGAAAATGAATTCACCAGCAGAGCACTGTCCTTATGGCCAAAAGCAACGGAAGGCATACAAATACTGCAAAGAAAACTTGCTTTTATCTAAGAATCCTTTCTAATAGGCCATTGACTTTTTTTCTTCTTCTTCTTCCTCCTTCTCCTACTCCTCCTTCCTTTCCTCCTTTCCTGCTCCTCTGCTTCTCCTCCCTTCCTTCCCTTCTCCTCCTTTCTTCTTCTCCCTGCTTGGATTTCTCTCCTGGACTCATGTACCTGCCGGGACAATCTCAGGTCCTAAATGAGCTTAAATAGACCTCCTAGCACCAAAACATACACAAATACTGGTTTAAAATAAACATATACAGTACATCAAAATGCCATCATCATTCTTCACAGAACTAAAAAAAAAAATCCTAAAATTCATATGGAACCAAAAAAGAGCCCACAGAACCAAAGCAAGGCTAAGCAAAATAATAAATATGGAGGCATCATATTACCTGACTTCAAACTATACCACAAGGCCATAGTCACCAAAATAGCAGGTACTGGTATAAAAATCGGCACGTAGACCAATGGAAGAGAATAGAGAACCCAAAAATAAAGACAAATACTTACAGCCAACTGATCTTCAGCAAAGCAAAGAAAAACAGAGTAGGGAAAGGACACCCTATTCAACAAATGCTGCTAGGAGGGAAAGGACACCCTATTCAACAAATGCTGCTAGGATAATTGGCAGCACTTGTGGAAGAATGAAACTGGATCCTCATTTCTCACCTTATACAAAAATCAACTCAAGATGGATCAAAGACTTAAATCTAAGATCTGAAACCATAAGAATTCTAGAAGATTACATCATTAAAACTCTTCTAGACATTGGCTTAGGCAAAGAATTCATGACTAACTTTTGTTGCATAGCAAATGCAACAAAACAAAAATAAACAGACGGGGCCTAATTAAACTAAAAAAGCTTCTGCACAGCAAAAGAAATAATCAACAGAGTAAACAGGCAACCCACAGAGTGAGAGAAAATATTCACAAACTCAGCATCTGACGAAGGACTAATATCCAGAATCTACAAGGCACTTAAACAAATAAGCAAGAAAAAAATAAAATAATCCCATCAAAAAGTAGGCTAAGGACATGATTAGACAATTCTCAAAAGAAGATATACAAATGACCAGCAAACATGAAAAAATGCTCAGCATCACTAATTACCAGGGAAATGCAAATCAAAATCACAGTGCAATACCACCTCACTCCTGCAAGACTGGCCATAATTAAAAAATCAAAAAACAAAAGATGTTGGCATGGGTGTGGTGAAAAGGGAACACTTTTACACTGCTGGTGGGAATGTAAACTAGTACAACCACTATGGGAAACAGTATGTAGACTCCTTAAAGAACTAAAAGTAGAACTACCATTTGATCCAGCAATCCCACTGAGTCCGGAATTGGTTCCTTCCAGTGGGTTCTTGGTCTCGCTGACTTCAAGAATGAAGCTGTGGATCCTTGTGGTGAGTGTTACAGTTCTTAAAGATGGTGTGTCTGGAGTTTTTCCTTCAGATATTCAGATGTGTCCGGAGTTTCTTCCTTCTCAGACTTCAGGAGTGAAGCTGCAGATGTTCGCAGCAAGTGTTACAGCTCTTAAAGATGGTGGGTCTGGAGTTTGTTCCTTCAGATATTCAGATGTGTCTGGAGTTTCTTCCTTCCGGTGGGTTCGTGGTCTCGCTGACTTCAGGAATGAAGCCGCAGACCCTCACAGTGAGTGTTACAGCTCATAAAGGTAGTATGGACCCAAAGTGAGCAGCAGCCAGATTTATTGTAAACAACCAAAGAACAAAGCTTCAACAGCATGGAAGGGAACCTGAGCTGGTTGCCGCTGCTGGCTAGGGTGGCCAGCTTTTATTCCCTTATTTGGCCCCAGCCACATCCTGCTGATTGGTCCATTTTACAGAGCTCTGATTGGTGCTTTTACAATCCTTTAGCTAGACACAGAATGCTGATTGGTGCATTTACAATCCTTTAGCTAGACATAAAAGTTCTCCAAGTCCCCACCCGATCCAGAAACTCAGCTGGATTCACCTCTCACCACTACTGGATATCTACCCAGAGGAAAAGAAACAATTATATGAAAAAGACACCTGTACATGGATATTTATAGCAGCAAAATTTGCAATTGTAACAAAATGGAACCAGCCTAAATGCCCATCAACCAACAAGTGAATAAAGAAGATGTTACATATATATACCATGGAATACTACTCAGTCATAAAAAAGGAACAAAATAATGGCATTTGCAGCAATCTGGATGAAATTGGAGACCATTACTCTGAGTGAAGTAACTCAGAAATGGAAAACCAAGCATTGTATATTCTCACTTATAAGTGGGAGCCAAGCTATGAGCATGCAAAGGTATAAAAATGATATAATGGACTCTGGGGACTCAGTGGGGAAGGTTGGGAGTGGAGTGAAAGACAAAAGACTAACACGGAAAACAGTGTACACTGCTCAGGTGATGGTCCACCAAAATCTCAGGATAACTACCACTAAAGAAGTTATCCATGTAAGCAAACACCATCTGTTACCCAAAAACTATAGAAATAATAACAAATAAAATAAAACAACATAGCCAAGATCAAAAGAAATAATGAAAAATTGGGAAAAGTGATAAGGATATTCAAATCTAGAGTTTTTGGTGTACAAGATAACACAAAGTATCTTAAATGTGCAAGATGTTATACAAGGCTGAGAATCACAGTGGGGTGGTCAAGCGTATATACTAATGACCAGAAGCTGAAATTTTTCAGCCACAAGAGAACATGAGATTTGGCCTTGGTCCCATGCAAGACGCGGAGCTGGTTCATGATATAAGCAGATATCATGAATGTAATTTATAATAATTCTGGGGAAGACAGTTGGGGAAAAGTAAACTTGGTGTGAAAGTGTAACCACCCCAAACACAATTTATAAGAAAAGAAAATGTACCTTTACCATGGAGATATCTGGAAATCCCCACCTTTACTACGTGACCAAATTTACCATTGTTCATGAGAGACAACCTAGCATGTGTCACTTGATGCAATGAAATATGAAGTGAACTGTACTGCCCATGACGTATCTCCACCAGAAAAATTTAAGCTGAATCTGAAGTCTCTGAACCTCCAGTTTATAGGCAATAAAGAACCAAATAAAACAGTAACATGAGAAACAATCAGACAAACTCAGAAAGTGGATAATGATGAAAGAAAATTGTCCTGGGAACTTCCAAAAATCAATGACATAGGAAAAGAAGGTAGAAGGATTGTTCTAAGTGTAAAAGCGCTAAAGAGACATAACTGCCAAATGGAATCAGGATCTTTGACTGGATCCTGGATAGAAAATATAAATCAATAAAGGACATTTGGGGACAATTGAACTTTGAATATATACTGGATACCTTATTTTATTGAGGAATTATTTATTTTCATAGGAGAATGTCCTTATCTTCAGAAGGTACGTATTAAACTGTTTAGGAATGAAATGGCATGATCTCTGATAGTTACTTTCAAATAGTACCACATTAATAAATTGAGTGTGTGTGTGTGTTTAGAGATAGAAAGCAAATGTGACGTTGATAACAATTGTTGAATTCAGGTGAAATGTGCATTGGTGTTTATGATACTATTCTTTCAATTCTTCTGTATTCTTTAATTTTTTTCAGAATAATGCATTTGGGGAAGATTTAATAGAAAATGTGCTAGGATCTTATAGAGTTTTACAATTTTTTATTCTTTTATACTCATTTATGGATGTCACCAGTGTTTTCTCTGTTGTTAAAATTCTATTTTAATAGGGTAAAAAATGTCCAGATGAAAATATACATCTATCTATGACACAAAAACACCAAAAGATCCTGTTTAATTTCAGCTCGGTAAAGAGAAAAGGTGCTAAAAGTAGCTGTAAATTAACCATTGTACCATGTCTGTATTTTCTTTATAACATTGGATTCTCTCTCTTTTAGCCATATGTGCCAAGTCATGAACACATTTTTAAGCAAACTTCAGACTAAACATGAATGCTTATATTTTAAAAATGGAAGATACTATCTAGTTAAAAGAAATATCAGAACTGTAATTCTCTGGCTACATTACAGTCCTGAAAGGCACAGTAAAAGTATCTTTTATTCTGAAACTTAATTTCTTCTATTATACAATAAGAATTACTTGACAGTTTATCCTCCTTTTACTTCAAGAGCAGCCTGGAATAAAAAAGATTCTAAAAGAACAATCTATTATGATTAATTCTTCTATTTTATCATTATATTAAAAAAGAATGACCTAGAAAATAATGTAATGATAAAGGATCTAGATCATCCAGATCACTTTTAAAAATAAACTGTACACATAATTTCTAATTGAGCATGTACAGTTTAAGTAACTTTATAATGGATTTTGTTGTTGATTTGTATGAGAATATCTCCCTCATATGCTGGAGGAGCTCAATTCAGGCCTTTGGAGACTGGGATCCTAGACCTGAGCAAGGGTTTGGTGTACAGGGAATTGGAGCAGCAGGAAGCTTACTTGGACCAGAAGGTAGCCAGAACCAACCAAATTTCTATTACATCAACACTGTTGTGGGGAGAGTGAAACTAAGAATGACGGGGAAGTAGAAAGCTGATCTTGTTTTGAAGAGAGTTGAAGCAGTCATGGATAAGGAAGATTTCTGACTACCAGGATACATCTCTGGGCTTCAGTTTCCTCAAGGCAAGTCACTGTAAGAACGGACAGAAATAAAATGCAAGTTATTTAGACCATTGCTATGGAATAAATTTTATCCCTGTCAAATTCATATGTCGAATCTCTAAACTCCAGTGTGATGGTATTTGGAGACAGGGCTTTTAGGAGGTAATTGGTTTTTGATGACAGCATGAGAATGAGGCCCTCATTATGGGTTATTGCCATTATAAGAAGAGAAAGGGACACCATATCTCTCTGTCTATACCATCTGAAGACACAGTGAGAAAGTCACCATCTGCAAACCAGGAGGGGAGTGCTCATCAGAACCTCACCATGTGACACCCTAATCTTGGACTTCCATCCTTTAGAATTTTAAGAAAATGAAGGTCTGCTTTTTAAGCCACTAAGTCTATAATATTTCATTTTGGCAACCTAAAAAGACTGATACAACACCCATATTATGTAAATGTTGAAAATTAGAGTGACAGAATATGGATATAGTTAGTATACATATTTTAGAAAAGTATTCAATTAAAAACTGATATAAAACTTCAGAAATTGTCATATTAAAAAAGAATTTCAATAAATGAAAAAATGCAATAGGTAAAAGCAAACACTCAATAATTTGGTTCATTAACAATTTAGCCATAGTTGAAGAAAGAATCCATAAACAGAAAAACTACATTGGGAACTCATGCAAAATGTAGCAAAGTTAGGAAAATGCAAAATGTTATTTCTTAAAAAAAAGAGCTTAAGATATAGGCAGGGTCAAATAAGAAGGTCTAATATATGTCTATTTGGAGTACTGAAGCCCAGATACAGGAAGCACAATATATAGCAAGACATACAAATAAAAAGAAATTCATATCTGGACACATTACAGGAAAACTAGGGATTAAAACCACCAAAGATAAAGAGAAAAGCTTTAAATGATCCAGATAGAAAGAATGGATTAATTACCAAGATTGGCAGTGTTCTCAATTACAACAGTGGCAACTAAAACATAGTTTAAAGTTTTTCAAAGTTTCAAAGAGAGAAAATAACTACCAACCTAGAATTTTGTTTTTAACTAATTTCTTTCTCAAAAACAAGAGTCAACTAAATACATGAAGGGATAAACAACATCAAAAATGCTTCATCTAAATTAAATTCTGAAGGAAAAAAAATAACACCAAGGAACATTAAGAGATTCAGGTTGAGTGGTGAACACAAACAGAAACATAGAAGTAAAAGATGAGAGAAAGTGTCTTTACAAATATGATACTTCTAAAAATGGTTTTCAATTTGTGGGGTGAATAAATACAAAACTTAAGTATTAAACAATAATAGTATATGAATTGGAAAGTGGAAGATGAGAGTTAAACTGTTCAACAATCCTTTTTTTTTTTTTTTGAGATGGAGTCTCCCTCTGTCGCCCAGGCTGGAGTGTAGTGGCGCGATCTAGGGCTCACTGCAACATCCGTCTTCTGGTTTCAAGCAATTCTCCTGCCTCAGCCTCCCCAGTAGCTGGGACTACAGGAGCCCGCCACCATGCCCGGCTAATTTTTTGTATTTTTAGTAGAGACGGGGTTTCACCCTGTTAGCCAGAATGGTTTCCATCTCCTGACCTCGTGATCCACCCGCCTCAGCCTCCCAAAGCGCTGGGATTACAGGCGTGAGCCACCGCGCCCGGCCTCAACAATCCTTTTATTATTTGAGATGAGAATGGAGCATCAAGATAGGGTGCGATTTTAGGCTTTCAATATGTGTGGTGTTAGAGTTGTATTTCTGCTTATAAAAAGCCATAAAACAACTTTGTACTCACCTTAATATTGAGAAAAAGCCAGATACAACGTCATAATTGTTCTTTAAATTATCAGGAAGTGACCAGATTAATTAAATTCAAAATAATGACAAGTCCCTCCAAGGAGAGATCAAGTAAATAAATTCCCCTTTGTTTCCCCTTTGACAGACCATGAGAGGCTGCAGGAACCATGATAATGATGGCTAAGAAAAAATGACTAAGTTTTAAAAAAATTTCTTAAAGGCCAATCATGATTTAGCAAGACACTATAGAGTAACTGGAAGCCCCAGATACAAGGAGAGTTTACACCAATTTACAGGCTCATTCCTGTGGGTTTCTACTGGGTACTCATGAGAAAAATTCAGGGCAAGGCAGGAGAACAGAGGGAAAATACTGTCAGTGATATTTTGGCATAAAACCATAAAACTTACAAGGACCTCTCTCTTCTACAAAACAAAAGCCTTAGGACACCAGGAGTGATGGGCAGGAAACCCTTTCACCTCCAGGGACCAGGCAAAAATTCATTGTTTTTGATAATAGGATAGAAGCAAAACCCTTCTGCTTATGGAGGAAGGACAAAAACAAACCTAAAACAAACCACTCCTAGAAGTCAGGCAAAGATCTACTAATTCCCAGGAAGGGGCAGAAGTAAAAGCTGACTGCCTCTGAGAGGGGGAAAAGAAAGTTTCTCCTATACAAGATTCTGTGCTGATACAAAGCTGATACAAAACTGATCTATGACTGCTGGCAGAGGGGCAGGAAATTATTTACCACCCAAGTATCTCACAGATTCAAGGAAGAATTTGGATACTATGGATTGGGAGGCAGGGGTGCTACAAAAACCTCATCCCCAGGTGCACAGGGCCTGCCTAATACTGAGGCTGGAACAAGAGTACTAACAATCCCTCTTTCCCCACCACAAGACAAGCATTTAGCAACTAATGAAAGAACTCTTTGTGAAAGGGACAAAACTACGAGAGATACCTTCTATTGTACAGGCAAGCAGGGATTTTTGAAAGCTGAGGGTAAAATAGGAATACTAGAAAACCTTTTAGTATTTCAGGCCCCATGTGAAAAGCTACAAACCACTCCTGGGGGAATTTGAAGCCTGTAGTACATAGAAAATAACTACAGCAACAACAACAAGCACAAACATGACCAAAAACTGACTAGATTGACTCATACTTTGATAGAAGAAATAGCATGCCAATTATTTGGTATAGATATGGCTTACCTCCATTTGTACTATTCTTCTACAGATAATGTTGACATTCAACCAGAAGTATGAGATATTTAAAAAGCAAGAAAAGAGTTGTCATGTAGTATAGTTTGAAGTCAGGTAGCGTGATGCCTCCAGCTTTGTTCTTTTGGCTTAGGATTGACTTGGCGATGCAGGCTCTTTTTTGGTTCCATATGAACTTTAAAGTAGTTTTTTCCGATTCTGTGAAGAAAGGCATTGGTAGCTTGATGGGGATGGCATTGAATCTGTAAATTACCTTGGGCAGTATGGCCATTTTCACGATATTGATTCTTCCTACCCATGAGCATGGAATGTTATTCCATTTGTTTGTATCTTCTTTTATTTCCTTGAGCAGTGGTTTGTAGTTCTCCTTGAAGAGGTCCTTCACATCCCTGGTAAGTTGGATTCCTAGGTATTTTATTCTCTTTGAAGCAATTGTGAATGGGAATTCACTCATGATTTGGCTCTCTGTTTTGTCTGTTGTTGGTGTATAAGAATGCTTGTGATTTTTGTACTTTGATTTTGTATCCTGAGACTTAGCTGAAGTTGCTTATCAGCTTGGTACCAAAACAGAGATATAGATCAATGGAACAGAACAGAGCCCTCAGAAATAACGCCACATGTCTACAATTATCTGATCTTTGACAAACCTGACAAAAACAAGCAATGGGGAAAGGATTCCCTGTTTAATAAATGGTGCTGGGAAAACTGGCTAGCCATATGTAGAAAGCTGAAACTAGATCCCTTCCTTACACCTTACACAAAAATCAATTCAAGATGGATTAAAGACTTAAATGTTAGACCTAGAACCATAAAAACCCTAGAAGAAAACTTAGGCATTACCATTCAGGACATAGGCATGGGCAAGGACTTCATGTCTAAAACACCAAAAGCAATGGCAACCAAAGCCAAAATTGACAAATGGGATCTAATTAAACTAAAGAGCTTCTGCACAGCAAAAGAAACCACCATCAGGTTGAACAGGCAACCTACAAAATGGGAGAAAATTTTCGCAACCTACTCATCTGACAAAGGGCTAATATCCAGAATCTACAATGAACTCAAGCAAATTTACAAGAAAAAAACAAACAACCCCATCAAAAAGTGGGCAAAGGACATGAACAGACACTTCTCAAAAGAAGACATTTATGTAGCCAAAAAACACATGAAAAAATGCTCACCATCACTGCCCATCAGAGAAATGCAAATCAAAACCACAATGTGATACCATCTCACACCAGTTAGAATGGCAATCATTAAAAAGTCAGGAAAAAACAGGTGCTGGAGAGGACGTGGAGAAGTAGGAACACTTTTACACTGTTGGTGAGACTGTAAACTAGTTCAACCATTGTGGAAGTCGGTGTGGCGATTCCTCAGGGATCTAGAACTAGAAATACCATTTGACCCAGCAATCTCATTACTGGATATATACCCAAAGGACTATAAATCATGCTGCTATAAAGACACATGCACATGTATGTTTATTGCGGCATTATTCACAATAGCAAAGACTTGGAACCAAGCCAAATGTCCAACAATGATAGACTGGATTAAGAAAATGTGGCACATATACACCATGGAATACTATGCAGCCATAAAAAATGATGAGTTCATGCCCTTTGTAGGGTCATGGATGAAATTGGAAATCATCATTCTCAGTAAACTATTGCAAGAACAAAAAAACAAACACCACATAGTCTCACTCATAGGTGGGAATTGAACGATGAGAACACGTGGACACAGGAAGGGGAACATCACACTCTGGGGACTGTTGTGGGGTCGGGGGAGGGGGGAGGGATAGCATTGGGAGATATACCTAATGCTAGATGACGAGTTAGTGGGTGCAGCGCACCAGCATGGCACATGTATACGTATGTAACTAACCTGCACATTGTGCACATGTACCCTAAAACTTAAAGTATAATAATAATAAATTAAAAAAAAAAAGAAAAAAGTTGTCAAGAGATAAAATAATCAACAGAACCCAACCTGAGATAATGAATGTTGGAAATACAAGGCATGGAATTTATCATAACTTTAAATATAATAAAAGATTTAGAGTAAATGTGTAAAACATGCATGAATTTTAGCAGAACAGTGTAACTATAAAACAGGTGGATGGAAATGCTAAAAGCAAAAACGTGGCCTCAGAGATAATCTCTTTGACAGTCTACCCAGAAGACTGGTCATGGCCCAGCAAAGAATTGGCGAGCTTGATAAGTCAGTATAAAGTGTGTAAACTGAAACACAAGGAGAAAAGGGTGAAGAAAAAGAGCATTTGAACCTGTGAGACAATATAAATGGTCTAATATATGTGTAATTGGAATCTATGAAGGAGGAGAGATAACAAGGCAAAAAATATTTGAGGAGATACTGGCCAGGAATTTTCTTTTTTAAGACAGGGTCTCACTTTGTCACCCGGGCGAGAGGGCAGAGGTGCAATCATGGATCACTGCAGCCTCGACCTCCTGGCTCAAGCAATCTTCCCACCCCAGCCTCCTGAGTAGCTGAGACTACAGGTGCATGCTACCATGCCCAGCTAATTTTTTAAAAAAAATTGTAGAGACAGGGTCTCACTATGTTGCCCAGGCCAATAATTTTCAGTATTAATGATAGAAAACAAGCCACAGATCAAAATGGCTCTAAAACCTCCAACCAGAGTTTAAATTTTAAAACAAAAACAACTAAACACATTGAGGGCAAATAGCTTAATTTTTTTAAATTGAAGTACATTTCTCATGAGAAACTGTATAAGCCAGAAAACAATAAAGCACTAAAAGGAAAAAATAAAAACTTAGCTAACTAGAAATCGTACCCAGAAAAAGATCTTTCAATAATGATGGTAAAATAAAAGCTCTCTTGGCCAGGTGCGGTAGCTCATGCCTGTAATCCCAGCACTTTGGGAGGCCGAGGTGGGCAGATCATGAGGTCAAGAGATCGAGGCCATCCTGGCCAACATGGTGAATCCCCATCTCTACTAAAAATACAAAAATTAGCTGGGTGTGGTGGCTCATGACTGTAGTCCCAGCAACTCATGAGGCTGAGGCAGGAGAATCGCTTGAACCTGGAGGCAGAGGCTGCAGTGAGTCAAGATCGCGCCACTGCACTCCAGCCCGGCAACAGAGCGAGGGCCCATCTCAACAACAACAACAAATCTCTCTTAAGTACATAAAAAGGAGAGATTTCAAATTTGGATTTACACAAAGAAACAAAGAGCCCTGAAAATGATTAAAATTAGAGTAAATATAAAGTATGTTCTTTATTTTTAATTACTTTAGAAGATAAACTACCTAAAGCAAAAATAGGAACAAATTATTATTGAATTATAATATATGTAGGAGTAAAATAAATGACAACAAAAGTACACAGAATGAGGGAAATGGAAATATATGCATATACAGTTCTTACATTAAAGGTAAAATAATATTGTTGAAGGTAGACTGTGTTGACTAAAAGGTGTATATTGTAAACAGTAGAGCAACCACTCTAAAATTTAAACAGAGGTACCACTAAAAAGCCAAGAATGATAAAAATATATCATCAAGATTATCAATTAATCCAAAAGATAGTAGAAAAATGCACAAAAGAAAGAAATTAGAAGAAATAGAAAATAAATAACAATATGGTAACCTAAGTCCACAGTTATAGTTGGGTTTCTCTCACTAATGAAAAACATGTAGAGAAAAATCTATCAAGGATATAAAAGACCCACAGAATATTACCAACCAAGGTGACCTCATTGACATTTATAGAGGCTTCCACCCAAGAGTAGCAAAACACATATTATTTTCAAGTGAGTACAGGACACTCACATAAATACACCATATTTAGGACCAAAAAATAAATACGCACATATTTAAAAGAAAAAAAACTGGATTTCTGTTTCAGCTCTAACATGTAAAGAGCTTTAATGCCATCATGCCTGTCCTTACAACTAGAAAAAGCTGAACAAATTAAATAATCAGCTTTTCTTGGACCCATAAGAGAACTGAATTTTAAAGGCAAACCACCTTCCCCAAATCTGGAGAGACAGGCAAATTCAGAATCACATCTAAGATCTGTTCATCTAGCAAATAAGCCAGTAGGGCCATAAAACTCATACGGACACTTAAGTGGTAATTTTGATGAATTGCTGGAGATGAAATGTGGACTAACTTGAGGAGAAGAAATTCCTGCAGAACACAGTCTTAGGGGAGTGCTCACTCTATTGTGGGTTTTGTTTCCACTTTGTAGAGTTTTATTCACCAGTTTTTCATAGTGAAAAAGCTGAGAAAGATCTCCTGTGGCTCTGACAGTGGGGAGGAGAAGAGTAACCACTGTGAAATATGTCCAGAGCCTTCTCCTTAATAAAGTGACATTTGCTAGGCAAATAATTTACCAGAGCCTTATCCACTCATGGGGAGGAAATTTTTCCAACTCTAGCCTTCTCTAGTTTTTCTGCCTCACCTAAAAAAAGGAGAAAGGAGAAATTTAAGAAACATTGAAAATCAAAGACCAGGCCCACTAAAACACAGCTTTAATCAGATGATTATAAAATGCTGCTCCTTCACCACACCATATCACTAACCAACAGAACTCTAGTAAAAACAGAAGGTTACAGCTGAAAGAACTTCAAAATGCAGACTCTATCAGGAGGAGTACTTAGGGAAGTCCAAAGACAACAGGAGAGACAAAAACAAGTATGCTAGAAGAATTTGGAGCATCTGGCACCCACAGCTACAGCAAATATTAAACACAGCTTAACTCTTAGCCAGATTAAAATAAAACCTCATTAAGGGCGTGTTTACAAGGCATACTAAAAGGCAAGAAAAAACACATTCTGAATAGAGAATAGAAGGCAAGCATTAGAACCAAACTCCTATATCATACAGATTATAAATTATCAGAAAAGAACATATAATCACTATGATTAATATGTTAGTTAACATGGTAATATTTGAAGGCTTTAATGAAAAAAGAAGGCAATATGCAGGAACAGAGAGTAATATAATCAGAGAGATAAACTCTAATAAAAAATTAAAACACAATGAGGTTTATCAAAATACAGAAAGGAAGAATACCTTCAATGGGATCATTATATAGAGAACACATCCAAAGAAAGAATCAGTGTGCATAGAGATAGGTCAATAGAAATGTCCCAAACTGAAATGCTATAATGGATTGAATAGCAAGCCCTAAAAAGATATATCCAAATTCCAACTACTTGCTTTGCAAATGTAATTAAACTAAGTATCGCAAGATGAGATCATCCTGGATTTAGGGTGGGCACTAATATTTTGCCTTATAAGAAAAAAGCAGGAGATTTGACACACAGAGTCACAGGGAAGAAAGGGATATGAAGACAGAGTCAGAGATTAGAGTTATGCATCCATACACCAAGGACTCAGAACTCACTGAGAACGTATACTCAGAGTCACGGGCTATTATGGGGAAAGGATACATTAAAGTCAGCCAAGGAAGAGACATATAGGGCAGAATTTGAGAGAGTTACAAAGGCAAGTTAAGGAGGATCTTTCCAAACAATTAAAGAATGAATTACTAGAAAGATAAAATAATTATAAATACATACCTGCATAATAACATATACTCTAAATATATAAACAAAATTAATGAGATTATAATGAGAAAAAAGATATTCATATTAATAATTACAGAACTAGGAAACTTCTAAATTAATGATATGTTAAAAAATAATTCAACAAAAATAGAGAATATTTGAACAACTCAAAAAGGTTGATCTGTTGGTCACATAGAAAATTCTACACCTAACAACAATTAGAAAATAAACATTATTTTCAAGCATACATGGAGTATTTATAAAAATGTATCACATACTGGACACTAAAAAAATTTTAACTAATTTCAGTGAAGAGGTAGTCTACAGAGATTTTTTCTACCTGCAACATAATAAGGTTGATACTATAAAACATTTTATATTTAAAAACATAAATAGCTATGGTTCAAAGAAAAAATTACATAGAAATTTTAGAATACTATGTAGAATTAAAAAGTAATGAAAACTTGCATATCAAAATAATGGGATGTCTAAAAGCAGTACTTCAAGAATAATGTGTGGCCTTATATACTTATTATAAAATAATAAATTAAAACTCCAAAAATTAATGGGCTAAGGAGCTAGAATAGAGTAAGAACAACATAAGAAACCTCAGAATATTAGAAGAAAATGAAACTCCAAAAGATTGGGAGAGAAAATAGATATCAGCAGTAAAATTAATATAAAAGAAAATATAGCCAGGTGTGGTGGCTCACATCTATAATCCCAGCACTTTGGGAGGCCGAGGTGGGTGAATCACTTGAGCGCAGAAGTTTGAGACCAGCCTGGGCAACATGGTGAAACTCCATCTTTACAAAACATAAGAAAATTAGCTGGGTGTGGTAGCATGTGCTTGTAGTCCCAGTTTCTCAGGAGGCTGAGGTAGGAGGATCACTTGAACCCAGGAGGTGGAGATCGCAGTGAACTGTGATAGCACTACTTCACTCCAGTCTGGATGTCAGAGCGAGACCTCATCTCAAAAGAAAAGAAAAGAGAAGAGAAAAGAAAAAAGAAAAGAAGTACTTGTAATAATAAATTTAATCAAATGGGTTGATTTTTAAAATTTACAATTTAGATAAACCTCTTTTGTGATTAATCAAAAAAAAAAGAAACAAAAAACAGAGGTATCAATGTTAAGAATGAAAGAGTAAACAAACACTAAACTTTTTTACAAAAATAAAGATGAATACTATCAGTAAATCTACAGCAATAGATTTGAAATAAATGAAGGGAATAAAACTGATTTTTTAAAAATGGAAATGCTGAGTAGTCTGATAACCATAAAAGTGAATCCATAATTTTAAGTCTTCCCACAAAGAAAATATCTTGCCCAAATTGCTTTATAAGTGAGTTCTACCAAACTTTCAAGGAACACATTTTTCTAATATAACTTCTTACAGAAAAAATAAAAAGGAATCCTCCTTATTCCATTCTATAAAGCCAATATAATAACAAAATTAGATATTGAAATTAAAATATGAAAGAAAATTACAGACCTGTCTCACTCATAATTATCAAAATATTATCAATAATTAATTTTGTGTAAATAAGAAATATGTTGTGACCCAGTTGTGTTTACCTTGGAAATGCTAAAAATAATCTACAATAATCATACTATAAGTTCCTCAAGGCTGGGAATTTTGTTCATTAAGTATATCTCAAGTATTTAAAATAAGAGTGAACAAGTAATTGTTGCTCAATAAATATTTATTATAAGAATAAACAAATAAATTCAAAAATGTTAGAAACGTGCTGCTGTTAGAAGTATTCTCCAGTAAGAAGCATCAAACTAAGGAACAAGATGAAGACACTCGCTACTGTTACTTCAGTTGCCTGTTGCATCTGAAGTCTTAGTGCAAGCAGAAAAGAAAGAAAAATTGAAACAAAACTTGGAAAGGAGAAATAAAATGCTATTTGCTGATTATATACTCTTTTATACACAGAAAGTCTATAAAATGCATATTAATTAATCCAAAATAATGAGGAATAAATTAATATTTAGCAAATGGTTCTCAGACAGCAAAAGAAAATCCAGATGAAGTAGAGAGTTAAATATGAAGAATGAAAACAAAATAAAATTATAACTTTAGGTGCACATGAAAAGGGATTTGCTTATTAAACATAACCCCACCCCCCAAATAGCGCACAGGACATCAATATTTCTTTTTTTCATAAAAATGAATTCTTCTGTAAATCAAAAATATATGCAAAATTAAAGACAAATGCCAAAATGGAAAAAATGAAGTTTTTTTAAATCAATAAAGAAAAGGACTGTGAGTTTTTCTAAAAAGCAAAAGCCGAAAAAGATTTTACAGAAATGGAAATGGAAATAAATATATAAACAGCAATATTCAGCTGCCTTAATGAGAAAGATATAGAAGTTAAAATATTTTCATGTATGTTATAAACATTTACATTTTTATTTTTCTGTCAAACCAATTAACACTACTGATTCTTACAAGATGTTCAAATTGGCATAGCTTTTTGGCACAGCCACTCAGTATTAAACCTTAAAATAGTTCAAACATTCTTTGACACACTAATTTCATTGAGATGAAGAGCACAGGCCTTGGAAAGGGCCAATCCTGGGTTCAAACTCTGACTTTACCCCTTACTAGCTTCTTGACCCTGAGAACGTAAGATAGTAACTTATACCTACTTCATAGGTATTTTGTGAGAGATAAATGAGCTAATACTTACAAAGGGTTTAGCTCAGGGTCAGACCAATAGAAAATGCTCAATATATATTCACTCTCATTATCAGTTCTATATTGAGTCCCTCCTAAGTTAATAATTAGGGATGTACTTAAAAATACATGCCAATAATTAAGAGAGAACCTTTTTTATAATGGTAAAACTGCTAAGTGACCTAGATGTCTAAAAACATGGGGACAGTTAAGTAATTTAGATGAGCTATTTTGTAATCATTAAAAAAAGAAATATTTGCTAACAGGAAAATATCACTATTGGATTAACTGGAAAAAATAAAGTTATAGTTATATATTCAAGTTTTAATATAATTTAAAAATACATCTGTATGATATGTATACCGGTGTGTGTAAACATAGAAACAAATTGACAACTCGAGGTGTTATGATGGGGATGGTCACCAAACTAAGCAAACATGAAGTTTCTTTTATAAACAGAAAAAGAGTACATGTGCAACTTTTATACTTAGAAGAATACTTCTAATAATAATTACATATGTTAAGGTATTTTTTTCTCCTGTCATTACATTTCTTTGTATCTTTTGGCATAAATTTTTAACTGATTGTGATTCATCACTTATTTTTCTTTCATAGTATCACCTTCCAGGGATAAACTTTCTGCTTGTTCCTGTGACACCAGATACAGACAGGGAGTCATTAAGCAAGTAACTGTGTAAAGATACTGTGTCCTGGATTTACCATTTACTCTCCTGACAGAATTATTCATGAGATTTAGAAAAGAGGCTTCAATTTAGGTGGATTGATATTACTTAGACAAAGTCCATAATATGTTGTTATTTCTTTGTAATTCTGGTATACAAAGTTATTTAAATGTTCCTTCATTTACATGTTCAGAGCCAATAGTAAAATCAGATAGAAAATAAAGTGTTGAATAGAGGAATATTTAGTATCTGTCAGGTCTGTTTTAGACCTGAAATATTTTAAAATATGTTATTGCATGCAAAAGTTTTAAAGAAAAATGTGTACCTCTTTTTTTTTTAATTTGATCAACTATCAAGAGCCTACTGTATGACTGATCCAGGGCTGGAGATGCATTGGTAAGCATGAGCGGAGACAGTTCCTGCCCATGGGGATCTTTCAATCTAGAAATTGAACCAAAGTGACATTCAAGTCATCCACAGAAAATGATCTTGGCCCTCTCCTGGTGAAATCTAATAGTACTCACCTCATATATTAGAAATGTGATTCTCAATGTTGTAGAGGGCATACGAATCAGAGATTGTATAATATGGAAGTTCTCAGCTCTGCCTCTAGAGATTTAGGTATGGCAAATCTGAGAAAAGGACTAGGAGTCTGCATTTTTAGTATTTTTGACATAGATAGTCTGCATTCCACACTTTGGAAAACATTAGCATTTTATCTAACTAGCACTTCTGAATTTTGCAAAAGTAGGGGGAGATTAGATCTGTCTTCAAATATTTGGGAGCTCTTTCTGGTTTCCTGGAATGAACGATTGTAAAATGCAGATGTAAACAGAGCATTCGATGATTTAACATAGAATCTGAACTATTAGACCTTAGTGATTGGTGCACCCACCTTGCTGATGATTATACTACAATGTCAAGAATACATCTGACTCACCTCTTGAAAGAGACAGAAACCCACAGTGTCTGATGTCAGAACTGATTGGTGCTACCAACAAAATAGTGAAGAATCCAGCCGTACCTTGGATTTGTCAAACAACTTGCACTATTTTTCAAATAGATTCTGTAAAACTAAAAACTCATTTTGCTAAGGACTTTTGCCCTTAATTTTTAAACCCATGTGTATTTTAAGAGAAATTTAATCATATGTTTCTCATTCATTTATACTTAAATCATCAAAATGTTGTTTCATAAGAGCTATTTGATGTCCAAGGTTTTCTGAACTTTGTAAACCCCTTTTCTTAGAAAAAGAATGTTGCGTTTGCCAGACATTTGAGTCCTGGTGAAAATGCCAAAACCAGGAGGTTTCAGTGGCTTCCACATTTACGATAGAAAGCTTCTTTTTTCTTTAGATTCACATAAAACCAAACCAAACCCCACAGGTCAGCTGACAGTATTTTTACTTCACAATGACACTCTTTTCTCTTGAATTCATGTTGTAGGAATATACCGGAGGGTTTGACATTTTGCTCTGTGTTTATAAAATTTTTCCAATAGAATAATTATACAAGATCTCTATAACCTTGGAGACTGCCCACTCAAAACTATTCATATAAATTATCATACAAAGCCAAAAACACAGAGTTTTGACATTCAAACATAGACCTGCAGACCAAAAAATAAGCAGTTTACATTTCAAGAGGGACTCCAATTCTTTTCAAAAGGTGTCATTTTATCTTCTCATTTGTAATTTTTAAATCAATAACAAATAGATTTAGAAAATAATAATTGTTAGCTGAAGGCTTCTCTAATTTTCATTTACAAAGGAAATACATATTGTCAATAATTGGGCAGTATTAAATGTTAGAATTCAATAAAAATGTATTTTCAAAATTATTTCTATTAATGATTAGAAGTAATCAGCACTCTTTCAAGAAATATAGCACTTCAAAATAATAGTCAATTTTAAGGGCATTTATAAAACACTTTGCATTATATGTTGCATGAGAAATAAAACACAAAATATGTCTTAAAATAGTTAAGGATAGGATTTTCTTCCAGTCATTTGTTAATTGTTATTTTTTTTTAAAAGTACTTTTAAAACGCCATAAAATGTTACCAAGATTTTAAAACTTTTGGTTTACAGAACATCCTGCTGCCTTTTTTGAGATACTTCACAACAAAAACCCAAGGTCATTTAACTTGTGGTTTGGAGTCCTACAGGTTTTTAAATTTCTTCTTTATTTGGCTGAACTTTTGATAAAAATGAGACACTGGAGATTGTGAAACCTAAATAGATTTTGTTCTTGTATTTTGCATTTTATTTACCCTTGCAAGCTTGACTTTCACAACGCTTGATGGATACTTTTAAGGTTTTAGCAATTCTAGGTGTTTGGTTTTTATGATTTTTCTTTAATTGCTTATGTAACCCACAGCCTTCCACTATTCATTAGAATAGCTCTACAAATGACTTAAGGTCTGTTGCTTTGACAAATAGAAACCAGGCTTATTATTCAGTCCATCACTGAACAATAATTACAATGTTGGTTATCTTTTGTTGGGCCTGCTTAACAAAGCCCTAAGTAATTTAGTAGGATTTATAGCTTCCAGGATTTGAACAAGAGGTCACACAGGTCTTTACTTTCTGCAAACTGACCTTTTGTTTGAGTTTAAATTAACCCAATTTGTGCTGCTTTTGTATCTACTCTCAAAAGTCAGGACGCATAGTATGTTACATAGATCTCTATAGCTGTCTAATCAAGTTATTTTCATTTTTTCATTAACATTTACTAAGATAGCTAATTAATTTAAGGAAAAGACTAAAGTTAATCACTGAAAACACAGCTATGTCAAAGAAGAGTGAAATCAGCCACAGGCTTTAATGAATATTGGATGGCTTTCTACAAACTCTTCAGAATATTAGTTGGTAATGAATATTGAATTGCTTTCTACAAACCTCTTAGAATATTTTTTCTATACACATTTCTGATACTCTTAAATAAAGCTATATTTGAGTCTTTTTTTAAAATAGAGAAAATTCATAATAATCATTTAATCTGATAATTGCAGTCTAAGATTAAAAGTTTGAAAAAAAATCTTGTCCTCTTCAGGTGTCCTTGCTGCCTAGCCTGTGAAACAGGAAGAGAACATAGGAAATTTGGTTATTAATTTTTGCTGTTTTTATAATTAGATACAGGTTTCATCTCCCAGCATGTTGAGCATCTGTCATATATCTGGTTTCATAGAGATAAAGGAAACTCGGTCAGAGTCAATACTGGAATACTGTTTATCCTTTCAGCACCATACATTTCCTTCAGCATTGATCTTTTATTATGTAGCTCGGTTCTCCTGGCATAGCACTGGGCTTTATCAATGTCTATGACTGTTTTGTAAAGGGAAAAGCAATGTTTCATTTTGTTGATATTTTAATGACTCTGTGGCTTTTCCAAGACTGAATAGTACCACCTCCCAGAGAGGGGCAATACTTGTTTTTTTGCTTAGGTCTAGTATGTCTGTTCAAAAATTAGCTCCTAACATTGTTATCATCTTCAATAGCTACCTCCTGCTAAGATGGTCATAACATTGTATTCACTGTAACAAACATACAATATTAGGATCAATGACATGATGTTTGCTCAAACAGCTTCAAATACAAGTACTTTTAACAGACAGTGTGAGAGAGGAAGCAGTGTAACATAAAGCGTTCTGGAATTTGAATCATGTATTTTAGCATCTGTTTTACTAATTGCGGGTACTGAAAATTACCATCTCTACATCTGCATCCTTATCTGTGAAATGAGAATGATACTTATCTCAAAAGGTTTTTTGGGGATTTTGTGCTCGTGATTTTGTTTTGTTCTCTTTTAGTGGGAATTAAATGAGATTAATATAGATGAGAGTCAAGGCACAGGGCATGACAGGTAGAAAATAATCATCAAATGACAATTGGATCAGAAGCAGAAAGAAAACCTCCACTATTCCTTTCAGCAACAAGTGTTATGCACTTAGCTGTTTGCTGGAAAATCAAACCCGGCAAAATACAATTCCTTTTCTTGAAGAGTTCAGTTATATTTACTAGAATCTAGGAACTATATATTTCCTGCATCATTTTATTATTATGAGCATCATCTACCATATCTTCCTCCATCCAGCTAGCTCAGATCAATGTAGAGAACTACCATTGTCAATCAGGATCAAGAATTCTCTGCTGACAACTATTTGCATTTGTTCTCTCTCAATCAAGAGATGAGGTCCCAGCATGCTTAGCTCGTTCTCACACTGCTATAAGGAACTTCCTGAGGCTGGGTAATTTATGAAGAAAAGAAGTTTAATTGACTCATGTTTCCATAGGCTGTACAGGAAGCGTGACTAGGAAGCCTCAGGAAACTTACAGTCATGGTGGAAGGCAAAGGGGAAGCAAGCACGTCTTACTGTAGCAGAGCAGAAGGAGGCAGGGAAGTGTCACGCATTTTTAAACGATCATATCTTGTGAGAACACCCTCACTATCACAAGAACAGCAAGGGGGAAATCCGCCCCCAATGATCCAATCACCTCCCACTAGATCCTTCCCCCAACATGTGGGGATTACAATTTCAGATGAGATTTGGGAGCTAAACCATATCAGGCTATCTAAAATAAACTGTAGTAATTTCCTAAGAATAAAATGGTTTTATTATTTTATTTTATTATATGGAAAAGCTTGTACTGATTCTAATATTTTTGGGTAGTATGTACTTGAGCAAATCTCGTTCTGTGTGTATATCTCTCATTTGATAATGCATAGGTTAGGCCAAGTAATTTTTTAAATCTCTTCTAATTCCAACATTCTTTTTTTATGACTCTGGTCGCCAGGTTTTTGAAAGAATTAATTCATCCTTTCAAGATAGGTAATTGTAGAAGAGGAAATGTTATATTTAAAAAGTTGAGAATAGCTAAAGCACTGCTGTCGGCACTCAGAATAATGAGTCTATTAGTATTCACATTTATCTGAGGATGGAGACTTACAACACCTGTATTTAAATCCTCTTCATGATACTATTTGTTGTGTTCTGGATGACTTACCCTCCTGGTTAGGAATTATTTTATCTTTTCAGTTATACTTTCCACACAATTATTAATGCCTATTATTGGTGTTTTTAATATTAAAGTCCACACTCACTTTGCAACTTATGTGTGACTTGGCCAAAAAACTTTTCAAGCCTCAGGCTTTTTTTTTTTTTTGCCTCCGTAAAACAGAGCCAATAATACCAAACTAATAAGGTTTTTAAGACTTTATCATGGTGCCTACCAAGAATGCAATAGATAGCTATTATTATAACATTTTAATTAAGAAATTAAGTCTACATTGATGTCTTGGCGTAGAGTTACTGACTTTAAACATATTCACCCAAATAGTCAAAAACCCACCTTGCACATACACACTTCTCTAGAAGAGACTAAGAAAAATGTCTATGTAATCCTTTCACTAAAAAAGCTTGTAATCTACCTTGGGAAACAAGACATAATATTCAAGAAAAGTTGAGCAATAAAAGAGTAACAGTTATAACAGATATCATAAAATAGTGTTTGTTAAATAGCAAATTAATGGTATAGAAAATATATGGAAGTTAATTCCAGAGCTAGGAGACATCACTGTTATAGAAGTCTGTGTGGAGCAGTTCACAATTAAGCCAAGCTAATATAAATTGCTCAAATTGATGCAAATGAGAAAGAATCATTACTTAAGCCAAAGGAAAAGTTTTTAAGGATATACATAGTTACATCCTACACACAAGTACACACACAAACACACTGAAAAGAACTTTTTTGGGATAAATGCTATAAGGCACTGAGCACATTGTCTAATCTATCATCAAACAGATAATAAATGTCATGTCTTATTGCAGACGGCACGTATTTGTGTCCCATTGGGCAAATCAAGGCCACAAATGTTTTCTTTTGCCCATGTCAGAGTTTTACATAACATATAGGGCAACTTTTTAAAAGTAGATTTTATATTTGAAAAAGAAACCTAGCATCCTGGTTTTCTCTGGGAAAATCTTAAAGATTTGCTGTAACTGAGCCTGCATTTCCTTAACACAAATCTGCTGGAGCTGAACATTTGCTGCTGCTTCCTTTAAACTTGACCTCAATCACGAAGGTCTTCATCAACTCACTCAGTGCTTTCACATGTACTTATACCCAGCACATGCATTGGCTATGACCTTGCAGAATTTGGCATTAGCAACCTCAAAAACTCTGGAAAAGGCTTCATTTTCTCCAGTCTCCTGGGAGAGGAGAGGCACCATGAAGGCAGACCCATCCAGAGAACACCTGCGACAGGCTGAGAAGTAAGTAATCAATGAGAGAAAGCTTTGCAGAAAAAAAAAATAGTAAAAGACATCTTGCTTTCCTTTTATTTTTCCTGCATTCTAATCCCTTTTTAGAATAGATACATGAAGCTACTTAGGATTTTCTAAGCACTTCATGTTCTAAAGGGTTAAATATGTGAACCAGTAAAAAGAGTAGTTAGTTCTAATCTATGCTTTGACAGAGAAACTTCAAAGTCTGTTGCCTTTGTATGACCATTTAGTCCAGCTCACTGAAAGCAGCTAGGAATTTAGGACTGAAGTCCTAGTGAGGAAGAAAGAGTGGACATTTAGTGGGAATGTACTTAGGTATACTTTTAAAATCTAACTGGAGTAATGAGTGGCTTAACAGGCTGCTAAGCAAGGACCAAGGCAGCAGTTGCATTTCCCTGTCCTCTGCAGGGCATGCCTTAGGGTCACTGTATAGATTCTACAGCCTAAATCATGCTGGGTAACCCTATTTTCCTTGATAATCTTTGTCAATATATTTATATTTTTGTCCAAAAATATCTAGATTTGCTTCAATATAGAGTTGGCAATCTAAAATAAACTCTTCCCTACCCCAAAAAATGCAAAAAATTCCTTCTTCCAGGACTAAAAAGACCAGAAATTTCCATGGACCTTTCAAAACATGCTATAGCAGTCCAGAGTTGTCCTGCAAAAGGTCCAATAGCAAGAGGAAAACCACAATTAACCAAAAAGAAAGGCACTTGAAGCAGAATGAAAAGTTCAGGTCTACTGTTAAGGTGCCATGCAGTTGTTCACATATTCTTGGGAGCTAGAAAGAAAGAAATGCAGCAAATAGTGAATAGGCAAGAGTAGAGCTGGACCATTAGGTTGTCACAGCCTGTTGTAGTTTATCTTCATGGAGAAAAGAAGTTGTATTATCAGTTTTGCCACTTTAGTGACACAGTAAAACCCTCACTAACCAGACATTTGAAATGTTATGGCCTGTTTTAGCCAAGTCTTCAACTATGACGGGTGATATTTGCCATCTCATCCAAAGAGAATGCCTCAGACCCCACGGTACCGTATTAAGAACTGTCATCATGTTGTAATAGGAGGCACTTAGCAAGTTTCTTAATCCTTTTGTGTCTTAACTTTGCCCCTGTAAGATGGGGATAACAGTTCCAATCTATGTTGTTGACATTCTGTGTAGTAGAGTGTCTAACTCAGAGTTAGTGTTGTTCAAATGTCATTCTACTTGAAAAATTATATATTTATGTACTAATTTTCAATGTTGCATAGCAATTGAATTTTGTTGGCTTTCAAAAAGCTGAGTAAGTAATATTATCTTCATTTTTTATATGGAAAATCTGAGATAGGACAGTAATTTGTCCGAGGAAACCCTGCAGGAGAGTGGTAGAGCCCATACAAAAGCCCATGGTTCCTCACACAATTCTTTTTTTTTTTTTTTTAGACAGACTCTTGCTCTGTCGCCAGGCTGGAGTGCAGTGGCACGATCTCAGCTCACTGCAACCTCCACCTCTGGGGTTCAAGTGATTCTCCTGCCTCAGCCTCCCGAGTAGCTGGGACTACAGGCACACGCCACCATGCCCAGCTAATTTTTTGTATTTTTAGTAGAGACGGGGCTTCACCGTGTTGGCCAGGGTGGTCTCAGTCTCTTGACCTCGTGATCCACCCGCCTTGGCCTCTGAAAGTGTTGGGATTACAGGCGTGAGCCACCGTACCCGGCCTCCTCACACAATTCTATGCTACCTCATTTTTCTCCCTTTAATAAAGTAAAGAGCAGAAAAAAAAAACTTTCCAAGAAACCAATACAGAAAAATATAACTCCATGTGGTCATTTATATGTCACTTTGATTCTCAGAAAGTGAACAGAAACTAGAAGAATTGCCTCTGAACAACTGAAATGCTTATTGATAAAAGTGCTAAAATTTTAATAAAGCATCATTTACTTGTTTATGCATAGGATGCTGTGAAGACTATCTTGCATGTAACCTATGTTAGACTGTGAAAGATTTAATCCTATTCCACAAAAGTCATCTTTCCAGGAAACACAGTCATTGAGATATCAGTGCACAACTTCCATCTTTGTGACAACTCATGAAGTTTAACTTTATTTGTTCAATTACCTTCTGAAAAGAAAAGAGAAAATTATTGTGGCCATTTTGGAATTTTCTGTGAAATGTGATTGAATGAAAGCACTCTGTCTTCTTCATAGACTCTCCCCCTATCAAGAGGCCACTTATGGGGAAAATCCTTTCTAAAACTAGGTAAAGGTAATAACATGGCTCCATTTAACAAATGCTAAAAATGCTACAATCCATGACATATGTTACTATAAAAATGAATTACACTTACTAATTCTTCTCTTTAGCAAGATAAAAAGCTCTTAGAATGTCCAATAGCTTAATACATTATTAAACTCATTCTCAGATATTTCCATAAATACATTTAAAAATCATTGCTTTGGAATAATGCAATGTAAATGAAAATGTTCAGGTCATCTGCATCACTCCCAACCTGTTATTCTCAAACTGATTCCTCTTTTATTTTCCTTAGAAACATGTGTTTGAAGGCTTCATTGAAATTAATAACAAGATTAGAGAGTAACCGCCATTTTTTACAGTTACTGATCCTTGACTTCTAAATAGAATGATTTGGCTCAAAGCTGGTGCTATTTCTTTTCTTTTTTAAGAAATTAAATATTCATTATATCAGTGACTGTATTACCAAAAGGAAAACCAGGCTGCTGTTCTTACATACTGTTGTGAGTTACTTCTCTATGGTGACTTGAAAAAAATTTGACTTTTTTTAGAAAATATTTGGAGGTTGTGATATTCTGGTCCTATAGCTTTAGATAATATATAACTTTAGTTTACTTAAATTTGTTTTATTTTAGTTCTAACAAATTATTTTATGAAGTTTTCATAATTTAGATTTTTAAAATAAAGGAAGGCATTTCAGACATTAAAATAAGTGAATTCAATTTTTATTTTTAGCTTAATTTTGTTGCAGTTGCTGCTTTTAAAAACGTTGAGTGCTCTCCTATTATATCTTCTTTAAAATACTTCTAAAATTAGAAGCAGATCTATATTTTCTTTTCGCTGCACTTGCTCTCTTTCCTGCCTCCTGCTCTTACTGGAATGTTTTTGTTATCCCCAGCGATAGTCAACAGCTGTGCTGTCTCACAGATCTTATTAGCAGCTGTGAAATGCTACTGTCCTAAGTAGCAGCATTTGTTGATGACTGTTGAGATGTAATTGCTGTGATAATAAAATTACTTCACAGGCTTCAGCCAGTCTTCAGTCAACATTTACTGAAGCCTACTGTTTGCAAAATACTGAATTCCCCACACTCACAAAACTTAATCAACTAAGGATGCAAAATGTAGGTGCTAACTTATTTTACTGTATATCAGTGGGGACAAATTAATGCCACGTAAGCCAAGTATGTGTGTCTGAAGTATGGCCAAATAAAACATAAAATAATCCAAAGGAGGAAAATGATACTCCCATTTGGACCCAAAGGAAGGAAGTGGTGGTGAACGAAGGGCATCTAGTAGTTAATTAGCCTTGGGAAGGTGAGGTGTGGAACATCAACAATAAGACAGGGGTATAATTGAAGCAAACACACTCTAATGCTTTTCTAGTCCCATACTAGCTAAACGTCTGCAAAAAGGGAGAGGATGCATTCCAGTAAATTGCTTTTTCAATAGAAAAATGTCTTAAGTGAAATAGACTTACTGTACCATGATTTCAAACTAGAAGGAGATTGAGACATGGTGTAATAATACTTAAAAATAGCTAGAATCCACAACTAACATCATGTAATGATAAAAGACTGAAAACTTTTCCTCTAATATCAGGAATAAGGCAAGAATTCCTGCTTTCAACACTTCTATTTAACACGGTACTGGAAGTTCTAACTTGAGATATTAGGCAAGAAAAATAAATAAAAGGCATCCAAGTTGAAAAGGAAGAGGTAAATTTATCTCTATCAAGGGGTGATGTAATTTTATATGTAGAAAATCCTAAAGATGCTACACACACAAAAAAAACTGTTAGAACTAATGAATTCAGCAAAGTTGCAGAATATAAAATCAACATACAAAATCATCTGCATTTCTGAAGAGCTGTTAATGCTATCATGTAAGCAACACCTGAATTTTGGAGGGTACATATTGAAACTATATTATTCCATTTCTGGCCCTTCAAAATTCGTGTCCTTCTCATGTAAAAAATATATTCATTATATCCCAAAGCCTCAAAGATCTTAACCCATTCCAGCATGAAATTTAAAGTCTAAAGTCCAGAGTCTCACCTAGATATCATCCTGAGGCAAACTGCTTTCCAGCTATGAACCTGTGAAATCAAACAAGTTATGTACTTTCAAAATACAATGGTGGAATGGGCATTGGATAGGCATTCTCATTACAAAAAGGAAAAAAAAAATAAGCAAGATGAAAAAAAGGTAACAGGTTACAAGTAAGTCTAAACCGCAACAGGGCAAAAATCATTAAATATCACGGGTTGAGAATAATCTTCTTTGACTCCATGTCCCAACTTCCAGGCATACTGGGAGGAGATTGAGTCTCCAAGGATCTGAGGGACCCCACCCCCATGGCTTTGCTGGGCATAGCCCTTGCTGCTGTTCTCATGGGTTAGAGTCAGGTGTCTGTGGCTCTTTCAGACTAGCATTGCATGTAAATGGCTCTACAGATCTGAAATCTCAGGAGCAGCCCTGCCTCATGACTCTAGTAAATATTGCCCTAGTGGGAACTATCTTTGGTGGCCTTCACCCCTCAGTTCTTCTGGGCATTGCCCTAGTGGAGACACTCTGTGGCAGCCCCACCCCTGCAGCAAGTCTCTGCCAAGCCCCCGAGGCTATCTGAAATATCCTGTGAAATCTAGGTGGAAGTAAAGATGCCCCCACAGTTCTTGCACTCTGCGAACCTGCAGAATTAGCACCAACAGGACACTGCCAAGGTTTATGACTTGTGCCTTCTGGAGCAGCAGCCTAAGCCACACATGCACCTGCTTGAACCACAGCTGGGGCAGCTGAGGAGAGCTGCACCAGAATTTGGGGAATAGGGACTTCAGACAGCCCTGGGTAATAAGCCCTGAGGTCCTATAGGTGCCCTGGGATGCCCCTGCCCCACACTCAAAATCCATTCTGCCCTCAAAGCCCTGGCACTTTGGGCCTTTGATGGGAGTGTCAGCCCTGAAGATCTCTGAAGTATCTTTGGGGTCATGCTTCCATTGTTTTCATGAATAGCATCTGGCTTCCTTTTTTTATTTTTAATCCATACCAATCTCCTTAAGTGGTTGCTTGGCCACATCCTGGATTTTTTCTCTCCAACATGCTTTGCCTTTTCATTCCTTACATGACCAGGCTGATAATTTTCCAACTCTTTAAGTTCTGGTTCTCTTTTGGTTATAAATTCCATCTTTAATTTATTTCTCCCTTTGCACATTTTACTATTATAGGCCATTGGGAGACACACTTCTGAACACCACCACTGGAAAATCACACATGCTGAAATGGGAGAGTTCCCTGACCCCCTTGCAGGATATGTGACAGGAGTGTGGCTCATCTGTTCAGCTGGAGTGCATACTCAAACCCCTTATGAGACAAGGAGTATGCAGACAGAAGGTGCAGGAACTGGGGTGAGTACCCCTGGGCTTTGGCCACACAGCAGCATCCAGGGGTGGGAGCCTGCGACTCCTGAAGCCCAAGTGGGCATGTGTTACAGTGCGCTGTTTTAGCCTTGCCATCTGCAGATGGCTTAAGCGTTAACTAGCTCAGTGACCTCTTGGTACCCAGGTCCTTGTCTGGTGTCCAGGAAGAATCAGGTCACACACGGACTTGAAGGATAACTGCAAGTGTTTTATTGAGTGGTGGAAGTGGCTCTCAGTGGGATGGTTGGGGAGCTGGAAGGGGGATGGGAGTGAGAAGATAATCTTTTCCTGGAGTTTGGCCATCCAGCGGCCAATCTCCTCTCCAACCTCCCCAGCTGAACTCCTCTAGGCCGTGCCATTCTGCCATTTTTCTGTTCTTCTGTTCATCTCCTCATGGAGCCAGGGGTTTGGGGTTTTTATGGGTACAGGATAGAGGGGCGTGGCAGGCCAAAAGACAACTTTTGGTCATGAAAACAGGAATGCCTGTTCTTACTTAAGGCGGCAGGTTTCCAGGCTTGAGGGTGGGGCCTTTGTAGGAGATCAGCCCTCTTCTACCCAGTATTTCCCTGCCTCCTGTCCATATCAACACCACCTATAGGGACACCACAAGTGCATACCAAATTAAAGTAGAGATTTCTATCTCCCTCTTCCTCATCTTCACCTCCCTCAATAGAGAATACAAGCCTTAAAAAAAAAGAAAGAGAAAAAATATCTCTGAGCCAGGCCATAGCTCCTCTCTTCTGAGCCCTCTTAGTCATAACCTCTGTCGTACTTGGGAAGGTGTAGTCTAATTTTAACAACCAAAAGTCACCAGAGAGTTATAAAATTATTCAACATATCAATATATAGTAAAGGGGATTGGGATGTAATAGAGCAGAGTTGAAAGTAACAAGAGATAAATCTTTTTTTAATTGAAAGAGACAGAATGTTGTGTCATAATTAAAAATACTACAACAGATACTGGAGCTAGATTGCCTGGGTTAAATCAGCTTGCAGCTTTTACCAGCTGTGTGATCATGAACAAATTACTTAGCATCTTGACATTTTGATTTATTTATTTAAAAAATGGAACTAATACTAGTACCTACCTCATGAAGTTGGAAAGAGTATTAAATAAGCTAATATATGTAAAGTGGGGGCATGAAGTCAGTACTTTGTAAGTATTAGCTGCTATATTGATACCCCATTAACCAGTTGCATTTGACTAAGTTTGAGGTTCGCCTTTATACATGAAAATAATTAAATTGAATTATTTCATTTGTATTCATATATTATTCTCTGTCCATTGCTATAATTTTTGAAAAAGGAAAATATCCCAGAAAAAAAGGAAAAAAAGAAAATTTATTTTTATTAATACACTAAATGTTTTATGAGAGAATAATTAAAAGCTCATTCCTCATATATAATATTTAACACCCTTTACCTTTCACTCTGATTCATTATTTATTTTTGAAATATCTGTGGAATCAACTAAATCGCAAAAGCAGAAGTTTGCTCTAAGTCAGACTGCAAGAGCAAACAACAATGCAGAAAATATATTATAGCACATCTCTTCTATTGCTTTACAAAACTACATGTTTAAACCTCAAATTTAGAAAAGCAGGTTATGACTGATAGAAGGGGTACCCAAATGACATGCTTTGGCATCTGTCAGTTTTTGGACATCAACAGCAACATGGTGGTGATACTAACACTACTCCATTCACTGTACTTTTAAAAGAAAGAGGACAATTTCAGCAACCTTCAATTCATTTAGTTACAGAAAGTTTAGTGAACTTCAGTTAATGTTAAGGCCTATTGACAGCAGAAAGAATTCAGATTTCTGCCACTGAGAATCGGGGAAGACTGGTGACATTAATAAGATCCAGATCCCCAGGCCAAACAACTGTGATCTTCCTTATCCACTGTCCCACAGGATGAGTTTGTTAAAGGTTTTCATCTCCTCTCAGTGGTTTTCCTTCCCTCCGCCCCTATCTCTGATCTGCAATAGGGGAAGGGGAAAGGGAAAATAAGAGTAGAAGCCACCAGAAATTACTGTTCTAATTTAGCATTAGCAGGAATTTGTAAACCACCACTAAGTAGATAAAGCTAAGAGCTACTAACTACAAACATAACCAAACAATAACCTCTGTGACTGTTTAATGGAGACCTTGATTAGAAACACAGAAACCAGGAGCCTTTACTGGAAACCAGGGAGCAATAATGTATTCAAAGAGAAAGGCTAATGGGGCCTGCACAGAAAACCAGCGTTCTGGAAAGAAAAGAGAGGAAAAAGGGAGGTAATCAGGTATAGAAGGAGTTAGAATTAATACAGCAATTTGAATTTGGCTGTGAAGTATTGACACTGAATTATTATTCTGAAGTTAATGAATTAACACACTGGAATGAAGAACTGTGGTATTTAGAAACACTTGCCTACATTAATTTTGCAGGACTGTATACAGATACAGGTTGATTTCTGGGTTTTGCTTTAAAATGTAGTTTGTTGTTTAGAACTGCATGAGTTACTGAAAAATCTTTTCAGGGTATTGGATTTCATGTTGCATAGTCAGTTCACAGTAACATATTTTGCATATTTACTGTTTCTAAAGGCTTGACTGGGCGTTTAAAGAGCAAATTAGAGTGCACCTGGTAATAGCCTTAGAGGAAACTCCACAAGAATTACAGACATCATTTTGTACATCAGTAGTTACAAATTTTGTCTACTGACAAAAAATGTCCACAATAGTGTGGTTGAAGTGTCTCTTACATTACCTAAGCACAAGTGTTTCCTCATATTTAATTTTTTGGTTTCCAAAAATATATTTAGAAAATACAGTAGCATCTCACTCTTCCTAGTAATAATCAAGGTCAATGCTAAGGAAATATCAGTTTTATTGAGCCAATATTCTATATTATGTTGTCCAATAGAGTAGTCACTAGCCATATGCTATTCAAATTTAAGTTAATTTTTAAAATAAAATTAAAATCTCAGTTCCTCAGTTGAACTAGCCATATTTTAAGTCAAATTTGACTAGTGGCTAGTGTTTTGGGACATGCAGACATACAGCATTTTTATCATTGCAAAAAGTTATATAGGACAGTACTGTATAGTAAGTCAAAACTGTTCAGACGATTATATTTGTAGAAATGATACAATTTCAATAACTACAAAAACACATTTCTTGTTCTTGTCATTATTTTCAAAAATTTTTCTAAATGGTAAATATTTCTAAAAGAGTATATTTTCGGTACTAAAATTGTATACCATGTCTTATCTCTGCAGCTTCTCCATTTTATGTGCTTATTGCCCAAAAAGTAAAATTTAAAGTAATTAATTCATTAAAATAACAAATCCAATAAAGCTTTAAAATAACATTTAATTTCAAAGATGCAACAAAAATTAAGACTTTGTAGCCAGGTTATTCTAAATCACAATGTTTTCACAATAATCAGAGACTAGACCTAAATATGTCGTGTACATAAAAATAGAAGCAGCTGTTTATTAGTCCAGGATTGATATTATGGAAACATTAAATATTCACTAAATCATCAGTTTGTGTATTTCAATGGTTTTTTAAAAAAGAAATCAGTGCTAAATTGGTATTAAATATTTCAAAATATTAATTCTTACAATTTTTTTTACACAGAAGCAAAATATAAACTAGTTAATTTGATCTCCAAGAGTTAAGCGGTTTTAATATTACTGACAGTAATATCAGCAGTGGTGTTGGAACCCCATGATCTCATGAATCATAGATGTAAGTACAACTTTTATTTGTCAAAAAGCTATTGGATCTGATTTTCCTTTTAAGATACTCACTTATTTAAAAAAGTAAATAAAATTATGTATACATTTATGGTATGTGCATATAAATATAATCAGAGTTTTCACAAACACTCTTGAAAGAAAATATTCTGTCTTTAGACATGTGTGGTGACATTTCAAGCAAAGTTTAGCCTAAATGTGTGAGGAGTTCATCTGATGCCTATAACTTAGCACTTTTGTACTGTGGTAGTGGAAAGGGATGGATCACTTAATGGTTTCAGATGTTAGACTTTAGTGAACTAGGATGGGTTTCCTTAGCATGACATCAGTTTATCTAGCTTATTAGCTTTGTAGTTAAAAACTTTATTATTCTTTTGTGTCTGCAAGCATTTTCATGACTTTCCTTCCTTTTGAAAAATGTTTCATTTGTTGTGTTATATAGGAAATAGCCCATTAAATAACCACTTAATTGCTAGAATTAGCTTATTCAATTATGATTCAATTTCTTTTAAATGTATTTCTTCAAGGAAATTAAAGGATCCAATTATGCAGGCTTATGTCAATTTTCATTAGAAGGTCTCAGCAATTGAATTTTATGAATACTAGTACTTTATGGCACTCAACTGATGAGGGGAAGTGATTATGCATTTCAAGTACCTTTAAATCTGAAATGAGTTTTGCATTTCTTATAATATGTATTCTCATTAACTGAATATTATTTTTTCAAATAGTTATTTCTTATACTTTGGGCAACCAAAATAGTAAAATTTATAATAACATGAAACAAACATTTATTTCTCTGGATCCAAATGCATGGTCAGGCCACACAAATCATCTGCCAGTTATATAGCAGTCTTGTGAGAAATCTCAGACTCATGGGCATTTTTGCATGCTCATAGCCTGTCTGATGTGTTTGTTATGCCTGAATTGCTTTTTTTTTTTTCTTAAATTTACCATGTGTGGTCTGCCCAGACTACAGCTAATTGGAATAGACATGGGAAATAAGTCAAAGCAACCATATGGCAGGGAGAGTATGAGGGAGACTCGGACCAATGTGTCTGTCTACTCTGGGTGACCAGCCAAACCAGTTAGAATCTCTTTTTCCCCACTTAAGAGAGAGAAAGAGAAAAAAAGATAGAGTTAGCTGGCAATTGAGTAAACTGGTTGAATAAAGGTAGAGAAGTGGCTCAATGCTTTTGCAATAGCTAATAGAATTGCTGTTGAGTCAACAGACGTGCTCTTGAACTATAAATCCTAATTTTTTTTTAACTAAATGGCAATGAAAGATGTTACAGGTATCTGTGATGCCTCATTAAGACATTTGAGATATTTTCCTTGTCTTCTCTTGCTACCTTTCCAACAAACCATTTGTGGAAAGTGAATTTATTCTTACAACCTGAAAAACATCAAACAACACATAGGTTATTATGTCCAAGTCCATTGGATATAAACATTTTTTATTAATAAAATTGCTCCAATCAATGGTGAAGAAAACTGAATTGAAGAGAATATGTAATATAAAGTGCTAGCTTCTTGAAAGTGCAATAATCTTACAAATTTGTTTATAAATTATCTTTCCCATTTGGATTCAGATATAAATTTGCAAAGAATAAATTAAGAGGTGGAAAGGTTGTAGGCGGCTCTAGATATGTTCAGGCCTCTTTGTGATTATGTTCACAGATTAATGTGGACAATGAGCTCATTAACCATTTCATTTGATAAAAGTCAGCATCAAGATGAGCTCATCAAAACAGAAGTAAAATCAAATAGAAGATAAGAATTCCCTTTATCTACAATCTTATTATGTAGTTTGTGAAGGAAAAAATGTATATTTTTAGAGCCATCCTCAAACAACTTTGACAATTTTATCCAGTCAGTTGTCTCTCTATTATAAATATAGAACTTGGAGGAAACACCAGTAGTCATTAGCGATTAGCTAAAAACATGCAGATTATGATAAGAAAGGAAGTGTAGGTCCACAATTGCTGACCTGACTCCATGTCTGTCCTTGGAGAGCACAAAAAAATCTCCTTGAACTCTCATTAGAATGTGTTTTTTTTTTTTAATCCCAGTAAAACTAGTTGAACTCTTCAATTAGGCACACCTTACAAAAGAGCAATGATTTTAGATAAAATCATTCCTCACACTTTCATGATTAGTTTGAGGTCTGGGTGCAGAAAGGGAAAAAAGTAAAAAGTTCAGTGTTAAATATTGTAAGACTTCCGCAGTTTTATATGTAACATCAGAAAGAAGGAACTCCCTATACAAGGCTATTTTCATGGTTCTCATTATCACATAGAGTTAATCAAAAACAGTTCAACCTCAGGCAAGTACCCCTGAGATTAACGTATTGAAGAGAAATAAAGCATCTTAGTCCCCTGGATGATAATTAACCTTGAGAAAGCCCAAATCAAAGCAAAATATGGTGTATTTTTTCTGAAATATTTTCCCCTAAATACTAATATATGCCGGGTTGATAATATATGCATTATACATTATCAACCCTACACTGTGGTGTATCATACCAAACCAGCAAGTGACTGTCCTCCTGTCCTCACTATGTTCTTTGGGCACATGAGGAGTTGTAAATATATGCCTGCATAATTTAATGCATGACACATTTATTTTATCATGAAACTACATGTTAAAATGCTACAGTGCTATTGTTTTAAAACATCAAGAACTAAAACACTGACTACAGTATGCAATCCAGATGGCAAATTCTCAAGGCATAGGACTGGAAAATGAAAAAAAAAAATTAAGAGTTGTTTGGCTTTCTCAGTCATGCAGCTTCCTAGCTTGCTTTTACCTTTCAGCACTAGCAAGGATTTAAATGCAATAAAAGCAGTTAGTATAACGGAGAAATAGGATTTGTTACAGGTCTGCTAGTCTTTTAAAAACATCTTTATTCCTCCTAAAATGGCCTGGGCTATTTAAGTTCTTGTGTTGCACTAATTAATAATAAATAGAGTACATTAAAGTCGCTTTATTTATCTAACTTCCTATCACATGCAAGCCAATACACACATATATTATTTACACATAGTCTATGTCTTTCTGCTATTTAAATTTTGCAGGATAAGAAATATCCAGTGAACTAATTTTCAGAATGTGTTTATGTGTCATGCGTAACTGATAAAACAACTAGTTAGAATACAGACAAATATAAAAAAAACAAATGTAATTTTCTTAATTAAAATGTCAGTCATGCAACTATGCCAAATCACATTTTAATCAAATAAACCCAGACCTTATCATTAAAGACAAGTACTTCAATTGCAGAATTTTAAATAGCTTAATTGTATATGGAAAATGTGGCTTGAAAATATAAACATAATTAAGACAACTTCTTTTAGTCTTTTTGGTCAGCCTACTAAGAAGGATAAAAGTCTTGCATGTATTTGAGATTAGATACAGCATTAATTGGCAGCACTTCGTCACAATATCCCATTTAAGTAGTCTTGACTGTTCTTGCACAATAAACAACATTGTCTTTCAGTTTTTTTGAAAGTTTTATTTATATTGGAAAAAAAAGCCTCCAGAACTTCCCCAAATCTCCAGGAACCATGCCATATTTAATACAATATCCACCTCAGTAACTCAGTGATCACGTATTTCACCTATTTGTTATAAATTCTCTTTTTAATTTTTTTAAAGGCAGTCTTCCAGCAGCTACAAACATCATTAATTGACTTTTCTTGAACCAAGGTTCATATTAACAAAATATAAATTAGATAACGGTTATTAGTGCTGCAACAACACTTAGATGAGTCTAGCCATAATATGTCAGTAACATGAAAAATGCTAGGTTTTTTGGTTTGGAATTTATCTGGGTTTTCAATTAGGCTTAGCCAACTTGAGCAAGTAGTTCTTGTGGCAACAATTATGGGTTTTACTTGTGTGTTTGATTTGTATTTGGGTCTTTTTTTTTCCTTATTTGATCACCAAGGCACACACAAATATTCGTCTCAAGCTAAAGCCCCGAAAGTAAGCCATTCTTTAGCTGGTGAAATTCTAATCTCGTTTTATATGTAGTCAATGAGCTGCTGAGAGATGCCTTAGCTTGTTAACATGATAGCAGACAGATGAGAAGAAATAAAAAGTACTGGCCTGTGAAAGCCAAATCAAAGAGCCAGATTGAGGAGATTCTCGAGTTACCCAGGTGAGGCCCTCAGTGCCTAGCTAGTGACCCAGCTAATGGTCAGAATGCTGTAGGTTCCGTTTGGATGATCCAAACGTTAAAACATGGGACTTCGATGTCTGCATAAATGGCTGATAATTTGCCTTTTCTTTGTAAGCTTACTATACAATAAACAAAAGACATATTTGATACTAACCAAACATGGAGAAGGAACAGACAATAACACTGGACGAATATATTCAAGATGCAAATCTTTATGTGGCATTGAAAGAAGTTCAGGATCCTACATTTCTGTATCACAGATTTTTAATTCTCCTTGAGTGTAAACTACTACCTATTGCCATTTACCAAAAAAAATACTCATTTCCATAGACATGTAGCAATATAAATTGCCTGAAAATGGGATAATGCTTTCATGCAGTGAAATCTTGATAAAATAAGAGAAAGTTACAGCTTTTTTTTTAATAATGATTATAGGATTTAAGAGAACGGGTATGTGACAATACTCTGAAGAAGTATTTTAGGTGGTGTAAAAACACTTGTATCTGGGAGCATTGAAATCTACAGACTGATATTTCCTTTTTGTTTTCTTTTTCAGAGCAACTGCTTACTGGACATTGAAGCTTTATGGCCAGCTGCCAAAAAAATAAATGCACCTTAATTTTTAAATTGAATTATAAAGCCAAAAATATCCTATTGCTCTATTCCTCTTATTTTGGTGTTTACATGTGACTTTATAATTTCCTTCACTTGAAAGATTTTAACTTTAAAGGAAACTTTACTCTGAACGTTTAGGACAATTCATAGATAATCAAATTGATTATCATGTTTTCAATGTTAAATATTACTTCATATGTCTTTTTACAACCTTCAGAATAAGAAAGCCAGCTATGAAATACCAAGTCTTGACTAGTAGTGCCACCTAGCATCACAAAGAAAAAGTTGTTCAACTACTTTGCAAAGCATTGGAAATTTATCAAATCATCTAATATACTATCTCCTTGATCCTTAATCCAGAGGAAAATAAGCAGACATGATCAATTAGAAGAAATGTACACAAAACCTATGTAATTTTAGAGATAGTATACTACATATTATGAATGTTTGTGTTTTAGTAAGATGTAGTTATGAGATGTAGCAGTAAGATATAATTTCTGGTTTGCTGACTGATATGCTACCGGTTTTTCCTACAATTTAAGAAAACATATTGGGATTCAAATGAATAAAAATAATGTTTGTGTACTGAAATATTGGCTATGACCTAATTTATAGAATAAAAAGTAAGTCATTCACAACTATCAGTATTTTGAATAATGTGGCAACCAACAACTGATTGAGATTTGTTAGTGTTTTGAGTAATGAATTTAGAAACTTTGGAATATAATATAATGCTAACAAAGATATCACAGGCTCAATCCTGGATGGAACTGAGGACAGCTATTCCAACCATCTCAGTTAAGATGCTTCTTATTGGCGATAAGTGAATAATAAGAGAGTAGATGGCTCATACCAGACCTATTTCTCTCACAATTCAAATAGACTTAGCTGTGAGATAGGGCAAGTCCTCAAATAACACCATTTCATTCAAAGTCATTTTATGATCACTTTGATGAGAAGAAAATCACTAATTCTTGGTCATGGCCACTGTCTGTGTGGAGTCTACATGTTCTCTGCATGTGTACATGGGTTTTCTCTGGGTAGTTTGGTTTCCTTCCACATCCCAAGGAAGTTCACATGAGGTTCACTGGTGTGTCTAAATGGTTCCAATGTGAGTGAGTGTTGGGGTGTGTGTGGGTGCCCCCTGCAGTGAGATAGCTTCCTGTCCAGGGCAGTTCCCACCTTGCACCCTGAGCTGCTGGGAGAGGATCTGACACTGGTGACCCTAAACTGGAATAAGCAGGCTGGAAAATGAATGAATACAAATTATTATAAAATAAAATTTCATAAAATCTATGGTAATCATATAAATGCATGACAAAAAATGCAGTAAGAAAGTGCTCAGGAAGCCCACTGTATTTGTTGTTTCTGAAGGAGATGCTCCTGACAGTTTTTGCTTTGCTAACATTTCTTCCTTGATTTAACACACCATCACTACAACTACCATCGCTCACTGATTCACCAAAAATTGGGTAAATATTTATCGTTTTCATTAACATTTCTTAAATGTATGGATGTATCACAATTATTTCAATGTTTAATATTAAAAGTGTTTTGGGTCTTTATTTAGAAGTTTAATATGTTTTTGTGACCAGAAATATAACATTGGAACTTCACTCTTGTTTATATCAATTAGCCTGTGGTAAAGCGGGTTTCATTCAAGTTGTCCAACCCACAGCTCATGGGTCACATGTGGCCCAGGACTCCTTTGAATGCAGCCCAACACAAATTTGCTAACTTTCTTGAAACATTATGAAATTTTTGTGTGATTTTATTTTTTAGCTCATCAGCTATCATTAGTGTTAGTTTTTATGTTTGGCCCAAGACGATTATTCTTCCAGTGTGACTCAGGGAAGACAGAAGATTGGACACCCTTGATTTCCAACAACTTGCTTAAAGTTGATGTCCCCAAAAACCTACTGATGACATTGTGAGGACTTACTGTAATAAAACTTAAGTGGTTATCTTAGAAAAGGGAGAAAACCATTGAAGACAGGTCGCACTCTGGGACACACTCCTCTGGGAGTAGTCAGCCACTCAAATTAAAATATGCCAACAGAAAGGCTAACTTGAGCTTCTTTCAAACCAGTGCCCAGGTGTGCAATGTCTAGTGAGTGGGACTCCCAAGGCAAATAACCTTGGCAGAAATAGGAAGATTTTCAAGATTTCAATTAGGTTAGGTTTAGAACTAGAATGGAACTGCAATACCTTTCATAAAGCAAAAGGGTGAATCCAGCAATGTGCACTAGGCATCAGTATGTCTAAAGACAAGTGACATATAATATCCCAAACATACCAGGCTTTAGCAAAAGTACTCTTCAACTCACCTGTTAGGAGGCAAGATGGCATAATGGTGAGGAGTATGATTTTGCAAGCTTCCTGCCTCACCAATTGCTAGCTATGTGATATTGGACAAGTTAGATCAGTTGTCTGCAACCCAGTTTCTTGTGAAATGGACAACAAGGATATGACTGAATGAAATGAAAACACTCAGCATTGCTGTAAACATCCACTAAAAATATGTTATTATTATTTTATTATTGCTCCTCTCTTCTCAGGTTAGGTTTTGACACAGAATTCTTTCAATGCCATTTCACCAGTTGGAAACCTCTGTGGCTGGTGGCACCTCTGCCTCGGCTTCACTTTTGTCTGCTGGGCTTGCTCTGCCCACTTGGCCCAGCAGGCTGAGCTCTGTTCACTCCCCAGCCCAAATCCCACGATCACCATGGGACCCATGCTCAGCTTACAGCGGGACCAGGCATGCTGTAAGTGGCTTCTGTAGCTGAGTGCTGGCATTCAGACAAAGGGGGATGTGGTGGCGCCTGAAAACTTGGAGACACCAGCAACCGCAGACCCCAAGAGGTGTTACAGCTTCTGCTTGGGGAGTCCCAAGATCTGAGAACCCAGGAAGTATTACAGCTCTCGTTCATTCCCACTGCCTACAGCTTCAGCGAACAGGGGTGTGTCACAGCTCTTTCTGTCCTGCTGCCTGCAGCTCAGCAAATGGGGGCATGGGGCACCCAGCAGCTTTTTCTCCCCTGTCGCTTGGTGAGTGAGAGGGAGGGTTACAGTGTTATAGCTCTTTTTGCACCTCCCATTTGGTGGGTTCTGGGTTCTTGTCCCATGACCAAGAAGAATGAGGTTGCATGGACACCAGAGAGTGAGCGAGGCAGGGAAGAATTTTATTGAGTGACAGAGAAGCTCCTGACAATGACAGGGGACCTGAAGTGGGTAGCCCTCTGTGTGAGAGGGGGCCTGAAAGCAGGTAGCCATCTATGTAGCTGAGTCCAGGAATGAGGAGATGCAGGCTATAGGTAGCCTTTGGAAAAGGCAACATTCCATTGGTTAAAGAGCATTATTCAGAAAGAACCAATCAGGAAACAGTGGGCAAACAAGAATAGAAGTTGTCACACTGGACTCTATCCAGAACCAGCAGTTCGGTTTTCAGTCTTCGGGCTGTCTTTGGCTTAAAGGCCAGGTTTCACAAGGGACCCATACTTGTCTGTCTAGGAATTTGTCTGTCTTCTGCTGCTATCAGTTTGTCTCAGGAACTACATGATTCTGGGTCTTTAGGTAGAGAGTCTTAAAAGAGCTTCAGCTAAACATGACTGGGAAGCTAGCCACTCACCACTAATATGCAAACACATAGTTTCTGGCCTAATGGAACTGAGGAAATAGCACTGATTTAATAAATATGGAATATTTGTCACCAAAAGATAAAATTACAATATTCTAACATATTTTTCTATGCAACATTCATATATTTATATATATATTAGCAAATATATTCAATGTTAATTCATATATATTAACAAATATATTCATCTGTATTAACAAATTTAATATGTGATCAATCTGTTTATTTAATCCTTTTTCTAAACTTTAGGTTATAGTTTAGCACAAGATATAATTAGCTGATATCAATAATATATGTCACTCATTATTTTTTCCCCCAGGATACAAGTTTTGGTGTCCGCAAAATGGAATACCTCTCAAATCTGTAATACAAGCATGATATAGTCTTAAACAAGAACCACTCCTGTTATGACAACTATTACTCTTCCTCCTTTTAAAGTTTACTCAGATTCTGAATTATGGATAATTACAAAGAAGCTTGGTGAAGTTACATAGGGGAAGAAGTTTCATTTTTCAACTTCCCAGTGAAAAATAAGTAACACAGCATCACAGAAGGGAAAATATTCTGTCCCAGAGGACAGTGCCAGGACTTTAGCTTATTTCTTTTGCTTCTGTGGTTGGTTGTCTTTGGCCATTTCTCAAGATGTGTAAGCCTCTGATAATATTAATAAAAGCACTTTATTTGCAACCCATATTAGTCCTGGTTTATTACACATACCCCTAATTATGATTTTAAGTGGCCAAAATAAGAAATTCTGGAGACTGTAGAAAATTTTTTTTTTCTGGGCTCCAGATTTAGACTAAGGGAGAGTGACCAATACAAGTCATGGGACCCTGAGAATGGGAAGGAGAGGCATTGAATTAAATATCACTAGTAGAGATTCAAGAATATGAGAATCCCTAGTCCCAACCCTACCATTCCATGATCTTAATCGCCTGAATGGAAATAAACAACATAAGAATACATTTTACCAGCTGGGCGTGGTGGCTCATGCCTGTAATCCCAGCACTTTGGGAGGCCGAGGCAGGCAGATAGCGAGGTCACGAGATTGAGAACATCCTGGCCAAGATGGTGAAACCCTGTCTCTACTAAAAATACAAAAATTAGCCAGGCTTGGTGGTAGGCGCCTGTAGTTCCAGCTACTCGGGAGGCTGAGGCAGGAGAATAGCATGAACTCAGGAGGAGGTGGAGCTTGCAGTGAGCTGAGATCATGCCACTGCACTCCAGCCTGAACGACAGAGCGAGACTCCATCTCAAAAAAAAAAAAAGGATACATTTTACCTTAATCACAGGGAGTCATTTGAAATACAGAACTTTTTTCTAGGCATTGTAGGGCAGGCATGAGAGCAAGCACTTAAATTTAGAAGTGAGATCCTTGAAAGCTGATGTACTTAGCTTCATAAAGTTCCTCTTGCTTTCTAATCTTATTCTCCCTTTTCCTACTCCTCTGCTGATAAGATATAAAAAGAAAGCTAATAGACTCATTTCCAGGTGAGTGGCCTGCTTCGATCGTATTTTGGAAATTTTAGATATCTTTCATCTAACAGCAGGAAAGCTTGAGGATGTAAGTCTGTGGTGGAGAGCTACAAAATCAAATATAACTTGGTTATTTTCCCACTATGAAGAGTCACTATGAATAAAGTAAACTCGGATATTAGCTCAAGTTTGAAGGCTCTTTTCATTTATTTGTTAATGACCTTGCACCTCTGTTGGCAGCACTGGAGGCTTGCAGAGGCCTTAGAAGAGGTTTCTGGGGGCAGATATGAAACAGGATCACATAGCTTAGGTGAGTATCCAAAGAATTCTTAGATGTGACATAATTCTCAGTAATTTTTTTCAGAAATTGGTTTTGGATTGAGGAACAGCTGAATTTGAATTCATCCATGACTCTTTCTTCTCCAAATTTTATCATCAGACTTTCAATTAACTTTTTTTATGTTAATTTATGAATAACTGACCCCAATATTTCCTCCTTCCCTTATCTGTACACTTTGACATGTAATTTTGCAATTCCTCCCCCTAGAAGTGCTGTCTTTTCATACTGCATGGCTTGGCTTTGAGCTCAGTCATATGACTTGTGTTGACCAGTGGAATGTGGCTGAAAATAACCATTTTTAAATATATGTTAAACTTCTGCTGTCACTATGACAAGAACATACTTAAGGTAGGCCACCAATACGCAAAGAATGAGCAGCACATGGAGGAAACCTGAACACACCCAGTGGCTTTAGACCAACTCTCACTAAACCAAGACTAATTAGCTTAACCTCAGCTGACTTACAGATATGAGAGGAAAAAAGGCTTGCTATTTTATGTCACAGAATTTTGGAGTGGCTTGCATGTGGCATTAACTGATTTACCTTTTCTGACAGTTTCCATTCTCTAAACCTTTAAGCCCTCTTTATGTCTCCTTTAATTTCTCTCCACTTCTCTCATGTTTAAGATTCAACATTGTAATCTTTTAAAATAATTTAAGTCAAGCCAATAATTTATTAAGATTTTGCTTTTGTTTGTTTAATAGATATATTAACATTATAAAAATGTACTATCGGTATTACCCAGACAAATTAGGCAATGCTTAGAATCATGTTATAATTATTATCAGTATCAATATTGCCTAGATGTATGAAATATATTTTTTTCAGTTAAACATGCATGTTTTTTCCTAAGAAGCTGTCATCAGTGGGTACTACATGTATATGTGAGATGTTACTAAGAGATTCATTATAGTTTTTAACATGAATTAAATCAATCTTAGATTTATAAAATTCGAGTAACAATTTGATGTATGTAATTTGAGTAACAATTTGATGTATGAACAATTTGATGATTACAAGAAAGGCAATTAAATATCAGATAAGGAATTTACTCAAATACTTAAATTTTAAGAAAAATTAAGAAACTTAAAGCAAGTAAGAAACCAGTGCATTTCCTAAGAAAAACATAGCAGGTAATCACAATTTAGTTTATATTTGGTACGAGCCTTATGTGATTTACTTTCACCATCTCATAAATTTTCAAAAACTTATAGTCTTCATTCTAAAATTCATTCATTGAAACTTTTATTGTAAACATATTTACACTAGATCACCTAGTATCTTATTTTTAAATGTGCTGAATTTTGCATATTCATCTTTTTATGTGCTTCATTAAATCTTTAAATTGTAGACATATATCTTATAGGAGTTCTTGTGAATAATTAGAAACAATGCAGAAATCTTGCTTCCTTTGTTCTAATTCTCATATCTTCTTTTCTGAATGACTACTTTAATCTCCCAGATATTCTTTGAGCCTGCAGTCTCATAATACTCTGTGTTCCATGTTCCCAACAGAGTTGTATTTCTAAAATAATAATATGATCAAGTCACTTTCAGGTGTAAATTTTAAAAGAATCTTTCCAATACCTATGCAATAAAGTTAAAAATATTTGACTTTGTTAACAAAAAAAAAAGATATTATATATTCTATCTAACGTTCCAGCCTCATGTTCTACCTCTTCCTTTTCAATAAAGTTTTCTAATGGCAGTTGAAAATATTTCAAAGTGAAACAGTATAGATTTGAGAACAGTAGGTGAATATCTTCTTAAATCATATCATTAATTAAATGATCTATATCAGACTAGAGGAAAATTTCTAGTAATATGCTGCAAGACTTCACTGATAACTCTTTGTATTTGAAACAGTTACTTGAAAGATGTCATTGCAAACTGCAGATGCTGGAAAACAGAAAAAACTTAGTGACCATAATGGATGATTAAAAGATAAATATTAACTTGAAGGATTTTGAAGCAGTGTATATTATCGAAGAGTAATGAATGTAAAACACTACTGATAGGTCCACAAACAAACATGTACAAAATATAGAGTGTGCCAGAGCTAGTAGTACACAGGTGAATAAAGTTTAGTTGACAGCTAATTATCAGCCTGCATTTCTACTAGGCTTTGAGGTAAAAGGTAGAATACAACATGACCCAGTGCTCAAGGAGCTTTTAGTCTTGAAAGCAAACAATTAGAAAAAAATTAATATAATTTCTTAATCAAATGTATTCATTGCTTACATTAAGAAAAATATGATAAGAACTTGAGTAATGTATTTGTACACCTCACTTAAAGAATAATACAGATAAAGTCAATCCAGAAAAGTACAATCAGGATTATGAGGAGAACTTAAATAATATCATAGGAAGAATCGCTATGTTGTTTACAGAAGTGAAAACTGGATGAGATGCTAAAAAAATAATAATAATGGTAATGATAATATAAGGAAATAAAAATAATTAACCCTAATTGAATACTACCTATGTACCAGGCATTCCATTATGTTAAAATTATATAATTCTATACTCAGTGATTGGTTGCTTTTTAAAAAATTTTTATTTTGTAAATGAAGAAATGAGGTTTGTCTTGTATAGTAATTTGTCCAAGGTCACTAAATTATGAGTTGACGCTTCAAACCTAGGTCTGTATAACTCCAGAACTCGAGTTATTAAACATGATACTGCCTGATATTGTCATTAGCAGGTGTTACTGACTGAGAAACTAATATTCATAAAAAAGATTAGAATTTTTCTATAATAGAGTATCACATGTATTATGATAGTCAATTGTTATAGAATATAGAATAAAGAGTATAGAATACCAAATTACATATAATACATATGATACTGTATTGTAGAAAATAATGTAGAATAATTTGGTACAGAAAATCTAAGTTTATGATTATTATCTGTTACTTGCTAGCTACATGACTTTGAACCAACTACTGTCTCTCTGAGTCTCAATTTCCTTGTCTAAAAATAGATATAATAATAACTAAATTATCCTATAAGGCTCATGTTCAGCTCAAATACTATAAAAGGAACATAGATGAAAGGATTTTGAAAAACTTTCAAAAGGTACTTTTAAAATGCTTAGTTGTATTACTATTGTAACCACTAAAACCAAGCAAGAATTAATGGGTAAAGCTATAAGCAATAATTTATGTATAGACCTTTAAAGGTTAGAAGTCTTCTATGCAAATGTGAGTCCCTGGACTTACATCAATGAAAGTATTCAAATATTGCATAGATGACTATTTGATTGGGCTATCACGGAAGAAATGTAGGCATCAGATGAGTGTCCACAAGTTTTGAAAACATTTTTTCCTTAATCATACTTTTTTGAAAACAGTTTATATGTCTTTATATAACACATGTTTTCTATTATGTAAGTAGATTTTTGTTTGCAGGAAGCCATTTCAGTTATCTTTATCTTCCTTAGAGCAATGAGGTCATACACAAATCATTTCAGGGAAAAAATATCTAAGAAAGATTTGTGACTCTCCCTTCCCATTATTGGATGCTTTTACAGAGATAGTCTTAGCACAAATGTTATTCATACATCTTGGAATAAAATCATGTTACTTTACTTGCCATTTCAATTATATTTTTAAATGATTGATTTTGAGCTTCCGAGTAACTAAAGATGACATCAAATTATATTCTCTGATGAATTCTTATTTTCTTGAAATGTTTGCTAGTTATGTTTTTATAGTAGTACACAGTGTAGCATCTAGCTCAACTTTCAAGCTATATATTTTATTTTGGTTCCAAATAGTGAGAAATAGTTCATTTATTATACATTATATTGAAAATTCTGGTTTATCTTTCCAATTTCCCATTTTTAAGCTAATTGTAGAGAAATATTAGTCCATTAATGATAGATACAGATGGTGTCCATCTGGTATCCATCTTTAACTCTAAAAATGGAGGCATAAGGATACACTGAAACATTAGACGTTCAAAATTAGATGCACTCTAACAGCTCAAAGAAAATGTTATTTGATCCATTATAATTTTTTTCTAATACTCATATTTCAAACAAGATAGAGAATAATAATTTTTTTCTGAAAATAAGAGTTGTAATTTTAAGTCCACAATTTTTTCCTACTCTAACCAGATAACAAATATCAAAATCATTAATACAAACCAATTTTTCACTTATGGCTTATCTCAAAAATCTATTGGTAATCAAATTACATCAAATTTCTTTACCCTCCACAGATTTCACCTCCCTTACACTCTCTCTCTCTCTCTCTCGTTTTTGTAGAGACAGGGTCTTACTGTGTCACCCAGTCTGGTCTCAAACACCTGACCTCAAGCAATCCTCTTACCTTGGCCTTGCAATACAGGCATGAGCCACCGCACCCAGCCTTACACTTTATCTACCGGAAGTTGCTTCTATTTTTCCTAATGTGTTATTTTTTAACAAATTATTTTTTGTTAATAATAAAATAAAATCTACCAGATGACACAAGTATCAATGTATAAATACATATATAAAACCATAGATTTTGGAATACTACATAACAAAAGGGACCATAGAAACCACCTAGATTTTTTCCAGCAAATATCTGAATGATATCTAAAATTTTTATTGCGGACATCAGAAGTATAGGAGAGAAGGAGAGATAGAAACAAATGAGCTGAGCCCCAGCTCCTTGCTAATGAATGGGAAGAAATAAAGTCAAAACCCGGATATTGTTCCCTCCTGGGTCTGGATTGTCATTGGGAGATGTTGATTAAGTCCAACACCTACCTACCCTTTACAGATAAAGAAGCTAAGTTCCAAAGAAGTTACGTGACTTTCACAAAGCCATACAGAAGGTGTGCAGCACATTCTTTCACTCATGTACTCCATATAACTGTGAAAAGAACAGAAAAATTAAAATATTCTGATGAAAGACTTAAGAAAATCCACACAAAAGCTTTTCTATTAGTTTGTTGTTCCTTGCATCTGTTGTGTTTAGGATAGTGCCTGCCATATACCAAGTAGTTAGCAAATATTTGCTGAAAAGATAAAGAAAATAAATACATATCTACAGAAACATTGCTTCCTTTAGGTAACACCGCTGAATCCTTAAAGCAACACTGTATGTTTATTCTTAATTATAATAAATGTGAATCATCAGAAAAACATCCAGTTTCAGTCAGTATCTCTTTCTCTTTTTTTAATGAAGAAGACATTACAGTATATAGAAAAAAATTTTTTTGAAAATGATTTAAAAACTCTAAAACTTACTTAAATGTGAACATTATCTCAAAAGTCTACTATACGATAAATCTTCTATAATAAAGGTAGAACAATGAAATATTATGATAAACATGTTAAATAATATAAATTATAATTTATAATTATTATTGTAACTTTTAAGTTTTAGATACGAATATTAAAAACTGCTGTTAACACTTGGCATTCTACATACAAACTGTCATTAGGAAAACTATTTTGCTATTATGCTTTGTATGTTTTTGTTTGTTCTTTTGTTTTCTAGTATAACACTTTATTCAGTGGTAGGAATTTCTACCTACTCATAAATACTTAAGATATGAAATGATTTATTACTTTAAAAATAATAAGAAATAGCTAATTAGTGAGATGCTTAACTTCCAAAAATTTTAAATTAATGGAAATTGTGCTAAAGGGATGAAAATGTGATTTCATTTTGAGATATAGTTTTATGAAAAAGATTAAGGCACATAAGTAGAATATGAAAAAAATATTATGGAAGGTGAACAAGAGGAGGAGGAAAGAAAGCAAGCAGAAAAGTAGGGCTAAAAGGAAGGGAGAAAATTATGAATAAAAAATTTCTGACCTTATAATTTTATAAATCAATATTGTAATTAGATGAACATCTAAACAAGCATCATTTATTAAAAAATAAAATCATGAAAGAATAAAAGGTTTATTTTATTTCATTTTTTATATGACCATAAGAACAAAATAAGCCACTCCCCTAAAAAAGTGCAGCTGATTCCTGAAGCTTTTGAAAATGTAAATCCTGGCGGAAAGACCTAGGCAACTAGGTGACCTAATTCCATGTCCCGAATCAGACTTTTCCTGGCTCTATGATCTTGGCAAGTGAAAGGACTTCTCTTCACTTGACTTGTTTTTATCTCTACAAAGGAATAATTACAATACCCAACTGATAAGAAAACTGTACGTTTAAATAAAGTGGTTACAATATTTTAAAGTTTAAGAGTTGAAACAAACAGCTTAAAACAATATCTGAAACATAATAAGCAGTAAATGTTGATATTATTATTATTTAATCTTTAATCTCAAATTGAAATTTTGAGATGAAAAGTCAGAAGATTGTCACAAAGCTAACAAAAGATTCCGGATTCTTTGCTCATAACCATTACATAATTCAGCCTCCCTGAAACTAGAGATAACAGGAAAATTGTTACCGGAGGTGCTTGCTCCCAGAGCTCCCAAGATGGTGGCGGGCCGCTTCCAAGATGGTAGCAAGCCTCTTGTTCTCTGACCTGGGGTTCTTGGCCTCATGGATTCCAAGGAATGGAATCTTGGGCCATGCGGTGAGTGTTATAGCTCTATTAGAAGCCGCGGGTCATGGAAGAGAATGGTGGAACCCAGCGACTAGTGTTCAGCTCAATTAGGATGAACCCGGACACTTAGCTGTGCAGGAACAATGGCAAGCCTTTAGTCCGATCAGGAGTAGCAATGGGCACCTTGCTGGATCAGGAGTACAGCAGACTCCCTTCCGGATCCAGAGGGGTGGAAGTCAGCAGCAGGTCTGCCACGGCAGCAAATAGCAGTGGTGGACGGCTAGCGAAACCTCAGCTTGAGACATAACAAACAGGGACCAGAGGAGTGTGCAGTTGCAAGATTTAATAGAGTGAAAACAGAACTGCCATACAAAGGGAGGAGACCCAAAGTGTGTAGCACTTGCCGGCTGGAATGCCTGGGTTTATATCTTAATCAGTGTTCCTCCCCCTGTGCTCTCAGACGATAGATGATTGGCTATGACTTTACCTCCCATTTTTTGCCTAATTAGCTCTTTACTACCTGATTGGTTGGGTGTGAGCTAAGTTGTAAGCCCCCTGTTTAAAGGTGGATGCGGTCACCTTCCCAGCTAGGCTTAGGGATTCTTAGTCGCCTAGGAAATCCAGCTAGTCCTATCTCTCAAAATCAACCTAAGCTTTATGTAGGTAAAACACGCAAACCACCCTGATAAGTTATTTGACAGGTGTGACTGGGGATAGGACAGGGCAGTTCCTCCATATTTGACACAATTTCTTTATCCTAATTATTTATATGATGCCAATGACACACTGCCAACTGTACAGTGGTGTTAAGAGTGGAACTGATGGCCTCTATGTGTGGTGAACCTCCTCTTCACAGGAACCTTGATGTGATGCCTGTGTCAGAGGCATTTGAAACAGAGTGACTCCATCTTGAGTGAGAGCTAGGAAAAATGAGGCTGGGACTTGCTGGGCTGCATCCCCAGAAAGTGGACCACCATCTGACAGAAATCGCTTAGGAAAGGAGATGGGGTCACATGTCCTGAAAGATTCCTGGCAACTCTAAAGTATTCTGAAAAGCCATTCAACCCAGGTTACATATGACCTCTGATTTTTTGTAATGCAAATTAAGTTAACATCATATACAGCATTACAAAGACTCTCCAAATAGTTCTAAAGAACCAGTTAGTTTAGAAACCATAAACACACTAATTATAAGCAAATATACAATTTTATCTATTCCCTGAAGCAGGTCTAATCTATGATTGGTAATAGTTAGCTAACAGGCCCTGCACTGCGAACGTGAAAATAAAATAAAAAAAAAAATCTGGAGGGCTTTATGAAGACTCCTCAGACTTCATTAATCCAGATGTTGGTTTCCTAAAGTTAGTAATATTTTATTGAAGAACAAATTTTTCTAATGGTGCAACTACCCAACAGACATTCCTTTCATCAGAAAGTCACTTAAAGACGTTTGGGGTATTTCTACCTGCTCACCCTTGCCTGAGTGAAAACCAGTGATTTTTCCTTCTCACAGATGAAAACTGCCAATAGATAAGACCTATCAGTCTGAAGTGACTAGATTTATACCATCTGTTAGCTCACTCCTTTCCCTCATCACTGTGTGCTTACAGAAAGTAAAAAAAAATGCGGGTATATGTGTTTTCTTTTTTCTTCTCTCCTCCTCCCCACCACCTCCCACAGACACCCCCAGGCCCAGTAAATATGTGTGTGTTTTCAAATGCAAAAGACAATGAAATTTCAAATTAAATGCTCTTTAGAGACAAATTTACCCATTTGAGCTTTGCCTAATGCCTGGGGTTACTAAAAACCAAAACAGGATGTTTTTCTAAAAGGAATGACTGGCTTACCTTATTTTCTCATCATAAAGAGCAACCACCCACCTGGGTGTCACTATTTTTCTCCAGAGGAAGAACAATTAAGATTCAATTTAGGTCACTTAAATCTCCAAGTTTAAAAGTCCTCCAAAAAACCTGACGGTTCTCAGGAATCTCTGACAACCGTTACATACAATTTCTGATGTTTTCCATTCCTTCACAAGTGTCTGCAATGCCCCAGATTAGTTGTACTCTTTTGTCATCTTTTTAAGAATAATTTAGGGCTAATGTTTTATTTAAGTCTAAATCCCAACACTGTTTCTTTAGAACTCTCTAACAAGAAATAATGAACTCATACAGTGTTCTCTAAGAGTGGATGTTATTGTTTTCCCTTTGTAGAAGAAAAAAAAAAAGATACAGCAACAATAGTTGGCTTTTCCAAAGTCACAGAGCAAATCAGAAAACAATACACCATTTCTGGCAATTTTTTTTTAAATTTATTTTTATTTTTAGAGAGTCTTGCTCTGTCGCCAGGCTGGAGTGCAGTGGCGCAATCTTGGCTCACTGCAACCTCCGTTTCCCGGGTTCAAGCAATTCCCCTGCCTCAGCCTCCCAAGTTAGCTGAGACTACAGTACAGGTGCATGCCACCACACCTGGCTGATTTTTTTGTATTTTAGTAGAGATGGGTTTTCACCATGTTGGCCAGGATGGTCTCGATCTCCTGACCTTGTGATCTGCTCACCTCGGCCTCCCAAAGTGCTGGGATTACAGGCGTGAGCCACCGCACCCAGCCAATTTTTTTTTTTTTAAATACTGAAAAACTTTGAAGAAAAAGCTCTTATGGTTTAGGATCTAGTTATAAGGCAGGATTCAGGATCTACTCTAGTGTAGAAAAATAGATGACTTTCTCAGCCTTTCTGATTTTTATTTTTAATACTTTTGTTATTATTAAAGTATTCCAGCTTTTGTAAAGGTTTAAGAGAGCCTTCATGAAGAGATCAGCAAATTCTGTCTGCAAAGTCTTCTAGAGCTTTGGCTAATAAGAGCAGAAATCTGAATCCTTGCCTCTGTTGCTGCCACTTCCCAGCCCAGTTCAGTCCTGCAAAACTGGTAATTTTACCATAGTGTGTCTGACCATGAACATAGAAAGCTACCAGATAGACAGACTCAGGGGTCAGGAGGAAGTTGAGAAAAGAAAAGAAGTTTTATCTGAGGAATGCCAAGTCCTTTTAAATTATCAGGCTCAGAGAGAGACATTAAAATGAGAAAGCAATCATGTCCTGCTTTCTGTCTTTTGAGCCATGTATTCATCTCTTGAAACTGCTTACTATTGCCAGAAGTAGCTATAAATTAACCAATAATGCCACACCTGATACTACAACCCACAACCTATGGCTTAACAATGTATAGCCAATCAATCGCTCATGTAATTTTAATGTAAATTCTTAATAAACAACTCAGGAAGTACTTCTTTCTCTTTAAAAAAACACATGTAACGGCTGCTAATCAGAGTATATATTCAGAGAAACTTGAATCTGTTTTCCTGGGTTGCAATCCTCAAGACTGGCACAAAAACTCTCTACTCATATTGATTCTGCCTCAGCTTGTTTTTTTCAGGTCAACACATCTGGCATACGTTGACAGGATTCGGAGTGACTCCCTTTAGCCCCCTGGTGTTTGCCTCTGAAAGTATTACTCAGTAACCTCATAAACTCTGTCTTCAAAAGTCCCATTGGGTGTTAGGGGTAAGTTCTCCTGAATTCGGAATTCTGACTCTAGACTTTTTACTTGGGCTGTTTTCAAACCCCATCTTTCCTTTAAGAGTGAAGGCTTTGATTTCTTTCTCTGGATATGATATTCAGGGAAAGAGCTCTACAGAGGACTGCCTTTTTTTCCAACCTTTCTCTCACAGCAGAGGTTCTAGTCAAGTCTGATCAAGGTTTTTCCACCTCTATCTCATAGTAGAAGTTGGTATCAAAGGATTGGCAGTCAGGGACTACAATAGCAGTTGCACAGCATACTTTTAAGATTGCAACTGTTTTCTATGACTTGAAAATTCAGACTTAGACTTTATTTGTGACCAATCTTTGTTAGTTTCTAACTGAAGTGTACCGCCTTTTGCTCTTTCAGACAGGTATAATATGAGAGTCTGGGTCCCCCATATCTTGAGCACTCTGCTATCACCTAGTGGTTAGAGATAGTCCAAGATACATTAAACTTCAACCTCAAAATGTTACAGTCTCACCAATGTACCACAATGTAGCAGCCTCTCATTGTGAGGTATCACCCAGAGTTCTTTGTCTCATGACCAAGAGAATTAAGGAGCGTGGACACAAAGGGTGAGGTTGGAGTGGAAGTATAATAAGGGAAAAAGAAATCTCTCCACCGCAGACAGGGGGCCTGGAAGAGAGTTGCAGTTTTTACAGTGAATGCAAAGGCTTTTATAAGTAACTGATGAGGGCTCGGTATTTTATTTGCATAAACCATGAATTTCTGGTAGCTCCACTCCATCCTCATAGTGCATATGTGGGCCCTTAGCTTGACTTACTACATATTGCTTTGTTCCCTTTACTGCACATGTGTCAGGGGACAGAGTTTTCCATTGCAGGCATATCTGGGCAAGTCATCTCTGTAGCCTTTCTTATCTTTGCAGCTGTGGGCATGTCTTAGGTACTAAGCCCACCTGTGCAATTTCCCTTATCTCTGTCTGCAGGCTGTTCTTTTGTTTGAAATAATTTAACTGAGGACCCACCCTAACTGCCTGCCTGACCAGTTTCTTCCTTTCCCCTCTCTCAACAACACATCCTCAGCTTTTGTCACTTCTGAAAAGTTCCCAAATTATGGAAAAAACCAGTCTTCAAAATCTGAGCACTCTTTTTAGAAACATCAGGTGGATTTATGTATAATACATATGAAGCACCCTCTTGTAGATATCTAGGAAATTAGATCTACCTAACCCAGGATAGTCATAGGCAACAATGATGAAAAATGGGGATTTTTAAAATACCTAAAATAATTTGTTTGTGTACACCATTGTAAATAGCTGGTTTTAGAACCAGACAAATTGGAGACTTCCAATGGCACCTAAAAATGTCTTTTTAAAGAAATAACTTTTTTTTTATTTATTGGGAAGCAGAAGCACTGACCAGCACTTGGCTTTAAAAACTTCTGAAAGAAATCATGCAAAAAATTGCCTCCATTCAAGAGGTAAACAAAAAGATATTTGAAATATTAAAAAAGACTTCAGAGGCTTTCTCCCTTACTCCTTCAACTGCTCCTTCTCCTTCTACCCGTGTGAGCTCAACTCATCCCTCTTTACTTGTTCCCTTGGCTTCCATGCATCTCTTAGGCAGAGAGGTTTTAGGAAATTCACAATGCACATGTTTCTTCTTTTCAGAAAAGGGAAATAAATTTAAATCTAGAATAGAAGAAAAGTGGAACAATGTCAGAATAGGAATAATATTCCTGTTGTGAGCACCAAATATCTGAGAAATGTCTCAGTTAATTTATGAAGTTTATTTTGCGAAGATTGAGGACGCATGCCCATGACACAGCCTCAGGAGGTCCTGGTGACATGTGCCCAAGGTGGTCAGAGCACAGTTTGGTTTTATACATTTTAGGGGGACAAGAGACATCAAACAACATACATAACATGAACATTGGTTTGGTCTGGAAAGGTGGGACAACTCAAAGCAAAGGCCAAGACAACTTGAAGTGGGGAGGGGGCTTCCAGGTAATAGGTAGAAAAGAGGCAAATGGTTGCATTATTTGGAGTTTCTGATTAGCCTCTCCAAAGGAAGCAATCAGATATGCATTTATTTCAGTTAGCAGAGGGGTGACTTTGAATAGAATGGGAGGCAGGTTTGCCCTAAGCAGTTCCCAGCTTGACTTTTCTCTTTAGCTTAGTGATTTGGGGGACCCAAGTTTTATTTTCCTTTCACACTGTGATTATATAAATGCCAATTCAATAACTTTTTTTCTAAACCAGAACAAATGAATGACACTAATTTATTGACCCAATATCAGACAATACTATTTAAATCGTATAATGTCATTGAAATGCTAATGTCCAGGAAATTAGCTAAGCAGCATTCCAACTGAGATCAGGTCTGAAACAAGTTAAAATCCTTAAGATGCTGAAACTGCCTACTTTGGATCCCCTATAGAACTTATTTTTAAAAAACAAAATAAAACGACAACAGCAACAACACTTCCCGCTGTGATCTAGTGGCTGGGATTCAGCACTTTTACTACTGCAGCCTGGGTTCAATTACTGGTAAGGGAATAAATCCCATTTGTTTGAAATTGTTTGTATAATTATTCACTTTTAGAAGTACCTATTTGTTATGGATCCTCTTCCCTTCCATGAACGTTTGACTGCCTGTCTTTTTTCCATTTATGAGGCATATGGGGCTTTTGAGCCTTCATGCATAGGTGCTCAGATGAGAAGCTGAGATTATAGAAAACATGGCTGGACATTAATGTGGGTTGGATTCCATTTGCAGCTAGTGAAGCTACCTTTCCTTGAGCTGTTTTGGGAGTGGTTTTGGATGTTGTGAGAACGGCTTTTCACTTCTTTGAAGATGCCTCATGCATCCTGGGTTAAGTTATAACTTTGGTTAAGTCTTATTGGTTTTGATGAGTTGCTCGAAAGGGGATCATTGATTAAAAAAAAAAAATGTTCAAAAGCCAGGAATATCAGCTGTTTGTCCTGGCTAAAATCTGATAAGAGTTTTGAAACAAAAACTTTTTTTTGTTTAAAGAGTGCTGTGGTCAAAAGTCACCTTAATTAAAAGCTGATATTCAAGCTCTTCTTTTGTCTTTGCTATCTTTGGTACCACATGAAAAGAGCTACGTGAGAATTCTAATGACTCAGACTCCTTGCAGGACACAGAAAAAGGAACTACCCACCACTTTTTTAAGGTCTTTTTTTCCTCCTTGGAGTCTGAAGAATCATGGACAGGTTCCTTTCAGCTCTAAAATCCTGCTGCTTTTTGTATTGCATTGCCTGATCTCTTTGGCTTTTGAGGTAGCAGAGTTTACGTTGTACTGTGAGAGAATACTTGACCTTTGTGTATGTGATGGCTGGTGAGTTATAGGTGAGAGTTGCAGTCTTGGAGGTGGCTAATGGTAGTTGTTTATTATAAATGATTATTACCGCAGGGGTTTACTCTGTGGGTTTTTTTTTTTTTTTTTTTGCATGTTTAGATAAAGGCATAGTTTAAACACTTAGATAAATGTCTTTGTAGTGAAGCATACTGTGACAGCATTGCATGGCCCAGTCCCATTGCATTTCACTCTTTGTGGGGATTCTCTTTTCAATGTAAAAGTGGAATCCTTGATTTTTAAAGATCTAGATGCTTTGCCTTCTAATGGTGCCTGCTTTTCACATATTTATATTACTAGGCCCTAAAGACTGCACATATATAAATTATCAGGCTCTAAAAAGTGCAAATGCTTTGCTGGCCTTCTTCTCTAATGGGCTCCACCCTGAGCTCAGTGGTCCAGTTGCAAAACAGACTAAATTAAAAGCTACTAACCTCAATAAAATTGGTCTTCTTATGAAATCTTTTTGTAAATTCCTATGATTTTGTACTACCTTGGTATTCTATTTTTTTTTTTTTTTCTGAGATGGTTTTGCTCCTGTCACCCAGGCTAGAGTCCAATGGTGCAATCTCAGCTCATTGAAACCTCCACCTCCTGGATTCAAGCGATTCTCTTGCCTCAGCCTCCTGTGCAGCTGGGATTACAGGTGTGTGCCACCATGCTAGGCTAATTTTTTGTATTTTTCGTAGAGATGGGGTTTCACCATGTTGGACAGGCTGGTCTCGAACTCCTGACCTCAGCTGATCTTCCTGTATTGGCCTCCTAAAGTGCTGGGATTACAGACATGAGCCACTGCACCCGGCCTGGTATTCATTTTTAATCTTCTTCTATATATCACATATAAACTCCTTCTTGAAAAAGCTTAAATTCTGTCAGTGCTTTGAGGTGTAAATTTGCTACCCTATTTTCTCTAAACATCTGTAAGAACTTTGCCCATGTGTGACAGGTAAACTTTAAACATTTCTACTTAGAAAGGCACAGTGTGAATACAACTATCCTTTTAAATTAGTGAGTTGCTGGTCTCATGGCTAAAATTTTAAAATCAAAGCTATAAAGTCTTCATGTATTTTTGTATTATGAGTGCATGTGTAAATATCTGTTTATATATTGCTATATTGCACCATTGATTTATAATACATAAGCACTCATAAATTTAAAAACCACCTCAAATGCTTTTCAAAACTTTTAAGTCAAATTTATGACTTTAATAACTTTTGGTAAATAAAGTTTTAAAATTGTTGGTAAAGTGAAATAGAAATGGCTTCAGAATTTCATTTAGACATTTTTGCCTGGGTCTATTGGTTGGAAAAGTTTATACAGTCTCTGCTAAAAGTTTTAAGGTTGTAAAGCTGTTGCTTTTTTGACATTTGTAGATACTTGCTTAATTTGTCTGTGAGTTTATGTCTTTTTATTTGAGCCGTTAAATTCTGAGGCCTAGACAAGTGGCCATGGTGAGGCCTTGGGCAGTGCCTGAGCTCCATTCTCCCTGGACAAACTTTGCCACTTGGGCATGCTGGGATGGGTCAGATGCTCCATGCATTGTCTCCAAAGCTTTGTCCTTTGTCCTAGGCTCTGCATCTCATGCATAATTAAAATTTCTAACTTTCTAGGGTTTCCACTGGAAATTAGGATAACTAAGAGTTAACATTGTAATTAATATATATATACATATATGATTAAAACTACTAGATATGAGATACAATTTTATATAAAGGATATATAGAGAAAGTAAGATGGAGAGCTAGGCATGGTGGTTCATGCTTATAATCCCTATGCTTTGGAAGGCCAAGGCAGGAGGATCGCTTGAGTCAAGGAACTTGAGACAAGCCTGGGCAATATAGTGAGACCACATCTTCAGAAAAATTGTAAAAATGAGTTGGACATGACAGTGCATATCAACAATCCTGAATACTTGGTAGACTGAGGCAGGAGGATCACTTGAACCCAGGAGTTCAAGGTCACGGTGAGTTATAACACTATTGCACTCCAGACTTTACCTCTGAAAAAAAATAAATAAATAAAGGAAAGAAAGAAAAAAGAAAATGTGAAAGTTGAGAGAGGAATTTTTTTTTTTTCTTTTTAAATGAAAGAGAATGTTGTGTGGTGGTCAAAATGATAAGGAGGAAGAAACATAAATTTTGTCTTAAGTAGAATGCCAATATGAAAAAGAAAGTACAGGACAAAACTCAAGTATTAAGCAACTTGTATAAAAATTGTGAGAAATTAATCTACTAAAAATTTTGTGAGTGATCACCTTGGCTAAAATTAGAAGGAGATTACTTAGTTTTTTTAAAAGTTGAACATTAATATCAAAATTATACTGAGGCAGGGCCACAGTCAGTGCTCCTATGTCAAAATAACAGGGTTTTCTTGATTTGCTCTTCAATAGAAAATTGTCAAAGGTTATAAAAGGTTTATAAAAGTATTATTTTGTGCACTCAAAACTGAGATTGGACATATAGGTTTACATTTTATTAAAATTAGCTTTAGCATTAATAATATATGGATGAAAATGTAAAATTTTGTTTTCTCTTTAGAACAAAACTTTTTGAAGTATTAATAGGGATAGTAAAAAATTATTCACCTTTTGAGTAAAAACAAAGAAGAAAAGATTCTGTTGGTCTCATGCTATCTTTATTAGGTCTTCTGACTCTTTGGAAAACAGTATGTTCTCTGTCAAAAATAAACATTTTTTGCTTTTTGAAATCTTTGAATTATCACTTTGGATAAATAAATGACTTGTTTTTGTTTTTGTTTTTACAGTGGCCTGTGATCCTATTTTGATCAACTGTTTTTAATATTTAACACATTTCCCAAAATCAAATTCTAATTCTAAAATTTTCTTTTCAAAAACAAACCAAAAAACCCTGCAAGTCCAAGACGGCTGTTTTGGCTTATTCGGGATGTTAACATCATATGGAAAGCATTGTTAAATAAGAAATGGTGTTTAACTATATTTGATTTATACTTGTATGGATATTTTATTAATATGTGTTCCAAAATTATATGAGATTCCTAAAATTCTGATATGTTTTTGTTTATTTTCTTAGTTATAATGAAACTGATGTATGTGACAGGAATAATCAAATTTTTCTTGTCAATTCCATCTTTAAACATGGCTATTCCAAGTATTTTTTCATCCGCAAAAAATAATTGTTTTACTTTGGATTCTTCTCAAAATCAGTTTACAATCAGCTACAGTCCAAAATTGGCCTTTTCTTCAAGGAAATGTAAGGAAAAGAATCCTGACAAATACTCTTAAACACAGGTTTCAGATAACTTTGGAGATTATATTATCAGACTCAGTAAAAACCTTCAGAGATCTAATAAATATGTTTTTTCATAACGAGGATGATCCCACCATCAAGCAGAACAAGAGTTAATTATATGGGACAGAACTGATAGAGTATTAAATTGATTTTCATGACTTTTTATTTGCAACATTGCTGATTATTTTTATATTTTGTTTTCCAGAGTCGAGAAAACATTTTTCTTTTGAGCTATACCAATTATAGCTTATAACAATTGGGAAATGTATACATTAGTGAGTGAAATTGAAACATCTATCATTCTTTCTACCTGATCTCTCCAAAATGTGCAAACTATTCTCAAGTATTCTTATGTTATCACAGTCTTGAAGTTATTTGCATAAGTTCAAAAAGAAGCTACTTTCTGTAACAAGACACAATTAAAGACTTTGCCTATTTTACCAAGGCATTACTGGAATGGCGTATTTTCAGATATGACCAGATAGTTTTGAGGAATTGTGGTTGACTTCATGGAGCTGATAAAAAGCATATTGGAGAGAATGGCCTTGTATGTTGTCTACATAATTGCCTTTCAAAGGTTCAGCCCATGCAGAAAATAAAAAAATATCACTTTCCAACAGGTGTGGGAGCCCCAGAATATTTGAGGAACTGATATGGTTTGGCTGGGTCCCCACCCAAATCTCATCTTGAATTGTGGTTGCCATAATCCCCACATGTTGCAGGAAGGATCAGGTGGAGATAATTGAATCATGGGGGCAGTTTCCCCCATCCTGTTCTCATGATAGTGGGTTAGTTCTCATTTTACCTGATGGTTTTATAAGGGACTTCCCCCTTCACTGGGCACTCATTCTCTCTCCTGATGCCCTGTGAAGAGGTGCCTTCTGCCATGATTTAAGTTTCCTGAGGCCTCCCCAGCCATGTGGAACTGTGACTCAATCAAACCTCTTTTCTTTATAAATTACCCAGTCTAAGATATGTCTTTATTAGTAGTGTGAAAACAGACTAATACAGGGACGTTGAGAAGAAAGGAATTCACCCAATTTATCCAGGTATTACAGGTACAATCTAACGGTGAATCTTCAGTTTGGATTTCTATCCTTGAGACTCTTAAAAGTCAAATATGCAATTTCTTATAAGAGTTACAGCAAAGCCAAATAAAAACAGCCGGTATGATCAATCACTATCTTGCTCCACTTAATTATGTAAATAATCAGGCTAAATATAATAATAAGATGTATTATGCAAGTAAATTGATACTACTGAAATTAATCTTTGGTAAAAATGGGGGCTGGAGAGAGAAAAAATTATTTTTCAGAAGAAAGCTATAGTAGATCAATTATTGGATTCTAGCATTGTACATTGTTTTTTAGTTTTTATTATTTTTCAGCAATTTGGGTTAAAACCTGAATTGTATCCTGGCTACAACAAATCTCTAAAAAAGGACCAGCTTTTTAATTTTATTCATGATGTTTTTAGTTGACTGCCCCAAGGGAATTTTTTTTTTTACTTCTGAAATACAAATTTGCTTTTTACCAAAATTCTTATGTATAGAATACTTCTACTATGCATCTGTTTTACTTCTGAGAAAAGTAAATTCATGCTACTACAACATGTAGAGATGACAGCAGCTATAGATCAACCACTTTGACAGGACGATCGAGGATCGAGCCTTCCCAGTGATGAGGGATACCTTGACACTCAGATTTTGTTCATCAATGCTTTCAAGAAGAAAGATTTTTGATCAAAAGGGGGGAAATGAGAAAAGAACTTTTATCTAAGTAATGCGAGTCCTTCTAAATTACCAGGTTCAGAGAGATGTTAAAACGAGAGAACAATTCTGTCCTGGTTTCCCCTCTTTGAGCCATGTATTCATCTCTTGCAAACTGCTTGTAGTTGCCAGAAGTAGCTATAAATTAACCAATAATGCCACACCTGATACTACAACCTACACCTTATAACTTAACAATGTATAGCCAATGAATAGCTTATATAAATGTAATGTAAATTCTTGGTAAAGACCTCAGGAACTGCCTCTTCTTTCTCTTTGGAAATTCACTGGTAACTGCTTTTAATAAGAATGTATATTAAGAGTAATTTGAATCTATGCTCCTGGGTAGCAGTCCTCAAGCTTAGCTCCTAAAATCTCCACTTATATTAATTTTGCCTCAATTTCTTCCTTTTAGGATGACAGGGTGATTGGGTAAGCTTCATATAACAAACGAGGAAGTCCAATGCTTTGCTAGCCAGAAGTTGCAGTCTAGTTAGTGGTCAGTAGCGTACAAGCCAGGAAAGTAACAAGTGATCATGTAAATGAGAAAGCCATAGAAAGACGAAGTAAGCCTTGGCTGAGCAGAAAGGTGTACACATATGTAGGAAGATTCACAGTAGTCTTGCAGAAGTAAAAGACAAATCAAACTTCAGAATTTGCTGAACATTAAATGTGCTCTTCAAACTCACTGATCTATCAGCAGGGGATAGAAGTCTTATGGAGTTGGGGTGTTTGAGCAGAGTCTTGAACAAAAACATTGGATTATGCAGACCCAAGGGAGACCCCTTGGAAGGTAAGTTAAAAATAATAATAAAGGCCAGGCGCGGTGGCTCAAGCCTGTAATCCCTGCATCTTGGGAGGCCGAGGCAGGCAGATCACGAGGTCAGGAGATCGAAACCATCCTGGCTAACACAGTGAAACGCCATCTCTACTAAAAATACAAAAAATTAGCCAGGCATGGTGGTGGGTGCCTGTAGTCTCAGCTACTTGGGAGGCTGAGGCAGGAGAATGGCATGAACCTGGGAGGTGGAGCTTGCAGTGAGCCAAGATGGTGCCACTGCACTCCAGCCTGGGTGACAGAGGGAGACTTCATCTCAAAAAAAAAAAAATAAAATAATAATAATAATAATAATAAAAACTGAGAAGACACATTCACAGCCACACACTACAGGGCAAACAGATGCTGCACTTTAAAAAATCCAGAAAAGTTCATGAAACCAAAAGTACTCAGAAACAAAATCAGAAGTCATAATTACTATAAAACATTGTCTAAAATTTCCAGTATTCAACCAAAATATTAAAAACCATGTACAGGAGCAGAAAAACATGAATTATAGAAATAAAACAGTCAATAGACATTAATTCTTAGTAGGCCCAGATACTGAATTTAGCAGGCAAAGAATTCAATACATTTATTATAAAAACATTTAAATAATTTTAAAAACTATATTTGAAGAATTTAAGAAAAATGTGATGACAATGATTCAACAGATATGTTATCTAAGTACAAAAAAAGAAGTTATAAATATGAAATTTCTAGAAGTGAAAGATATAATAATAAAAATAATTCACTATATGGGATCAAGGACATGTTTGAGATAGTGGAAGAAAGAATAAATGAACCTTAAAATAGATCACCGGAATTATCCAATCTATAGACTAGAGAGAACAAAAATAACTGAAGAAAAATAAACAGAGCCTCAGAAACTGCAAAATATTACCAAATGTACCAACATATGTTTAATGTGAGTCTTATATATCAAGGAGGAGAAAAAGAAGCTACAAATGGAAGACAAAATCTTTCCAAATTCATTGAAAAATATTAACCTACATATTTAAGAAGTTCAAGTAGCATCAGTTAGAATTAACACAAAGATATACACCTAGATACATAATCAAATACTTAAAAGCCAAACAGGAAGATGAAATACTGAAAATGGAAAGAGGAGAAAGAGCTCATAAAGTAGAAGTTATCAATAGCACAATTAATAGCTGATTTTACATCAAAAACAATACATGTAAGGGATAATGGAATGAAATATTGAAAGGAATTGGTAGAAAAGAACTGGAAACCAAAAATTATATATCCAGCAAAAAGCTATTTTTCAAAAATAAATGCAAATTAATGAAATTCTGAAAGATAGTACAGACAGCAACACTCAAATGCAGAGGGAAGGATAAATAGCCCTGGAAATTATAAATATGTTTGTAAATATAAAGGAATGTGCCACACACACTTATTTTCTTTTAAAAACAAGATTATTTTATTTAATGTAATAGTTATAGCACTACATTGCTGGGTTTTAAACAACAATATATGTAATATATTGATAATAATAGCACAAATAAGGAGGAGTAAATGAAGCTACATTGAGGCACAGTTACTATAGTTTAACAAATTAAATTGACATTACTAAGAAGTTAATTCTGATAAGTTAAAATATATATTGAAACACCTAGAACAGCCAATGATAAAATAATTTTAAAATATAGATGAAAATCAAAAAATTAAAGCAATATACTAAAAAATACTTGTTTAACACAAAAAAGGAAGTAAGAGAAAAACAGAATAATTAACACAAATGAAACATACAGAAACCAAGTAGCAAAACTGATGTAACACTAATCATGTAATATGTTACACTAGACAACAAAAAGGCAGGTATTTCTATACTAAATAAAAAGCACGATGCAGGAATTAAGGAGCCAAGATATGAATGAACCATACAGAAACCAAGTAGCAAAATAGTTGTAACACTAACCATGTCATATGTTATACTAGTCAACAAAAAGGCAGGTATTGCTGTACTAAATAAAAAGCAAGATGCAGGAATTAAGGAGCCAACATAGCTGCCTATACACAGCCATTAAGAAAGTCTCCCACAAACAGATTAGGACATTGGGAAGACTGGCATACTCCAAGCAGATCTTTGGAGGGTAAGCATTAAAAGTAAACAGAAGGAAGATGCAGACCCCGGGCTGAAGGAAGAGGAAGCTGGAGACCCTGCACAAGGCTGCCAAGCACCAGGACTCATACCTTGCTCCCAGTAGCTCCTTTGGAAGGGATGAGTTGAACAGGTGAGGAGTGGCCTGCTCGTGCAAGAGACTGCTGGAGTCCTAGATGCAGGAAAACCCCTTCACCCCCCACAAATATCTGAGCTGTCAGGGAGAGCTGCATGGAGAGGTGGCAGGGGCAGGAACTCCAACCTGTGTGTAGTCCAGGGGATTTGGTGTGGGAATGGCTGCAGTGGAGCATGGCAAAAGACACTCATACCCAAGGCTCACTGTGCTCCTCTAGGTGACTTTCATCTTCATTGACTGTTAGACCTGGACAGATTAGGGCAGTATTGGGCTGGCCCAGTTTGGTCTGAGCACTCCCTTGTTTGACAGCCTCTCCTGGGGGCCCAGGTGGCTGTGTCCACTTGCAGCACATCCTCAGATGCCCAACAAGGTGCCTCTTGGGGCCATCATCATGGATTCTTTACTGGCAGACTGTGCCTAGCCATCTGACAATTCTAGCAGATGGCCTCAGCTGATGTGCACTGACCCACCCACAGCCTCCCCCAGAACAGTTCCCCCACCACTTTGCCAGTGCAAGCTTGCCCATGACTTACCCCAACTGCTTTGACATGCACCTGGGGGTGGACCTGCCTCCTCTCCCATGCAGCTAGCTGTGAAACTGCCACTAGTGTGAGCATACATGAAGACAGAGACCATTCTGTACCATGTATGAGGGCATATGTTCACCCCTCCACACTGCCACTGCTGTTACAAATGTGTGCATGGACCCTGTCACCCTGCCCCCATCAGTACCCTGCCCCCACCAGCGTGTGGGCACTCCATTTTGGCACTGCCACCAGCACAAGCACACACATAGATACTGCTGCCCCAGCCCAGTCAACACCCCTTCCCAGCTGATGTGCATGAACTCTGCTGTGATGCTGCTGCTGCTGCTGCTGCTGCTGCTGGCATATGTGAGTGAGTATGGATCCTTTTGCTACTGAGGCGAGAAAGCACTTTGGCCTGCACTCCCCATAGGAGTGTTATTGCAAGCAGACTGAGAACATCTCAGCCCCTCCAACGCAGCAGGTTCCTAACCTTGAGAGGCCAGAGAAGAAAGATGGAGGCCTGGTACCAGCCCTCAGGGTTAGAGCACACAGCCCAGGATTTTGGAGCTGACTCTTGGCTCCTTAAAAATTTTCATAAGTGAATCCAGTTAAGTGAACTCAACTATACCACAGTAAAACCATCAGGGCATAAAAGAAAATCAAAGCAAAAAATCCCATCCAAAGGACAGCTGAAAGATGAAACAGCTATTTAAAGAAAGAATCAAACTGATCTAATAGAGCTGAAAAACTCACTACAAGAATTTCACGATACGTTTCCAAGTTTTGTTTTGTGTTTTTTGAGATGGAGTTTTGCTCTTGTTTCCCAGGCTGGAGTGCAATGGCATGATCTCAGCTCACCGCAACCTCCACCTCCTGGGTTCAAGCGATTCTCCTGCGTTCAAGTGAGTCTCCTGCCTCAGCCTCCCGACTAGCTGGGATTACAGGCATGTGCCACCATGCCCAGCTAATTTTTTATTTTTAGTAGAGATGGGGTTTCTCCACGTTGGTCAGGCTGGTCTCAAACTCCCGATCTCAGGTGACCCGCCCGCCTCAGCCTCCCAAAGTGCTGGGATTACAGACATGAGCCACCTCGCCCAGCCCATTTCCAAGTTTTAACAGCAGAATAGACCAAGCTGAGAAATAAATCTCTGAGCTTGAAGACTGTTTTTCTTAATTAACTTAGTCAAATAAAAATGAAGAGAAAAGAACAAAAAAGAATGAATGAAACCTCTGGGAAATGTCAGATTATGCAAGGACACCAAATCTATAACTCATTAACATCCCTGAAAGAGAGGGAGAGAAAACAAGCAACTTGGAAAACATATTTCAGGACACTATCCATGAAAATTTCCCCAACCTCACTAGAGAGGCCAACATTGAAATTCAGGAAATGCAGTGAACCCTTGTGAGATATTGTATAAGACGACCATCCCCAAGATACATAGTCATCAGATTCTGCAAAGTCAACATGAAAGAAAAAATATGTAAGGCAACTAAAGAGTAGGGGCAGGTTATCTACAAATGGGACCCCATCAGGCTAACAGCAGACGTTTCTTGCAGAAACTCTGCAAGCCAGAAGAGATTGGGTGCCTATATGCAGTATTCTTAAAATAAATTCCAACCAAGAATTCTATATCTACCCAAAGTAAGCTTTATAAGTGAAGGAGAAATGAGATTATCCTAAGATAAGCAAGTATCAAGGGAATTTGTTAACACCATACCTGCGTTGCCAGAGGTCCTTAAGGGAGTGCTAAATATGGAGACCAAAGATTGTCACTGATCACCATAAAAACACACTTGAGTATGTAAATCATTGACACTATAAAGTTACTACACAATCAAGTCTGCATAATATCCAGCTAACAGCATGATGACAGGATCGAATCTTCCCATGTCAATACTAACCTTGAATGTAAACAGTCTAAATCCCTCAATTTAAAGGCACAGAGTGGCAAGTGGGATAAAGAAGCACGACCCAACTACGTGCTGTCTTCAAGAAACCCATCTCACATCCAATGACACCCACAGGCTCAAAGTAAAGGAATGGAAAAAATCTCCCAAGCAAATAGAAAACAGAAAAAAAGCAGGGTTATCATCCTAATTTCAGATAAAACAGATTTTAAACCAACAATTAAAAAAAAAAAAAGAAGAAGGGCATTACATTATGGCAAAGGGTTCAATTCATTCCACATGAAGACTTAACTATCCTCAATATGCACACAACACAGGAGCATCCATATTCATAAAACAAGTTCTTAGAGACCTAAAAAGAGACTTAGATAACCACACAATAATAGTGGGATAATTCACTACTTCACTGACAGTATTAGATCCTCAAGGTGGATAACTAACAAAGATATTTGAGACCTGAACTGGAGACTTGATCAAATGGACCTAACAGACATTTATAGAATGCTGCACCCAAAACCAACAGAATATAAATTCTTGTCATCTGCACATGGCACATACTCTAAAATCAACCACACAATTGGCCATAAAACAATTTTGGCAAAAAAAACTTAAATCATACCAACCACACTCTTGGACCACAGGGCAGTAAAAATAGAAATCAATACTAAGTAGATTGCCCAAAACCATATAATTACATAAAACTTAAACAATCTGCTTCTGAATGACTTTGGGGTAAACAATAAAATTAAGACAGAAATTAATAAATTGTTTTAAACTAATGAGTACAAAGACACAATATATTGGAATCTATGGGGTACAGATAAAACAATGTTAAAAGGCATGTTTAAAACACTAAACAACCACATCAAATAGAAAAATCTTCAGTTAACAACCTGATATCACACAGAACTAGAAAAACAAATGCGTATCAACCACAAAGCTAGCAGAAGACAAGATATAACCCAAATCAGAGCTGAACTGAATGAAATTGAGAGGTGAAAAACCATACAAAAGATACATGAAAACAGATGTTTATTCTTTGAGAGAATAAGTAAGATTGATAGACTACTACCTAGACTAATAAAAAAAGAGAGGAGATCCAAATAAATACAATCAGAATTGACAAAGGGGGCATTACCACTGACCTCACAGAAATAAAAATGATTCTCACAGACTGCTAGGAACACCTCTATGTACACAAACTAAAAAACCTACAAAAAATGGATAAATCTCTGGAAATATACCACCTCCTATGATTTAACCAGGAATAAATTGAAACCCTGAACAGATCAATAACAAGTTCCAAAATTGATTCAGTAACAAAAAGCCTACCAATCAGAAAAAGCCCTAGATTAGACAGACTCAAAGCCAAGTTTTATCACGTGTATAATTAAGAGCTGGTACCATTCCTACTGAAACTATTTCCCAAAAATGAATAGGCAGGATACTTTCCTAACTCATTCTATGAGGCTCGCATCATTATGATACCAAAACCTGGCATAGATACAACAACAAAAAGAAAACTACTGGCTAGTATCCTTGATGAATGTAGATGCAAATATTCTCAACATAATACTAGCAAACCACATCCAGCAGCACATCAGAAACCTAATCCACCATGATCAAGTAGGCTTTATCCCTGTGATGCAAGGTTGGTTCAACATATGCAAATCAGTTAATGTGATTCATCACATAAACAGAACTAAAAACAAAAGCCACATGATCATCTCAATAGATATAGAAAAGTCTTCTGCTAAATTTCAACATCCCTTCATGTTAAAATTCCTCAACAAAGTATGCATTGAAGGAACATACCTCAAAATAATAAGAGCCATTTGTGACTAACATACACTCAGCAACGTAATGAATGGGCAAAGAATGAAGTCATTCACCTTGAGAACCAGAACAAAACAAGGATACTCACTGTCACCACTCTATTAAACATAGTACTGAAAGTCCCAGCCTGAGCAATCAGGTAAGAGAAGGAAATAAAAGGTATCCAGATAAAAAGAAAGGAAGTCAAACTATCTCTGTTTGCAGACATTATGATTTTATTTATTTATTTATTTATTTTTAAGATGGAGTCTTACTCTGTTGCCCAGACTGGAGTGCAGTAGCACAGTCTCAGCTCGCTCGACCTCTGCCTCCTGGGTTCAAGTGATTCTCCTGCCTCAGCCTCCCAAGTAGCTGGAATTACAGACATCTGCCACCACACCTTGCTAATTTTGTATATTTTTAGTAGAGACAGAGTTTCACCATGTTGGCCAGGCTGCTCTCAAACTCCTGGCCACAGGTGATTCACCTGCCTTGGCCTCCCAAAGTTCTGGGATTACAGGCGTGACTCCCACGCCCAGCCGACAATATAATTTTATACTTAGAAAACCCCATAGTGTCTTCCCCAAAACTCCTAGATCTAATATACAACTTCAGCAAAGTTTCAGGATACAAAATCAATACACAAAAATAAATAATGTTTCTATTCACCAACAACATATTCAGGCTGAGTGCGAACTCAGGAATACAAACCCATTCACAATAGCCAGAAAAATAAAATAAAATTTTGGGTATTGAGCTAATCAAGGAGGTGAAATTTCTCTACAATGAAAATTATAAAACACTGCTGAAAGAAATAAAATGACAGAAATAAATGGAAAGACATTCCATGCTCATGGATAGAAAGCATCAATGTTGTTACAATGACCATACTACTCAAAGCAATTTATAAATTCAGTGCTATTCCTGTCAAACTACCCATGACATTTATCACAAAATTAGAAAAAAACTATTTTAAAATTTATATAGAACCAAAAAAATTGCCCAAATAGCCAAATGAATCCTAAGCAAAAGGAATGCTGGAGGCATCATGTTACTGGACTTCAAACTATACTAAAAAGCCACAGTAACCAAAACAGCATGGTATTGGTACAAAAACAGACACATAGAACAATTAAACAGGTTATAGATCCCAGAGATAAAGATGCACACCTATAACCATCTGATCTTAGACAAAACAAGCAATGAGGAAGAGACTCCTTATTTCTCCTAGGAGATAACATTCTGGACATAGGCCTTGGCAAAGATTTTATGACAAAGACTCCAAAAGCAATTTCAACAAATACAAAAATTGACAAATTGGGCCTAATTAAACTAAAGAGCTTCTGCACAGCAATAGAAACTATCAACAAAGTAAACAGACAAACTACATAATAAGAGAAAATAGTCACAAGCTATGCATTTAACAAAGATCTATTATCCAGAATCTATAAGGAATTTAAACAATTCTACAAGCAAAAAACAACCCCATTTAAAAATAGGCAAAGAATACGAACAGACACTTCTCAAAAGAAGATGTACAAGCAGCCAACAAACATATGAAAAAATGCTCAATATCACTAATAACCAGAGAAATGCAAATGGAAAACACAATGAGATACCATCTATCTCACACCAGTCAGAATGGCTATTATTAGAAAGAAAAAAAAGCAACAGATGCTGATGAGGCTGTGGAGAAAAGAGAACACTTATAAATTGTTCATGGGGATGTACATTAGTTCTGCCACTGTGGAAAGCAGTTTGGAGATTTCTCAAATAATTTAAAACAGAACTACCATTTGACCCAGTAATCCCATCCCTGGGTATATACCCAGAGAAAAATAAATCGTTCTATCAAAAAGACACATGCATGCATATGTTCATTGCAGCACTACTCACCATAGCAAAGACATAAAATCAACCTAAATACTCAGCAACAGTAAGACTGGATAAAGAAAATGTGGTACATATACACCACAGAACGCTAGGCAGCCATAAAATAGAATTGCATCAAGTCCTTTACAGCAACATGGATGGAGCTGGAGGACACTATCCTAAGCAAACTAATGAAGGAATAAAAAACCAAATACTGCATATTCTCTTACAAGTAGGTACTAAACACTGAATACACATGGACACAAAGAAGGGAAGAATAGACATCAGGGACTACTTGAGGGTGAAGGTTGGGATCAAAAAACTACTTATCAGGTACCATGCTTATTACCTGTGTGACAAAGTAATCTATGCACCAAACCCTGCAACATGCAATTTGCCTACGTAATAAACCTGCACATGTACCCCTAAAGCTAAAATAAAAGTTAAAAAATAAAAATAAAAAACAACATGCAGCTGTTTGTTGTCTATAAGAAACATACTTAGAGACAAAATAAACAAAGCTAAAAAATAGAGAAAAGCTATCCCACACAGCCAATAGCCATAAGAAAGCTGCAGTGGCTATATTAAAATCAGTCAACACAGATTAGACAAGAAATATTACTAGGAACATTTCATAATGATAAAAGGCTCAATGCCACAGAAAGATATAATAAGTGTAAACAAGCTGCATGTAAATGTGAATAAGCAAATATAATGCACCAAATTGTATTTGCATGGAGCTGAGAGTGGGAGCAGGGATTAACTGCAAATAGACAAAGGGAATTTTAGGGGGTGAAGGTAGTTCTAAGACTGAGTTGAGGTGCTAGGATGCAATTGTATAAATTTATTAAAAATTACCTAATACATTTAGAAGGGTTGGATGTTTGGGTATGTAGACTCTAATACCTCAGTCAATTTCAGAAAAGTTTCATTTAAAAAGTGTAGATAATTTCTTTCAAACAATAAAATAACCTATTAAGTCTATATTTGTAAAATATTTAAAGTTGTTTTAAGCAATGGAGTTAGGTGAAGGGCAAAAACAAAGATTTAAGTATAATGTGTACCTGGGAAACAAAAAGAAGCCCAGGTTGATTAGTAAATCAATCCGGTTGATTGATTGATAGTGGAAAACCTTTATAGATAAGATTAAAAAGCTAAGTTTTAAAAAGATCATGAGGGAGAATGATGGATGCTTCAGCAAGAATCTTGGGTTTTATAAGGATCTCAAATTTACAATAAGCAATATTTTAATTTTAATGTGAACAAAATATAGTACTAAGGTTTTTTCATGCATTTTTAAATTTAATTCTCAAAATGATTAACTACAGTGAAAACTATCATAATCATCCCCATTTTACAGGTCAGATTGTTGAGTCCTTCACAAGTTAAGAATACATAGCTGTCAAGGATACATAGCTGGCAAGTAGAACAGTATATGTGGGATTTAAACTTAGGTTTCAAGTCTATCTGTCCTCAAAGTACAGCTTTAACATTCTGCAAGTCAGCCTCACGATTATGGTACAGTTAACTGTTTCCTACATAATGCATAGTATTTCTAACACTGTGATTAAAGAAAGAAAATCAAATAGTTGCTAACTCTACATCATTTCTATGATGAATAATTTGACAACCTATCTGGAGTTTTAAAAACAGAGAGGTGAAACAGATGTCAGATTATGTTTGATTTTTTCCAATTCAGCAGCTTTGGAAGAGAGAAAGTAATCTGAAGCAAAGTAAGTTGGAAACTTGGGCTCTGTTTACTGGGCCTGTCTGTGAGGGAAAAAATGAGCTAAGACTTGTGTAAGCAGAATCAAGACACTTAAGTCAGCTTAACCATGTGCTTTGGCATAAAGCTCTCATGGAAGAATTAAAGTGGCTTGAGGAAATACATGCATAAAGACTTAGTACCTAAAGAATGACAAATATAAATACAATGGACTATTATTTCACCTTAAAAAATAAGGCACTCCTGCCATATATGACTAAATGAATGAATCTGGAGGATATTGTGCTAAGTGAAATAAGCCCTTCACAGAAGAATAAATACTGCATGATTCCACTCACATGAGGAATCTGAAATAGTCAAACTTACAGAAGCAGAGAGTACAATGGTAGTTGCCACGTGCTTAGAGGGGAAAATGAGGAGTCGTTGATCAATAGGTATTAAGTTTTGGTTCTGCAAGATGAATAAATTCTAGAGACCTGTTGTACAACATAGTGCTTACAGTAAACAATAGGGTATTTTGCACTTAAATTTTAAAAGAGTAGAAATCATGTTAAGTTTGTTACCACAAACAAATAAAGTGGCACAAGGATCTTTTGGAGAAGATAAATGTGTTTATTACCTTGATAGTGGTGATGGTTATACAGGTGTATGCATAACTCATCAAAATGTATACATTAAATATGTACAGTTTGGGTGTATCAATTATATTTCAATAAAATAGTGTTTAAGAAGAACAAAACTTCTATTTTTTAATTTTAAGCATTCAAATTACTCCTGGGACAGCCTTGGGAGTCATAAAATTCAAAGGCATTGAATATTTAGAGCAAATTCCAGATAAAACTTTATGAATGTTACCTACCACAAATTGAAGACCAATTATTTTTATTAAAAGATGAGGAAGAAATATTTTGAACAAAGCTGCCTTGTAGACCATTAATCTTGTGCCTCATGGATTATGTTGTGAATGGCATCCACTGGTATTGTGTGATATACAACCTGCTCAGCCGTATACAAAGCTCTGATTGTGGATCATTTCCAGTCAGCAAGAGATGGTAAATTGGAACTACTGGTGCAACACCAATTATTGTTATTTTAGGACTTGAAATGCCAATGACAGTTTATTTTCATTGTTTTATTGCTTATTTAATTTTTGTGTAAAGAAAATTGTACTTATAAAGGTCTGTTAAAACCCATTTTTCTAATAATTGGTTTATGCATTTTAACTACAAATTATCTTGCCATGACGACTTTCAGGATCATATAATCCATGTGGTTGAGGTGGGAAGGCAAGGTTCCAGAATTTCATTTGGAATTTTAAGCGATTTTCCAAGGAAGCAGTGTGCAAATTCTCAGGCTAACAAAGTCCCCCTAACTTACAATGTCACTCATGTAGTATTAATAGTGCATGCTGTCCACAGTACAAATGTCTTTTGAACACTAACTCAGGAAACTAAGGACACAGCTAAAACATCTCCTAAATGGAAGTATATTCCCACCCCTTCAATTTATACATAACCCTAAGGTCCTGAAAGTGTAAATGACTTGTCGAAGTTCACATAAAGTATAAGGGATAAAAAAAATCAAAAATAGTGTAGCGGAGAAAAAGTAATATGTTTTTCTCACTCATTGCAAGGTTCATGGCTGACATCCCCATAACAAAAGATATATTAGCAAGATAAAAAAATAAATTTATTTAATAAAAGTTTTACATGACTTGGGAGCCTTCAGAAATGAAGATCCAAAGCTTAGTTTTGGAAAAAGAGAGGACAGTCACGTAGACATATTATCAGACAAAATTGGGTATGATATAATGTTAATAATCTGGGGAAAATTTAGGAGGGCAAGTTTGCTAAGATTTTTCTTGGCATCTCTGTGTCTTCTTCATTCTTTTCCTCCAGTTATAGGGAAAAGCAACTAGGTTTTATGATGTACTTTCAGGGGAAATTGATGGGAGAATTTTTTCCTAGCCAGCTCTCACATAGAACGCAGAAAAAGATCAGATTGACATTTTTGCTGATAGAGACAGGAGACAGCCAAGGGTCCCCGATGAAACCCTGCCTTCAGCCTAAAACAGCCTGAAGGCTGAAAAACCAGACTGCTAGTTCCAGATGAAACCCACCCTTTCCCAACTGATTCTCTCTGAATAATGCCCATCTGTGCACTGGGGGAAGTGGGTCGAGCCAGGGGAAGTTTGCCCCATTTGCAGTGGGGAGGAGCCGGGCCTCTTCAGTTCCTGTGTGGTGGCCTGGGATTCAATCTGTGAGATGGGAAATCTGCTAGTAGGACTTTCTTGCGCTTTTCTGAGATTTCCTCTTTTCTTTTTTCTTTTTACCCAATAAACCTTCCCTGCTCACCCTACAATATGTCCCTGTGTCTAAATTTTCCTGGTCATGTGACAAAAACCCGTTTCTTTTCTATAACATTTTTGGCTCCCAGAACATGAGACCTGAGAAAGGGTGAGCAAAATGTGGACCCCAAACCTCTCACTTTTGTTTCTGGGCTTTTTGGTCCTCTGGCGTTTTTATTCTTTCCTTTGGACAGTAATAGCATCCATCTTTTTTTATTTTACAATATAGAAGGTGGTCCACACCCACCCCAACCAACTGCTGAAGGCAAGCTCACAGGACTGTTGTGCAAGTGGTGACTCCCTACTCCCTTTCCATCCTGGTGGGGGTGCAGTGTCTGCTGCATGTGTGTGCTGTGTCCAACAGCTGCACAGGATGGGAATGAGCCAATGCCACTGCCTAGGCCCCAAGATGGCCTCTGAGGCCCGGGCCCTGTGCAGCTAGCTGTCCAGGCTCCTGCTCAGTCTGAGACAGGGGAAAGGAATCCATTTGTATACGAATAAGAGTTTCTTCCACAAAACGTCTTTCCAATCCTGCTTTTTAACTTTTTTTTTCCTTTTCTTTACCCTTTTTCCTTTCAGAAGACATTTGACTAGTCCAGGATCACTGTTTATATTCTCTGTAAACTTTTAATTATGAAAAAGCATTTGTGAGGCTGGTCTTAAGCTGTAGCCAGTCAGGTGTACTTTGCATGATTTTCTGTATGGTCAGTAGCAAATTTTGCTAGAGGCCTCCATCTTGTTTTACAACCTTGTGAGCATGACCTGTAACCATGTGGCAATGTTTGGTTCTAGCATCCACCATTTTACAATGGTGCCCAGGTTCAACCCTGGCTTAGGGAATGAGTACTTTTGCCATTTGCTGATTCTCTTCCCCTCCATGAACAAATTCTAGCCTTTGTTTTAAATCTTCCTTTCTCTGAGTAGCTTTCTTGTTTTGTAACTCTTAATACATGCATGAGAGGCCAATAATCTAATTAGGGATTGACAAATGAAAAATCTTATGACTGCTGAGTTTTTGTCTGCTTGTCTGTGTAGTTTATATGTGTTGTGTGTAATGTCTATTAAAAAGGGCTCTAGTTAATTGGCCTAAAGGAAAATAAGCACTTGGATCAGATAGTTTTAAAGGGAAGATAAAAGCTGTGGTACCATTCAGTTCATTGGACTTTAATCTTTGAGACATAAAAGCAGACTTAAAGATTATTGGTAGAATGCAGGTGTCATCGAAATCTAAATTTTTGCCCAGGATTAAAGAATTGTTTTGAATTAGATAAGATAAAGCTGAAGGTTTAAATAAACAGTGGAATATTTATACTAATTAATCTTGCAAAAATTTCATGTGTGTTCACGTTAACTAAATTCAAAAGGATATTATATGTATTTTCTGTAAATTGAGCATTGAAATAAAAGCACAACAAGGTACTCTTAAGGCACTAATCTTCTTTTTAGAAAAATTTGTAAAGGGTTATAAAATGGTTTTGTTTTTTAAAATTTCTGAGTCATTGTTTTGGCAAAATAAATAACTTATGGTACTCTGGAATTCTATTTCATAACATCAAGTGTTTTAAACCTCTAACATTTGACATGCTTTCCAAAATCAAACTTCAGTTTCAAAATTGTCTTTCCTGATGCCTGGCTTTTGGGTGCTACAGAGGCTCCTGGAGTACCCAAAAGAGAGGTAAACAAGATTATTTGACATGTTTAGGTACGTGGGATTGCCAAAATGGTGTTCAATCTTCTTTAGGTTACATTTTGGTGAATGATATTAGTATATGTTCCAAAATTGTAAGATACTTCAAAAAATTCTAATGTCTAAAGTATATGCTATGAATCATAATTCAGGTTGTTAAGTTATTATAAACCACAGAGATAACCAAACTTCTTTGTCAATTGCATTTCTAACTCTAACTACCCTAGACATTTTGTTATTCACAGACAATTATTATCTTGTTTTGATCATTTTCAAAAGATGGCTTATACTCAGCTATAGAACTCTGACAGGTGCTCTCAAACACAGGTTTCTGATAACTATGGAGATTGTGATATTGGAATAAAGGAAAAAAGGTACAGAACTCATGAAGAGTTGAAAGGTTCACAAATATCAAGTGAAACAACTAACTAAACGGACTGAACTCATAGAAAACTGAAGCAATCTTTTTGACTATTGCTTGGAATATTGCTGATCCTTGTTTCGCTTTTTAGAATCAAGGAAACTTATTTTGAACTACTTATGGCCTCTAATAATTGAGTAAGTTATACTCCTGTGAACAAAATTTGGAGCAAATTTGTTTTTCTCTCTCTGCCTGGCTTCTCCTGAATTTGGAAACTAGTTGTGAATGTTCTTAACTTATGGCAATATAGCTGTTTGCATCAGTGCAATAAGAATCCATTTTCTTTTGCAACAGGATGCAACTGGATAAATTGGTTGTTTTACCAAGGCTTTGACTAGAAGGGTATGATTCCCTTTAAGTAGTCAAGCTTGACTTGCAGAGCTGATTTAAAAAACCCCTGGGGAAACTGGCCTCACACCCTTGTCTATGCAGTATGTGTACAGAGTTCCTGATCTATGGTAAGTAAAGTATGTCACTTTCTGACAGGCCCAGGAGCTCCAAGTTTATCTTGGGACTTTAAGAGGAAAGGATTACCCAACTCACAAATATTTGAGGATACAAACCCATGGCCAGGTTTGGCTTTAAAAGGTCTTATCTGAGATTCCTTGTGGAACAGAGTTCCAACAAAGCTAATCTAACAGGCCTATGTAGAAATAATTATTCTGGCTGCACTTTATGCAAATAATCAGGCCAAGTATAAGACTAAAGTCTACTTTGCAAACAACTCAGTCTTATCATGATTTGGTTTTTAACAAAAATGAGGACTAGAGAGACAAAAATTATGTTTCAAAACTTATCATACATTTTCATTTAATTCTAGACTCATTAGTTGTTTCCAAGTTTTTGCCTACATTTTAGACTAACCCTACTTATTCCTGTGAACCAACCAACAGTCTCCACCTGCAGCTCAGAAAGAACAAAAAGGACAGGTGATGTAAAAATCTGGATTAATATTCTAGTTTTGAGAATTTATCCTGCAAATCCTGCCAGGTGATGGGAATAAATAGGGTGCCCATCACCCAGAGGTTTCCTTTTTGCAAAAGTAAGACCAAGGAAGTTACCCAAAGCCAAGCTCCATGCACCCAAATCTTAGCAAGCATAACTGTAGCTACCAGTTATCTGGGCATGTCACAAGACATTCTTTTCTTTCCCTTGTTGGAGGGGGACTCAATTCCACAGCTTCACCTTAGCATTCAGCCTATGATAAAAAGTCCATGCAATGCCCACACAAGACATATTTTTGTCCCAAACTCAATTCCAAGCTTCAGGTAAAAGCCCTAGGCAAGAAAATTGGATCTGAGGGATCCAGAGACAGAAAATAACGGAGGTTAAAAGGCACAGTGCAGGTTAGCATGACTGATTCTTGCTGATTAAGCCAAGTTTCCCATTTCATGGACAAATTTCATGCTAGTATCCATGGCATAAATGAGGTCTAGGGAACTCAAAGGCTACTAACAGCAGGGAGATACGGCATACGTAGGTAAGAGCAGATACTCCCACCCCAGAGGCCCCCCTGTTAACATGGGTGAAAACCACTTTGACACTCAGGGGCAGTACCCTGTTGCAGTCACCTGTAATCAGGGATACAAGGACGGAGGAAAAAAAGAGGAATGCCTCACTTTCCTTCCCTGATATACCTTGGGTATTTGCTAGGAAGAGAAAGGACCCAGGGATGTCTTCCCCACTCTTTCTAGATGAGTAGTCATTCATCTTCCGTCTGTACCCCTTTCAAATGCATCCTGAATCCCTGGAATGCCTTTGAAAAAAAAAAGCCTTCATTTTTCCTTTCTCTTCCTGTGTCCTCTCTTCACTGATAGGCAATTGCATCTTCGTACTATGGGTCACTTCCCTCAGACGCATCCTCCAAAATGGGAAAAGTTAACTTCCTAAGCCTTAAATTAGTTGGTTTAGGATTGAACTCAAAGCAAGGAAGCTCAGAAGCCTGACATGCTGGCCATAGGGTAAAAGTGTTTTTTGCCGGCTGGGCTTTTGGCCTCCCTCTCTCTGTTAAAACTGGTAAAAGGCCTTGAGATTTTTGAGCTGTCCTTACCCATCCCTTGTTTTATTTTAATATATGTTTTCTAATAATCCGATTTGTCTCTTCAGGCCATCAAACTTCCAGTGGTCATGCAACAGGAGCTCAGATGATGGCCCCTTTTGCTGGCAATCCTTACACAGGCCTCTGAGGGAGCTCTGACTGCCTTTTTCCTAAAACAGCACCCCCTGTCACCAGGATGCAGCTAAGATCAGTCTTCATCCTTATCCTTATCCTAATGGCAGTTAGGTATACTTCTTTACAGCGGGAAATGATAGAGACAGGAGACAGCCAAGGGTCTCTAGCGAAACCACAACTTCAAGCCTAAAACAGCATGAAGGCTGAAAAAACGGACTGCTGGTCCTGGATGAAGCCTGCCCTTTCCCAACTGATTCTCTCTGAATAATGCCCACCTGTGCACTGGGGGAAGAGGGTGGACCTAGGGGAAGTTTGCACCATTTGCAACAGGGAGGAGCCTGGTCTCTTCAGTTACTGTGTGGTGGCGTGGGATTCAATCTGTGAGGTGGGAGACCTGATAGCAGAACTCTTTGTCACTTTGCTGAGAGCTCCTCTTTTTTTGTTCTTTTCACCCAATAAACCGTGCCCTACTCACAAATGTGTCCCTGTGCCTAAATTTTCCTGGTCATGTAACAAAAACCTGTTTTTGTTTTTCTTTTTTCTACAACACTGCTACTGCTGCTTTCTCAATTTCCAAGGTGCCATGTTTGGAGGTACAATGTCCTGCATCTCATCTTTATCATAAAGTAAATGGTGAGCTCAAATATGCATGCATGTAAAGAAAACAGATGTTTGATACTAAAGGAAAACAAAGATATTTCACTCCAAAATATACTTTGACTGAAATATTTTGAGATGGCTACTCAGAGGGCATGCAGACTAGAATATCCCTGCAAAGATTTTTTTATGAAGGACATTTTCATTGGTAGAGAAAAATTTACATTAGCAAAATGAGCAGATAGGCTTTCTCTGAGGCCTTTCTTGCCCAGATTTGGGACAGATTAACTCACAGGAGAGATAGATTGAGTCTGACAACTTTGAAGATCTGACAAACTGTTGTCACAGGCTACTATCTATTCTTTCTGAGAGCTGCTGTCTGCGATGTTTTATCTCAATAACAAGAGGGCCTTTGCGAGCCATGCCTTTTCTCTTCTCTCCCTCACACAAACTATTTTGCCATGCTCCAAGACCTTATGCTTTCTGTAACTTCAAGATGGCATAAAGCATCAACCCCCTGCCCTTTCTTTCAGTTCTGATATTTTGTATGACTCTCTTGCACACATATTCACATTAATACATTTGTATGCCTTCTTTTCCCGTTAATCTATTATCAGTTTGTTTTATAGATTCAAGTTATGATAATCTCAGTGGAAAAATTTTAACTTCTCCATAGTTTTGGTGTTGTGTGCAGGATAACATCACCGCTTTGGAGACAATGAATGGGATCCTGGGACAACTGACAAAAAGCCAGCCAAGAAAGGTAAATTTTTTTTTTTTTTTTGCAAAGCCGGATTTTCCAGGTCCCTGCCTGTAGTGCCTAGTCAAATGAGAGTGGTAAGAGTCTCTGTCCTTTCTCATTCTGAATTTGAACTAGCAAGGGGAAAAGGGGGTTTGAATCACATTTGAAAAACATAAATTGGCTACATTTAAAAAAAAACTTTTTAGAGAGCTCTTTGTCTTAAACTGCTTTATTATTGGTATCTATAAAAGATGCAAAAGAAACATAACCTTAGAAAATTCCCTTGGCAAGATTAAGAAAGCAGAAATCAGATTTAAACATTGAAATTCTTCATATATTCAAACTGCCTGCTTTGACTTCCCTGAGAGATTTTCCCAAAAAAGACACTCCACCTTGTAGCCTAGGGGATATGATTTCATACTTTTATCTCTGCAGCTCATGTTTGATTCCAGGTCAAGGGACAAGTCTCTCGGAAATGTAAACCTTTTAACTAAGGAGGAGAAAAATTATAAAAATTACTTTGAATTATTTGTTTTAAATTTATATGTATATGACTTAGCCTTTGGGGTGCCCATTTGTTTTGTAATTCTTTCTTCTCCTATAAACAGCTTTGGTTTTCCTTTGTCTTAAGCACTGCAGAATATGACCAGACAGAAATAGGCATTGTATGCCATTTGCAGCTAGCAAAACTTTCTTTAAGTTGTCAGTGATAATGGTCTTAATTTTGTAAGGCTTCTAGCTTTTGCTCCCTCTTTGGAGACCTTGGTTAAAATCATAAAGGGGTTCTTGGTTTTAGTCGCATATGTGTTTATTTGTTTTGGTATTGAATCATTTGCTTAGGTATATCTTTGATTTAAAACTTTAGTTTATTTTTAGAGTGTAATAGCAACTATTAGCTTTTTAAAATTTTATCTTCCTTCTAGTGGGCTAGAGAGACACCTCAGAACCAAACCAATAAGTAGGTGAGGCAAGCTCCTCCCAGGCAGCAGAGTCAGTGGGGAAAGGCCACTGCTGCTGCTACCACTGTCCTCTTGCTCCATGAAAGTCCAGCTGCTCAAAGGACAAAAAGTTTGCTGCTTTTATAGTTAAAATAATTATTTAAAAAGAACTATATGGTCAAGTCAGCTTAATTAAAAGCTAATATCCTTCTCTGTTCTCTTTTCAATCCTATATCTTTCATGTGGACTTATTTAACCACATCTTTTTTCTCGAATTCTTGCTAGCTAAAACTTCATTTTCGTGTGTGTGAAACTTAAAAATCTCTCCTAAATTGGCTCTAAGACTTGCTCTTCCATTTCCTTCTACTTCAGCTCCTCCTTCCTTTTGCCATCTTTGATACCACATGAAGGGAGAGAGGGGACTTCTAATGACTCTGAGATCCCTTTAGGAACACACACACACACACACACACACACACACACACACACACACACACAAAGGCACCACTGACCCCATCTTTTGGGACTTCCTGTCTTTCTCACAGAGACCCCAAGAGTCATGGGCAGGTTTCTCTCAGGTCTAACATTAAATAATAATCTTTGGACAAGTGTGTGTGTGTGTGTGTGTGTGTGTATGTGTGTGCTGTATGTTATGTCTAAGTATGTATGTGTCTATGCATGTATGTCTACATTGTCTACAGGTACTAAACTGACTTATAAATAAATGAGTGCCCATAAACTAAATGGCTAGCTAAAATGCTTTCAAGTTCATGTAACTTTAGTGGTCTTTGGTAAATAAAGCTGGTTTGAAAACTGTTGGTAAAATAAAATAAAAATTTCTTCAAAAGTTAATTTAGACATTTTTGCCTGGGTTTGTTGAAACAGGATTATGCTTTCTCTGTTAGATATGTTAAAGTCATAAAATTGTTGCTTCTCTGATATTTTTGATACTTGATTGATTTGTCTGTTAGCTTACATCTTTGATTTGTGCCTCTGGATTCTGGTGTCTGGACAGGTAGCCATTATGAGGCCTGGAAACATGGTGCCTGGGCCATCAGCTTCAAGCCAGAGTCAAGCCCATTCTAACCCCATCCTCTCTGGCCCAGCTCTGCCTTCTAGCCATATTGGAAGGGATTGAATCCTCCAGGCATCATTTTTACTGTGAAATGTGTGTGCTCTATACTTGGTGTGTAAACCCAGGACCCAGATGGACCCTGCCCCTCATAGCTTCCCTAGAAGCCACATGGGTATTTGTGGTCCAGGACAACTGTGGGGAGACATTGGGGAGGGTTCCATGTAAAGTATCTTAAAGGTCTTGGTTAAGATGAGACTGACTGAAGTAGAAATAGCCTAGTTTTGCTTTTTTAAAAGAAAAAAGACTGAGTACTTTTGTTTTCAAAGCAATTCAAATCTAATTGTTTAAATGAATAAATTAGGTAAATGAAAATTGAAATAAAGATTATAAACTTTTAATAATAACTGTGTTTTAAAACATATTTAATTAAAAGTTTCCAAATGCCTTTTGTAACTATACTCTGAAAGTTTTAAGTTAAATTAAATGACAGATATTAATTAAATATCTAAATCATCTTCAAATAAGGTATAATGCTTAAATATTAATTACTAAACACAACTGTAAGCTTATATGCTTTTGGCTTCTTATTTCAGAGAAACAAAAGATAGTTGTGTTTGTTAGTGAATATGTCCTGTTTCACTTTAAAAAATTGTTCTATAAAAAACCCATGTTTCTAGAAATTATAAAATATGTGTTCATAAAATGTTTTGATACATACCAGTTCAAAATTATTTACCCCATAGGTTTTCACAAGAAGTTAAGGTTACTTAAAGGTAAAACTGTACTTAATATATGCAAATAAAACTAGTAGATATAAGAGTAATAATTCTGTATACAAAGTGTGTAAGAAAAGTAGAATGTGTTTTTCTTTAAAACAAATTTTATATAGAATACATGAAGATGTGATTTTGTTAAAGAAAAAGTAATTTTGTCTGGAGAATTTAGAGTTGTTTCAAATTCAAAGAATAAAAAATATAGATAAGACTAAACGAGAGTGAAGGTATGAAAAGTCAAAAAAAAAAAGAGAGAAAACAGAAAGAAATGTAAAACGTTATAAGAAGTTTATGGAAATCTTATGTGGTCCAAGCTGACTGAGTTTGAATGTGTTTATAAGATTTTATCAAAATTAGTTTTAGTATTAAAAATACACTAATACAAAATTAAAATTCAGTTTTCTCTTTTAAACACATTTTCATGTAGTCTTAACAAGAGTTAGTAAAATATTTTGTTCATCTTTTGAGTAAATTCCAAAAAAAGAGAGGAGGGAGAAATAGATAATGTGTACCGCATGCTGTCTTTATTAGGTCTTTTGATTATTTGGAAAACTCAGTCTCCTCTCTATCAAAGAGTAAATATTTTTGTTTTTTGAAATCTTTTAATTTTGACTTTCACTAAAGGAATGACTGTAATTTTACAGCAAGCTGTGATCCTATTTTGATTAAGTGTTTTCAATCTTAGAAATATTGTCAGGCTTCCCAAAATAAAATCTTAAATTGTAAATTAATTCTGTTTTACCTCAAACTTTTAGTCATTTTGGAAGGGTCTTTGGAAGTATGTGAGAGACATATTAAATTTATTTGATATGCAAAATTATATGGGTAGCATTGTGAAATAGAATATGTTTAACCTTCTTTAAAAGTTATATTTGTGGCTGGGTGTGGTGGCTCACATCTTTAATCCAAGCACTTTGGGAGGCTGAGGCGGGCAGATCATTTGAGGTCAGGAGTCCGAGACCAGCCTGGCCAACATGGAGAAACCCCATCTCTACTAAAAATACAAAAATTAGCTGGGCATGGTGGCACACACCTGTAATCTCAGCTACTCGAGAGGCTGAGGCAGGAGAATCACTTGAACCTGGAAGGTGGAGGTTGCAGTCAGCCGAGATTGGCACCACCGCACTCCAGCCTGGGCAACAGAGCAAGACTTTGTCTCAAAAAAAAGTTGTATTTATATAGGTACATTATTAATATATATTTCAAAAGTGTATGAGATTTCTAAAAATCTGAGATGCTAAATTGCTGTAGATCAGAGGAAATGACCAGATTATTTTGTTAATTGCATCTTTAACCATGACCATTTTAAGTCTTATTGTCAGTAGTAAATTGCTTTATTTGGATGCTTTTTTCTAAAATCTCTTTGCAAATTCTAAAGTGTTGTTTCTTAAAGAGGTTCATGGAAAAGGCTACACCAAGTACTCATGTTTCTGACAACTTTGAGATTATACAATTGCACTGGATAAAAATTTCAAAAACTGAAAAAAAAAAACAACTAGACCCATAAGACTGCTAGCTTAACATCAAGTTGAACAAAAATTAATTACATGGGACTGAACCGATGGAGGACTAAAATTATGTTTTATGACTTTTGTTGTTCGAGACATTGCTGATTTTTTAATGTTTTGTTTTCTTAGTCAATAAAGCTTTTTTCTTTCTATCTATAGGTGACAGCAATTGAGTAACATACTTTTGTGAGAGAAAAATGAAACATTTACCTTTTTATCTAGTTCCTCAAGAATTCAGAAACGGTCATGAGTATTCTTATTTTATAGCAATATAGATATTTGTATAAGTCCAATAAGAATCTGTTTTGTAACAGGACACAGTTAGAGGCACTGGTTATCAAGACTTTGACATGAACATCATCTTTTCAGATTTGACCAGACAGTTTTGAGAGATTGACTTTATAAAGCAAGTAGACTTGGAAAAAGACTGGTCAGTATCTTGTCTCCACGGTTTCCTTATAAGGTTCCTGACTTGTGGTAAGTAGAGAATGTCACTTTCTCATAGTCCCAAGAACCTTAAGATATTTTTGGGACTTCAAAAAGAGATGTATTTTCTCAATTTGTACAAGCATTATGGACACTATCTGAGGGTGAATCAAATCCTTGGGTTGGCTTCTAAGCCTTGAGAGGCTTTTTAAAAGTCGAATGCAAAATGTCTTATAAAAACTTCCAGCAAAGCCAACTTCAAAAAAGCCCACATGGCCAATCACCATTCTTGTTTATCTTATGTAAATAATCAGGCCAAAGATTAAACTAATTTTGCAAGTAAATTAGTCTTACAATACATATTTTTGGTAAAGATGAGGGTAAATGTAGAAAGAAAAATTGTTTCAGAAGAAAATTCATAGAGCACCCATTATTAGATTCTAGTTCATTCATTTTTTGTTTTTTCCTCTGAAATTTTATTATCTGTAATTAGAACTAAATTCTAAACTTTTAGTTTCCTCTGATATCTGGCTATAACTCTCCAGACTAATGTTTCCAGTTTTTTTCCTACCCTTCTGACTTCGAAATTTTATTATCTGTAATTAGGACTAAATTCTAAACTTTCAGTTTCCTCCAATATCTGGCTATGACTCTCCAGACTAATGTTTCCAGTTTTTCTCCTACCCTTCTGACTTAAAATCACTAGAAATTAAAACTATGCTTTTCTTGAAGCTGAAATTTTCTACAAACTGAAGCTGGAAAACCTGATATAAACTTTGGGGGAAATCACTACAGTAACTTGTATATGAACAACCTTCATGCCTGGAGGGTGTATGGATACTCAGAAAGTTCACTGAAACATCTGATTCAAACTACAACTCAGAAAAATCAGTTACTTTGCCACTGCCTGCCTATTCCAACTGAATATGCTTCAGAGTCTGTAGAAAAACTAACTTACAGACTTCTCCAGACATGAATCTTTATTTTTTCTTCTGTTTCCATAGAAATGCTTCTTATTAAACATCTGTTTGCCTGTATTATATAGAGAGGCCTTGCTTTGAAAACCTATCGCAATTTCACCTCCTGGAATGTGACACAGCTGTCTAACTGACCTATTCTCAAGACTAGAAGACTGATTCAAGAAAATATGGACCCCTTGTTTAAATCTATGTTCTTTTTCTTCCCTCTGCCAATCTCTTATCTGACAACCTATAACCCAAATCACTTCACAGATACCGATCCTATTTTAATATGTTGCACTTTCTAAAAATGAGCTTTAAATGGGAGACTAAAGGAAACCAAAAATATCTCAACCCAAGATACATTCTGACATCTTTCTAGATGGCTATTCAGAGGATCTGCTGAGTGAAATAGCCCTGCAAAGCTGCTTTTTTCTGGAGCAGATTTTTATCTGTAAAGTCTACATTAGCAAAATAAGGAGACAGACTTTCTCTGAGACCTTCCTTGTCTAGATCTAGAAAGATTATCTCAGAGGAGAGAGAGAGACTGAGAGTATGACCTTTGAAGTTCTGGCAGAGAAACTGTTACAACAGGCTACCATCTACTCTTTCTGAGTGCTGCTACCTTAGAGGCTTCATCTGCATAAGACAGCCTTCACTAGCCATGCCTTTTCTCTCCCTCACATAACCTGTCTTACCATGATCCAAGCCCCTAAGTTTCCTGTAATCTCAAGATGATATAAAAGTGTAAACTATCTGGCCCCTTTGAGTTTTCATATTTTGTATTACCCCATGCACATATATTCATGTTAATAAGTTTGTATGCCTTCTTTTCCTGTTAACCTGGTCTGTTATCAGTTTGTTTTATAGACTCAAATTATTGAACCTTCCATGGAAAAAATTTAAACTTCTTTGCAATATTAAATAAGTGGAGAATAATATCTTTAGAGAATTAATGACATGGGGATTTCATGGAAGGAGAGATTACTTCAAGCTGGAAGGGAGAGGAAATCTGGATTCACGTTAAATAATGATAGTTTGTGGAAAAGTGGAAAGCACAGAGAAGACATTCTGAGAAATGAAATGGACAAAGGCACAGAAGAAAGCACAATGGCATGTACAAGGGAGTTTCAAAGGTCAATTACACATAAATAATGGTTTCCACTGCGATGGAGAAATAAGTTATTGGGGGACTTTAGATCAATATAGAAAGCTGAAGATGCAAAGTATGCCAACTACTCCAAGCACATACAATAGAAAGCCAAAAATGCAGCAAAATTATTTTTAATAAAGCTGAACTTTTAAACAAAAAAAAATGACAATTTCTAGGTGCTAGAAATGAAGAGGAATGTCAAATATGTAGTAAGTTGGCAATTGTACCATACTTAAGGCTTAGGAGGTGGGATGATTAATAAAACTTTAAAGAGATCTAGGCCACAGTCATTGTGCAGGGCAGGAGACTTGGAACTGGTCTTCTGAACACTGCTGAGAAGCAGGGAGTGGTTGTCCCATTAACAGTAATCAGAAATACCCTTGGCTCTCAAATTAACAGACCAGAAATGCTCTTCCACCAACTCAGGAATTTAGACTAAACCTAAGTACTCCTCTCTCCACAGTGGCAATCTGTCTGGATATGCGTATTCATAGACATATCAAGTTATATAATTTTCTTGAATCCTAGAAAATAACTTTGCCATTATCTGTTTGCCATTCTTAGTCTTCTCATCTCCTGCAAATTCTATTAGACATACACTGGAGATAGTCTTATAGAGAATATGTTTTAAATTTTCCTTCATAAACTCTATTTTAAGTGATAGTCTCCATTTTATCTTTGACTACTTATGCAAAGTATGTAGGAACCCTTTGACTGAAATATTGAATGTTTTTTACAATTCAGTTAATATGTGGTGTGTGTGTGTTTGTGTGTGCATACATACCTACATATACAATTGACCCTTGAACAACACAAGTTTGAACCATGTGGGTCCACTTATACACAGATTTTATTCTGCCTCTACTACCCCTGAGAAAACAAGACTAACTCCTCCTCTTCCTCATCAGCCTAAACAACATGAAGTTGATGAGGATGAAGACCTTTATGATGATCTACTTTCACTTAATGAATAATAAATATATTTTCTCTTCCTTATAATTGTCTTAAAAACATTTGCTTTTCTCTATCTTACTTTATTGTAATATAATGCATATAAAATAAAAAATATGTTTTAGTCAACTACTTATGCTATTAGTAAGGCCTCCCTTCAATAGTAGGCTATTAGTAGTTAAGTTTTGGGGATTTTAAAAAGTTATGCTTGGATTTTTGCCTATGTGAGATGTATACACCCCTAACTCCAGTGTTGTTCAAGGATCAACTATATAGTCATGCTGCTTGATAAGACTTTGTTCTGAGAAATACATCACTAGGTGATTTTTGTCATTATGTAAACATCACAGAGAATATTTACAAAAACCTAGATGGAATCACCTGCTATATACCTAGGCTATATGGTTTAGCCTATTCCTCCTAGGCTACAAACCTATACAGCATGTTACTATGCTGAATATGGTAGGCAATTGTAATACAATGGTAAGTATTTGTATATCTAAACAGAGAAAAAATACAGTAAAAATGTAGTATTATAATCTTATGGGATCCCTGTCATATATGTGGTCTTTCATCAATTAAAACCTCATTGCATAGTGCATGACTATGTATATATTTTCCAATTCAATAATAGGATAAAAGAAAGTAACTTTCAGATGTACAAACACTTTAAAGCTTTGCTTCTAAAGACTCTTGCTGAAACTACTAAAGGATGTCCTCCAACAAGAAAGAAATAGAACCCAAAGGAAAGCATAGCAAGAAACACAAGTGAGCAAAGAAAAATTTAAAAAAGATAAATGAAAGTTAGATGAAGGCAGGAAATTTTCTTCTTTGCCAGTGTGACACCAGAACAAAGAAGAGGGCTTATATGAGATACTATAAATACTTGCTAAATTTAACAAAATAAGCATTTAATTTCATAACTAACTAAAAAATAAAAATAAATTTTATTTTTAGAAACAACACGTAATAACAGTAACATGAAAGATGACAAGTTTTGGGGGGAATTAAAGTATCCCAGTTTACTTGTTAAGGGAAAAATAGAAATATTGGTCAATGTTAGGCTTTGTGAAAAATAAAAAAATTGTGCACATTTATATATTTTTACGTATTTAGGGAAAGCCATTAAAACAAAGGAAATACTATGTATAACTTTGAAGAGGAGACAAAGGATGTGAATAAAACTCCATTAATGCAATACATTCTGAGGAAAAAAAGAGCCAATAAAAAAATGAAAATAAAATAACCCAAATAAGCACAAATATATCAGTACTCACAATAAATAAAAATGGGCCTGTTGTGCATCAATAGGTATATTTGAGGAGGATTCTTGGAAGAGTAGAGCTAAGAATCCCAATTCCTCCTCCCAAAGTGTGTGTGTATGGGAGGAAGAGGTAATATGGGGAATTCTTACCTTCATTATTTTAAGTCTTGAGAGATTTGGCTTCAACAAGACACCAAGAGTGTCTCTTTGCCCATGGAATGAGACATGACTGCTGCCTGGGACTTCACAAAGTTGCAATTTGGCCTGAGTAGTGGTGATGGTATAGCCAGGAGTGTGCAGTTGTTCTGGGACTGGACTGCCATCTCAGGGTTTGTACAAGTGTAGACTTTATAAGTATTCCCCCTGTACTGAATATGGACCATGTGGACAGAGAGCAGAGCTATGGCCATTTAAAATCCTACCCTAGATAACTGCCTTAAGGGAGAAAGAATGCATGAGCTGTGTGGTCCAGACTACCAGAGAAGAAGAGGCTGTGGGAGGACTTACAAGTCTGGGGAAAGGAATGCATTATCTGATGCATGAGAGTTACAGGTAAGATATCTAGAGACTCAGATTCCACACTTTGTCAGCTTTAACTATCTGCCAGATACAAAGAACGCAATGGCACTCAGCTAAAAAAGAACTGCCCCATCCTCTTATTCTTATTCCCCGCTGATCTCCCCCATTCAGTGCTGGAAATTCAAACCAGCAGCTCACAAAGATAAAGCAGGCATTTTTTAATCAAAAGAAAATGGGTTAGTATAAATAGTAGAAAATAGAATTTTGAGTAAAAAGCATTAATCAGGATTAAAGACGGACATAATAGAGTGATAAATGGAACAAACTACTAAGAAGATACATTAATCATGAACTTTTATGCAATTAACATAAATGTGATATTGAAAAACATCAAATAAAATTAATAGCATTACAAGGACAATTGGAAAAATAAAGAATTCCAGTAAAGCTTTTTCAGAAAGTTGTAGAGGAAAATGTAAAAAATAAGCACACAGAATAATAACATAATCCTCGATCAATCTTATAGTTGTATGTGGGATTTTTATACCCTAAAAAATAAAGAATATGCCTTCTTTTCTAGAATTGAATATTTATAAAAACTTGATGAAATGCCAGCATAAAAATAAGGTTATTAACAAAGTTTAGAGATAATATCATGCAGATCATATATTAATATGTAAGAACAGAAAGGGTAAAGTTGCTTATATCATCTTAAAAATTTTTTAAATTAATGTTAAAAATTAATAATGTTAGAAATTATTGAATATCTAGAGACTGAAAATACTGGAAATAATTCAAATTAAAACTCATGCGATATAGCTAAATTATGGTTTAACAGGAAATATATAGCCTTAAATTAATATATTAGAGAACAAGAGAAAAGTAGTGAGCCAACATTAAATTCAAGAGGCTAGATGAAAAACAGTAAAATCACGAAAGTGATAGCTAGAAAATAAGAGAATGGAAATTAATGGAGTATAAAGTAACATTAGAGTTTTTTTTTGTGCTTAACTTTTGAAAAACTCATAAAATAAATCTTTGGAAAGCTTCATTAAAGGAAAAAGTGATAAGAGCAAATAAATATTACAAATCAAAAAGAATGTAGCTACAGATAAAGCCATGGTTAAAAAATACATGAGAATACTTCATGTCAATAATTTTAAAGTTTTAGACAAAAAAAAATTAAAAAGGGTATTCAATTTACCTTTGAGACTAGTATAAACCTGATATTCAAAGCAGAATTAAATAAATTAATGTCACATCAAATTCAGAAATGTTAATAAAAATCATGACCAAGTGGGTTTTCTAAGTAACGCAAATATTATTCTAAATTAGTATATTCATTAATATAAGAAACATGAATGGATTAAGATGAAAAAATACTATGACCTTGTAAAAGTTTGCTATCTAGCATTTAATAAAATTACCCATTTATGATTTAAAACTATTGTAACCAAGAACAAAAAAACTTAAGAGTACACATTGCTTTTAATGGTGAAACTTTAGAAGTATTCCCAATAAAGTTAGGAAAAATTCTTTGTAGTACTAATTAGACTGAAATAAATAAAATTAAGGAAACTGGACTTAACAATGAAATAAAAGGGCATTTCCTTTTCTCAGTGGCTCTGTGAATGGGCAGCCCATACTCAATCCACATACAAACTTTCTATTGATGGCAATGGGATTAGTGTGAGGTTTAAGTACAAAACAAGCAACTGGGATCTACTCTTTGTTTAAAAGATTTCCTATGCAGGATGTTAAAGAGAGGCAAAGGCCCTGTCATCCTGCTTGAGGGCCAAGTCCTCCTGTTTAAAATCTTATGAACTCTTGGGTGATCAAACTTGTTGCAATAATAAGCCAGGCAGGGTAACAACATAAGTACTGAACATAAAAGTTTTTCAATTTTAAAAGCTTTCTTATGGTCATTAAACATTTCAGACAAACACTCATTATGAACTAATTGGTAGCAAATGTTAATTTGAAAACTTAAGCTGACTTCAAGTTATAGTCTTTTGGTTTTGTGATTTAAAAAGCGAAATATTGAGAAATCGTGTGAGCATCTTTCCGTGCTTAAAAATTCCAATCACCAAACCCTATTGTTCTTTAGATGCCGACCCTGAATAAATTGAGCCTTCTAATCCCAGAGTTAACTTCTCTAAATTCTTTATGTCATGAAAATAACTTCTGATCTCCTGACATTTTTCACTGTCATTCTCTAGATCCATTGAGACATGTTTGTGTAATTCTCAAAAGTTTTGAAATCTTGAGGAAAAAAAACAGGCATTTTCTATAGAGATGTCTACCCCTTCTTAGAATTCCTTTACCTTTTTCTGTTATTCTATAACATCAAAATTTATGGAGCATCGTAATAGGGACTAAGCTAAGTATCTCAGCAATTTTCTTCTCTTACTAACCCCAGATTCCCCAGGCTGCATGATTATTTTTTCTTTCATAGACTCTACATTTGTTGTTCTGGTACATAATAATATTCTTACCTTCTATCAGTTCCAGCAGAGGGTGGGAAAGTTGAGGGTGGGTAGGGAGGCACACCAGGGCCAAACCTGTCTGATAATACATACATGTTTTTTACTCACCAAAATTCCCTTTTTACCACTCCCAAGGTTTTCTCCAAGGCTTTTCACTGCTACTCTATTTTTATCACCTCCTTTAAATCTTGGGTTAAAACTCACACCTAAAAGTCATTTTTATGAGCTCTACTTGAGCTGAGTATTGCTTTATATTCCTCAATTTAAAATGCAAGTTGTGAATTTTGATTTTTAAATCATTGTTATAAATATGTGTTAAATATATTTTACTTCTGTGTATTCTTTCATACTTTAAGCTTAGCCTGAGTTATACTTTCTTTTTTCTTCCCTCTTTTTTCTTTCTTTCTCCTTCCCTTTCTTCCTCCCCTCCTTCCTTTCTTTCCTTTTCTTTTTTCTTTTCTTCCTTTTCTTTCTTTCCTTTCTTTCTTTCTTTCTCTTTCTTTCTTTCTTTCTTTCTTTCCTTTCTCTCTTTCTCTTGCTTTGTTTTTCTTTCTTTCTTTTTTCTTTCTTTCTTTCTTTCTTTTCTTTCTTTCTTTCTCTTTCTTTCATTCCCATTCTTTTCCTTCCTTTCTATACTGTCTTATTTTATTCCCCAAACTGGTAGTTCTTTAAAAATACTTGACCAACTAAGAATTCATTTTTATTAGCGGATATAAAATTGATAATACTGCACATGAAGGTTGGTCAGAAATTATTCAGAGGCAATATAGAAAAAAGAGCTTCCACTGATCTGTTTCACGGTTTTCATTATATAGATGCATGTGTGTTTATATCAAGGTGAATAATATAGCATTTTGGTTATACTATGATATAGTGTAACCATAGACTGTGGTGCCATATCCACGTTGTGATCAAATCTCAACATGGATACATCCTGGATGACTCTGGCTGAGTTACTTTACTTCTCTTCTACTTAGTTTTTCAGTCTGCAAAATGGGGATGATTATAAGCACCCACTTCATAAGATTGTTGTGAAGATTAAACAGATTAACATATGTAGAGGACCCAATATAAAAACTGCACACGTTTTAGTTATCACAGCTTGAGAGTCCCAACTTCAAACTCCAAAGAACTCTGAAAACAAAATTACTTCTATGATTAATTCGAAAGCACTGAAGTTAACTACGACAAAACTATTTATGGTCTTTCTTATTTCTTTTAATGTGACTACACTTACATTACCATACAGAAACATTGAAGTATTTTAAGGACCTTACTGGGGGATGCAATGTTAAATTCAATATATAAAACATGCTACATTTCTATGCATATATATGCATGTGTGTGTATATATATATATATATATATATATATATATATGTGAAATGCATCTGGCCCCAAGAGTTTTAGATAAAGAATGCTCTACATTTCTGCACTGATATAATTTCAGTTCAAATTTATGAATCTGACCTTGGCATACTGCATTTGATACATGAGTTGGAAATGAGTGATTATTTCTATTTTTGAATGTATATCACTCCCGAGGACCTTTTCACCTTCTCGTCTCATGATCTTCCTTCTCTTTTCTCTGCTCTTTATTTTGTGCTCCTCCTATCATCCTATATCAATTATAAATTGCATTCAGAGATGAGTGATGGTCAAGTGAAAACTTGACTAGAGAGTTTCAGGTATTTTTATGCTATGCTAAGAAGTCCAGTGATGGGAAGTGCAGGGCTAGTAAAAGTGGCCCTTAGTCTCAAAACAGTGTCAATGTCCAAGGGAAGAGGCAACCCCAGCAGACTTCCATTTACTTCCTATTGTCTGAACTATGCACATGCTCACTTGTAGCTGCAAAAATGGTCGGGAATCCTAGTTATGCTTTTGTTTAAAATATTTAAAACTAGAGGCAACAAAGAATAAGGAGATTGAGATGGACATTAGTCAACCAACCCACAATATCTGCCACTTTATCCACATGCAAAATGACAGGTGGTGTAAGAACTGAATTAGAATATATTGTCATCAGCAATGTATCAAGATAAAGAGAAAATGTTTCAATTGTTTAGGTCCCCTATTTTATAATGTAACCATATTAGTAACCTTAGTGGTTACTTTGAATGAAGAATTGAATCTTCTAATCTCCTCCTGCAACTATATTTCCAAGCTTTTAGCCTGTAGCCTTTCTTTTACTTTCCCTATGTACAAGTTACATTTAGAACTCTTCTTTATTTTCCCATAACTATAATTAAAGCATGTGCATATGAATATCCATGATTCTGTGAGGCTATCTACGGAGATATCTTTCACAAGCATGAAGAATAGGAGTAAGAATGTTGTTGTATGTGTAAGCATGTGTTTGTATTCACACCTTCAGTGCATCTCAAACTTTAAAAAAAGGTGGTATTACCAAGGAAAAATGAAAACAAAACACTCTTTTCCATAATCTCTTCTTCTTCCTTTGTATAAACCTTTCTCTGAGAAACTTCAGTGCTAACCTGTTTTTCTCTGTTTCTTCCCTGATCCTTTCTTGCTGTGGATGTCTCCTCAGCAATAAGTAAAAGACTAATAGGAGCAATCATTAAGTTTGTAAATTCTATGAATTAGTGAAATATTTTCTGTACATTTTCTCTTAAATTAGCAATCAACAAATACTTTATTGGCATATTACCAAAGCCTACTATAGCTCCTTTCACACTTGTTTTATAAACAAATATTTCATCCAATCCTCTTGTTAGCTTCCTAATAGACTAAGTGCTTTTATTGAATTGACCACAAAAAGGTATAAATATTTGTGCTGAAAGGTTGCAGAACATTAAAAAACTATCGGCATATATAAACTTTTTAAAATAAGATTTTATTTCTGTGATTATTTTCTCCTGGCCCTTGTCTGTGTTGAAATTAGCTGCTATTGTGTTGATCAATTATAACTTTTTGTAGTCCTCTGGTATTTTTTTCCTTTACTCTGTTAGGCTAGTTTGTCATGAACAAATTCTTTCCCCTTGCTACTCATGTTTTTAATATATTTAGCTTATCTCACCCCAATTAACCCCGTAGGAACACTACTAGAAGATCTTTCCATACTCCATACTCAGAATTAGCTATTCATTCTTACTCTTTACTCCTTATTTCATAAGAAGTACAAAGGCAATAATATGGCCTCTATTTCTTGTCCCATTGTCACCAACCATCACTTCTTCTAAGGAAATAAATTCAAAGCAGTCTTTCAACATTATAGTATATTCTACTCATGAACATTCAGTAGTCATTATTGTTTATTCTTTTTAGAAAATTCTAACACCTCAGAAGAATAACAAGGACATAAAGGACTCCTCTGAGATTATTAGTCCATGTTCTTACTTGGGAATTAAGCTATCCCAGAGTGAGTAAGTCTCAAGTGCTTTTAATTTCAGAGAAAGAAATAAATCTATTTTCAATTATTATTTGGTTTTCTAGTTCTAAGACTCTGGAAGGGTGTGGCAATGAGGAGTACTCTGTATCATTATACAGCTTCTGGTGTTGGGGTACTGACATCAGAACACTGGATGGTATAGCCATGATTCTAACAAAATAAAGTCTTCTAGGTTTTCTAAAGGTGAATGCAATTGGTGATAATAACACTTCACTTCTGTAAGTAACATTGTCAATCATAGTCAAAAGCACAGTAGTTTTAATAAGTTAATCAACCAACCAAATTGATATATACAAACTAATCATTTTACTTGTTTTATCACATTTTCTGTTTCATTTTGTTTGTGTCTCCTCTGATGCCACCATTTGATAAATAGCACCATTTGTAGATAAAATGAAGTTATATAGAGAGATTAATTTCTAAAGTCAACACAGAAGATAAAGATGTCAGAGTCAAATTTACTACAAACCTGTTATAAGAAGATTCTTCTGCTGTCTCTCTATAAATCTATCTCATCATTTTTCTCTCAAAGTTGAAAGGATGGCTCATTTTGTTTTGTTCTGGCTGAACATCTGATATATAGATGATGTATTCTTGGAGGTGAAGGGCCATTATGTACAAAAGTATAAAAACATCTTATAACACAAGAATTACATAGCATGGCAAGATTCCCAATTTTTAGAACCAATATAAAACCAAAACTGATTGGGAGATCAGCAAAGTCTTATCTCTCCTGATATTTATTACTGAAAACATATACATATTCTCATTGATTGAAATGTCAGGCAGAATTGTCCACACTATTTAAATTATTGTTATTATTACTGTTATTGTTTTGGCAGAGACCAAATAACTGAATTCAAGTAGGTGTGATGCACACATAATGCGTCTTTGCTATACTTCACCAAATTGCCCATGCTAAAGTCACCAATGATTTCCACAGGATAATTTTCTGTTACTAGAAATCTGTTACTGTTGACACTACTGACCACTTTTTCCTTCTTTTTATTAACACTATCCTTCGTTGGTTTCTAGAATCCCATTATCTGTTACTTCTGTCTTTACTTATTCTGAGTTATTATGGGTTTTATTTTTTTCTTAAACCAACTTTTAAATATTACTATTTCCAATATTCTTTTTCCCTTTACTTCTTTTAGTTGCTCACAGTGTCACTTACCATCTTGATTTTCCCGAGTTCCAAATGTACAATCTCTAACCTGAGATTTTGATTCATGTTTTCTGGTCCATTTACCGTGTTGACTGGGATGTCTCACAGGTATATTAAAGCTAAGCACATGATCTTTATTCAAACTTTCTTCTACAACATTCCTTTTTTTATCAATAATTCTACAACCTGTTCAGTTTTCCAGAAAACTCAGTCATTTCAGCTTTTTTTGCCATAAAATCCTATGTAAAATTACTCATTATATTCTGTCAGTGCCACATCTTAAATATCTCTAAAATTTGTTCTCTCTATGGCTGCTATTGTAGTTCAAGCCAACATGTTTTTCTTTCTTAGGTTATGACAAGAGATTCCTTGCTGGTCTTCCCCGTAGCAGCTTTGTTTCCAGTATGTCAGCTGCAATAATATTACCAGGATAATCTTTTGAAAATGTTTACTACAACTCAATTATTATGAATTAAATTGTGTCTCTTCAAAAATCATATGTTGATGTCCTAACTCCTAGTACCTCAGAATGTGAACATATTTGGAAATAGAGTCACTACAGATCTAATTAATTAAGATGAGGGCATATTGGAGTAGGGCGAGCCCCTAATTCATTATGACTGGTATCCTTACAAAATGGGGAAATATGGACGCATACATGCACACAGGGAAAACACTATGTGAGCATGAAAGCAGAGATGGGGTGACACATCTACAGTCAAGAAACACCAGAGATTTATAGGTAACCACTAGAAACTAGGGGAAAGGCATAAAACTTATTTTTTTCTCACACCCTTTATAAATTAACCCTGCCAATACATTGATTTCATATTTCTAGCCTCCAGAACTGTAAGACAACAAATTTCTGTTGTTTAATCCACCCAGTTTGTAGTACTTTGTCATGGTAGCTTTGGCAAACTAACACAATAATTATTATATAATATTTTTGTACTCTAGATTTTTAAATTTTCCAATGGCATCCATTATTTATTGTTTCAAACACAAATGTCTTACCATAATACAGTATATAAGACATAATATGATCTTGGTCATATTTACCTCTTCACTTTTGTTTCTCATTGCTTTTTTCTCTACTATACTTCTATATATTTCTCTTATTTTGTGTGTGTGTTTAGTGACCTTCTACCTGAAATGGCTTTTCTGCCATCACTGACTGGGTGATTTCAACCTGTTCATTGCGGTGCATCAATGGCATCTCATTCTCTGTAAATTATTTCAAGGCGGAGTTAGATTTTCATCCCTCTGTTCTCTTGGAATCCTTTTTCCACTCTTTTGCCATGTTTACCAGGACACTGTCAAATGTCACTGACTTTCCCTGACCACCCACTAGTTTCTCATACATTGAATTCTTTAAGGGAAAGGATTTTGACTTGTTCATCTGGCACCAATGGAAGTTAAATATTTTGAATAGATAAATGAGGCCAGACATTCTTCCACCCTCTCTTTACTCCTTCACAAACCCTTTCTCTTTTTCAGCAGGGTGCCTAGATAACCTATGCATCCTTTTATAGTTCTACTTTATAGTTAAAAGTCTAAATTTGTTTGTTATTATTTTAATCAGATGTTAATCAGATTATATGTTTCCTTCAAAGTTGATATTTATTTACAAGCTGGGGAAAGAACATGTTATAAACATATTTTAAAGTCCTGTTGGCCAGGATTCACAAATTTTGAACATTCAGTGCAGGAAATCATTGGGCAAGGGAATAAAGTGAAATGGTTTTAGCCTATCAAATGTCTTTCCAATTCAGACCCATGGTTTAGAGCTTAATACGAAACTGTACCTCACAGCAGTGGGCAACACTAAAGTTTAAAATGAAATTCAATAATTGCACAAGGTCCTTGGCTAGAAATGCACTGCTATAGAAGACAATATTGTCAAGTGGAAGAGGAGAGACAAATTACTCAATACAGCATTGCATTTAATATTTGTTTAGTAATATTTATTTTAGCAAATATTTGTGACAGTTAGTAGACACAATTCTGGTCATAGTTCATGATAATATTTCCTTAGAAAGAAATTTAAATACAATATTAATTTCAGGAAATTGTGAACTCCACTTGCTGAATTTTTTGCACTGTGACTCTCAACTGATTGTATTGTATTTTAATATTCCACTTAATGTTCAGTTGGGATCACAAAATTTCAAGTCAGAAAGCACAGCATAGGTTATCTAGTTAAAATCATTTTTAGAGTAAATTACTAAGGTCTGAGTAGGCTAAATAACTTGCCTAAGTTCATGCAGTTGTCTGGTAAGTAAAAATAGACTATAACTCAGATCTTCTAACTTCTTATGAAGTGTTCTTTCCTTCTTAGTATATTTACTTCTGTTGGAAGGAAAATCCAGTAACAAAAATGTAAAGAGTAAATATACTCTATCCTTCGATTTCACAAAGAACACCAGTGTATCATAAATTATTTATTTTACTTAAAAATGTAAGTCCAAGATTGCACATTTTACTAATCTAAAATTGTATTAACCATAATAAACAGTGAGTATGAGTTTGGGAACTATGCTTTGGTTGACTCATGTCTATTTAAAATGCTACTTACAGTAGTTTGAACTATAGTTTTTTCTTTTCAATTAACATCCATCCAGAAAGCAAAGCCCTGCCTCAAACCATTTCATTGACTACCTTTTTATAAAACAGTCATTGTAGAATACAAATATGTGAAGATATTAATAAAATTTTATGTATCAGGATTCAAAGATCTGGCATTACTGTGAGATCAAAAGTTGCTGGAATTGTCTATTTCTCTATTGTTTTTATGTATCAAATATGAAGTTCTTTACTTTCAGTATTGTGTTGAGTACAGGAACATGGAAGAGTACTTCACACACAGTCCATGTTCAATAAATAGATGTGTGGTTAAAAAGGTGTATGTATGCCGAAGAAAACACTTTAGATCCTTTTTAGACTCAGGCAAGAAACAAATTATAAACACATTATTAAATAAAAAGTTTTGGCATTACTATAGAGCTCTCTGTCAATGATTGTATGCTTTGGCTCCCTAGAGTAATAACGTACACAAAATATTATATTTGGGGTTTCAGTTCTAAGAAAATTGTGTTACAGTTTTGCCCACTATTGTGCTTCCCGCTGTGGCCTACCAAATAATTCACCGTAGAAAGTTGAGTTGCCTTTTGTTATTGATAGAATTTCCATAGAAATTATCCTTTAAGAAATAAATGTTCTAAATAGTATTGTACTTAGAGTTAGGATTTGTAGCTTCTGTCACCAACAAGCTGTCTAACTATAATGGGTTTACCCTGTAGGGTAAGATTGAAAAAATGCTTTAATGCTTTTTCCAACCTCTACCCGGATCTCTATTCTACACTGATCAATCATATTTTGAAGAGAACTCTTTGCTGTCTAGATTTTATATTATATGAAGAGTTTCATTTTCGTCACCAAGACTCAATTTTCTTTTACAAAGTTTAGTCCAATCCAATTCAAATGTCAATTCTTATTTCAAATTCAAATAACATATTTCTCTGCTTTCCAACTTCAGGCCTGGACCACCCTGCTAAGGAGAGGAGAATGGTGTGATCTTGTGCTCTTTCCACCTTTTATTCTTTGTTTCTGACTTTCTACGACTTTCATTCTTTGTTTCTGGCTCACTCCTCTGCCTCTAGATCTCTTTTTTCAGTTGAATGTTGAGGAAAGAAAAGAATGTTAGAGGAAAAAGGCCAACAGTCTTATATGTCTACGTTCTTGACAGGCAGCCATGTATGACTTTTATAGGCAGGCACTCAAATATAAGCATTTTTATGAGATACACTTGTGAATTCTTTAGAGGCCTACATAGAAAATGTCCATACTATTCACCCACCAAATGCCCTTTCTAGATGGTATCAGTTGTATTTTCCTAAATTCTGCAGTGACAACAAACAAACCCATGCCTTAGTGGCTTATAATAACAAAGGTTTAGATTTAATTTATATTACATGTCCTCTGCAGGTTGGCCTTATCTTTTCTCCCACTTCTTTATTCTGGGGTTTGAAAGAAGAAACCAGCCTTTATCTGAGACCTGCTGCTGTCATTACAGAAGAAACCACAAGGTGGTTACAACTTAAAGAAAATTTTAATTGAGAGTGTTATATGCCACTTCTGCTTATATCCCATTGGCAAAGCAAGTCACACAGAAAAGGCTGAAGTTGATATGGCAGAACGTATAATTTTACCACAGGTAGGGAAATAAATATTTTTAACAAATAAAACAATCTTCCACCATGATCGCTTGTACTCTGGCCCTATCCGTCTTTAGCTTCTACCCCTGGATATATACTTCATACCCTCTATTTTAATTGAGAGACATTCATACTAGCAAGCCTCTCTCCTGGGTGGAGTCTTTTTAAGATGGCTCCAATATACATTATAATACATCTACTTACTGCCGATATCTGATCACAGTGTCCATGGCCCTAGAGTCATGTACGATTTTCATGTTCAATAATAGGAAGGCATACTGTTCTTCGGCTGCCATCTCTTCTCATCTTGTTATTGGGAACTGCTTTAACCTGATTTGCATAGTTAACATTTTCCAGAATTAACAGGAACTAGGATGTATGTTCTATCTGCTCTTTAACTCAAGATAATCTATTTCTCCCAAAAGCTTCCTTATCATGATCTACTGTGATGCACCATTAGGTAGGCCAAGAAGTTTCTTATGTTCAGTAAATGTCAGACTGGGGAATGAGATGCCAGTGTTTCATTCCTGAGGAAACCTTCAGTTTCTTTGAGGAACTCCTTGTTCCTTTCTTGTCTGAGCAGAGGAGCAGGCACTTCTCCTTTCATTAGAAAGGAAAGATGATGAAATGCTAGTATACTTCTTTCTAGGCTAAAAGCTCATGAAATATATAAATGCACTCTTTGTTAAGCTCTACTTTTCTGTTTATATAGTCTAGGAGTCATTATGAGGATTGAGAGTTGAAGAATCAGGTTGGCCATCTCTTCTTAAGCTCTGGCAATGATGTCTGGTATCTCCTTGAAACTCTGTAAAATACGGAAGTTCCTCATGGCTATTACCCATAACTTTGGGAATTTAGCTGACATTGAGACAGACAGACAGACAGACACACACACACACACACACACACACACACACACACACACACATACAGTCTTCTTTGATACCCTTTTTATGTAATCATGGACAAGTCAATTAGCCTACACAGGACTCAGCCTTCTCATGTGGGAAGAAACATTATTTACTCTAGAGAACTCTAACCAAATATTACTAAAACCACTACGACAAGTGGGGAGATACTTTGAACAGGAGGTGGGAGGGACACTTTGATCCTGGACTTATTTCTACACTAATAACTAAGGGTAAAATTTGGTACTTTTTTTTTAAAAGCACAAAACATATTTTGAACCATTAAACATTTGCCTTCATTTTAGGTTGCTTTTCTGATTAAATAAAACACAATTCCAATTGTAGCAATCAAACATGTAGGTCCCCATTAGGCCAATTTTAAAACACTTCCTATTTTGTACACTTCCGAATTTTCCGTCCCCAACTATTCCTTTCACGTCGTAGGAAATCTATTTCATTGAAATAAAGAAAATGTTTTAAATTAAGACAAAAAAGGTCCAGAGAACTCTAAGTTCAGTCCAGTTATTCTTTGAAACTGCAACTGATGAAAAAAAAAAAAAAAAGGCTTTGCTGGCCTCAGTTTATTTTACATTCTTAATTTTATTCAAATGTAGATATTTTGTAATTTCCACTTCCTTTCATTTAAAAAACATGAGCTGTCTCAGGGGATTATGGAGATAAAGCTTCATGAAGTACATGTATCCTGTGGAAGCTGGTTTGTACATCATGCACGCCCTTTGCGAATAGTCCGAGATGTACCTGATGTGCTGTGAACTCTCTGGACCTATCACGTTGTGTGTATAGCACATAAGCTAAAGGAATGCATAGCTTTTCTGTTAAAAAGGCCACATAAAACAAAAAGAAGAATCAAATTTCCACTAGACTTGCACATAAAAATTTTAGTTTCACACATTGTTAATCTTATTTCAGATTTTATAGGGGTTGTTTTCTACTTTTAAAACAAAATATTGCAGTAAACTGGTGTCTCAGTATTTAAAGATTTAATAATTTTGACATGTCCCATGGCACATACTGTACTATGTGAAATTTCCTTTTAAGGTATCGGTTCTCAGTTGGGAATATGTAATTTTCAATCACATAGTTATTTGTTTATAAACAGGCACCATACACTAGAAAATAGCACTTGAAAGTTGAAAGGAATTTTTAATGGTCAGCTAAAAGTTTATGCAACAGGTACTAGAAAAGTAGGAAGAATAAAGTAAGAGGACAATATTGGGTTTTCTTTTTAACGTTAGGTACCTCACTCTAGTTTCCAGTTGCATCTGATATCTAACTCTAGTATTTGATAATCTAAAAACTGTCATACTAGGGGTAAAAAATGACCAAATTCCCATGGAGAGTCTAGAGGTGAGAAAGCACCAGGTAGGACAACCTAAAGAGAGCTCCATATCCTTCTAGCTTGCTCATACAGCTTTCCTGCAGGGGAGGGGGAGTAATTGGTATAAAAACTGTGTTACTTTTCTTTCCAGAAGTAATTACAAATTATCTCGGGAGCTGCAAGGTGATAAACCCTTCAGAGAAATTGAAAGACCAGAATTAATTGATTTTTATTCTTTGCCACATTGAAGGAGAAAATGGGTTCTTGTATAACACAGAAAAGCAACCTAAGCAAGAAATTGAAGGGAAGAGGTTTTGAGAAGGCAGAGGGAAATCAAACCAAATCAAGTACAATTAATGACAGAATATTACACAAACAAAAATGGAAAGAAGAAATTTGATCCATTGGAGGGATCTTTGGGAAGAGATGTATAGTTTCTGGAAAGGAAGCAGTATGTCCTATTTCTTTGAAAAGGTGAAAGAGTCTTCTAGAGCTAAGAAATGTGAAGAACTTACTTACAGGAACTACAAAAATGAAATAGAGTGGAGATAGCCATTTGTAGAGCTTACATGGACAATCAGTAGTAGTTCTCCCTTCCTGAAATGAATAGCTTAATCTTGATAGAGAGTTGTCTGGGGCTTATAAATTTACTGGCCCATTACTGTACCTGGAACAAAATAGTCAGTCAACAAATGTAGCTTAAGATGAGCAAATAAATTAATGAATTCTCTGCCTCATCACCACTTAATAACCATGTTGAATGGGGATAAATGATATAAACAGAAGAAATCTGAATTTCTTCTAGGAATTATGAAGAAATTATGAAGTCCTAAGCAGGAAACTAAAATATTTGCTGGTAGCGTGGTCTTATCTATGTTTCTATTTTAGGATAAGAGATTTTGTAGATATAAGATTAGTAAAATAATGGCTAGTTAAAATAAATAAAGAACAGGATCTGGTTGCTGAACTAGGGATTATTCTGCTAGACTGATGAACACCTGGAGTATATTGCACAGAATCATTTGGAAGCCTGCCAAATTTATACTATAAAATCAAAATCTAGGAAAAGGGAAACATTGTCAGTTAAAACTGTAAAACTAGATATAATGAAGGGTATCAGCCATTACAATAGAACAAGTTATGTAAGTGATACAGATTTTTTTAAAAATTCCTAATAAAAATCACTAAAAATAAAGTCAAAATTACTATTATGTACACAAAGCACAGAGTATCAGCAACATTTGGAGTATAATTCAACATAGTAAAACACTAAGATTTGTCATTGGAAATGCACAATCATAACAATGAAATATGTAGTTTGTTTAAATAAAGACTTGGAAGAAGAGGTAGATGGAGTCCACATGTCATGAAGATACAAGCTTTAGTGGAACTCTTCAATTTTGCTTTCGTTATCATGAAAGAAAATACCTCCATGAAGATAAAAGAAAAGAGAATGAAGTGAAATGGTAGAAAGAATGTTCCATAACTGAGCTTCTGAAAGAAGGTCTTGTTTCTGCTCTTAAGAATGAGAGTGAGCTTGGACCCTGAAACAGTGTCAAGAGATGCCTCAACATAGGGGTCCAGGGATAGGTATTATTAGAACAGCATTCACCTAAGAAGGTAGTCCTTCTAGTTGGAGAGGGAACCTGGATCTTAGTTGAAAGGTAAACAGCACTGAATGAGAGATTTAAAGATCAAGACATGACAGAAGATAGGAGTGGTCAAAGCCGGAAGGATTAAGGGTGAGCTAGTATGTTATGGAAAAGTTTGTGGCAAGCAATTCATAATTAAAGCAATTGACAGAGAGCAAGAGAGTGTTTGTATTACTTTCCTAGGGGATGTTTAGTGTACGAGAGGTGGGGGTAGAAATGTTAACAGGTGACAGTAACAGCAGCATAAAGGAATCAGAGAGCACAGACCCGAAAAGAAAGACAAATATCATGGTGTTGGAAATGTTTAGCTTCCTTGTATTCTGTTAAATTCTCTCCTGGGAAAAGGCGGTTTGATATAATCATGTCAAGCACAGATTTTAGAATAAAATAGGCTTAATATGAAACCTGACTCTGGAGGGCTCTGTGACCTTGGGCAAAAAAAAAAAAAATCTCCACATTGACCTCAAATTCTTCATCTGTAAAATGGGAATTCTAATAGTAATCGCTATAATGTCAGGAAGATTAAGTAAGACTTTAATAAGATGGCCAATTCAAAGAGTGTACCTTGCACATAGAAATCCGTATATAAATGTTAGTCTACTCTTATTAATATTCAGCTAAAAGTAAATTATCTGATACATCCTTTTTTTTTTTTTTTCCTCACTCTGTCACCCAGGATGAAGTGTAGTGGTGCCATCATGGCTCACTGCAGCCTTGACCTCCCAGGCTCAGGTAATTCTCCCATCTCTGCCTCCTGGGTAGCTGGGACTACAGGTGCACACTACCACTGCACAGCTAATTTTTTTGCATTTTTGTAGAGATGAGTTTTCACCATGTTGCCCAAGCTAGTCTCAAATTCAGCTCAGGTGGTCCTCCTGCCTTAGCCTCTCAAAGTCTGATAGGTTCTTCATTTGTCTTGAAGTAAATTGTTTTCCCCTAAAAGTCCATCAAACTGACTGTCAAGGAAGACTTTGTTGAGGGGTGGAAATGAGAGGACCTCTTGAGAAAGTGATTCTGCTGTGTCATCTTAAAATAGGCTTCTCTGATTCAATGTGCTAACAAAGTATATGAAGTTCTTTTAAGTGTGCTCCTTCTGACTCAGTTGGACTAGCGTGGGGGCCTGAGATTCTACATTTATAACAAGAACCCAGGAGATTTCATCCTACTGGTCCATGGACTACACTTTGAGTAAAAAGGCCATAGAATACCCAAAATTGAGTAAAGAAAACATGGCAGGAAGTCAGATATGTAACATGGGTTTCAAGAAAGCAAATTTTAGAGGCCGCAGAAAGATTGGTAAGATTTATTGGATCAAGGCCTGAAAAGAAGATGGCTCAAATCCAAAACCAATGACATAAGTCACAGTTTTCAGAAGTAAACCTGAAGGGAATTTCCATATACCCACACCAATCAATTAAATAACATAAGAATAAGTACAGAAAGTTAAATAAAAGGAAATAACTAAGGAAGGAGAAAAAAGTGACCTAAGCCTGAAAGAACAATATTAGCAAGTTGATAAATCTTAAAATATATTAAGGTTCATTAAGGCACCTAAAATTCCTTTTAAAAGCCATTCTATTAGAGATGGAAATACTGTATTATAGCATATAATTCCTCTAAATGGGTTCAAATGTTTCTATTTAAATAGACTATATTTCCTACTAATTAGAGATCACTGACAGAATCTTTGTAAAATCATGATGAACCTAAAAGTTCTAAAAGACCCTAAATGACCAAACATTTTATTTAATAGTAGTTTCCATTTCCTAATGAACATTTCCATTTAGTATCATGTTCATTAGAAGCAATGTTTAATGAACATGATGTGAATTAATTCCTGATTAGATTTGAGACATTGTTTTCAAAAGATAATACAGACAAAATATTTTGCCAATATTTTTTTCTTTAACCAATGATCCTGTTCATCTTTAAAGAACATATCCAAATGTAACTTTGTTGGTAAAGTAATTAATTATTATCTTAGATAAAATTAGTTACATTTTCTATGTTCCCATTAATCTTAGAGTGAATTTCAGTCACTGTACTTACAATGTATTTTGGTTTCTCATTCACACATGTATTTTCTAACTTGATAGGGAGTGGCTTATTTTTATCATTATAATCTTTGTGTTCAGCAAAGTACATGATATTTAAAATCAAAATTTTAAATATAAAAATTGGAGTCTACACACATAGAGCATATGCATACATGGAACATAATTCAGTCTTCGATTACATTCATCAAAATATAGTGTCCAGAGTAAGGAGGATGTAAGTCCCAGCCAACTGAGTGGTACACAAACTATGTCAAAAGTATACATTTTAGAAAATGCAGGATAGCCCAGTCATTAAGTGCATAGGCTATACATTCCAGTCCAGACTACCCTGGATTCAAATGCCTGCGCTGTCATGTTAAACAACTTTGGGAAGTTGTTTAACCTCTGTTGCTTACGGTTTCCATGTGAATAATAACACTACTACTGCATAAAGCCGCTGGAATGATTACATACAATTATATACGTAAAACACTTAAAGCAGTGGCTAGCACATAACAAGCTTGTTATTGTTATTGCTACTATAATTATTAGTGATTATTAATTATTCTAGGTACTGCCCTTTAAGCACCAGTGACAAGCAGCCCAATCCAGGGAGAAGTGACCAAGAGAGCAAAGCACTTGAAATCATTTCTTAAGGAAAGTTAAACTATCTCAAGCTGTTAGGCTGGAACTGAGATGGAGAAGGGTGGAAGGGACAAGAATTAGGATAGCTATCCTAAACAAAAAGGCAGTGAATAACTTTGAGTTAGGACACTCAAGAGGACAAAATTGGACCAAAATTGGAAACCACATGGAGGAAGATTTAGGCTCAAATAATGGAAAACTTTTCTCATACAGAGTAAATCTAATGGAACATCTCTAGATGTATTTAAGCAGGACTTTAAGACCTCATTGTTAGGGATGGTAAACATGAGGTTGAATCATTGAATGTTAGGAGGGCTAGGCTAGCTGGTTCATCTGTGACTTGAACTCTATCCTATTCATTTTACAGATGAGGAACTGAGGACTAGAAATACAAAATAACTTGAGGCTTACACACAGAGAGAACAAATTAGTGGCAGATCCTGGCCTAGAACCCAGTTTATCAGATTCCCACTCTAGGGTTCTTTTCTAGGAAGTCCTCTTGTTAGCAAAAAGAAAGCACTTTCCAGAACCAGTGGGGGTGTATTTCCAAGTAACAATGTGAAGCAAATGTACAAGTGAGGCAGAGGGAAGTATGTGAGAAAAAGTGAGTAGAGCAAGCCATGTAGAATAAAGTCATTGAGTCCTGGATATGTAATCCCTAGGGTTTCTCTGGTGACTTTTTGTATCCTATTATCAGACATGGGTTTATTTGTATGTATACATGATCACAGAGCATTATGTTTTATTTATTTAGTTAGTTATCTAGTTATTTAGTTTTTTGAGATGGAGTTTCACTTTTGTTGCCCAGGGTGGAGTGCAATGGCGTGATCTTGGCTCACCGCAACCTCTGTCTCCCGGGTTGAAGTGATTCTCCTGCCTCAGCCTCCTGGGTAGCTGGGATTACAGGCATGCGCCACCACGCCTGGCTAATTTTTGTATTTTTAGTAGAGATGGGGTTTCACCATGTTGGCCAGGCTAGTCTTGAACTCCTGACCTCAGATCATGCACCTGCCTCGGCCTCCCAAAATGCTGGGATTATAGGCGTGAGCCACCGCTCCTGGCCTAATGAAATGTAAAGTTTTATGAGTATAGATTATATAAACCTGAGAATGTATTTGCTAATTTTGCTCCATGTGTCTCAACTATTCATCTGGGATAAATGTATTCTAGGTTTCAGTTCAATGAAAAAAATAATTAAAATCAAATCCCCTCTTTCATTTTTCTACCAAGAGGTCAGTGAGTCTATGCTCAAATATCTCATTAGACATCATCCAATTTTAAATGTCTTTAACAATAATAACAAAACTGAGTGAAAAAGGGAAGAGAAATTTCCTTTGCACAAAACCCATTTGGTTCATAGGAGAATTTATTCCCTTTTTAAAGCATTGATCATATGAAGAATAAAAGATAGATTAATGGGCTGAATGATAAAACATTAGATCATTGAAGTTTATTACAGATAAAGTAATAAACAAATCTTGACTGGGCAATAAACTATATTATATACTCCAAGTAAGTTTTATAGTCAGAAGATATTTTGTTTCACTGTGGGAAAGATAGGAATGTTTTCAAGATTATCCTTGTTCTCTAATTTCTCAAAATGTTCGAGATTATGAGTTCTCTCCTTTGTCTTTCCTTTATCAGAATATATGCCTATTACAGCAAAGTATATGTTTTATTCACTGATACACTGTCATGTGCTTAGAATAATATTTGACATATAATTGTCACTTGATAAGTATTACTTGATTACATAAATTAAAAATTGAACAAATTGACAAGTGGTAGATAGAACAGGGAGATAGAACAGGGAGAAGAATAGTTCATGGAAGCTACTTTAATTTTACCAGATTTATCAAACAAAAAGGAACTTCTTATAGTAAAAATAAAATCATTGCTTATCTAAAGTTCAAATTTAACTGAGCATTCCGTATTTCATCTGGCAAGTGCACATTTAGAAAAGAAAAAAGAAAAAATCTTAGGACAAAAGTGCCATCAATATTTACATATAATAGGGAAAGAAAGAAATTTCTTCCAAGACTATTTTGATACATGTAAGGAAATCAAATTATATGTGTTTAAGAAACAAAACAAAACTTAAAAAGTATCGAAAGGGTTAAAACTTTCTTTAAAAACACAGTTTGGTTTATAAAATCTTGCTAGACTCAGGGATGTTATGACCTGTTCCATCATGTGTGTATGTGGGTGTGTTTTGGGATAAACCCTAAAACAGCTTTTAAGTGTTTTTTTATACTTTGTTATTCCCTACTTGGAGGTCATCAGGGATGAGCTGCTGCTGCTGGTGGCAAACATGGCCTTCTACTTTGAGTTTTACAGTGTAGTCTCAAAAGAATTATTACATTAAAAGTAAAATAACACATCGATTCACAGTGCCGAAACATCAAACAGGAATTATTTTATTCACTGACACAGAGAAGTAGGTACTTGACAATCCTCCTGGGCTGCCCTCTTACTGATCCTTCAGTGCTCAATTTAACAATTAGAAAAAGTGAAAGAGATATTAATTATTTGTGAGTAGACATGTCTCCCTAATAATATCATAAACTTCAGGAATACTAAGAACCATATATGAAGCATCTATCTTTTGTGTATCTGGTAAATAATAGGTACTCAATTATGGATTGAAGAAAATTTTAGGACGAATGAAAGAAATATAAATAGGAGTGTCAGCATCTTTTCTATTTTTTTTAGTTAACTTCTTAGTATGTTTTTCTGTTCTCATCGGTATGTTTAAATGAGTAAATGAATGAAATTCTGGTGCCTCCGTTTCTTTATCTGTAATATAATAATGTACCTATCCAATGGCATTGTTATGAAGATTAAGTAAGTTAATGTGGGTAAAGTGCTTGGAATAGTGATTGGCGCATGGTAAATTTTATCTATCATCATCAGCAGAAGTGGCAGCATTTTTTATAGTTAGATCTTTTTCCAATGAGAGCTTCAGACTGGACTTCTTTTGTCCTAATAGTCGCCCCTCCAGTTAGAAACCTGGCCTTGGGCTGGATAGGCCCTTTTTTGAGGTTTTAAAAGAAGTGTCACCCCTTCTGGATGAACCTAGGCTCAAATGTTCCTTGAAAAATGATGTGTCCCCTTCATGTTTACTCGATCGTTTATTTTTCTTCCCCATCCCTGCTTCTTTATAATTCAATCCTGAACGTTGATTGTCATAGCTGAACTCTGTTTAACTGTGTTCTTGGATGCCTCAATATTTCCCTTTTATTCTAATAAGCCTATTGTGATGTCATTGTCTCAGCTGTTTTTAATTAAACTACTTCAATGGATAATGGAGAGTGACCCTACAAACTGGCTTTTAAAACACAGATCTGTTCAACACAGAATAACATGTTTTATACTAGGTTGTCTATTTACTAGTTTTATTAGAACTCCCTACCATCTATTGCTTGAATAGACTCAGATTAAGATTCAGATTAAGTAGGTTATAGCCTGGAATATCTAGAATACTGAGCTAGTTAATGTTCTTTCCTTATATACAATCTCTCTCCAATTGTTTTAGACCAGAATTATATTAACAATTATAATGAACATAAACTATGTTTAGCAACATTAATTTATGATTATTATATAAAGTTGTTAAAATTTCCCTCTTCCGTACTGCCAAATTCACCGTCCTGAATTATCTTGCATAATGGTTGAAGATAGGAGACTATTTCCATTGGGCTTTCTTGCTTCAGCAACACTTTCTGATGAGATCATGTTCCAAATATGCTAGAAACCCCTGTTCCTCTCCCTGCTTGCTGCGTCGTGGAATCCAGGGATGGTGAGCCACCCTCGATTTGCAAACTGTACTTAATTCACTTCACCTTTAATCTGTTTCACAAAGTATTTTCTCTTGTAGTGAATATGTATGTATAATGAATATATATAATTAATTTTTAAAATATTTTTAGTGCTAATAAAACTATTCTTTTTATAAAAATGTGTAATTCAATGCATCTCTTACCTCTTTACTTATTCATATCCTAGATAATCTAACCCAGTGGCTGTCAACCTTGGCTCTTCAGTGTGTTAAAAACACAGATGTCCCTCCTTACTTCCAGAAAAGTGAATGGAAATGTTAGGGGTGGAGCCAAGCATTATATTTTAAAATAAACTTTATAAGACATTCTGATGCTCAGCTGTGAGATTCTTCCAATTGCATCCTAACTGAGAAATAATTAATCAAGCTAGTAATATTATTATTGCTTTATTACAAGCTGAAAATACTTCTTAAAATGTACCTGCATGGATAATAAAGAAGACATTCAATATCCAAAGATGAGAAAGAGTTGTATATTAGTCTTACTTCTTTGGATCTTGGCAAATTATTTTGTAATTGGGAACACCTCTTTCTTGGAAAGTCTTAGTCTCTAGAGAGGAACAGTGGAATGGTAATGTTAAAAAAAATTACCTGGGGTACTCTTTAAAATATGCTCTATATGAGTGACATTAGAGTCCTTCACTATTCAAATGCTTTTTTTCTTCCTTTTTTGTTTTTTGCCTATTAATTCTTCATGTTGAAAAGGGCAAACCCAAAGTACAGTCACATTATGTAAATGAAGTTGAGTTAATTATTAGCAATAATTTGCAATGTGATGAAAAGATGTATTCATTTGAATTTTAATAATCAGTTTTTATTCATGCACTTCTAAAATAACTTGTGGCTTAAGGAAAATAGAATATATAAGTGCAGTTGAGAAACTTTTTCTTAATCCCAAACATATTGCATACATTTTAAATAATGCTAGACAGAAGATACCATATCATGGTGCTTCAATTATATATTATAATATTAATAAAATTCAGAAAATTTGCTAATCAATATGCATCATGATTAAACAGATAAATTCCCAAGTAGTTTTGTAGCCAAATTTTCATAAAACTCTCAGTTAAGGAGAAATAGCCTTTCATGGAAAGGTTGTACTCCTAAGTTTAAGTAACTGTTACTTGGTCTCTGAGTCATATAATGTACATTTATTTCTATATATCATAATGATCCCTTAAAATAGAATGTGGTCTAATAATTCCTAATATCTATTCAAATATACACGAATAACTCAATTACTCAGAGGTCCATTTTCCAGGTTATGAATTATTTATTTCTTTTGTTTTGAAGAGGTTATTATAGCTGTCAGGGGCAAGAGAATAGTAAAGCTCCAGAACCTGATGACAGTGTTTATAAGATATTTAAACGTGGAAAAGAGGCATTAGTTACAAAATGGAATAACTTTTAAATTAAGGAAGAGTCAAAGCAAAATGCTTCAGTATTTCTAAGACTCTTTCCATATGGATTATTGAACAACAACGTAAAGTGAACCCTCCAAGAATTCCCATGAGATTTTAGTTTGTAATGAAATACAGCAGATAGGATTTTTGCCAACAGTAGATCTAGGAAAGGGGCTGACATCAAGAACTGTAGCCATGATATTTATTTGATACTACTAGCAACCCAAACCAAAGTTCTGACTGTCATTGATTGTGTTTGGCTGCCCTGAGCTCACTGAATTCTGGGATGATTTAAGTTTTTCCAAACAAAGAGTATTTTATTTGGCTTTTCCCCATGGATTAAATTGGAGCATAAGCAATAGAATAAGGCAGTGCTAAGGGTAAATGCTATTAACGACAAGTATTGATGTGACTCAGGTAAATTCTGTATGCCTAAGACTTCTGTGAACAATGTTCAGCTAAAAGCTATCACTAATTCAGTTCTTTTGAGTGTCAGAAGGTTTTTGGATAGATTTTACTGCCAAAATGGCAACAAGTGATCAAATGAAGAAGCTGTGAGATTTGTAACTACCCAAGATTTTACACGTTTTTTCATTAAGCCATTTTATCTATGTTCCCTGAGTTCCATTATACATTAAGAAGGATTTGTAACCACATATGCCTATGGAAAATGTATTCTCTTTTAGACAACCGAATTGACATGTTCATTATTGCAATACAATTGCATTAGATTTGACTTACATAATGAATGGGGAATAAATTAATAGCTGACACAATCCTGTTTTGGGATATTCGACATCTTCATTATCAGAAAACCAAAGCCTTTATGGCACTGATTTATGTACACTAAAAAGTTACTTTAAACTATCTTGCAGTCTCTTATACTTTAGTTAATTTCACCCAAGATATTTACTTGTGAACGATACAATGCTATACTACCTCCTAGAAAGCATTCTTCCATGGAAACAATAGTAGAATGGCAATAGCTTGCTTATGAGATGGAAGGAAAAACTCAAAAATAGGTCACTTACCAGCTAAATTTTATTGCTTGGACCAACTTAATCCTAGAAAACATCTGTGACAATTGTCCAATACAGTCTGGACTACTCCTAAAATGTTTGATTTTTAAAATCCTTATTCTGGCAATTCTTCTTTTAATGTTAGTGTACTGAAATTAGAGATGTGTTTTGCCTCTTTTATAGCTCTATTACCCCAACAAAAATAATACTTAAAGTCTAGAGTTAGCTATTATTTAAAAAAAGAACCTCAGCTATAAAATGTCAATGACATCATGGCCCAAATCAACAATTACCAAAGTTCTCTGGACGTTGTAACTAGAGCATTTAAGTGAAACAACAACAACAACAACAACAACAAAAGTTGTGACTCTAAAGCTAAAAATGTTCTTTCTCCCAAAATGTTAAAAACAGTGAACGCAGACATACTTTGGGGGAAGGGAGCTGGATTACAGATCCTTATCATAACTTAGAAGCATCAAATAAAAAATTAGGAAATTAATTAACTACTAAGATACTTAAGTATTAACAAGAAAAATCAACTAGACACACATTTGGAAACACCTAAATAATTACAGTATCATCTATCAGCTCTTCTAATGCCTGAAGACACAACATTTCTATTCATCATTCAGATTCTTCTTGAAGTCTGCCTTTTGGAATGATCATAATCAGAAGCAATGTTTTCCTAAATTCCACCCTGCCTGGATTTGAATGTGCTCCTCATGAACTGCCAAATGCATTTCCCAAATTTCATGTCCTTATTCTCAGTCCCTCTACCTAGAGTCATAATATATATTTGACGATAATATTTTACAGTCTGAAATTCAAGGATCATGCCCTTGAAAGCTGTTAGAGACATGGAAGGCAATGCTATTTTGTAAAACAGCCAGGTGAAAAGTCATAGAAAGGAGCATGACCTACCAAGAACTGCACAGTAGGTACCTACCCCGGAGTGCTCAAATTCAAATTATTGAAAAAGCAAGCATAGAGACAACAAACAAAAAAACACAAAGCTAGCCCAGCAAGATAGATTAATGAGATAGCTTCAGCCCAACAGCTGCCATGTTGCAACATTTAGCCTAGATCAGTGGTTCTCAAGACAAGCTGCAAATTACAGTCATGGCAGCAATGGAAACGAAACACAACTATACATGCCCACCACTTTCCTCCAGAAATGGTGGGCAAATGGTCTGGGGTGGGGCTCAAAGCACTGGAATCTTTTAACAATTCCCTAGCTGATACTAATACCAAAGTTGAGAACCATCGGTCTAAAAAAAAAAAAAGATTTTATTGAATTACATGAATTTATATTTTTCTGCTTAGATATTAATCCCTATGGGACAGAAAGAGGCTGCTGACTTTCATATTTACAATGAAGCCAATTTACTAAGCTGTTTTTCAAATGCCAGTGGGAAGTTTCCCTACACTGTCTTTGGTCACACATTTATTCATTAGAGAGATAGTTGAGGTTAGGGATACAGTCAGACATACAGAACAACTGTAACTGTGTATTAAAGTTATGCAGAAAAACAGAACCAAGAGGATGTATACGTGTGTCTACATGTGTGTGTATGTGTGTGTGTGTGTGTGTGTGTAGAAAGAGAGGTATGGTGTATGTGTGTGTGCATGTGTGTTTGTAGATGAGGGGAGGGAATTATTTTAAAGATTTGGCTTACATGATTATAAAGGCTGGCAAGTGCAAAATCTGCAAGGTAGGCCAGCAGGCTAGAAACCCAAGGAAAAGTTGACGTTTCAGCTTTAGTCTAAAGATAGTATGGAGGCAGAATTCTTTCTTCCCCAGGAGACTTCCTCCTTTTTACTCTTAAGGTCTTTGGCTCATTGTGGTTGAGTTCACCACATTATGGAGAGTAATCTGCTTTACTCAAAGTCTACTGATTTAAATGTTAATCTCATCTAAAAAAAATATTCACAGCAACATTTAGACTAGTGATTGACCAAGTATTTGGATGCCAAGTTAATACATAAAATTAACCAGCATGCTATGCAAACCACCCCACAAATGAAAAAATGGAACAACTTGCTTTTCATTAAACACAATTGCATTCTCTTACTTACAAATTGAACCTCTTGGTTACCGATGTGTTCTAACCGACCAAACTAAAGGCCTGAATAACAACCAGTTTTTCTTATTTTCAGGCCTACGTTTCTTCCTTTATAATTTTCTTCCTTTAGAAGACGTGACATTATCAAGAGAATCTTCCCTAGCTAAGATCCTTAGCACTAGAAAACTTACTTGATTTTATTCTTTGCCTCATCATCTTTCTACTTACTGAGTTAATGTACACTTCAAAGTAATGAACTTGCCTTTTTCTAAGGAGCTCAGAAACTAAAAACAACTTAAATAACTATTGTACTAGAACATACAAGATTTGGAAGTGCTATAGTTTGAAGGTGTCCCAGAAAGCATGTGTTGGAAACTTAATCCCCAATGCAACAGTTTTGGGAGATGGGTCCTAATGGGAGGTGTCTAGATAAATAGATTAATGTTTATTATAAAAGGGATCGAGACTGTATGCTTGATCTCTTGCACTCTCTCTTGCCTATGATCACTTGTTCTTCTACCTTCTGCCATTGAGTGATGTAGCAAGAAAGCCCTAGCCAGATGCAGCCCCTCAACCTTGGACTTCTCAGTCTCTAGAACTGTAAGAAATAAATCTGTGTTCTTTAGAAATTACCCAGTCTCACATATTCTGTTACAGCAGCACAGAGTCAAGTAAGAAATGTGTTTATAATAGTGTGGCAGTTTTTAAAAATGGTTACAATTTTTTTGTATCTTCTTGCATCTAGAAGTAGAGTTTATGTCCCTTTTTCTGAGTCTGAGAATCCTTGTGCTCTTTCAACCAGTAGAGGCAAAAGAAGGGATGTTCTATGACTTCCAAGACTAGGCTACAAAAGGTCTTGCAGTCTCTGTCGAGTTTTCTTGAGATGATCTGAGGGAGGCTAACCTCCATATAAGAAGTGTGACTATTCTGAGATTGCCATGCCAGAGTAGCTACCTGAAGGCATTGAAGGAGGCAGTCCCAGCTGAGCCCAGCCATTCCAGCCATTCTTGCCAAGGTACCAAACAAGCAAATAAAGTTTTCTTAGACTCTACAGACCAGGCTATTGATTGAATATTATGATTGCCCTCATTTGATACCACAAGGAACAGATTCGAGTTCTACCTAAATTCCTCAGCCACAGAATTAAGACAATATAAAAAGATGGTTGTTGTTTTAAGCCACTCAGTATGGGGATAGTTGTCACACAGAAATAAAATTGGAGAACTAGCAGTAATGACAGAGGACTAGAAACTGAGAGCTGAGACATCCATCTATCTTTTCTCTTGAGTTAATGCAAACATGAGTGAAGCTGATACACAATGCAGACTGTCAGAAAGCTAAATCTTCTCTGGAAAGGCTAGCACAAGGCTGATGATACTATCATTGTGTTCTGATGCCTACTTAATAGCTGTGATATAATGAAGGTACTTCAAAAATATGTATATTGAAGACTTCTTGACTTTAAATCTTAAACCTGATTAATCTCCAGTAATCCTGTATTCACTCATCTGTAATGCAAGAAATACAGAGCACTCAAGATGCTGAGGAGGAAAGATCACTTGAGACTAGAAATTCCAGGCTATAGTGCACAATGACTGTGTCTGTGATTAGTCAAACTGCACCCCAACCTGGACAACATAGTGGAATCCTGTGTCTTTAAAAAAAGAAAAAAGAAAGAAAGAAATTCATATTAATCAGCACAGTAAATCCTGTTAAGTCTACCTTCAAAATATTCCTCAAATTCATTTACTACTCTGCATCTCTACCATTGCCTTCCCAGGTCACTATTATTCCTTGCTTGGTTTCTGGTAATAGCCTCCTAACTGGTTACTTCTCTTTCATTTCACTGCTCTGCTTAAAACCTTCCTTTTGCCAGGTATGGTGGCTCACGTCTGTAAGCCCAGCACTTTGGGAGGCTGAGGCAGGAGGATCACTTGAACTGAGGAATTTGAGACCAGCCTGGGTAACATAGTGAAACCTTGTCGCTACTAAAAATAAATAAATAAAACCCCAGAACAAAAACAAAAACTCTTCCTTTTTTCCCATTACCTTTAGGTTAAAAACTCAATGTCCTCACCAGGACCTATTAGGTCGTGAATGATTTAGCCTCTATCAGCATCTGCAATCTTATATCTAGCAGCTTCACTGTTTACATACCATGTTCCAGCCACACTGGTCTTTTCCAAGTGCCTTGAACTTCCCAAACTCTTTCCTGCCAGTGTTTTTGTGCTTACTGCGCTCACTGTCTAGAACACTCCTCACATGTCTGGCTCCTTCTCACTTTTCACGTTTCTTAATATTCTCTATTAAAAAACACTTTTTATTTTACTCACAATAACAATTTCAAGATTTACCATCTTATTTATTCATTTTATGCTGTATATTTTCTCTACCAGCAAATAATCCCCAGGAAGAAACAGAGACCTTGTCTGTCCTAATCCACCATTTCATCACCATTGCCTAGGACCATGCCACAGACATAACAGATGCCCAATGAATATTTCTGAATGTCTAAGTGATTGAACCAGTACTTCAATTTTGACATTTTAATACATCTATAAATAATTGAGTGATCTGAATGCCTAAATTTGGCTAAGAGGATAGGTTATATGGCAACGTGCTGATCTATTTGAGTACTCTCTCAATAAATGCTTTCAGTTGTCATCAGCACAGTTCTCATTCATCTTTGATTTAAGCATTTGTCATTGTGCCCCATTGTAGAATAGCATAATACAATGCATACATGCCTCACCAATCTGACACATCTAAGGTCACACTGTTAGTAGTACTTGAATATTGCTATTTCCAACTTCTCATTTTCTCATTCAGAAACTCCAATGCCTTAACACTTCCCACCCCTTCAGCAACAAAAAGGATCTTATATGCACTTCAATATCAGTTTGAACTGTAATTACCCACCATCCTCTGCTACTCCAAGCTCTATCTTCACCATCATTCCTTGCCTCACACAGGCCCCTCATTTCATTAAGGTGCATATTCCTACCTTTTTATTTGCAACATTAATGTTCTCAGTGCTCAAACAGTATGTCAGGAGTCTTTGCAATGTTCCATCCCACTATATTAAGCTCAATGGGTAGGGTTCCATAGCAGGAGAGCTTAAGGATCTGAACTAGAGTAAACTCACAGTACAAGTAGACTCAAAAGCATATATGGCTCTCGACAATAGAAGTGTATTTCTTGATCATGTGACACTAAAAGGTGAGAGAACAGGTAGATGGGTCTGCCATCTCTTATACTTTCAGTCACACAGAGACCCAGATTGGTGAAGTTTCTGCTGTCTTCTGCATGAGACTTCCAAAGTTCCCTGGGAGAAGTTTTTATTATAGGCAGCAGAAAAAAAAGAGAGAAGATCACAGAGGAGCACTTCCATGAGCCAGATCTTGAATAGCAACATCACTTCTTACAATATTCCACTGGATAGATCTGAGTCACCATGGTAATGCTTAATGACGACGAGAGCTGAGAAATGTAATACTTATCTGAGAAGTCACTTTTCAGTAACAATTCATGAATTTTTGCTGGATAATTTTCTCTGCCTACCACAGCCCATAAATACTTTAGAATATAGTGGAACACCTTTTCCGGATCACACATAGAGCCCTTCATGTCCTCAGGATGTCCACATGCTTCTAGGGTAGGTATATTGGGACTGGTTTCAGGACTTGGCACCACACCATACCCAGAATTACCATTTCATTCTTATCTCAGTCTCTGTTGCTGAATCTGCAAGCTTCTGCAAAGGTTCAAGTTTCTTTCTGTATCCTGGCTTGCAGAGGCTTCTATTGAACCATAAGTTACATCTGTAACATTTTGGATGAGTACAGTTTTTTTTTTTTTGCCTTCAAGGAAACTCTTCAACCCTCAACAAAAAGTCACTGGGAGAAAAATAGAGATTTTCTGGTGATAGTGTTGCTCAAAACTATCTACCAATCATACCCATACCACAGCTCCAACCCTTCTCAGATCCTTGTAAGGAATTTGAATTAATCCTGGATATTGGTTGGAATTTATGAAGACATAGGGGATAAAGAAAGAATTCCAAATAAGAGATAAGACTTCGCTAAAGACTGACAGGAATTCATTCATCATACATTCATTTATTCATTAAATATATATAGCTCTCTGAGGTTTAGAGAAAGAAAATGGCTTTTTCATGTATAAACAAGTATAATATTCTTTACATTAACTATAAACTGCCTCATGGTAGGAGCTATTCATTTTTCTGTTAGTAATCTTCACAAAGTTGATTCTAAATCCTATTTTACTAAAAATTTAAGAATACATCTTAAAGTTCAAAAATAGTTCTTGGAGGTGATTTCATTGATAAAGATCTTTTTAAAATCAAGATCAGAAGTAAGATTAGAATAAATGCAGAAAGAGTATAGGTATTTTCAAGATGAAGTCAGAAAGCAACTAAAAATACAGCTGAAAATAAGGTTAATATACTTAAGAATTGTAATTACAGGCAAGAGTCCAATGTTCATGAATCTCAATCTTCAGAAGACTGGCTAAGTAATGACATTTGAGAAAGCCAGTAAGCGGCAACTCTCCAATCCTTCTTTGTGAAGGAAAGCTGGACAGGCCTAGCCTAGCTGGCTTGAGTTTGAGGGGCCGCCTCAGAAGGTAGAAGTGCTTCTTGCTTGCATCTGTGGTGCATGGTGCCAGAGTCCAAATACAAAATTTTGTTCCAAGAAGAGATGCCAAGGGTCCGTTTGCAGAAATGTGTCCAAATGTTCTGTCAAACCAAAGAAGCCTGAAAGTCAAAGCCAAGACAGCCAATAAACACCAAGAAACAACAGGTCAGAACTGGGCAATAACCAGGATCAAATGACTTGGACTATCATTGTTCCAGGTGGGGTATAAGCTAAAATAAGCCAGTATATATAAAGAACATAGAACAGGGCAGAGAGTAAGAAAAATGGTTTCTAAAAAATAGCTAGGATAGAAATCAATTCTAACACAGATTTCTAGGAATGTGAAATAAGTGGTAACAAATGTAACTTGAGTTGAAAAAAACTGATAGATCTTGGCTCTTCCTAAACATATTCTTTATTGACTCAACTTTCAAATAGAATTTTCAGTTTTGACCAATAAAGTAATTGGTGTAGAATAAGAAATTATTGCCAGAAGATTTGTATAAAATATTAGAACCCTAGAAGAATGCACTTTTTCAGTAATCTCCTCTTGAAACAACTTAATTGCTTATCTTCCAGAAAAGACATAAAAAGCAGAGGCCTAAAGGTGAAGGTTTGATTAGACAGGAATTTAATAGCCATGTAGTTTGAGTGTAACTTAGATTGCGTGTCCCTGAAACAAATTCAGACACAAGAATCCATGTGCAAGTGATTTCTGAAGAAAGAACTCCCAGGGTAAGGGAGTGAGACAAGCAGGAAAGGGAGGGGAACAACGCAAACAACAATGCAATTTTAGGCAAAGCCTCCTGCCCTAGAGGATAGCTGCAACTTGATTCCACCAGGGTTCTCTGCAGTCTAGGATGTATGTCAGAGTTATTCTGCCCCAGTGCAAGAGAGCTGGCTTTCATATTTTTGCACTGCACTAGACCTTCTTTAGTGAAGAGTTACCCTGTGTGGAGGTCCTCTTTTGAGCAATCATAGGTACAGGTTGCTGGAAGCAAAAATGCGGGAAACTTAGGGTCAGAGCTCCGTGAAATAGTAAAAGGCATCAGAGGGAAGCCGGACAGAAGATTGATAACTGTGGTGGTGTTAGAAGTAATTTTAATATGTATATGTGTCTCACTCCTTTTGGGCTGCTATAACAAAATACTTTAGGCTGAGTAACTTACAAACAGCAGAAACGTATTACTCACATTTCTGGAGGCTGGGAAGTCCAAAATCAAGATGCCAATAGATCTGGTGTTTAGTAAGGGCTCACTCATTACTTAATAGATGGTGCATTGTTGCTAAGTCTTTACATAGCAGAGGGCACAGGGAGTTCCCTTGAACCTCTTTTTAGTTGGGATAGTAACCCATTCACGAAGATGAAGCCCTCAGGCCTTAATCACTTCCTGAAGGCTCACCTTCTTACTACTATCACATTGGGTAGTAAGCTCTAACATATGAATTTTGGGGGACACCAATATTCAGACCATAGCAGTATATAAACTCTGTTCCATTAAAATACATTTTACATAATCATATGATTAAGTATTCTTTTATAGGAAAATAGTATTTTATTAAAACTGTTATAAGAAAATATTTAAATCAACTACAACAAAAAGTGAAAATCTGTTTACTTCTCAATCATAAGCAAAATAAACCCATAAACCGAGAGATATAATAAAAATACAAATAGGAAGTGTAATAAAAGTGATCTGGGATGATGGTAACCTAGTAACATAATTTTATAATGACCTAGTAACATAATTTTATAATGGCTGAACAGTGTAAATTCATGCATCACCATAAGACATAATAACACGAATTACATTGAAAGGTAAATTAAAAGAAAATATATAAGGTATACTGGAATGGTAATTGCATTATGATAAAATGTGTTATTAATGAAAATATGGCATAAATATGATTTGATATTTTAAATAAAACTTTTAAAATGTGATGCAAAATCTTTACGACGTTCAGAAAGCATATGACAGATGAGTTATAGAGTGGGAGTTAAACTCAGCTGTATCTGCTAACGGTTAAACAAAATCTAAATATGAACATAATGATATCGAATGATACTCCCAACACAAAATTATCAGATATGTAGGTAAATTTTTTTACAAATAAATTGAATATGCTTTTATTAAAAAATGAATTTTCTCTGGTAAGTATTTATTCAAAAGCAATATGTGTTTCCTACCATAACTGAAGCAATGCAAGTATACATAAAGAAAAAAAATCTAAATCTAAAGCACATATCCTCCATTTCTATTTCCTCAATTAACCAATTTTAAATTGTTAGTTGTTTATTCTTAACATATTTATCCATATGCGAAATGTATATAAGATTTATTTTTGTTCATTTAAAACAGTAACAGTATACACAATACTTTCTACTTTCCCTTGCCCACTTAACAATATTACATGACCATCCGTCCTGATAAATATACATACATTTACTGGATTTTCAAAGGAGAGAAAAATTTTCAATAATAGGAATGACACAAAATGTATAAAATTATTTCTCTATGAATGATGAATATTAAATATGAAGCTTTTTCTATGTCACTATAAACATTGATACACTAATAAATTTTGTACCTATGTCCTTGTATGCCAGTGTTTTATTTCCAAAGGATAGATTCCCAGAAGTGGAACGTCTGGGTCAAAGAGTATGTACATTTTTTAATGTAAAGATAAAAATAAAATTCAGTTGATGACCAAGTATTTTTATTTCACTAAGAACATAAGAAGCAATCAAAAGGGAACTCTCACAAGCTACCTGAGACAAATTTGCCACTTGACAGGATCTATATCATATACCATGTTCTCTCACCCATGGTAAAATTAACTGTTTATTCCCCTAAATCTAATCCCTTCATCTATACACCATATTTCATTCTCTCTTGCCTACTCAAAGATAGTTTCACTCCAACACTTCTCCCCTTTTCTTCTGTCTCTTACACAAACTCAGTATTTCCACTTTATCAAGACAAAAAATCTTGGTGCTATCCTCCACTATTCTTTCTCTCATGCTGAACATACAACACATCAGCAAATCAGTTTGATTATACTCTAAGATGTAACCAGGATACAATCACATTTCACCACTTTTAATGTTATAACCTTAAGTCCAGCTAAAGTCCTGGATTACTGCTCTAGTTGTCAAAATGGTCTCTTTGCTTCTACCTTTGTTCTTTTACAATCTACTCTTAACTCAGTGGTCAGAGTAATTCTTTTCACCCTAAGACCGATGATGCCACTATTTTCCTAAAAAATCTCAATAGTTCTTTACTTCTGTCAGAATAAAAACCAAAGTCTTTACACACATGAACCCACAGGTCCACCTGCAGCTCTTTACCAGACCTTTGACCTGATCTCCTGTTACTCTACACCTTGCTCATTCTGTTCCAGCTAACTGACCTCCATGTTCTCTCTTGAATGTGCTAGATATGGTCCACCTCAGGGTCTTTGCACTTGTCACCCTTAACTATAACAAGCTTCCTCCAAATTGCTGCTTACTTAATTTCCTCACCTTCTTTAATTCTGAACTTGGGCATAATTTTCAGAGTGAAGACTGTAACAACCCTATTTAAAATTTTAGGCACCTCCCATATCCCAATCCATCCAGTCCTCTCTGTGTTATTGCTATGCAGCACTTACTGCTCTTAAATAAAATGTATAATTTCCACATTCTAGATCAGTTTAGATATTTCATAATTGTAAATCATTTTTATTAGTGTTTAAATATTATTGTATTCACTTGTCTTTATATTGTCCAAGATTTCCTTATGGAAAAAGTTTAACATACAACTTAGTGGAACAAATTTTGTAATAAACATCCTAATACTCATCACCTATATTTGACCATATACATTTTACTGTACTTGCTTTATTGCATACATCTCTATGTCACCATCATCCTGTTTAGCAATCCAGCCACTTCACTTTATATGCATTTCTAAATGAATTGCACACATCAGGTTTAATTCACATTTTCCTGATGCCAGATAATGCTGAACACTTTTTTACATGCTTACTGTCCTTTTATATATCTTGTGTTGTAAAACGTCTGTACAGTTTTTGCGCATTTTAATTGAGTTATTTGTCTTTTGCTTATTGAATTATAGGGTATCTTTGTATAACCCATATACCTGCTCTTTGCCAGCGGTATGTATACAATTTTCTTCCCACCTATGGTTTGCCTATTCGTTTTTTTAACTGTGTACTTTGATAAGCATATTTTAATTTTTGATAAAGTATAATTTCTCAATTGTTATAGGTATTGTTTCTGTAAACTAAGAAATCTTTGCTTACATGAACATCATGAAAATTACATTTTATCTAAAAGTTAGATGATTTCAGCGTTTATATTTATGTCAATAGTCCATTTTGAGTTAATTTTTGTGTATGGTGTCAGGGAATTTTTAATTAATAAATTTTATCTATTGGAAGAGTTTTAGGTTCATGGCAAAATTAAGCAGAAAGTACAGAGAGTTCCCATACACACTCTGCCCACCGCCCCTCAACAACTACCGCCCCCACTATCAACATCCTGCACCAGAGTAGTACATTTGTTACAATCTAAGAATGTATATTGACACATCATTATCACTTAAAGTCCATAGTTTACATAGTGGCTCACTCTTGGAGTTGTACATTCTATAGGTTTGGATGAATGTATATTGACATGTAACCATCATTGTACTTTTTTTTTTTTTTTTTTTTTGAGACAGAGTCTTGCTCTGTTGCCCAGGCTGGAGTGCAGTGGCGCAGTCTCAGCTCACTGCAAGCTCCGCCTCCCGGGTTTCAAGCGATTCTCCTGCCTCAGCCTCCCGAGTAACTGGGACTACAGGCGTGTGCCACCCTGCCAGGCTAATTTTTTGTATTTTTGGTAGAGACGGGGTTTCACTGTGTTAGCCAGGATGGTCTCGATCTCCTGACCTCGTGATCCACCCACCTCGGCCTCCCAAAGTGCTAGGATTACAGGCGCATTGTACTATTGTATAGGATAGTTTCATTGTCCTAAAAATCCTCTATCCTCTGCCTATTCATCATTTCCTTCTCTTGAACTCTCAGCAACCACTAATTTTTTACTGTTTCCAGTTTTGCCTTCTCTGGAATGTCATAGAGTTGGAATCATATAGTAATTGTAGCTCTTTCAGATTGTTTTCACTTAATTAGTAATATCCATTTAAATTTCCTCCATGTTTTTTCATGGCTTGATAGCTCATTTCTTTTTAGCCCTGAATAATAATTCTTCATCTGATTGTAGCATAGTTTATTTATCCATTCATCTACTGAAGTATATCTTGGTTGCTTCCAAGTTTTGGTAATGATGAATAGAGCTGCTATAAACATTCATGTAGAGGCACAACTTTTCAATTCATTTGGGTAAATACCAATGAGCATGATTGCTGGATTGAATGCTAATGGTATGTTTAGTTTTGTAAAAAACTGCCAAACTGTCTTCCAAAGTGACTGTACCATTTCCTTTTCCCACCAGCAAGTGAAAGACTATCTTTTCTCCACTGTACTGCCTTTACTCCTCTGTCAAAGTATAGTTGACTATATTTTTATGAGTTTATTTCTGTACTTACTATTCTGTTTCATTGACATATTTGTCTATTCCTTCACCAACACCAAACTATCTTAATTACTGTAACTTTATAGTAAGTATTGAATTTCGGTAATATCAGTCATCTATATTCTTCTCCTTTAATAATTTGTTGGCTATTCTTGGTCTTTTGCTTCTCCATATAAACATGGTAATCAGTTTGTGAATATCCACAAATTATCTGCCTAAGATTTTTATTGGGATTGCCTTGAGTATATAGATCAAGTTGGAAGTAACTACTATCTTGACAATATTGAGTATTCCTATCTATGAACATAGACTCTCTCTCAATTTATTTCTTATCTGCTATTTTTCATTACTGTTGTATAGTTTTTCTCATACAGATCTTATACATATTCTGTTAAATTTACATCTAGGTATTTCATTTTTGGGGTGCTAATGTAAATAAAATTCTGTTTTAATTTCAAATTCCATTTGTTCATTGCTGGTATATTAAAAAGTGATTGACTTTTGTACATTAAGTTTGTGCCCTTCAACCTTTCTATAATCACTTACTAGTTTTAGGAGCATTTTTGTTTATTTTGTTCATATTGTCTACATAAGTGATCATGTCATCTACAAAGACAGTTTTATATCTTCTTGCCCAATTTGTATATATTTTATCTCCTTTTCTTGTCTTTATGCATTAGTTAGGACTTTCAATATGATGTTTAAAAGCAGTAGTATCTAATCTTAGTGGGAAAACTTCAAGTTTCTCATAGTTATTATGTTACTGTGGATTTGTGTGTGTATGTGTGTGTGTGTGTTCTTTATCAGGTTGAAAAAGTTTATATTCCTAATTTCCTGATAGTTTTTTTAATAAATAGGTGTTGAATTTGATATGATTGTGTGATTTTTATTCTTGAGCCTGTTGATGTGATGGATTACATTGGTTTAGAATGTCAATCAGCCTTGAATACCCGAGATAAATCCCACTTGGTCATTGTTTATAATTCTTTTTATATATTGTTGGATTCTTTTTTTTGATTGAATATTTTTTGAGGATTTTTGTTTCTATGTTCCTGAGTGACATTGGTCTGTAGTTTCCTTTTTTGAATTGTCTTTTTTTTTTGAGATGGGGTCTTGCACTGTTGCCCAGGCTTGCAGTGGCATGATCTCAGCTCACTGCGACTTCTGCCTCCCAGGTTCAAGTGATTCTCCTGACTCAGTCTCCTGAGTAGCTGGATTACAGATGCCTTCCCCCACGCCCAGCTAATTTTTGTATTTTTAGTGGAGATGGGATTTCACTATGTTGACCAGACTGGTCTCGAACTCTTGACTTCAAGTTATCCACCCGCCTCGGCCTCCCAAATTGTTGGGATTACTGGCATAAGCCACCATGCCCGGCCATTGTAATGGCTTTATCTGGTTTTGGTTAGGTAATGCTGACCTCATATAATGAATTAGGAAGAATTTCCTGTGCCTCTATATTCTGTAAGAGATTGTAGATGATTGCTATAATTTATTGCTTAAGTGTTGTTGTCAACTTCATCAATGAACCCATCTGAGCTCTCTATTTTGGAAGGTTGTTAATTATCGATTCAATTTCCTTAATAGACATAGGCCTAATTCCAATCATCTATTTCTTGTTGCATAATGATTGGCAGGTGGTGTCTTTCAAGAAATTGGTCCATTTTACCTAGGCTGTCAAATTTGTGAGGAGAAAGTTTTCATAATATTTTTATTATCCTTTTGATATGCATGGGATCTATAGTGATGTTCCCTCTTTCATTCTTATACTAATCATTTATATTTTCTCTCTCTTAGCCTGCCAGAGTTTTATCAATTTTATTGATCTTTCCATAGAACTAGTTGTTGGTTTCATTGACTTTTCTCTATTAATTTCCAGCTTTCAGTTTCATTGAGTTATGCTCTAATTCTTATTATTTCTTTTTTTCTGCTTACTTTGAATTTCATTTGCACTTTTTAAAACTATAGTTTCCTAAGGCAGATGCTTAGAAACTTTATTTTAGCACTTTCTTTTTTAAATATCTGCATTCAGTGTCATAAATGTTCCTCTATGCACTAGTTTTATAGCATTCTACAAATTTTGATAAGTTGTGTTTTCATTTTTATTTAGTTCAAAATATTTTTTGAATTCACTTGAGATTTCTTTTTTGACCTACGTGTTATTTAGAAGTCTGTTGTTTAATCTCTAAGTATTTTGGAATTTTCCAGCTATCTTTCTGTTATTAATTTCTGCTTTAATTCCATTGTATTCTGAAAGCAGACATTGTACAATTTTTACTTTAGATTTGTGAACATGGAATTTATGGCCCAGAATGTGGTCAATATTGTTGAATGCTCCATGAGAGATTGAGAAGATTTTGTATTTTGTTGTGTTTGGATGAAGTACTCTACAGATGTGCATTACATCCAATTGACTGATGGTGTTGTTGAGTTCAACTATGTACTTAATGATTTTCTGTCTCCTAAATCTGTCCATTTCTGACAGAGGGGTGTGAAAGTCCCCAACAGTAATCATGAATTAATCTATTTTTCCTAAAAGTCTATGAGTTTTTGCCTCAGGTATTTTGATGTTGTGGTGTTAGGTGCATATACATTAAGGATTGTTATGTCGTCTTGAAGAACTATCTCTTTATCATTACGTAATGCCTGTGTTTATCCATGATAATAAGTCTGCTCTGTCTGAAGTTAAAATAGCTACTCCAGTTTTTTTTCGGTTTTTTTTTTTTTTTTTTTTGAGACAGAGTCTCTCTGTCACCCAGGCTGGAGTGCAATGGCACGATCTCGGCTCACTGCAACCTCCACCTCCTGGGTTCAAGCAATTCTCCTGCCTCAGCCTCCTGAGTAGCTGGGATTTCAGGTGCATGCCACCACACTCGGCTAATTTTTGTATTTTTTTTTTTTTTTTTGGTAGAGACCGGGTTTCACCATGTTGGCCAGGCTGGTCTTGAACTCCTGGCCTCAGGTGATCCACCCACCTCGGCCTCCCAAAGCGTTGGGATTACTGGCATGAGCCACGACACCCAGCCTACTACTGCTTTTTGAAAAACAGTTTTAGCATGGTGTATCTTTCTCCATCCCTTTGCTATTAATCTGTATGTGTCTTTATATATAAAGTGAGTTTCTTCTCAAACAACATATAGTTGGGTCTTACTTTTTTATCTACTCAGAAAATCTCTTTTTTTAAATTTGTTTATTTAGACCTTGATGTTTAAGATGATTATTGATATAGCTGAATACAATGCTATTATTATTTTGAACGAACTATGATCTGTTAGATCAATTAAGAAAAAAGAAAATTAAGGTTTATTATTTCAATAATCAGGACCTTCAATACAATGTTGAATACAAATGGTGGTGACTGTGTGCATCTTTGCATTATTCCTGATATGTGGGGGAAATATTAAACATTTTACCACTATAAAATGTTACCTGCAAATTTTTACATAAGTCCAATTTCTTTAAGACATATGAGGCAGTTATCACATAAGTTGGGAGTCACTGAACTTCTCTAAATCTATAAATTTGTATCTTTCACCTACTTGCGGAAATTTTGGCCACTATTTATTCTCTTTTGTTTGTGTGCCACATGCTCTCCCTTCTCTCTTTTGGGACACCATTGTGCTATAGGTCCCAGAGTTTCTTTGTGTTTTAAAAATCTTTTTCACCCTATTCTTCAGATACCTAATTGCATTGACCTATGCCCAGTTCCACTTCTCCCTTCATAGTCACAAACTCTGTCATACTTCCAGGAACTGTGTCTACATATGACAATGCCTGGCAGAATAAAAGGGACATCTCTTTTTATTTATCAGTAACGTTGCCAGAAGACTTCCCCTATGCCAGAACTATGTCACATATCCATCCTAGGCCCAATTGCCAGCAAAAACAATGGTATACTACTTTTGGTTTAGTGAGTTATATGGTCTTCAAGAGGAGAGTTGGTTCAACAAATAAATTAGAGACTCTGTCACAAAGGAAAAAGCTGGTTGTACTTCTTGGATAGGCAGCCAGCAGTCTCTTCTACATAAAGCTCTGCATTGCAAAATTCCAAAAGACAATTTTCATATAGACTAACACAAGAATCATGGGCCCCAGAATTGTACAATTTGGTGCTGTTAAAATTAATTACTAGACAATTTTTAAAAAATAGAATTGGGAAATTCAAAAAATGAAAACCAGTTTTATTTTCATCTAACTGCAAAGCCACTTCAACAGGAATGAGATCAGTATTGGTTAAAATTCATGATATAGACACTCTAAGCATAGTTTAAAAGGAACAAGGAGGATATTCTAAGGTATATAGATTAGCATATAATCATTGTTGACAAAAATACGGAAAAAGAAATGATTAGACTAAGATTTTGTAAAAAGTCTACAGTAAGTTTTCTCAGGGGGAAAAAAGCAAATAAAGTTGTGTTAGTCAGAGTTCTCCAGAGAAATAGCATGAATAGGATATATATATCCTATTCATATATATATATATATATATATAGCTATAAATTTATTTATTATCTTATAATACATCTATATATTGGCTCACAGAATTATGGAGGCTGAGTAGTTCCAAGATCTATAGTCAGAAAGCTCAAGACCCAGGAGAGCCAATGGTGTAGTTTCAATCAGAGTTTGAAGTCCTGAGAGCTCATAGAGCTGATGGTATAAGTTTCATTCTGAGTGGCCGTGGCTTGACACCTAAGAAGAATTGCTTTTCCAGCTTGAGTCTGAAGGCAAGAATTTTTTTTTTTTTTTTTTTTTCAGACAGAGTCTCACTTCGTCACCCAGGCTGGGGTGCAGTGGCTGTGATCTCTGCTCACTGCAGCCTCTGCCTCCTGGGTTCAAGTGATTCTCATGCCTCAGCCTCCTGAGAAACTGGAATTACAGGTGGGCACCACCACACCTGGCTAGTTTTTGTATTTTTAGTAGAGATGGGGTAGAGAGGCTGATCTCGATTTCCTGACCTCAGCCTCCCAAAGTGCTAGGATTACAGGTGTGAGTCACCGTGCCTGGCCAGAAAAAGATTGATGTCCCAGTTTACCCAGTTAGGAAGGAGGACTTCCTTCTTATTTATGGGAGGGAGAGCTTTTTCATTCTATTCAGGCCTTCAACTGATTGGATGAGGCCCACCCATGTTAGAGAGGGCAATCTGCTTTACTCAGTCTACTGATTTAAATATTAATCTGATCTGCAAACGCCCTCGAAGGCACACTCAGAATAATGTTTGACCAAAATATCTGGGCACTTCATGGCCTAGTCAACTTGACACTTGAAATTAACCATCACAAAAGTATTTCACTGGGTGATGATAAAAGCAATTATTTAATGACAAACTTCTCTGTTTACAGAAGTATTCCTAGAAGAAGAAAGGACCAAAATAGGCAGTAATTAGATCCAGTTAGTTCAAGAGTGTGATTCATATTAAAAATTAAGTCATCTTTTCAGATGAAGAGAAGGCCAAGGACTTTTTCCTTTGGATAAATTCCTAGAAATTATATCATTTTTCTGTTCATTAATGCAGTTTTGGATAGTTTTTTGGCAATTAATTCCTATTTTAGCTAAAACTGCCTAAAACACCAGTGCAATTAAGGACTGTCAAATATTAAAAATGTAAACAGAGTAGTATCATCTCATCATGGTTAACTCCTATTACTCAATTTCTTATCTTTATGCAAGTACCATGGGTTTGACTTCCAAACCCTTCCCATCATAAAATACCTACATTTATGCAACACCTTTTTATAGACACTTGCATAAGACTTAAAAAATCCATTTAGTCAGAGTTCCCTTTTATCAACATTTGCATTTTCTCACTATATTACTCATTATCTTTTTTCCAAAAAACAACAAAATTTTACTGTTTGCTGTAAAATATTGGTATTGTAAAAAGAATATTAGAAAGTTGGGGCATGCGGCTCCTAAAGATTCTGTCATTAATTAACTGGATAATATCAGGAAAGTAATTTTTCCTCTATGGACCATAGTTGTTTCATGTGCAATTGTGTAAAAAAATGAAAACAGAGCTTGATTTTAGACAGGACTTTCAGTTCCATAATTCCATGATTCCATGAAATAACCAAGTAACTAGATTGGTTTTCCATGTTAATGACCACCTATTTTTACTATTGCCATTAAGTGGTGCTAATACAATACATACATCATTATTCTGGATCTCATAGGTTAGAAAATTTTAGAGCCAAATGGTCTCTATCCCTTTGCCTAAGTATTATCCCTAAGACACAAAATTATGAGTGTCAGAACCAGAAATATAATGTAGATTTCCTAATTTTTGGTTTAGCACCCTTTACCTCTTTTCCCATTCATCTGAAAATATAATAAACTATGTAAGCCTGACAAGTATTCTGAGTTATTCTTTCCTCCCCATGTGACAGAAGATACTATTAATAGAATTTATTAAAGCACAGGTTATCAGGCATTATTCCATATCTCATTCCATATTATATCATCATTCCCTATCTCCCTTTCATCCTCAATAGACTTGGCATTCTCCAGCAATGTGAAAGTCTACTAAGTGAAAACTAAGAAACTGTATATTTTTCTACAAGAAACAGTTCCAGGAAATACACTTTGTTGGAGAATAAATCCAGAATAATATTCAACAACACACAGCACACACATCCACTGAGGAAAACACTGATCTGTTTCAAAATATTGTCCAACTAAAAACACATTACTTCCATACTCTATGTATTTTAGGTCATTTTATCATGAAAAATCATTTAAAAATCTATTAGTTGAAGACTCATTCCCAAATAAAATCATGTTACTTGTACTAACTTTAATACCTATACAATAGTGCTAGAAATTAAACATTATAAAAAAAGAGGTTAACTTAGGTAAGGGGCCTGTATTAGTCTGTTCTCACACTGCTTGTAAAGACATACCTGAGACTGAGTAATTTATAAAGGAAAGAGGTTTAATGGCTCACAGTTCCACATGGCTGGGGAGGCCTCACAATCATTGCAGATGACAAAGGAGGAGCAAAGTCACGTCTTGCATGGTGGCAGGCAAGAGAGAGCATGTGCAGGGGATCTCCCCTTTATAAAACCATCAGATCTCATGAGACTAATTCACTATTACAAGAACAGCACAGAAAAAACCTGCCCTCGTGATTCAATCACCCCCTACCAGGTCCCTCCCATGACAATGAGAATTATGGTACAATTCAAGATTTGGGTGGGGACACAGGCAAACCATATCAGGGTCTTAAATAGTGTCACTTTTGGAAAATGTGCTCCAGGTACACACTCCCTTCCATCAGGCTCTTAAACATACAGCTTCTTTACAGGAACATCACACACTCCTGAAATTGAGGACAATGCCTCATCCACTTCTCTTCACCACAGAGGGAAGTGCTTGGGCACTGGCTCTTAGTCTTGAGATGCTTTGACCAAAGGCAGGGATCTGGATCAGAGCCCCTTCCATTTGCATGCTGCAGGAGGGCTCTCTGCATCCCTCCCTTTACTAGTCCCTTGTAGGGAGCAGCACTGTGACAAAACATTCCACCTTCCCCTCCTCCTATCTGAACATAATGTTCTGTTTCCAGCTTCTGCACTTTCCTGATGGAAATTGGAGTACACAGCTTTCTCTTTCCTTTCCACCAACATCATAAATGTTGGCCATAAATGTTTAATTTTTCCTAATGGTCATTCACCCTTCCTCAGTTGGGTAGCTTTCAAAAATTCATTTTGTAAGAAAGACAATTCAACCAGGAGACAAGCTTTCCTCCAAATGACAGAAGCAAATATGTTTGAGACAGAAAAATGATGAAAATGAAATTGGCTCCCCAAACTTTATACAGCAATTAATTTCTTCATAAAACCTTTATATGCTGTCATGTGGATACAACTGTGTGTATTTTCAGTAGGCCTGAAAGGATAGTGTTTATCATTAAAATGTTCCTAAGTACCAAAACGAATTATACTTTATATTGCTAAATCTAAAAGTTGCTTTATTTAAAAAAGAAAAAAAAAAACTCTGAGGCTGAGGTTTCTAACTTTACCAAAGATGTGGTTTCCTTGCTGTCTGTATTTCATTTCCCTTGCTTCTTTACCAAAAGATAAACTAGTCACTTTTTCCCCTGGCTTTGCTTAGTTATAATTTTTTTAACCTTACAAACAATTTCATTTTGGACTTTGATAATAGGAGATCCTGTCTTTAGGTTAAGACTCATTTTACTACTTTAAAGTTTTACTTATTTTAAAAATGCAGTAGCTAAAATTCAACTGACACACTCAAAATACCAAAACAGAGGTGAGAATGGCAGCAGAGTTTGTTAGCTAAATTCTAACTCTTAAGTAATGAGTAAATAGGGATTTTTTTTCCTCATAGCCCCCCTTGAGGTCATTTTAAGAATCTTCACTAAAGTAAGCTTCAAATGCTCTCAGGGAACATCCTCAGCTAGCTTGCAAAGTTTTTTTTCTCCACTAATTATGTAGAATGGATGTGCACTATCCAGCCTTAGATTTCTAGGCAAAATAATCAATTTCTTTTTCATCTTGGTGGAAAAGTAGCCCAGAAGTTAGGTATCTGCCCCCAAAGGAAAGAAGAAGGGTTAACTTGACACAGAGCAGGGTCCCAAGTCAAGGACAAGGGCTCTCTTTACTGCTACTGTTGTAGTATCAATAATCAAACAGAGCAGGTGGTTCTGCAGAACAAACCTCTACATTTGGGAATGAAACAGAGAAGCAGAGGTATTGCTTTCATTTAAGTATGCCTTCAGAACCCAGAATTTTCTAGAATAAGCAATAAAATCAGGCACGTGAAAGAGAAAAATATAAAAAGACATAATGTGAAGTACCACTGTCCTTACTCCTTAGGCTCTCTCAACATGGAGTCCCCCAGACTTTGCCAACTGGCATTTCTGAGGTTCAAAGTACTGAATCTGGGTGCCCAGGGCTTTTCTAGGCAGAGGATTGTGTCAGAAAATGGAAATAAATGCTGGCTTTGCCACTTGGGCAAGTAACTTCACCTGCCTGGATGTGGACTTTCATATCTAAGGTCCATGTTCCTTTCTACTTTTTCCCCTATCTTGTCAGACTGGAGGGCAAATAACTTACGCATCTAATCATATAACACTTAAATTTCTTTGATAAATCAAATGCTCTTAATTGCCTTCCAGTTACAGTGGGCTACTTTTATTGTTCTACTATGCAATTCTTTTACTAGCATTATTTCTGTCAGTCTAGAAGTTGACCTCTAAAACAGAATCTAGCAATAATTAATAGAAATAACATTTATCTGTTATAGATAGATATTGAACAGTGCCAAAATTGTATATGTAAGTCTTTAAGCTTCTTATTATTTTTTCAATCTATTCCTAATGATCTGATAAGCTTTATTTTTCAAATTCAAAACAAGACTAGATGTCTAATAAGAGGTCCTTGAAGGGGTGTGTGTGTGTGTGTGTGTGTGTGTGTGTGTGTGTGTGTTTATAAAATGACAGGAATGAGTTGGGTGATTTCCCACAACTAAGTTTCAAATTGTAGAAAATACATGATTAAAATATTTCTCATATATATTTTAGGAAATTATATATTTATATATATTTTCCTATTTTTAGGGAAAAAATATATAAAACAGCAAGTATAGGCGAAACACTGAAAACATACCAGCTAAATAAATAAACATTACTATCTAGTGCTGTAAGGTAGGAAGACTCTACCTTAATTCACCCACAGATGAACATGGCTACAATGGTGTAAAGCAAAAGAATGTTTCTTTCTCAGAAGTTGGCCGAAGAAATATTTCTAAGTTCTTTCTCCCTCTGCCAATATAATTCAAATGTCAAATTAAAATAGCCAAACTTCTGCTGATAACTGAATGTATTAGTCTGTTTTCATGCTGCTGATAAAGACATAACCTAGACTGGGCAATTTACAGAAGAAAGAGGTTCAATTGGACTTACAGTTTCACATGGCTGGGGAGGCCTCACAATCATGGCAGAGGGAAAGGAGGAGCAAGTCACATCTTACATGGATGGCGGCAGGCAAAGAAAGAGAGTTTGTGCAGGGGAATTCCTCTTTTTAAGACTATCAGATCTTGTGAGACTTATTCACTATCATGAGAAGGGCACAGGAAAGACTTGCCACCATGACTCAATTACCTCCCACTGGGTCCCTCCCACATGTGGGAATTCAAGATGAGATTTCGGTGGGGACACAGCCAAACCATATCACTGCAATAGGAATATGAAAGCCAGAATTTATACTTAACATATAGGAAAGAAGGAGACATTATAGATTTTTAAGAAGAAATGAATTTCAAAAGGGCCTACTGTTGAACCATAAACCTAAAAGCAGTCTCCTTCACCCCTAGCTAAGATTCAAGAGATTTATCAAAAAGCTGTCCTAACTTAGCGATAGCCCAGAAGTTTTCAACCACAAGGTCAGAACCTTCCGAAGGCAAACATTGCAATACACCTTGAGAATTTTCCAAACATCACGTGCCAAATGCCCCAGAGATTCTGAAATGTTCCCTCTCTTCCTTCTTGCCCCACAGCCTCAGAAGGGGCCACTGTTATTCTTGGAAGTGCATTATATCTGTAAGTATGTAAGGCTGAAGTGCTTGCCATTCACTAGTTTAGTGCACAGGAAGCAGCTTGTCACTATCGGCCCTGTCATCCTGGGCAGCTCACTTCGTGATCCCAGATCTCTCTTTTTTTTTTTTTCCACCTGTAAAGTAAGGGCAGTAGAACTAAGAGAGTTAAAGTATTTTCTAGCTATAAAGATACAAAATTCTATAAATTCTCAGGGTTATAAGATTAGAAGATGAAAGACTAAGCCCTGATCTGGGCTTCATAGACTCTAGGCTATATTGATTTCTATAAGAAGTCATTTGTTTATGAAATTTGTGAAACTGTCTAGACAGTGAGCAATACACAAAATTATCTGCAAATGTATTTCATCTTGGGGTTTTTGGTGCTTTACCTAGCTTTAGCACCTAGCTGTACAATTGAGGGCTGCATATTTCTTTATTTATTTTTAAAGATCTGTCTTTAGTTGAAACGAAAATGTTCAAACAATACCTCTCAGTGGGCTAGAAAATAATATTAATTTCCCCCATTCTTTTATACACCAGACTATTAACAAACATCAGTATAACATGTTTCCTTATAAAAACATTAATGATTTTAAAAATTAGTAAAGATTAATATTAGGAAATATTTAAACTAAAAAGAAAAAAGCTGATTTTAATTTAGAACTTTACAGTTTTCCATAAATGTATGTCATTTATGAACATAATTTCTACTTTCTTGGATTCCTTTTCTGAAGTCATTTATATAAATGTATTTTATTGAACAGTCAGCAATCAAAATAAATTACTCTTTGATTTTAGACCTCAAAATCATTAGCTAAATAAAAAACTCTGCAATGATCAATCAAAATTCAATATTAGATTATACATTTCTAGAGGGCAAATGTCATGCGGCATTACCTTTCGTATGGTTTAAGGAATCCTGTACATCACCAAGCAAGCATTAGATGCTTCACAACCTGCTTTGTAGTAATTTGCACTTCCCTGTTATCTCAGATATCCAAAAAACCACATTTTATGAACTGGTTACTTACTGTGATGGTATATACTGCAGTTTGAAGTTAGTGTCCTGAGTAGGACAGAATTCTTCCCAGTTGATTTAAGTGAAGAGACTTTAATAAAGTAACCAGTTACAAAGGTGCAGGCACTGTGAAAGAAACAAGGGATAATGATGATAGGCAAGTAATAGACAGGAACTGCTACCAGTCCTTGAGCTTAAGAAGATGGGGAGGAAATATTATTTTAGGGTTGCCAGTGATAGCCAGAGTCCTAGAGGAGGGGTCACCCAGTGGGAAGGGATACAGACACTGCCAGAAAAGTGTCACTGAAACATAAAGGAGGAGAGGAGGAAATATCCAGAGTTCTCTCGCCTTCTGTGTGCTGATCTAAGGATTCCATTCTCCCATTGACAAAACAAACTCAAAGTCTTCTATTTAAAAAGGACCGGTGATTCACACATGTCAGCACAGAGCTGAGCAGAGGAGGGGAAAGAATGGATCTGGGGGCCAATCGAAGGAAATCCAGTACAGCAAATATTGCATTGCCCCCAACACAATAATTTTTAATTCATAGAAAATACATTCTTTTTGTCAAAATTTGCTTAACAGAGGCAAAATTTTTCAAATAGAATGGATATCAGGTCAAATTATATTTCATAATAAGAGGCACAGAGGACAGCAAATGGATTAGGGAACTTTTATTGGGAAGTAATTAAAATAATAAACTAGAAAGCAAGAAATATGCTTCCAGGAGTCTGGGAGCAGGAGTAAAAGAGAGGAGGTCGGGTTGGGTTGACAGAAAGGATGCAACCAAAATCTCCACACTGTAGAGAAAATCTAGAAAAAAGGATTGTGCCAGGGACATAAAATAGGGAAAAATCAAGTCTTAATCATTCGTGAAGCCATAAATAGAAGTCACAGTTTTCCTTAGCTCTTGTTGTAGAGAAAAGGAAAATCAAAAAGAATTTTCAGGGGCTCTTCTTTCTTTTTCAATATCTGTCTTTCCAATATCTGGTTTCTGAGTCCTAAGATAACCATATTTTGCCCATCATTAATGATAAACTGCCTAAATTCATGCATTCAATCATGCATGCACATTCTTTATGGGGTAAGTTTCTCTGTCTAATTTATTGGAAAAACCTTGCACCATTCACAATGCCTACCTAGCATATAGTAGGCACTCAATAAACATTAATTGAATAAAAACCAGTTAAATGTCTGTTGGCATGACATTACAACTTTAAAGAAAATATTATAATCTGTCAGTTAATTCACAAACATAAATGACTAATATCAGAATGTTTACAATTTTGCCATAGATAGCAGGACTAAGATGCCTAGAGAGCTTGAAGTAGGAAGAGGCACAGATCTACAAAAGGACAGCTGGGAACACAGAAAACAAACAAAACTTTTCAGAGACTTCACAACTTTGTCAAGGGAAGGTTCTGTTTACCATCAGCTGGGAGGGGACAAACAGCAGCTTTGTGAAAATATGTTTGTTGTGTTTAGTGCCAAGATGCAAAGTTCAGTTTCCAGGAATTTGTGGTGATTTATTGTATGTTTTAAACAATCTTATATAGAATTCTTTTCTTGTTACAAAAGATCCTTTTTATCATCTTGGCCATATTTCCTTCCTAATAACAGATCATTGAGTCTGTTTGAAAGTGAGGGAACAGAAAATTAACCTTAGTTTCAAACTTTGAAAAAAACTTGTTTAAGCAACCTATGCTTTGAAATATCACAATACTTTATGGAAAATTAATATTAGAACGCAGAAACCCGGATCAAATTATAAATCTACTTTTCTAGAAAGTCTCATCAGTTTTCTAGAGGTGAACTTATAAATTCAGATTCTATTAAAAAATTGGGGTATTCTGAAAATATGGGGTATTCATTACTTTTTGATTGTGCTCATCTCGGAAGCATTGATAAAATATCCCCCTTTGCCAAGTATATATCAATATTTATTTTAGCTAACCCAGCTGGTACTTAATAATTCAACACTATTTTATTACTTTTCTCTGGTTAATCTATTGCAGCAAAGATATAATTGCTTTTCCATAACTAAACCCCTAACTCTTTTTATCATTTCTACTCTGCCATCTTAGACATATTAGAATGATGAATGGTCAATGGTAAGAAAGGGAGTAGGGAGGAAGAAAAAGAATATAAACAGGACAGGTGTTGCAAAAATTAGGGTAATAGCCTAAGGTCTATCACAGGAGTTCCAAATTCTGGTCTACCATGGAGTGACCTGGGAATCAGCTTATTCATCTATAAAATACATGTGTTGGATTCAGTTATAGCTAAGATTCCCACTGGCTCTGAAGCAATGCACACCACTATCTGTGGGATAACACCTCTTTTCTGTTCACTTGAAGCTCCTGGTTTAAAAACAATAAGATATCACTCCTTCATTCACCCAAATGTGAGTGATTATTAGCATCATTTCTAGCTGCAGCCTGGGAAGTGCACAAGTCCTAATGATGACTTAAAACTGGCATGTTCTGTGTCCAAAAGGGAAAAATGGGCTGTGACACATACTCATAAGGTCTGCACCACAGGGTGAAAAAATGAGGCCTGCATATGTCTAAATTTTTGAACAGCGTGGCTGACTTTTGACCTTACTTAGCATTACTTGAAGCAGCTTACTGACGCTGCCAATAACATCATACATAATAGGGCACACATCTTGTAACTGAACCATAGGTAGTGCTGAGCAACATAAAGAATCCAGGCAATACATATGTAAAATGTAAACTGCTCAAACACAATAGCTACTGAAGGATCTGCTAGTACATACACTGATTGCTTCTCTGAGGTTCAAGAGCCAGGTTTTAGGATTCTTCAATGGCTGCTGCCATGGTCTTGTTTTAAAAAGCCTCAATCATTTCTCAAGACATCACACGTAACAAAAGGCTGCATCTATTTCTCTCAATACAGAGCTAGCCTGATAGTAGCAGATATGTTTAAGGGCATAGAAATAAAGTATGCCTTCCAGAAGTTGGATAAAAGAGAAAAACAGCCTTTGAGAATTAGTAGGTACCACTCTAATCTGAAGCTTGTACTGTCCTTTTCAATCCTAGCAAAGAAACAATTAATAAAGGAACCCATTAAGACCTGATTATTGCAGCTAAAAAAGGAAGGTAGAATTTCAGTCCTTTGAAGTAACTGAGAATGATTCAGGCCTCATTACAGAGATATAATCTACATTCATACATTTATGTTAGTGATTCAAATCTATTGGGAGAGATTGAATTCCGTTAAATAGTGCATCTTTCCTGTGGAACTTTTCTCAGGCTTTCTCGGGCTAACCTAAGAGGTGACCTAACAATGCAAAGTAGTCGGGTATTTAGGGATTCAACTGTGCTGTAAAAGAAAGGCTGCACAGAAAAGAAAAAGAAGAATGAGATATAATCTAAAAAGCTATGTCAGCTTTTCCTTTGGGCTGTTTTGTAAATGCCCTCTTGTCATCACGCTGTACAGAAGAGCAGCGAAGGGGCTCTAGAACTTTCAAACACTGCACCTGCTGCAACCAGATTTTAATATGAAAGTTTAAAGACATCTTTTCCCTCATTTTAGACAGAAAAAACAAAGAAACTCCTAGCTAAAAGATCTGAATGGCTTCTTCTACTGGAACATAAAGTTGGTAGATGTGTGTATGAGAGAGAGAGGGAGAAAGAGAGACTAGCTTTGGATTGGAGGGGCACATGTCTAGGGTGAGTTTAACAAAAATTCTTAAACCCCAAAGTGGCATCAATAGTGTTGGTTCCTATTGTACAGAAACCCCAAAATAATAACTTCCTGTGTTTTGTAACTTTTCACAGCAGAATCTTTATTGTATGGTTTCATCAAACATAATTTTTAAAAAATGTAGTTTTAATTAGTTGTAAAATCAAACATTTGGATTCTTCTGGACCATTGGGCTGAAACCCAAATCCATGGGAAACACTACACTGTCTTTCAGGCATTTGTCCTCTCAGGTATAAAACTGTGAACTAAAACATTGAAATTCGCACTGTTGGTTCATTTTTCAGTATCCTAAAGAAAAAGACTCGCTTGATGTGTGCTCTTTATTTGCTTAACTTTCCAATTAATATCTACAGAAATTAGAGCTAATTATATTAAACTTTAAAAACCTATTGTAATGTTCACCACATTGTTGAACTCTTCTAAATAAGCACTGCATGAGTTATAACTAATGCAATTAAAATCCTGATTCTAGTATTAAATGATTCTATTTCAAAGGATTTGAATACACAGAAAAATATAAGAACATTCATGTAAACTCATTTTTCAAGTCACTAAATACTTAATTGAGCAATCATTCCTAATGCTCATCTCTAACGCTAATTCTTTTTTCTTTGCATTTCCTCTGGTTCACAACCAATATGGAGGTCAAACGCACATCATAGGGATCCTAGCTTGTGTGAACACAGACTCTTCTAATTAGTTCCCTCCAAATTACAGTTGCTGTTGTTAAACTCCCAGTTCACCTTGAAGTGTTTCTCTGTCTTACATTGGCAGCCTAATTTTAGGTTGAAACATATGAAATTACCACTTTTGTAGGTACAAAACCTTAAAATGTTGGCAATTTTGTGGGCTTCAACAAAACACAAATGTCTAACTGTCCTATGTGACATAGATAGTTCATTCCAGTACATGTTTAGGCATTCCTTCTAGTTAAACGTTCCCTAGTTTAGAGTCATTCTTAAAGAAGTGGTCCTCTAGGAGCTGTTTCTTATTCAGATTGGAATGGATTATCACAGTATTTCCTTTTTTGTGCCTCTTAACTCTTGGCAAAGGTTTCTTAGCCTTGGACTTAGTTCTGTCAATACCTGGGCTGTGAGCTAGTTTCTGCGAGCAAGGGAGGAGTTGGGGTGGCCTGAAAGAGTGTGAAAAGGAGAGGAGGACTAGTAGTGCAGTGATATTGTAAAACAGAGCCCTTTAAACATTAAATGTGAAGATAGAAAAAAAAAAAACCTCCCCTTTATGACAAAGTGCAAAGGAAATTGCATAAAAAAGAAAACAGACAGCAGGCTATTCAGCCAAATTATATGGTAAAATCTTTGCGATCGCCATAAAGTGCGTTTGCTTTGAAGTGCACGCATGATTCAGTGAAGGGCTCATGTTAGCAATTAGAAATCGGTTATTTGGGTCCCTGATTTCATTTGCGCCGAGAGAGGCAACTTTTAAGGGTGACGATAAATCTCCCTGAGCTTAAAAGGCAGAGAGGGCCAAAGTGTGAACTTTTTACTTCAGCAACGGAAGCGAGAAATCAGTGATTCATTAAAGAGGAGACCTCCTTGGAAGCTGGCAGCAGAGGAGGAAAGGACACTAATTATGTCTTCCTTTTCTGTGCTCGTTCTGACCAGTTTATAACCTGCTGCTTTGGACGGTTTAAAATCCTCAGCATCTTCTGCTTTCTCCCAGCCCTCTCCTCTTCTGGGAGTGAGAAGGGAGGAAAAGTCAGCCAAGCACCAGGCTCCAGGTGGCTCTCAAGTACTTCACTGCCAAAAGAAATGGGGGTGGGGGGAGGAGATCCTACGCTGGAAAGCAAGTGAGAAAGGGGCTCCCCAGAAGGGATTGGTTCAGGCTGGAAGACAGCAAAATTCGGAAAGCGGGAAGATACCGTCAGCGCCGTGGCCCGCGCTGCAAGCATAGGACGCTTTAGCAGCGAATTAGACAGAGCTAGAGGCGCCGGCGGAGGCTGCGGCCGCAACAGCCGCGGCGAGGAAGGGACCTGGCAGCCCCCGAGCTCGGTGCAAAGGCATCGCGCTCTCTCCTCGCTCCCCTGCTCCCCCACCCCCTTCTCTGCCCCTTTCACCCTCCCTCTCCCTGGCGTTCCCAGCAGCCTAGGGTTTCAGATGTCCCACCGCCGGTTGACCCCCTCCCCCCTCTTCTCCACCCCTGCAAATGAGGTTTGACCAGCAGAGGCAGAGCCCACCTCTGGCTTAGAATCACTGACATTTAGACTCCAGGCTTCAACCTGTTTACAAGCGGACTTTCCAAAGGAAGGGGGTGGGAGATAGGGCCATACAAAACACCAGCCGCCGTCCCCCAAAACAAAAAGTGACTTTCGGCAGCCTTCAAATCGGCAGGCACCACTAAAAACAGAAAGGAAGAGAGGGAAGAAAACAACGGCGACTGGGCAGCTGCCTCCACTTCTGACAACTCCAAAGGGATATACTTGTAGAAGTGGCTCGCAGGCTGGGGCTCCGCAGAGAGAGACCAGAAGGTGCCAACCGCAGAGGGGTGCAGATATCTCCCCCTATTCCCCACCCCACCTCCCTTGGGTTTTGTTCACCGTGCTGTCATCTGTTTTTCAGACCTTTTTGGCATCTAACATGGTGAAGAAAGGAGTAAAGAAGAGAACAAAGTAACTCCTGGGGGAGCGAAGAGCGCTGGTGACCAACACCACCAACGCCACCACCAGCTCCTGCTGCTGCGGCCACCCACGTCCACCATTTACCGGGAGGCTCCAGAGGCGTAGGCAGCGGATCCGAGAAAGGAGCGAGGGGAGTCAGCCGGCTTTTCCGAGGAGTTATGGATGTTGGTGCATTCACTTCTGGCCAGATCCGCGCCCAGAGGGAGCTAACCAGCAGCCACCACCTCGAGCTCTCTCCTTGCCTTGCATCGGGTCTTACCCTTCCAGTATGTTCCTTCTGATGAGACAATTTCCAGTGCCGAGAGTTTCAGTACAATGTGGAAATGGATACTGACACATTGTGCCTCAGCCTTTCCCCACCTGCCCGGCTGCTGCTGCTGCTGCTTTTTGTTGCTGTTCTTGGTGTCTTCCGTCCCTGTCACCTGCCAAGCCCTTGGTCAGGACATGGTGTCACCAGAGGCCACCAACTCTTCTTCCTCCTCCTTCTCCTCTCCTTCCAGCGCGGGAAGGCATGTGCGGAGCTACAATCACCTTCAAGGAGATGTCCGCTGGAGAAAGCTATTCTCTTTCACCAAGTACTTTCTCAAGATTGAGAAGAACGGGAAGGTCAGCGGGACCAAGAAGGAGAACTGCCCGTACAGTAAGTAACAAATGCATGCTCCCCTCCTTCCAATTATCCACCCCCAGCCCACACGGGGGGGAAAAATCTGTTCCAGATGTGGCCAGCTAAATATTTACGTCCCCAACCCCTGTAAAATGATTAAGTGGAATACTTTCACACTAATTCACCCCCCAACCCCCGTGTATACATTGTGCTGCCGCATCCCCTCCCCTAAGCGCGCTCCCTTCACATCCCCCACCCCTTGCCGCTCTACCCACCCCTTCCCTCCAGCCTGTCACTAGCCGGACCACGCAGGGCGCTCAAGAGAGTTGTTGCAGTGCAAAGATGCCCCTTTCTCTCTCCACCGCCTTTCCCACCTCATCCAAAGAGCAATTTTTCCTTCCTTCTGGAAATGGCTCAAGTAAACACATTTTGTTTCTTTTCCCTGGCAATCTTGTTAAGAGTTTTGGGACAGGCTCCTCAAGCTGAAAATAATTATCCGCTGTCAATTATAGGGGCTTTGTGGGAACTTTATTTAAGAAAGAAAAGTCAATTCCACTCTCTCCCCACCCCCATCCCTTTACCCCACTACCTCTAGATATGAGCGAAAAGCATTTTTCTGGTTTTGATTTTTGTTTTGTTTTGTTTTGTTTTGGGTCCCTTATGTTAGTTTGAGTGATTGCAGTCCATGAAGTTAGCTTTTCAGGCACCACCGCTGCTATTTGTCTTCTGCCTGCCTTCCCTCTTGGTAACATGATGCTCATGTCTGCATTGTCAATAGCGTATGCACTGCTTTGTGGTGTCCTGTTGTACTGTTTCTTCTGAAACCTCTCATATTGCAGAGCCATACTACTACAGCATTGTAAACATCTGGGACTGGATTCACACAGACCTCACACAAATTTCATTGTCATTCTTTTATTTTCAAAGTAAAAGTCATAAGTCTGTTTCCATGGCTATATTTTATCCCACAGTGTGACATTTTCTCCTCAGCGTAAATTATGCCTGGGATCCCTACATTTTGGTCTTGCCTTTTCCCTCTCTCTTTCCTTCTTTCTCTCTTTCCCTTCTTTCTTTCTTGCAGGGGTGTGGGCTGGTTGGGGGAAGAGAACTAGAAGAAGAGGGGTGGATATTGTGTCTCTTCTTGAATCAACCCAGCAAACCCAGATTACTCTGTTGACTTCCTTTCTCAGATACTTTCAAGTGGTGAGACTTATTCATCCACTATTGATTGTTATGTGAAAGGAACCCAAGGCTCTGTAATGGCACACTGAAGACAGTAGACAATGATGTTTAAACATCTTTAGTGACCATTTGGCATTATCTCAATGGTAAATTCCAAGTCACCTTTAAAGGGGACATTTTTGTGTTAGTTGTTCAGGAATTCTAAGCATAGATTGTCTTGTCAGTTAACTTAAATACGTCAGTCAAACATTTCAAGATTCCTTGGTTTAGAAAGTACCAGGTACTAATGGGAATGACAGTTGACCAGAATTTAGCATTTTATTTTTGAATACAAATTTACAAGAATTAAGAATTTAGTTTTCTTCTGTGGGGATGCACACACATTCAACATTAACTTCTGTTTCTCCTCAGCCACTGGTTCTATTTACTAAAATTCACAATATGTTTATAAGTAATAAAAATACGTGTAGAGGTGCTTTTAAAGTGTTTCATTTTATGTTTCATACTAAAGATATTAAGTACCACATTATCTGATTCAAAGAAAGTAGCTGAAATAATGTCATAATGATGACAATTATTTTTGCTTAAAAATCATTTGTTACCCGAATTCATTAGATCCTATGTATATAACCTTTAAGGTTTTTCGATTAAAAATTTAAAAACTTTATTTACTTCTAAAATAAAATAGTTGTGGTGTCATTCAGTTAGCAGGATGGGGAAGAAGCTATCCAAACATTGGGCTGGACAGAGTGAGCTGGGAATTAACAACAACAACAAAAAATTCTGATGGACTCATTTCTTATTTTTCATGGAGAAAACTCAAAAGAATATGATAAAGTTTCAGAGTGTTATCCTTGAGCAAACATTTTTCTTTTTAAAAAATGTTTGTGCTATACTTTAAATGTCTTTATGATATGACTTAAGGTCAAATCTGCTCTGTTTTAGTTTACACAACCTAAATTGCTATTTTCTAGAATAATAATCACGTGTGATTAGCTGCAGAGTAAAATGATTTCCACAGTACACACTGAATTTCATCTTTACAATAAGAACTATCTGCAAAGAAGAAAAGTATACAATATATATTGTATAAAAGGGGTGTAGAAAAGTTCCATCCTAACTGTCCAAAATATACTAATATTTTATTTTCTCTGTGATAACATATATTACTTGTTATAATGACAAGCTAAATATCTTATATGGTAATGCAATCTTAATCAACGGTTAACAGTGAAAGGGGAGGGGTTCACTCTGCTAAATATTGTCAAACCATAAATAATTTAGGCTTTCCAAGAACATCTGTGTCAAAACATAGCAAGTGAAAATTAGAGATTGAAAAAGCCTTAATTTCACATGTGGCCAGGTAATCTAAATGCTGCTACGATTTCCAGCTGGACTGATTCAGCTGAACTACATGGTATCATTAAGATATTGTCTAAACGTTGCATAATAACATGTGAACAAACTTTTACCATGCCTACAGGGTAGCCAGCCAGCTGTCCACCAAATGGTAGCTTGTTAAATACTAGGATCTCTAACCTCTGAAGAGTGTCAATTCCTTTTCCAAAAACCACATTTCAGTAACATTTTCCTAAACAAGTTATTAATTATTCTCAATACACAAAGCTGTTCTTTTGAGGTTTGCTTATTTGAAGATTAATTTTCTTTGTTACTTTTGACCCTAGTATTATTGCTGCTAAAATACAGTAACAGCTTATCTAAGAGGTTATATGTTTTTGTTGTCCTGGGTAATTAAACAACTGTTTTCTGGCTTTTTGCCAGCAGAATGCTAACAAAAGGGAAGTAAGACAATCATTCATAAGTATTGCAAAATCATTTTTAACTTCTACTTTCAAAGCTAGTTCCCAGAAATTCGATGGTTCTAAAAAGACTACATGCGTTAACAAAGCTCTTCTCTATATGGGTGATTATTATAATTTTTGAGGGTGGGGGGCTATACTTTTTGTTTGCTTCTTTGCCATGATATGAGAGTAGAATAAAGAGAGCAGAGATGAATTATGTTTCTCCTGCTAGAAGTCTGAGAAAGCTTGAATAATTTAGAATAGCTGTGGTGTATCTGTCACTAGATATGTGTAGGCTCATTTAGGTTTTGTTTTATCATTCTTTACATCTAGAGCTTTGCCCTTGAAACCTTACCACTCGGCTTTAGTTCTGACCTCTTAGAAAGGCTGGATACAGCTGTTAGGTATCCTTGCAACTGGGACCAGTTGACTTATTTCTGGATGTGAGTAAAACAGCTGTGAGCTTCTCCCATGGTTGTCATTTGTAGAAAAGAGGGATCTAGTGAAAGGAAAATGTACCCTAAACTTGAGACAATTAAGAATAGATATTCCAAAAAGGGAAACTCACAAAAAAGGCTCCTGGGCCTTTCTGGGAAAGAAGAATGGGAGGCAATAGAGAAATCAATATGTAAAGAGTATGTAGTATAGGCTTTATCTCTTTAAATACACACTTCATTTAATAGTCATAATAGTCCTACAACTATCAACATTTTTCAAATTTGAAAACTCATACTGAAAAAAGTAAATTGTCCAAGGTCATTCAACTAGACATGGGCAGAACCAGGATTCAAGCCCCAGCCTATTGGTTGTATCTCTCCTTTCTTATTGTACCTTTCTGCTACTTCCAACATTAATATCAATTTATTAGAATTTGACACCTCAAATCTCTAAAAAACAAATTATCCAAATCTTTACTTGCTTCTTGCTGTGAACACCCGCAGTTCTTTAGAATTAAATTGGAACAGAAATAAAATGACAATTGCAGAAAAACAAATACATTAAACGTGTCATTGCAGGTGGCCACATGATATCAGACAAGGTTAGTGTATTCTCTAGGTAAACTCTCTCTTTTGATATTTGGGAATATAATTGCTTATGGATACACACAAAATACACATACATCAATCTCACTCATGTTAACAGAGGTCATTAGGAATACATGACTATTTAAGAAAAATCCATGAATGTCATTTTATATAGTAATTGTTTACAGCTGAGGGCCAAATGTTTAATTGTTCCCATGTGTAATAAAATAATTTGATTGTAAATACCTGTGATAAATTGGACTGTTGCAGAAACTTCTGATATATGACTCTAAAAAGGGCGACGTCTTAGAGACTTAAGCCATACATATTAAGAAAATTTTAAAATAAACCTGCAAATCAAAAAGACACTTTACCATATAAAATGATAGATTATTATCTGGGATTATTACTTTTTAACCAGGACTAGAGCTTATTGTAGGAAGCTAAATGAAGTGAGAAAAAAATAATTGTTGAGGAAAATAGGAACTCAGAAGTGATCTTCTAATAACGACACAAGAGTTTTCTGTGAAGAAAAACAATTTATGGCTTCCACTGGTATCTTATTTCAGTTGTGGTTGTTTCTAGAATTTGGTTGCATAATTTATAACCGGCAGCATTTAATCACGAGCATTGAGGATTTATGAAGGTGGAAGACACTGTATTTAATGTTTACATGACATTGTCCTGTTACCTTTACTGCATTCCTACCATATGGACCCTCCACTTTGATGGATTTATCATAAATCTATTAAAAATGCACAATTCAAGAGAGTTTCCTCTTCATAAACCTGATTTATAACCTCCTACGAGGAGAAACCTAAGGAAACAGTTGTCAGGAATCAGATGCCCGTATTGGAGCATGAGAATTCAGAGACACCAAATTCTAGGTCTTGGATATTTCAGTAACCTATTACCTAAAGGTGTGAATGACTCTTTAAAAGCAGTTGTTTTCAAAATGATGTTTAGGCACAGAATTTTAACAAAAGAAAAAGAAGTAGAAGAAGCGTGTCTTATAGGATCAAATAAACTCCACTGTCTTCATAGTTTCTTCTACATTTATGCTATCCAGTTTAGAGTGAAAAGCTTTATTCCAGTGCATTTCTTTAGAATTTAAAGAACTGATAGTAGAACATGAATGAACACTTTAAATTTCTATACAATTACTTTAATGTCCAGAAGCAAACCCCATTTATTATCCAAATGTCTAACTTTCCACAAGCCAAAATGTTGAAAAAAAGTTGACAGCTCATTTGAAATGGAACTAATGTTCCTCCCATTTATGAGCTGCCTGTGAATAACTACATCTTTCCTAAGCCTTAATGTCTGTATGCTTATCTGACATTGTAGTGCAAATGATATTTCTTTATTATGCTTCAGAAAGAAGAGTAATATATGTGTATTAGTTCAAAGTGATTTTAATCTATCTTAACATTAATTCTGTGAACTTTGCAATGAAGAGTAATTCAGATGACATTTTTAGTATTACTGTTCCAACATCTGTCAACATTTATAGTTGATGTTTGCTTAATATAAGTAAAATATTAGAATTTTCCTTCCAGAAATTATAAATCTATTTTATTTTACAGTAAGATGGAATATACAATTCATGTTTATGTAATTTTAATACAGTTTTATCACAATATAGACAAGTAATCAACTTCATTTTGTCTCAAGTCATTTATGCAGAAGGATTTAAATCTTTCATGGTATATTGCAATGATCTAAGATAATTTACATTTGACATTTGACCAAGGGTGTTTATTACTTTGTTTCACAGATTTAAAACATTATTTTGTAATCGGCACTCTTTCTTCTCAGTGCATGTTACCTTTATCTGTGTCAGTCAGTCAGTACAACAAAGAATAGCTTAGAAATGTACTTTTAAAATTTGCGAAAGGAAATATACCTGCATCTTGGAAAGCCACTAGTGACACTCTGATACTGAATTAATGAATACAAAATGTTGATGTTTTACAGAATCAGTTTAAAACCCAGTACTTAATTTGTATAGATTTTACACAAATAGAAAGTTTCAAGACATCTAAAAGGGAGCCAGGTCACCCACAAAATAATGACCTTAAAGGCTCCCTTCCTTTTAAATCAGATCAATTGTGTTCTTTCTTTGAACGCTGTGTTCTAATTGGCACAATACATCAAAGAAGACACTCAGAGTAGATTCCCATGTAAGGTGGACAACTGGACAGTGACTTTTTACTGCCGCTAACACGTGCATCCAATTACTATCTGATAGATTCATAGTGCTGGCAGTAAAGCATTGCCTTATTTTATAGTTCACCTAATAATTCTTCAACCTAAACCTGTCCACCTTTACCTATACCCATTCTGTCAGTATGTGCATTATTAATGAATAATTTTCAAAGTTTTGGCATGCTTCCTGCAAAGAATGATGTCATTGAGCTCTTAAGGAATCATCTAACCCTAATAGAAGGCAAAGTATTGATTAACTTGATATACCCCAAATTTCAAAGAATTGTCAACTAAACCTAATAATTGCACCACAACTAGAACCTAATTCTGAATAGGGTGGGTTAAATTCCATCTAATTCTGAATAGTGTGGGATTGCTGCAAGATTTAGAACTTTTTTAAAAAGGTATTTTTAATGTTTTTCTGTAATTATTATTACTTTTCTTCAAGGACCTTGTGTTAACATGCTTTACTGATAAGCAGACATGTTATTTCATCCTTAACCTTTTTTGCTCCTGTGTTGAGGACAACTTGACATGTTCATAGAGTCTTTACAATTCAAGGCTCATTGACTTCTTTCTAATAGCTTTGTTTTGAGTTAGTCTGTGACAACCCTGCTTCTGAGCCATTGTAAATCCCTAATAGTTTATCGTCCCTTCCTCACTCCATTATTTTCACCTTCTTGGTTTTGTGTGTGTTTTTTTTTTTATTACTTTTATCTGGTTTCTGAACTGGCTACATACCTTTAAGCCCAGGGAAAGTCATTCATTAGTATTACTTGGCACCCAAGGTGACATTCAGGGCCAGAGGCCTAGACATTTTCAGATGCGTAGCATCTAAAGCTGATAGTTTTGTTTTTATTTTGCATAAAAATCTTCAATGGTGTAAATTCAATATACTCCATCAGGACCGTCTTCTCATTTCGATTCTGCAGTGAATTCCTTCTTATCCCAGCATTCCAGGTCAATTTCTTTTAAGCTCTGCTGTAAGTGAAGTGGACAAACCACTGATAAGCCCCCTTCAGAGTGCTGATTATCCCATTACTAGATCATCATTCTGCATTTTTCCTCCAAGTTAAATTTTTGCTCCCAATAACTCTTCCTGCTTTTCCTATTTTCTTTTAAATTATTTGCATACATAACACTTACTAGCTACTTTGCCATTTTTCTCACATTTTTGCCTTTGTCTGGGCTACCATGAAAGAAAGAAAGTGAAGATGATTTTGAAGACAGGGTCTCACTCATGATCACAGCTTACTGTAGCCTCAACCTGCTGGGCTCAGGCGATCCTCCCAAGCAGTTGGAACTGCAGGCATGTACCACCCTGCCTGGATAATTTGCTGATTTTTGTTTGTTCGTTTTGTAGAGACAGGGTCTCACTATGTTGCCCAGGCTTGTCTCAAATTCCTGGGCTCAAGCAATCCTCCAGCCTCGGCCACCCAAAGGGCTGGGATTACGGGTGTGAGCCACCATACCCAGCCTGAACACTTATATTTTTCTACTTTAGTTTTCATTTATTTTAAAAAAGATGAATGCTGATTTGGAGGTCTTTGATATTCCCAACTTCCAGAATGGCACTTAGATTATCAAGCTTCTCTGTGTACCCCTGTCAAATATATGTGGCTTTTAAAAATAAAACCTAGGTTCTCAATAAAACTTTTTAAATCAGGAAACAATGTAAAATAGGTATATGTATGTCAGGTGAAACAAATATAGAAATACGTATGCCTTTACTAGGAATTTTTGAAACACCAACAGGAGTTAGAATCTGAATTAATTCCATAAGTGTTTTCATATACTTCTAAGAATTTTTTGGCACTGATTGATGAATTAGATTTAAGTCTATCATATGCAGAATCTGACTATTGACATATGTTAAATTTATGTTTTAATAATAATAAAAGTCAAGCTTGTTTTTACAATTGTTTCCAAATTTTAAGTAACTTTAATTTACTGATAGAATTATTAAAAGAAGAATTAATATTCTGTAACATGGGGTAAATGGTAACATATGGACACTGATTTACATACTATTGATAGTCTAAAGTAAGATACCTTTATAATGGTATTCATAGCAGTAATTACCAGATTTTGGGTGTCATTTTTTGGGAATATCTCTGCAGAAGGATATGATTCCACAAGTATTAAAGAAAAGTGCTAGTGATGTTAATCACATTATAGTATAAAAACTTGATGAACAAAAATAGTGTTTTAGAGCTCAAATATGCTGACGTCCAGGAAGCAAGAGAGACGGTAAAGATCACATAATGAAATTTTTTAGAAGCCAGAGGGAAAAGTAGAAAAAGAGAAGAGGCCCTAGAGTGTTTAGACACATACTGTGAAAGGAGGAGGAGATGCTTTGCTGGAGTGATGAAGACAAGGGTTTTGAACTCTCAGGAAAGAGATCAAGCTAATGAGTAGCACTGCGAAAGGGCTGACATGACAAGAAAGGTGTGAGGGAAATATAACCCAAGCCCTGGCATTCAACTGGATGTTAAATTAACTGAAATGAGAACCTATGATCTAAGAGAAGTCCCACAGAAGTCATCGCAGCCAGGCTATCAAAGTAAGGAAAGCTAAGTCCCAGTTCCTGCTAAAGAGGAGGTATGATAGAGTGATTAAAAGTATGGGCTTTGATTCAAAGGGATAAAAAGTATAGTCCCGGAGTGAAAGCAGGCTTTGAAGCCGCAGACCTGTAGGCAAACTGCGAGGTAAGAGTTGATAACTTTGGGCAAGTTGTCATCAGTAAAACAAGGATATTAACAATACCTACCTTTTTACTACATGGTAAAGATGAAATGAGATCGTATATTCATTCATTGATTCATTCATCTGAAATTTGAGTGCTTGCTTTGTGTCAGATAGTGTGTGAGGCACGAATAAATGCATTGTTGAAAAAAGTTGGTCTTTCTGCTCTCATAGAGCTTACACTCTCCACAGATAATGTCAAAAACGTTAACCAAGAGGTGATATGATGAAAAATTGAAGTGAGTGTTATCAATGACACAAGTACAGTGTTTTAATAGAAAACAACTGGGAACTACCCCAAAGAGCACTGCTAGAGAAGCCTTTTGAAGAGGTGAGAAGGGAACTACCCCAAAGAGCACTGCTAGAGAAGCCTTTTGAAGAGGTGAGAAGGGAACTGCAAAGGGAGAGTTTGGTGCCTCATTCAAGAAGTACAGAGAAGGCACATTGAGGCTGGATGTGGCAGAAGTTTGAAATCTGAATTGACACACACACAGCTTAATGGTGCCTGTCACATCATAAGCCTTAATCAAAAGGATACTATATGAAGAAAAAGTAAATACGATGCTTCCTCTTATTTCAAGGGGAAACATCAGGAAAGCAACAATTATATTATTCGATGAAGTGGAAATTAACAATGCTGGAATTGAGGAAAGAGGCAGGAAGGAGAAATATACTTGGTTTTTGTTTAAAAAGGGAAATATCGGCCAGGCGCAGTGGCTGACCCTGTAATCCCAGCACTTTTGGAGGCCGAGGAGGGCAGATCATGAGGTCAGGAGATCAAGACCATCCTGGCTAACACGGTGAAACCCCGTCTCTACTAAAAATACAAAAAATTAGCCGGGCGCGGTGGCGGGCGCCTGTGGTCCCAGCTACTGGGGAGGCTGAGGCAGGAGAATGGTGTGAACCCGGGAGGCAGAGCTTGCACTGAGCCGAGATTGTGCCACAGCACTCCAGCCTGGGCGACAGAGCGAGACTCTGTCTCAAAATAGAACTACCTGAAATTTGATTTGGAATTGTAATATTCATACTGTTCTGAAGTTTTGGGGAAAAAGTTAGAGGCCTGGTTCTTTAAGAAATTGGTAGAAGAAACAGATTGAGCACTTCTAATCCAAAATTCTCAAATCCAAAATGCTCCAAAGTCCAAAACTTTTTGAGTGCCAACATGATGCCACAAGTAGAAAATTCCAAACCTGTCCTCATATAACAGATCACAGTCCAAACACAGGGGCACAGTTTATTCAGCATCCCCAAGGGGAAAAAAGACCCTCCCATCCCCCTTCAGCTGCTGTTGCTTAACAGCTGATACAGGTATTCTGGTGATGCTACTGTGCTGCCTAGTTACCCCCAACACATGATTTTTTCACTGTAATAGTGGTATGTCATGTTGTTTACTCTTAAGTACTTATGTATGAATAAGTGTAAGAAAATGATTGCTTATCAGTAGCATTTAAATTCAGAGTCAGGAATGATGGTGATGCCAAACAACCACAGATTACCTACATCAACGGCTAAGATAGTGACATCTTTGCTTTCTGATGGTTCAATGTATATGGACTTTGTTTCATGAACAAAATGATTTAAAATATTTTAAAAAATTACTTCCAGGCTGTGTGTATGTAAACCACAAATTAGTTTTGTGTTTAGACTTGGGTCCCATCCCCAAGATATCACATTATGTATATGCAAATATTTCAAAAACTGAAAATTCCAAAATCTGAAACCTTTCTGATCCCAAGCATTTCAGATAAAGGATACTCAACCTGTATTTGAAAACTGAAGGTAACTTGAGGAGAGAACAAGGTGCTTAAAATAAAGAATAGAAGATGAATATTTTCAAGGACACAAGCTGTAAAAGGTTAAAAGAAAGAAAAAAAGAATAGCGAAATAGGTAACCGTGGAGATTTGATGACTATAGAATAAAAGGCAACAAAGAAAAGTAATTCTTAATTTTTAAATATTTCAGAATAAGTCTTATATTTCAACTTACAGTTTCGAGACAGCATTATCACAGATACTTAGTTCTTATTAAACTTGGTAGTTGTTTTTTGTTTCTCATCCTATTACTGTGACCTTTTTGGCTCATACCCTTAAAGCATTTGTAGTCTAGAAGTAGAAAGAGGAGATCATCACAGGGAGTTGGAAGAGCATATAAGGCAGTTTCTACTCAATGCCAAGAAGCAGGGCAGAATTTAAGTAAACAGCAGTCTCTAACTGAGGGAGAGATGCATGACATCAGGAGGTCACACTGAGGATAAGGGACTCCAGCTAGACAGAGATAAAACAAGAGAAGGAAGAATATTCTAAACGAAGGCACATAAGTGTGTGGGTGCAGAGTCAAACATGAAGTTTTCAGGAAATCACAGGGAGGAAACAAAGTTTGCATGCAGGTGGGCATCTTCTGACAGACAAAGCAAAGTACAGTAGAAGGTGGTATCATGTGAGAGGGAAGTCTGTAAATGTATCCTTACATTTGCGGATCTAAACTTTCTGGCAAAATATTACATTGACATGATTTTTATTTAAACTTGCCCTTTACTTTTTTTTTTCATTTTTACTTTTTGAAGTAAAAAAAGAAAGAAAGTGGAAGAATATTTCAAAAGAGTATTATCTATATTATAATTGACAATCTAAATATAGTAAGTAGCAAGAAATTGTAGCTTAATCAAAAGAAAAAAGAACTAATTTTATACTAGGGACATGGAAAAGAAGAGTTCTTCTGCTCTTCACTAAAATGACATTATTCTTCATATTTCTGATTTGCCAAATGATCATTATTTTACAATTTAAAATACTTGGAACTTCAAAAGTTCTTAATATGTATATTTCACTGTGAAGAGGTTTTGTAATTTCCAGCAAATCCCCAAAAGGAACACCTGAAGCATCAGTATTTCTTGCTCTAGTTGTGGGTTTTTTGTTTTTTTTTTTTTTTTTTTTTTTTTTTGGCATTTGTATTCTAACTTGTCTTAGATTTACTTGGTTTAGATAATCAGAAAAAGAAACAAAGTATGCTAAACTTCTTTTTCTGGAAAAGGAGTACATGTAAGTGTTTTTTAAACAAACTAGGAGAAACATACAGACAGCATATATACGACTACACCCCCCTACTGACACTATGAGCTCTTGAGTCAGACTTCTTGGTGTAGAATCTGGGTTATTTATAAAACTTCATAGTTGTGTGATCGTAGCCAAGTTACTCCCTGGGTCTTGGTCTCTGCATCTTTTAAGTTTAGATAAACCAACCTCACCACTGTTGGAAGAATGAGTCATAAATTTACAAATGATACTATAAATGTAAAGTTGTATTAAATATAGGACCTAACACCATGTAAGAGTTTGACAATGTTAGTTCTCATTACTCTTTTATGCCATGACTGCTTGTGTTGTTACTAATTATTCCATTATGTGAAAAATTCCCTAAATCATTGAATAATAAAAACTTCAGCAGATTAATGCTTTCATCAATTGATTCTCAAAAAAATTTTGTAATATGGGTAAGATCATCGTTGTTATACCCATACTATGTTTAGATGAGAAAATTAGGCCTAAAAGTTATTGTGCCAGACTGACATTATAGAGTTAACATAATTGAGGATAAAACCTAGGCCAGTCTTAGTGATGGTGATCTTCTATCTTTGCTTGCCTGGGACAGTCCCAGTAAATGTCTCTTGTTCTGGCATTTTATTATTAACACCTGTTCAGTCTCAGTGTACTATCACAAGACCATCCTAGTCTTAATCAGTGTGGTCTATGTAAGGCACAAATCCACACAAGCTAGTTCCCTCTTAGATACTACTACATTCCATCACATCCCATGTCATATGTCATATAATATCATGTAATCTCTATATTCCTTCACATGTCATATAAGACCCTCATGATTTACTCCCTACCAACTCCCTGGCCTCGTTTGTTACTACAGTGCCCATTATAGCTATTTTATGTTGATTTCAGTTCTAGAACCTGCCTTGTCCCTTCCTGTTCAGCCTTGCCAGACACTGCTAGGTCGGCCTGGAATGATGTCCCTGCCCTCTTTCCCAGCTCTTCTTCTTTTCAAATTTCACTTAGATGTCATCTCTGGGAAACCTTCCTGCTGTCCTCTCAAAACCTGTGCTTCCAAAAACCATATACCTAGCATTATAATGCAATACCACACTTGATTAGTTGACTGTTTACCCATCTAGTTTCCTCATAAACAGAAAACTTGTTGAGAGTGAGAACCACACCTCACTGACTTTTACATGCATGCACTTAAGATAGTATTTGGCATATAATAAGTCCTCTTTCTATATATTATTAGGTAAATAACTGCTTTTAACCATATGATCTTGGTCAACTTACTTAGACTCTCAAAGTTCAGTCACCTGGTCTGGAAAGGTGATTAATATGCTACCTACCTAAAATGATGGTTGAAGTAAATTAGCTCTTAAAATTTCACTTAGTTCTAAGTTCTACAATTCTGAGAACCTGAAAAATAAGTTAGTAGGGCTATCATTATTTAAGAGACTGTTAAGTACTTAAATTCATTAAAATTTCTGAATTAAAAAAATGTGTAATCATGAAGTGAATCATTTTTCATGTTTCTCTACTTTTCCTAAGGTTACTACTGATAACATTCAGTGGGGATTAAAAATTACTTTATCCCCTTTAAAATTCCTGCTGACTATGAGACAGTTATTTCTAGTTTCAGAGTTGTGTTTATGGATTCTTGGATAATTTGGTGGTTATTAAAAAATGAGCAATTCTTAGTAATTATTTTAGAGAGGAAGAATAAAGTGCTGTAAAGAGTGGGAGTAAAGGGAGTGGTCTTGTCTGTGTCAAAACATTTACTGTGGATCTTAAGCAGGTCATTTACTTTATCTTGGCCTCAGAGACTTAATCTATAATATGAGTGTATTGAACTACATTATTATTAAAATATTTTAGTTTAGTATATTTATTTCACAGACTAAGGACCAGATTCCTGGAGTGTACCTATATTAGGAAATAAAGCTATATTATGCTGAATAATGAGCACCCAAAGACATCAGGTTCTAATCCTGGAACCTGTGAATGTTACTGTATTTGTAAAGTTTTTGCAAATGTGATCAAGTTAAGGATCTTGAAATGAGGAGATTATTGTCATTGTCCAGGTAGGCCCTTAATGCCATCACAAGTGCCCTTATAAGAGAGACACAAGGAGATTAGACATACGTAGAAGCACAGAAGGCAGAAGGCATTTTGAAAATGGAAACAGAAAGATTTAAAGATACAATGTTGTTGTCTTTGAAGATGGACAAAGGAGTCATGAGCCAAGGAGACTGGAAGAGGAAAGGAACAGATTGTCTCCCTAGAACCTACAGAGGAGTTTGGCCCTGCTGACACCTTGCTCTAGGCCCAGAAAAATTGATATTGGATTTCTAGTCCCCAGAACATTGAGAGAATAGATTTATATTAGTCTAAGACACCAACTTTGTGGTAATTTGTTGCAGAAGCCATAAGAAACCAATACAGATATGGTACTTAGAGCAGGGTCCTGCTGTAACTCAACCTAAAAATGTGAAAGTGGCTTGGGACGTGGACAGTGGACATAAGCTGGATGGATTTTGAAGCACATGATAAAGAAACCTGGATTTCTTTAAACAGACTTCTGTTAGAAATATGAGGATAAAAGGTGCTAAGGTGAGGATTTAGGAGGAGGTGTGAGGCACAGTAGAGAATGCCTACCTCATTTAGAGAATACATATAACATCATAAACAGAAAGCTGGTGGACATATTAATATTAACAGTGCTTTTTTTGAGGGCTCAGAAGGAAATTAAGAATATGTTATTGAAAACTAGAAGAAAGGCAATCCTTTCAGCTACAGAAATGTAGCTGAACTGTGTTCTACGTTGTATGAAAAACAGAACGTGTAAGTGATGAATTTGGATATTTAGCTGAGGAAATTTCCAAGCAAAGTGTTGAAGGATCAGCCTGGTTTCTTCTTCCTGTTTATAGTAAAATGCAAAAAGAAGGAGATAAAGTGAAAAAAGAACTGTTAAGCAGAATCAAAATAGCACTTGATGATTTGGGAAATTCTCAGCCTATCCAGATTGCAAAAGATGCTAAGTTGGGAGATTCACTGTTAGGAAAGCATGCTCTGAAGAGAAGGCTAAGGGTACGACTAGACAACCTTATGATAGTGCTGAAGAAATGAAACATGTGATGGATGGATTCCCTCAGCCACCTCAGCAGAAGTCAGGAATAGAGATGAGGTTACCTAGGAAAGATTTGTAGAGAACCCTCTCATGGCATGAATCCCTGTGACATACATGGGAGGACCACAGAGTTTTTGAGAATGTTGTATCAGCAGAAACACTGCCAGCTGGAACTAAAATAGACAAAGACAGAGCAAGTTGAAGGAAGGCTGTCAGACTCCCAAAATTCTACAGGCAAGTTGATAAAACTATTCAGCTGCAAACACATGATAGCTTTAAAGAAAAAGGATCACCATGAGTGCAGAGCCTTGGGTACAAAGGAAGTGCAGAGGCATAGAAGCAGAGACTCTAGCCATGTGCCCTGAGGCAGGACCCTCAAGTCACAGAGGCTGATTCCCAGGCCTTGAAACCTAGTGGAGTTTACCCTGCTGGATTTTGAAATTGCTTGGGACCAGTGACTTCTTTCTTCTTTACATTTTTCTCCTTTTGGAATAAGAATGTTTATAACTGTTATACTACGCTTGTTCTACCATTGCATTTTAGGAACTGATAACTTTTTTTCTAGTTTTATGGACTCAGTAATGGAGAATAATTTTGCCCAGGATAGATCATACCCAGAGTCTTATCCATATCTGAATTCCATTATTTACATTACACAATTTGAGATTTTTGAGCTGCTGTTACTTAAATGAGATTTTGGGCTTTAATTTAGGTAGGATACAGAAGGCTGAATAATGGCCACCCAAAAATATCAGGCTGTAATCCCTGGAATGTGTGACTATTACCTTATATGGTAAAGTTTTGCAGATGTGATTAAATTAAGGATTTTGAGATGAGGAGATTATCCTGGATTATTCAAGTGGGCCTCATATACCATGACAAATGTCCTTATAAGAGAGAAGCAGAGGGAGATTAGATGTACACACAGAAGGCAGAAGATGATTTGAGGATGGAAGCAGAGATTTGAAGATGCTACACTGTTGGCTTTCAACATAGTGGTAAGGCCATGAGCCAAGGAATGTGGCCAAGGAATGTGGCACCAGAAGCTGAAAGAGGCAGGCAATGGACGCTGTCCCCTGGAGAGCTTCTAGATGGAATACAGCCCTGCCAACACCTTAATTTCAGCCGAGGGAAACAGATATTAGAGTTCTGGCCTCCAGAACTGTGAGAGAATAAATTTCCGTTGCTTTAAGCCATCAACTTTGTAGTAATTTGTTATATCGGCCCTAGAAAAGTAATACAGGAATCTAAGACAACTTTGTGCAGCCCAAATTAAGGATAATTTGACAAAAACAAAGCACTATCTTGTGGTAGATAGTACTAAGCATGGACTCAAATAGATGTAAGTTCTAACCTCTTAACGAATGGTGTGAGTCAGAAATGTCTCTAAACTTTTGTTTTCTCATTCCGTCTATGAGGATTAAATGAAATAATCTATGAAAAGTATCTAGGAAAGTATCAGGCTTATAATGGAACCTCAAATTTTAGTTGAATCTAAAGGGATAACAAATTTAGTTGACTATATGCTTTTAAAACGTTATTTTAAAATATAGTTTATTTGCTTACAATACCTTGACTGCTAGGCACTACAAAAGCAAAGGGCTTTGGTTGTTTGATACAGAACCTATCCATAAAAGTAGCCTGTTTTTCCTTTGGGCGATACATTCAATCTGACTTGATTAAAGGGTTTCCATTAACCTGGCCCAAAAGCCCCTTTTCTGAAGATAGGCGCTAAACCAATGGGAACCTTTCCTATTTAAAGAAGCCCCTTTATATTTAAAGGTGAGAGAAGACCAATTTTTAAAAATGGGTAATTAGTGTTGCCTTAGTTCATTTTCTGTTGCTTGTAAGAGACTACCTGAAACTGGGCAATTTATAAGAAACAAAGTTTGTTTCTTATACTTCTGAAGTCTGAGAAGTCCAAAGTCATGGAGCCGCATCTGTTGAGGGTATTCTTGCTACTGTGGACTTTCTGCAGGGCACCGTGGCAGCAGAGAACATCACACATCAAAGGGGCTGAGTGTGGTAGTTCAGGTTCCTCTTTCTCTTCTTATAAAGCCGCCAGTTCTACTCCCATTATAATCCATTAATCAATTAATCCATCAATGAATTAATCCAATCATGAGGGCAGAGCATTCATGAACCAATCACCTTTTGGTTCCTGGTGCCATACTGGGGATTAAATTTCAAAATGAATTTTGGAGGGGACAAATATTCAAACCATAGCAAATGTAATTAAATTTCAGTAACTGGTACATTCTGAAGGATTTTTCAACATTTATGTTGACATTACTGTGTATTTACTCTTTGAAACTAACATCTTTTATCATCTATCTTCTCTCACTATGTGTAGATTTCCTTTAACATCCTACCTTTAAGCCTCTCACATCTCAAAATGTTTCCATAATACATAGTACAACTCTCCTAAAATTTATTAACATCTTTGTTTACATCACTTGAATTTTTATGGCTTGGAAAAAAATAAGATTCTAAAACTGGCATTTCCTCTTACAGAAAATTTGTTTCTCTCATAGTAATAGGGGCTATGAAGTTAGAGACAGCAGACAAATGTTTTGTTGTCAAGTCTTAGGGTAATGGAGCTTTTATGGAGCTGAGGCTGACTGAAACAGCTGCTAATTTAGAGTGTTATGGAGCTTACTTCTTTTTCTCCTCAACACTCTTTGTCTACTGAGTGCTGGGACTATAGTAATTTGAGAAGAGAGATGATGGTTGTGATATTGGGAAAGGTGGTGCAATTAGGAATGGGGCTCCAGTGCAAGGGAACGAGATAAGAAATGTGACCCAGGATTACCTTGAGCACAAAGAGCACATGAGGATCAATTCTACCAACCCCAGTGCCATTCAAGGATTTTTACTTATATTATCTGAGACTAGGCAAATAAATGCATATGTTCATTCCAATCCCCAGGAGGTTTCTGAAACTTTCTTAGAGATAGAATGCCCACAGATAAGAGTTGTGCATTCTGATTTGAGATCCATACCCTACCTATTTCTCTTTATAAGAAGATTCTTTCTAATGAGCATTTAGAAAACAGGCTTGGAGAAGGAGAGGAAAGCCAGATTGGAAATAGGTAGTAATAACAGGCAGTAATAGATATTTCTCAAACTTGGGTCTATGGACCACATGCTCAGAATGAACTAGTGTGCTTGCTCAAAATGAAAATTATAAAAGTCTCATTCTAGATGCACTGCACACAGTTGGCGGTGGAGGAGGGGGGCAAATATGTTCACACATAGAAATCTGAACTTTAATAATCTCTAAAAAACAATAAAATTAAGAGTAACACTAAATTAAGTGTAGAGGTGATGGGAGGAAAGGACAAAGGTCTTTTGAGCTTGAGATAATCTGAAAAATTTGGCAGAATGAATTTCATACACATATTCCAGGTTTGCACATTTTGTATTTTTGCACATATTCTGGAAAGGGAGAAAGTTCCAGTATATTCTATAAAAAGGGGGTAATTTTTAAAGTAAGTTAAAACACATGCTTAAGTTTAAATGCTCCCTGTTTGGTGAAAGAGATTTTCTGATAAATCTGAGATTAGGTCAGTTTTCAGCTCACTCTTGTAAGTGTCTGAGTGCGTGTGTGCTAAAGCTGGAGGGAGGGAAGAGAAGATATGATATTCATCAAAAGCTGGCTGTTTTCTCACCATGTCAGAGTGCTCCGCCACTGCTATTTATGAGGAAGAGCTGGGGATGCTACACCAAATGACAGTCGTGTAAACAAACTTTTAGGGATTGAGAGCTCTTCCCTTCTTCTTTTTTAAGCCACAGGAATTTATGCGTATGTGCGTCTAACCCCAAGAGTGTTGGCGGGAACCTAGCCCTCAAAGTGATCACTTGAATTTGCAGCCCAGCCTCCAAAACTGGAAACATGAAGAAGGAATATTGACGAGATTCTATAGTTTCCTCAGGAACCATCTTTTGAACTCAAAGAGTTCTTTAATGTCTTATGGTTTATTGAGAAAAAAGTCCTCTATTGTGAGAAATTCTTTCCTTCAGCTGTGGAGATTATTTGAGTTTCAGTTCCTGTAGATGACCTTTTCTCAGACGAGTGAACTGGGACTACAGTCAAAGCTGTGACTCTGTCCACCTTGGGTGTTTCATGAGTATACAAATTATAGGCTCATGTCTATGTAAGTGACATTTCTTTATACCTACAAAATACACATAATACCAGATTCATATTCCATATAATTCATGGAATATCTCCTGTAAAGTCATAGGAAACATGAATATGAAAATATTAATAAAGAATTGACCACATGGGCTGGAAGCAGTGGCCCATACCTGTAATCTCAACACTTTGGAAGACCAAAGCAGGAGGATTGCTTCAGCCCAGGAATTTGAGATCAGTCTGGACAACATAAGGAGACCTCATCTCTACAAAAAATAAAAAAAAATTAGCCAATCATGATGGTGCTTGCTGGTAGTCCTAGCTACTCGAGAGTCTGAGGCGGGAGGATCCCTTTCACTTAGGATGAGGCTGCAGTGAGCCCTGATGGTGCCACTGAACCCTAGCCTGGGCAAGAGTGAGACCCTGTCTCAAAAAAACAAAACAACAAAAAAATTGACAGCACAATACACACTGACGCATTTTTCTTCTGTACAGATTTTTAAAAATATTTTTTCTTCATATCAAAGGCTTCAAAGTCATTTAATAAGCTTGACCTATAGTTTCAGCTGAATTTAGCAGTATGTAACCACTGACAATGGCCATAACTAATTAGTCTGAGATGATTATTGTACTGAACAACCTAAAGTAGTGTGGTTGGGTTTTTCACAGTCCCAAAAGACTTCATGGAGGTGTGGAGGTTTGAAATTATTTGTTATATGCGGTGCTATGTTGTATGAGGCACTTAGCCAAAGACATCTTTTTCCTAATGTTTTGTGCTCCAAAGAAGGCATCAAATTATTATTAAAGAATCTGAATTGCATACTTCCAATTTTACTCATTGAAAAATGCCATCCATCAATTGTCTTATTATATATTTTCCCCTATTAGTGACTATGATTATAGATAGAATAGAAATATATTGCCTCAGTCCTAGACCATCCTACCCTCTCATGTCCTTATTAGTGACTGGCACTCTGATTGAATTAGTAAAATTTTAAATTAGTAACATTGACATTTTGTGAAGAAGCAGACTGGGGACTAGAAAGGGAAAAATTAGAATTTGGAATAGGTTGTTATTAAAGTCATATTTTTATAGTCTGTTACATTAACTATAAAAAAATCCTTGTTTCCCTATGTTGATCTTGGGCAAGGTTTTGAGGCAATTCAGTTTTAATCAACATATGTGTTCTTTATGTGCCACTGTGTTTTTTTTAAATTACTTTGTGTATTAGCACATTACATTTAAAAAACAGATAGACTTAAAAAAAAAAAAAACAGCATACAAAATTTTCTTAGGCAGCATTGAATGATTAATGCAAACTGGGTGAATGGTCTTAACTACTGATATCTAGCTCCTGGTTTTAGATATTGTTTCAGTTCTGTTTTTAGAATAGGAGAAAATAATAATAACTAATGATATTGAATGCTTAGGCCTATGTACTTTATATGTACACTCACTTAATGCTCAAAACAATCCTAGAGTGTGGATACTAGGTTATCCTATTGTACTGATGGGAAAATTTGAAGCTACTGAGAAGCCGAGTAACTTCACTGAGTAGTTAATAATTGATGAGACTAGGATTTGAACCCAGGTAGTATGGCTTCAGTTCCTGTGCACTTAATCACTAAGCTATTGTGCCCTTTGATAAGATGCAACTAGTCTAATTTGAAATCCTTCAATTAGACAGAGGCAAATTAGTCACTATGCTACATCAGCAAATTAAACTTTATAGCTAGAGGAAACTTCCATAGAGTATTCTGTGCTTTCTTGACAAAGTTTGCCTACATAAAGAACAAAAAAAGATCTCTTCTTGCCATCTACAAATGTTTACCTGCAGTTAAAAAAGTCTGGCTCCTGACCACTTTTATTTTGAAACTCCTGATGGCTAAAAAAGAAACAGATGAAAAAAATGGATTTTTTTCAGTAGTTACTTTTCAAAGGATGATAAATGGAAACATTTAAAAAATACTTTTATAGTGTGAATTCATTTTCTATCAGTTCTTTCAGTTTGAAATTTCTTTTGTTATTTGTTTAATATCAAAGATTTTTAACCTTCTCACATATGAGGAACACTATTTATTTTATTTTCTTGCAGTTTGAGAAATATTTGTCTTGATGCCAAACTGCCTGAAGACATACTCTTTTACAAAGAAAGCAAAATTTTAAGAGAAGTTAACTTAGGGTTGCTGACATTTATTTTCTTCTTTATTTAATCTTCCCATAGTTCCCAAGTTCAGAACTTGAAATATTATCTTTATTAAAGAAAGTATTCATATTAAACTCCCACATCTATATGTAGCCATTTTTAAGTCTAAAGTATAAATTAAAAATTATCCAGACACTATCAAATAAAATCCCCATCTTAGCAAACGCTTTTTCCAATGAATTTCAACCAAACTAACCTAGAATCAGCTTTTGGCGAACCTTGTACTAATGGAAGATTTGCTTTTTTGCTTTTGAAGGCAAATTGATATTCACAAATCATATGTCACAAGCCACTAAAAGTGTCAGAATCCCACAGCAGGCCCTTGGTAGCTTGTTAATCTCTCCTGTTTAAAGGAAACAGACTAATTCACTTAAATATAATGAAAGCCATGCCTGCCCCAGCTTAGTCCCTTAAAGCGTCAGCCCATACAAGTCCTGCCTTCTTTCTTCACCTCCTTCTTTCCTGGCTCTGACAATTAAACATGAAACTAAGAAGCAATGCTTTCCTTAATGTTGCCATGTCTGAGTTATTTCAGATGTCACATATGTGAAAATTGTGAAAATGCAGGATGCCTTTAAAAAAAATTTTCATTGACAATATATGCAAGGGGGTATCCTTGCCCACCTTTCACCATTGTTCTCAACAAAGCATAAAAGATAAATCAGGATGTTAAATGCAGGGACCAGATGTATATATAACCTTTTGCCCTCATTATTCTAATTGGTTTCCATTAGGAGGAGGGAGGGAAAAGTAAAACAGCAAAAAAAAAAAAAAAAAAAAAAAAGGAAATAATTGATATAGAGGTGAGAGAGTGAACTTTTAACATTGGATTGGCTAAAATCTGGGAATATTATAATCAGAATAATAGAAGAGCAATTTCAAAAGATCAAATCAAAGGTGATTCATATAACACCAATAAATGGGGAGGAAATAATTTATCTTAATTTTATGCGCCCAGAAATTTTCCAACTGTGGTCAGTGGTGCCCCAACTATATTATTTTTAACACTTCTCATATTTACATGTATTTTTGTACTTTGAAGGAAGAGCCAAATGTTCTCTGACTCTTATTGCCCAGATACACACAATCACATTTGTGGCTAACTATATTTGTATTTAGTTCTCCCCCTTCTAACCATGTGCATTTTCCCCTTTTAGTAGCATTAGCTATTTGTGGTTCTCCACACTGAAATGAACTGTAATATGCAGTAAGGTTAGATCTTCCAATCAAGGACTTCAGTGGCAAAGGACCTGAGACTGGGATGACAACAGAGTCTTACTTTCAACCTAAGTCTTAATCAAAGCGTAGAGTCATAAGATTGAAAATCTGGAGTTAGGGCATGTAGGGGAAAAAACCATTTTCATTGCAAGCATACTGTACGTGTTAGTCATGGCTCAGACTGCAATAGGAATTTTATGGAGCAAGAAAGGGGAGGTGCAAGAAGAAGGTTTTGAGTTTCCTACTAAATGTATTTTTAAATAGCATTACAGCATCAGGATTTATAAAGAAAGAAGCAATAACAAAAAGGAGCTTTTTACCTCTCTCTTTTTTTTTTTTTTTTGCAAATTATTTGAGGATGAAATTGACCACCAGAAAAGAGACATGAGGAGACCAAAAGGAGCTGACTGATTAAAGAGTGAGCTCCTGAATGTGGCAAAGTCTGGAATCCTACAAGACAACCTACCAAAGCCTGTTGACAGCTCATCTTGGGGTATAAAGTCTGAGTGGAGGTCTTAGGTATGGAAGGAGCTTTCAGAGGTCATTTAGGTCACTTCAATCTCTCTCCACAAATCACACTCTTTGTTATTTTAGACAGCTCCCAACCATGCCGACATTTTACAGTAATAACTATAATTGGAAACTTGACAGTATCCATTAATTTCCAATTCTAGTGTTTGGCTATACCTATTTTTATCTATATATTTTTTAACTCATATCTCTTATTCTCTCATTTTAGCTCATTTTGCCTTGGTTTCTCCTCAGTAAGCATGAGAAGTAATTGGGTTTAAATAACTTACTTAAAATCTTTACATATTCTATGTGAAAACCACCTACACAGATAATATTATCAGATTTCTATCTTGGTTTCCTTAAACTCAAAGGATTCACACTGTGTTTCAATTCATTTTGATACTTTATTTGGTTTACAGGATCATTTTACATGTATGATGTTATTTAGTTTTCACCATAACGCCATCAATTAGGTAGCATATGTGGTAGTATCTTCATTATGTATGTGAGAAACCTCATCATATTTCACTTAAACTAGAATTCTCTTTCTTTGATTTCTAATCAGTAATCTTTCCACTGCACTATCATATTAATCTTAAATAAAGATTTGTTAGCCACAGCACTATTTCGAACCAGGTAATTCTTTGTGGTAGGAGCCTGCCCTGGGTTTTGTAGCACATCTAGCAGCATCCCTGGTCTCCACCTACTGAATGCCAGTAACACCTCCCTCCCAGTTGTGACAGTCAAAAACTGTTGTAGGCTGAGGAATTGAAAATCTGACTATATTTGGAGAATAATTGCATTCAATTAATATTGAGTGTCATGAGATTCTCTAAATATAAGATGTGCATCTTCCTGTTAATATACATAAGATTGCTGAGTTATCATTTTTTTGATTATGACAATGCCTGTCACCTCACAGAGGATATCATCCAATACGTTTTCTTAATACGTCTAAGGGCTTTGGTTCTCCATCAAAAAGTAATTTTCCACTTTTGCTTTAAAAAGAGTCACAGTAAGAAATGCTATTTCTTTTTTTCTTAGAAATTTAATTTTCAAAAGAAGAAAATGTAACTCAGATGGGTTTTGAAAGTCTCAGCCACCTCAGCCTTGGTGGATAGCCAGGATCTCAGCCCTGGTGTTTTCTTTCTTTTTTTATGGTGGTCCCTGAGGTTGTGAGTGTCTGAAATATATAGTGAATTCTACAATGCAATTCAAATATAAGGAAGTCTTGTTTATTACCAGGTGCAAACTTGTTGCTTCATTACCATGTGATCCAGGGCTATCTTATTTGTGTAACTGAGGTTATAGGAGAGATATCAACTATGAAGGAAAATGTATGTGGAGACCAAAAGTGTATATGAAATAATGAATAATTTCACGTGAATATGTAGTTAGTGATTGCCCACCTTCTAAGTTAAAAATAGATTTCTTAATGACATAGGACAAATACCAGGTTGCTGAAAGTTACTTCTTCCATATTGTAAAGAGGCTGTTTCAATGAAGAAAGATATTATCAATGACCTTATTGGAAAGTCACATTTAAGGTGGGTGAATCCTTCATGCTCTATTTTTGCCCTTCAACAAACATATCTTTTTTGGTGCTTCTTGAGTGTATAAGACATTTCATGGGAAGTTTCAAACTCTGTGAAATTTGCTTGTACAAATAACAGAAAATTTAGAGCATAAAGCTTTGAAATGTCTTTAAATTTTCCAATCTATGTTTTGAAAATTACTGTTGAGTTCAAGAATGCCTAATGGCTGAGTCCTGTTGCTTCACTGTAAGTATAATTGTATTTCCTTATGAAGGTTAAAATTCCCATTTCATTTCTTCCATTTATCTAAGTTTCCAGGTGTCATTCACAATTAGCCATTAAAAATGATTGTGTTTAATTGAGATTTACCAGTGGCTTTAATACAAGTTTTCACTTAAAGAGCAGTTATGTTTTATATTGCAAGTTGAAAACTGTATTAACGGTGAATTCAGTGAAGGAAATTTAGAGGTCTGAGGCTAATGAAAACTTTTTAATGACATGCAATACCTAGGAAATCATATTCATCTGTTGTTTTTCACAAAAACTAACTCCAGGAAAATTGATATTGTTGTAGAATATTGGAAAAGTTACAGAGGACACTATTTAGAAGTACATTCATTATTCAACAACTACTTTCAGTACTTACTACATGCCAGGCCCCGTGAAATATTTTGGGGACAACATAATTAATAATTGCTGTCTCCCACTAAAACCAGAGACAGACGCATAAACACATAATCATACAGTACAGTAAGTGCTGGAATAACAGGGCAGTGGAGGCACAAAAAGAGAGGGGAAGAGATAACCCTGCCTAGGTCTGAGTGTTTAGGGTAGGAACACTCAGAGCTGAATAGTGTCAATTCAAATTTCTCCAAGAGGAAATTTCTTTAGCAGAGGGTAAAGGATATATAGGATATCTCCAAGACATTAGGGACATTTTGAGTAGAGGAGGGAAGCAGCATCTATAAGGGCAGATAAGATTACAACAATTTGTCATGCTGAGGGAGTATTTGTTCTCTAACATATAGTATCCATTGATACTCTATGATATCTCTATATGGGATAAGAGGACAAAAGGAATACAGGACTAGCTCCTGTGAATAACACTAGTGTTGTCAAATATGAGGAAATATAGTAAGTTGCTTTGTGCTGTTTGCTGGGTTATAGGAGTTCTCCCTATGTCCTAGTTAATTTTATCAAAAATTGTAACATTACAGTGAGTGCTAGAATAACAGGGCAGCAGAGGTACAAAAAAAGAGAGAAGAGTTAACCCTGCCTAGGTCTGAGTGTTTGGAGCAAGAATACTAGGAAAGGAATGGTGTCAATTCAAGTTTCAAGAAGGAATCTCTTTAGCAAAGGATAAAAGATATATGGACTATCTCCAAGACATTGGGGACATTGTGAATAGAAGACGGAAAGTAGCACACATCATGGAGCAGATGATGTTATTTTCATTTTTCAGAAGAATTAAGGAGTAACTAGTCCAAGTTCACAAAGATGGTAAATAGCAGAGCCATGATGCCAAGCTAGGTCTGCTTGACTCCGATTTTCATGAAATATCATCTCTCTTCTATGTGTTTTATCTGGTTTGGCATGGCTTTTTAGAGAGTATAGTCTCTTCAAGGGATCTTCAGGGAATAGAAGCAGGAGGCATAAAGACATGAGATTTGTTTGGGAAAAATAAATACAGATCACCTTTCTGGTAAAGGGAGCAGTTGAGAGAGTGATAGGAGGTGACTTTGTGTCCATATGGATTTGAGAAAGAGACCTTTTGCAGATGCAGACGAAAGGAAATGAGAATGGTATATAGGTGCTTAGGAAGTAGAGACTACAAAACTGCTGAATAGGCAAACCAAAATCAGGGAAAATTTTCAAGCAAACTTACAGAAAATAGCAAATGCAGATTTATTAAGTGAAATATAATAATGAGTTTGTAAGGCATAAAGAATCTGTAGAAGCCCAGTGTTTCCAAATCTTGCCAGACTATGCAAGACAGACTTCTCTCTCCTCCCTGGCTCAGCTCCTAAACAGAGCTATTATCTGCAGAGATAATTCCAGATGCTCTGACCCCTTCCAAATTCTTATTTGATGATCAGTCATCTGGAGTGGAACTCTTACTCCCCATTGAGGTTTCAGAGTGATGCACCAAACTTTGCTCTCCTAATTAACACTGTGGGTCATCCCCATGCACCCAGTAGTTCTTAGAGACTGGACTGTCAGGCTCTCATATCTATGACATTGCCTCTAGGGAGGAGAAGGATGGGTGGACCCCTTGAGTGGCCTTCAAATGCCTCAGCATTAAAATAGAAAGCTCTCATGAGTGCCTGAAAAATCTCAGCTGTTATTTCTCCAGCTTAAAAATGTTTGAACTCAGAAAGCAATAAACTACAAGCTAAGAAGACCCAAGGAGCTTCTGTGGGGCAGCAGAAGCTGCTTTTAGCTGAACTAGCAAACCCTCTGATTGTCATCATTCCAGTCAAGATTTCAGCACTGAAGAATAACCTTGAGAGTTGCTGCTGCAAGGCAACTCTTATCATATAAAATGTTTACTATTCCTTTTAAGTATACAGAGTACCTTTTAACAAAGACATTTCTGGGAACTTTGGTTTGAATTCTTTATTGGGTCAATGAGATAACAAGGATGACATTCATTCAGAAAAGTTAGAAGTTGAAGTTAGGAAAATTAGAGAATTTACCTATGCTTTCTGCAGCAGCAGGCCTCTTTAAAAGATCCAAATTTTGAAATATCATTAGGACAGAATATTTGGTCGATAAAGTAGTCAGGCCATTAATATTCTTTCACAATTATTCACTTGGTGATTGTGTTGCTACAGGTGACTTGCTTCTTTTTAGTGGTAGTGTTAATGATTGTCATCATGCCTTGCAAATATTAATTACATCCTTGCAGGCATCATATAAAGAGACATTAAGATTTCAGCTCCCATGCTTTAAAGTCTTGCAATTAAATTTAGAAAACAAGACAGCTAGTATTCTGATAAGTACCTATAAAAATTCCTAATTGTTGATGCAAAAGAAATGACATATAAAATTAATACAGAGGTAGGTATGAGAAGCCATGAGGTAGACAAGAGGTATTCTTTGAAGGAAGCCTGTAGTCTAGAGAAGTGGCTGCAGGGAATTCAAAGTGATGGCCTTGACTTAAATTACAAATGTTGCTGTTCTGTTCAGGGATCAAGGATCAGATGCTTATGGTTGAATGAATGATTGCCCTAGGGAAGGGAGTGTTAAAGATTAGCAGGGAAAACTAAATGGGCATATCAAAAGCCATCAGAAGATATCAAATGTCAGGATAAGTAGGAAAACTCATTAACACATTAAATGTTTTGCCCTTTAAAACTACTTTTCTTGATGGAGTATATTTTAAACAATTAAGTGAAACCTGTTTTAATTAAAGATTCTTCTGATGTGATTAAGCTGTCATTTTACAGTGGCATGATGAATTGTAACACTTGGACTTCAAAATTCTCCAAGTGCATTTTGGCAAAAGCTATTCCATGAAGTCATAATCTGTCGTCAAGAACCAAAGCATTGAATGAATACTGGTCAATGCAAATTTGTTTCTGTTTTTCAGTGCTGTCAGGATGGGGATGATTTGAAGGGCAACTCTTAGGGTTCTTAAAAGGATATAGGTATTCCAAGGTGATTCAGTTCAGGAAGGTGGCATTTTCTAAACAATCACAGGACTAACCCTGGATCACATATTTTCAAGATGGAATTAGATTTTCTAGTCCAGTAGAAAGTAGAATGATAGACCATGAGACTTGGAAGGGTTAGGGGGTGAAAGTTGGAGTGGATGATGAGAAATTACATAATGGGTATGATGTATGTTATTCAGATGATAGGTACCATCAAAGCCCTCACTTGACCATTACACATGTAACAAAATTCCACTTGTATCCCATAAATTTATATGAATTTTTCAAAAAGAGATTTTCCAGTCCAGTAAGGTCCCTACAGTAAGCCACTGAAGAAAGTGGCATTATCACCATTTTATAATGAGGAAAAATAAGATTTTGAGACATTAAGCCAATTTACTGAAGTTACCCCACTAATAATTTAACACTTTAGCCCAGTCTATTAGACTGAAAAGTCCACTGTACAACACCCTCCCTCAGATTCAATCTGCAGGATTGGTCTAGAAAAGATTTATCTAATTCACATTTTCCTTCTTCCAGGTAATGTGGAAGTTTTTGAGATTCAGTGATTTTCCTGGAATGCTATGCAATGACAAATGTCAGGAAGAGTAATTAAGAATTGATTTCCCTGTAGGATTCAGAATATCATATGTCATTATCTTTGAATATGCATGTGATTTTTGCAATGCTATCCCATTCCCTGTGTGCCAATATAACTTTTTCTTCCAAAATCTTTTATGCAAAAATATGCAAGTTAATAGCATTACCTAGTAGCAATCCTCAAAACTTTACTGGCACATAAATTAAATATAAGCACTCTCCAAAGGTGCTTAGATGGTGCAAAAGAAGTACAAGATGATAATTTGACTTTGCTGACTTCAGATCTTGTTAGGAGGCTCTCATTGGGGTATAACACTGCACATAATCAACTGCTAAAAGGCTTGAGCCATTGTGTATGCCAAGGATAAGCGTATATGTATTGCATCACATAGAGAACAAATGTACCACAAAAGCAGAGGGTCTTTATTGGAGAATGTTATTCTGAGATTTTTATTTTAGGAGGGTAATCCTATTAATTATCTAATTTCCATTTTTCTCTTGGCTTCTAAAGTAGATGTATCAATTTTAGATACAATGTACTGACTTTTTATGTTGTCATGAGTAGAGCATGTACCATTAAAACTGATGTGCGGAGGTAATATGCACCACATGGTTTCTTACTGTCTACATGTCTGGCTTTAATCACAGATTCTTCATGAAATGTTGCAAGCCTGGGGTGAGCTAGCTGTTAGATTCTTCTGGGGTACAGCCTGGGCTGTGGATTATTGGTGAAACTGCATTACGAGGCTACTGGGGTTAATTATGTCTGAAAGTTTTCAGTACAATCCACATCAGTTGACACTCTGTGCATACTACATAAACAGTCTGGAGGGAGACCTTTATTAGCAGAGCAAGAAAGCAGCTAGCTGTCTGTGTTCTATAATGTCCTTTGTTTTTTAGAGCTTCTGACTCATGTAGCCCTTCTGTTTTATTTAATGTATTCTTAATCAAATATGTGCTTATTAAGCCAAATAATGAAGAGTCAAGAGGTTCAAATCTTGAACATAAATTCCCTATGTCTAAGAACAATTCTTAATTTAAGATTATGTGCCCCAGGACAGCAGCCCACTGAATCTGGGGGAAAGCATGCCAATGTTTACCCAGAATTTCAACATACATTGTGGCACTGGAAGCCATCCTAACCTGCAGAAGTGCTATGAAGAAATTAGCCAATGAACATACGTTAAAGATCTTCTCCCTTGTGTATGTCGTATCTTATCTGTTGGAACTTCTGCCATGTAGAATCTTCCTAATTGTCAATTAACCATAATGTTCTTATGTATAATATTCTTTCTGTTCCTAAACAAAAGTAGGGTGGAAGAACATTAGTCTAAGCTAATCCAGAAATGCCCTTGCCCCCCTCAAGACTCCTGACTTTAAAGTCACTCAGCCTCTTGGGTACACGATTTCTACTTTACCTGGCACGAACTCTGCATCATCTTATAATGTGGTGGGTTTGGTAAGTTCTGGAGGAGACAGAGGGGAATGCATTATTCCAACAGGTCTTCCTAAGAACCTTCATGGCAGAAAAGACTAGGAAGCTTGAGGGTCCTGATGGCCTTTTAAGTGAAAAAGCACTTATTTGGCTATACTTAGCTATAAGGAGAAATCTGTATTCACCAAGATGTTGAAAAGCAGGAGAATTTTGCCCCCAATTGGCATCTTTGTCTCTAAACTACCTAAGCACCTCACAAAGAGAGGCAAAATAGCATAATGGTTAAGAGCAAGGACACTGGATCAGATGCTGAGTTTGAATCCTGGCTTCACCACTTAAGAGGTATGTGACCGTAGACAAGTTATTGAGCCTCATGTGCCTATTACCTCTCAGTAAAATGTAAAACAGGGATACTAATTGTACCTCACTCAAGGCTATCATGATGGTTAAATTACTTGATATTTGTCACTTGGTAAGTGTTAAACAGTTTCAACTGTGAATTCTCAATTCCATCCATTTCTCTGATAGAAAGTTCATTATTAGTCATTTATGTATAGATCAACTTTTATATCTATAAACTAATAAGAAAAAAACCTGACAAAACTACAAGATAACTTCTTGCTCTTAGCCCAACACTGGGAAGCTGTGACTTTGTGCAAAAACATGATCTTTCAGGGTTTAAGATTCCTCCTCTGTAAAAGAAAGGTTGAAGTAGATCACTGGTATGGCCCCTTTCTGGTCTAACATTAAGTTTTTCCAACTTTAGGGTTTTGTTGTTGCTAAACAAAAATAACTCATCATGTTTCGAAATTACATTAGAATGTTGTTTTTTTTTTATGAAAATCTTAGGAAATTGGAGGTAGTGTCGGTGATCTAAATGGCATCTCTTACCTACACATACATATTTTTTTTGTAATAATCTTTTTTTCAAACAGTTTTGGCAGTTGAAGCAGAAAGAAGTGAAACATTAGATTTTTGAAAGCCAAGTGTACTGGGGGAAAGGGATGTAAGGTCACCTGGTTAGTTTGAAGTGTGTAATTCTTTTCTCTCTCACCTCATTCTGGCTTCTTCAGAATGGCAGTTGGGTAATACTGCATCAGTTTGATAAGGCTGCCTTGCCCTTCCTAACAACTAAAACCATCCTAGACACCTTTTCATGGACACTCCCTCCATTAAAGCACCAGAACTTTAGAACTGCTTTTAAAAATAGCAGATAAATTAATGATGTTCTTGAGTAACACTTTTCACTAGAAGAGTCTGACTGAGAAACAAAGTTGATAATGCTGTACAATATTCTTATATTGAATAAAGGCGTGGAGTCTTTCTGCCTTGAGAAACATAGTCAGAAAATAGCCCTGGGACACCGATATTAGAAAAGGAACAGACACAAACTCCATTGCATTTGGCTGCCAGTAAAGAGCTCATTTTGTTTACATTATTACTCTCCAAAGAAGACAAGATGAAATTGTCATTATCCAAATGTTGTCTAGTGTTTTCCAACTAAGTTCCTGAGCTAAAGTAAGAGATTGCCAAAAACCATGTTTACAACACTGAATGCATTGTGTAATAAAGTGTTAGGTAGATCAGCTAATAAAATTACTTATTTTAGACTTAGATAAGTTGAATTTAGGTTTAATTCACTACCCAATGGGGACAAAGTGAGTTGGTTTTCTGATAAACTGAAACATACCCAACTTTTTGTTGATAACAGAGTGTAAGAGCCTTTAGATATTACCCACGGGAACCACTCCCTTTCAGTGGGAAAAGCCTGCCATTCTCAACTGAATTGCTAATGGTCATCTATTTAATTGATTTTGATTCTCAAATTTGTTAAAATGCAGTTGGCAAAGAATATTTTTTATTGCCCCTGTTGGCTGACCTATGGACTATGAGCTGGAATAGAGTTGGTGAAAGTTTAGGAATGGAGCTGGAATTAAATGCTTAGATTCCCATCATTTATTTCCTAAGGGAAATTGTAACAATTTCACCTCGCTCTTTTTCCTGACACTAAGAATTGTATGACCAACACTCTCTTGTTAAAGTATTAGTGGATCAAGTCTTTTGGGAAAAGCTGCAATGTACTTTGAACATTTGACCCACAGTACCACTTAGGATAATTTATCTGAATTTATTTTATTTATAAGATGCAGAATAGGAAACTGAATCATGACGCTTTAAATATAAATACACTCTGTTCTCAGCATATTCCTGCAGAGTCATATGAAAGAGGTCCTCTCTTCCACGCTGCATTGTATTTTACTTTTATCATTTTAGTTTTGTTTAAGTATTGCGGAAAAATATGGACCATTATATTCTCCCTGTTTTTATTTTACCTTCTGTGCACTAACAATTAGTCTTCCTTTGTTTTGCACTATGAGTCTGAAACGTTTGTTAGTTCTCTGCTTTCTTAGTAAATGGTACCATTTAAAATAGATTGTAAATATATATTGCATAGATATTTAAATATATATTATAAATACATAGAAATATATATGCATACTCAGAGTCCTCTATAAGCTCTCTGTTCTACTTGAGACTTTTCATATCAGATCCTTATACTGTTTTCTCTTTGTGTTTGATCTGTTCTTTTATCATGTCTACAACAAAGATGTTTAACCTATGTACAAAGGGAATATAATTTGACTTTATATACTGCCTTTTGAAGATCATTTTTAATACTAGTTTGAAGCCACATACATCAGAGTGGTTTGGTAAGATGAGATTTTACACATCTTGAAAAGTCCAGGAGAGAATGGTTATACTTGGTGAATCAAATTGTCTTCTTTCCTACCCCATTTTTCCAACTCTAAATACAAGTGAAATGAATGTTCTTGTAAATTGTACTTTCTTTTTATGGCTTTTAGACCATAGTTCTATACACTATGTGCACACATAATTTAGAGACTAGGTACATGCGAAGAGAATAAAGTCACTGCCTTTTAAAGCTCTGTGTTTACATCAACACTGTCTAGCTAGATAGCCTGATGAATGAAAAAGGGAACTGGTATTATAATGGTAGTTAATTAAGACAGCTAATAAAACCAAGATCTGATCGAAGCTGCATCTGGGAGTGAGGTTTTAAGAAGCAGGCAGGACTGTGCACTAATTGTTGGATTGTTATTATATTACATGTGTCTTGGAGAGGAGATAGTGTGACTCAGGGTAGGCAGCAGCTGAATCAGTAGCACTGGGTTTTATCCATCACAAATTTAGTATTAAAACTTCAGCTGTGTTATAACTTTCCTAATGGAGCAAATTCCAACACATGACTTGCTGCAACAGCCAAACACACCTACCACTGCTTTTAGAGATTTTAACCCTGGTATGAGGACAGGTTCTATTTGGATACTTTCTGAGCAGGATAGAAAGTTTACTTACATCTGCGCGGTGATGCTTATGGTTCTGCTGTAACAATGAACAAAATTAGTGTCTCTGAAGATTTTCAGATGCAATTAGATGTAAGAGTAAGTTGATTATTTGACCTAAAAAAGCCCACATAACTGTCCTTTAGTATGAGATAGTTGTAGAGACAGGGAAGATATAACAGAGTATTAACTATAATATACTACTGATTATATTATTTTAATGATTTAATAAGCACTTTTAATTAAAAATATGCCTTCCTCTTAGTCCATGTGAGAAATGCCATTAATTATAATATTAAGGCAACATATATGCTAGACAAAAGCATTTTAGTAAGAACACATGAGTGTTCAACATGCCATCCACTCTCTACTTTCTATTTAAGAGTTTTACTTACAAAGGTGTTACTAGAGATGCAACTTAAGGATCTAGTATATTCTTTGTTAAGGAGTCTGTTTGTATTCTCTTAAGAAAAGGGAACATTTTGATATTCAAAGGCAAGGTAGATCCATCATATTTTAATTCACCTAAACTAAGAACTCCAGAGAGAGTTATAGCTTATTATTCACTATCTTACTCTATCTTTATATTATTACTTGGTTGTATTGCTACCAATATGAAAGAAAAAAATAGAGGAAAAAATCCTCAAATTACTTATGACATAATAGGTGCACTTTTTGCAAATTTATTTTATTTCAGAAATGGAAGCATGTTAGCTGGCTGGATAAACCGGAACTACTCTTTCAAGTCTGGCTGTATTCTAGCAGAGAAAAGAAGAGCCCCCGCCCCCCAGCTTTTTTCATATTAAATTATTGAGTTTTCTCTTCCCATTGATGGCTTAGTAGATAGGTCACTTAATCTTAAAGCAAATAGGGAGAGATGGTGGAACTTCTACCACTTTCCTTACTTACCAGCTATTTTTGCTGAGGAAAAAGTTTCTAGATACATTCTAATTTTGTTAAGAGAATCTTTTAAATTAGAAGGTACCTGAGCTCTCATAATATTTGAAATGTACCCTCAGGATTTACTTTTTAAAATTTATTATTTCTACATAATTACCAAGGGGCTTGACGCAATTTAAAAATACAAACACAAAACAAAACTAATGAAGTGAGAAAATGAGAATAAAAGCTAAATAATGAGGGTTTAGTTACAACAGTTTTATTGGAAACTGTACTGGAGATTGCTATAAATCATAACATTTAGCTCCAAGCTTATTGAAATGTAAAGAAAAAAGAAAACGCAGAACAAACCATATAGTTCTCAACAAAAAAACAAAGCACAGCAAGCAAAGCATGAAAACTAACAACAACAATAACAAACAGGTCATTTAGACGATAAACAAATATATCCTGGCACTGGATTCTTACATGGATATTGAAGAGGGACTATGGACTATGCATTGGGAATCTAATATTAACTAAGAAGAAAGTGTTCACAAGACACTGTTCTAGGAAATTTACCTGCATAATCTCATTCATAATCATCATAAGATCGCTATGAAATCAGTTGCGTCTCTGTAATAAAAATGAGAACACAGAGACTATTTGGTTTCATTGCACCTACAGATGGCATTGTGTCATACTAAGAAATCTTTTTTAAATTACAAAACATTTTCTCTAAGAACGTATCTCAACAATTCTTGTGAGAAGCCTAGCATATAATATTAGGAAGACTGAAAGTTTTTATTTTTAATAGTGTCAAAAACAACTTCTGTTAGCATTTATTGAGGACATATTATAATTAACTCGTTCAAATCTCAGAAAAATCCTTCTGTTAGGTACAAATAATATTTTATTGATGAGGAAAAAGAGTCACAGAGGGAATCCTGGGAGCACTTTCAAATACCGTAATGAGAGCTTCTCAGGTATCTTCTAAATTGAAAGGTTCTCTTGGTAGAATCAAATGTACCTGGAAAATGTTTTCTCAGCATAAGAAGCCTGGGTAAACATAATTATAGAACTTAGACATTTCCCCAGGAGAATGTCCAAATCATGTACTCCTGCCAATCTAAACTAGCACAGGGGTGGGTTTTAAGATACTTTCATAGATGTTTTTGAGCTTTAGACTGTTGATCTCAAAAATTAGCTGTCTCAATCAGAGTTATGTCAGCAGCTGAGTAGGAGTCAGGTGGAGTTCCCGAAATGCACAGTGGATATTTTGTTCCTAAAATGTAAGAGCTAGGCTTGTACCCTGGCCCTGGTAAGGGTCATGCTACCTCTGTATTGGTGTCCCCTTTTAGAGGTATGAAGGGCCAGGCATGAGTTCCCTCTGTGGCAGCTTTTGCATTGTGTACAAGCAACTCTTTGACTAAACCATTGAAATCTACTGTCAGAGCACAAGATTTCAATCAAAGAATTGCATCGAAAGTCCCTCAAATCCTCACCCTGCTAACGGTGTAAGTGGCATGGCGTTATCTTTATCAGTCCCAATGTTGTGCCCAGTGCTGAATGATGGTCACCCATGCAGTGCATCCCCAAATGTGCTCCTCTTTCATGGACTATGCTTCTAATTAATTTTTGGCCCTACTTAGTCTGAGATGGAATCACTGATAATGGCATAACTGATTGATTCTATAAATATTTATTAGTTTCTTTTACTACTGAGTTAGTAGTATTAAAATTAGTAGTAGTAGTATTAGTAGTATTAGAATTTCACACTTGGAAAATCCAGACCTTAAACGTAAAAATCAAGATATAAATCAGTAAATATTTAACTCTAGATGTGTGTGCACGTGTGTGTGTAATTTAAAAAAGGAATGTAACTGTTGTTTATCTTTTGGCAAAAATTATTACACTGAATCATAAACTATTGACTCCATCTCTCCAAATTTATCCTGCAAGAATGGAAATTCATAGGGTTCAAACTAATAATGGTAGTAAAATATTAATAGAAATGTTAGTATAGAAAGTAGTCACAGGTAATCTGGAAGTCTTCTTCCTTACAGATAAGATTCCAACGATGGGACTGACTTGGAAAGCATTGATTTCTGGTTTTCAGAGGAAAAGTTTACAGAGTAGCATGTTTCTTTGTTTAATTAAACGGTATTTTTGATCTAACATTTAACTTTAGTTTTACTTATAGTTCTCAAATCGTCAGAGATATTTCTATTTTTAAATCTTTGGAAAACCACTGAACTGTTAAAAAAAGATTCTATCAAATGGGATAAATCAGAGAAGGTGACATCTGTTATTGATATAGGACATCTCAATATAATCTCTAATTATCAAAAATATGAGAATGAACTGCTGACTCATTTTGCCAATTATGTGTCTATCTATCTTATTATCTGTTTATTGTTGGGTGAGAAATCAAACCACTTATTTATATAAGAAAATTGACACATACTGTCATGTGTTTAAAGCATGTCTTTTGTATCTGATTAGTGTATTTTGAATGAGATAAATAAGAAATTCTGCCATAGATTAGCATCTTCTTCCTAAAGAAAAAGGATAAGAGAATAAGAGTATTTTTAGACACAATAAAATTCAAATTTTAATGCGGGCTAAACTTAATTAGCTCACTTTTCTTCATTTAACAATGCCAGAGTAAGCAGTCTTACCCAAGAAGGTTAATTTTAATTAATAGATATTTACCTACTTTAAGTACTTTTAAAATTCTTAGCCATGTGAAATATAATAATTATCAGCGGGCATTATTTACTAAGCTACCAAATGATACAAATAAAAACAAGTTTTCTGAACTTGGAAACTTTCAACCTGGAAGTTACCAAAATCACATTCTTTTAAAGAAATAACCAAAGTGCTATCTAATACATGGAACAAAACCAAGAATGAGCCATAGTAATTTAATAATCTCTTTGCTAAACCTAGATACTGATTTTTTTTTTCATGAAATGAATGATGGATAGAATAAAACATTTTTATTTAAAAAAATTTGATACATCATTTTAAATTGGATACATTTCTTTAAAATAATACACAGCAATAATATATAAAACTTAAGGACATATATGTATATTATATATATACACACACCTATGTGTTGTATGTATGTATATGTTATGCATACATATGTTTATACATGTAAACATTACTTTTTTATTGCTAATAGTATTGCATGCCCATTGTTAGAAATATGTAGATAAAGAGGTATTAAAATAGCTACTCATAATTCTACTACCTAGAAGTACCTGTTGTTCTATTTTGGTGAATTTCTTTTTATTTTTTTCCCTGTATCTATGATTATATAATTACACATTAAATGGATAATCTGAGGAGACATCATACTGTATACAGTACATTTTATCCTGGGTTTAGGCTTTTCTCATGGATACTTTTTCATATCATTAAAATATTCATATGTATTAGTTTAAGATTCTTATATTCTGACTTCTAGTTATATCTTAGTTTACTTAACCATTTATGTATATAATAGATAATATACATTTATTATATATATTTAGAAGAGATACATATCAATAGTTAAAATATTCACAATAATCCTGTTTGATATTCTTATTATCTCAGTTTTTGACGTGGACAATTTCAACTCTAGATGTGTATGTGTGTGTGCGTGTGTGTGTGTGTTTGTTTAATTTTAAAAAAGGAATGAACCTGTTGTTCATCTTTTGTCATAAATTATTACACTGAGCCATACACTATTGAGTATACTTTTCCAAATATATTCTAGAAAAATAGACACTCACATGATTCAATACAGTACATCCAAATAACAAACTACTAAACAAATGAGACTTAGACTTTTCATAACTTTAGATGGCAAAACTAGGATTTGAACCCAGGTCTGTAGGAATCCAAAGACTATGACCTTAACTACTCAACTTTATTACTTTCAAATACTTGTCTAGAAGCCAACTGTTTAGGTCTAAGAGTATTCAAAATTTTTAAGTTATTGATAGATATTCCCAAAGAGTTTTTTTAGTTTTCTATGAATATATTTAGCCTTAGCAAAAGTAGAATATCAAGCTATTTTCAAAATGAAGTATGAGTCAAACTGATATGTCATGTACACTTTGGCCATATCTAACTTAGTGATTTCAAAATAAGAGACTAAAGCCTAGCAGAGCAAATAAAATGGCATATATAGAGATATATACACACACACATATATATATATTCTGATATATATATATATTCTGATATATATATATATATATATATATATATATATATATATATATATATAAAGAAAATGCTTTCCCATTTTCTTAGGCAAGAATTATCATTGTTAAAAGTATTAAGACCACAAAGACCTTAATTTGTAAAGTGGTGGTAAAAAAAAGATAGCTAAATTGCTTTCCATATGAATTTAATAATTATCTGGCTGCTGGGGTAAGCAGCAAGACAGATGAGATGGCTGAAGAAATAGGAGGTGAAACAAAACAGAATGAGGCAAAAGATTATAGAGACAAGTGCCTATGAGAAATTTGCTCAAAGTAGAAAGTGGGAGAGGGGCAGAGAATGTAACCAAAGTATCCTAGAAAATAAACACAACTTTAATTTAATCTTAAATTATTTAAGCTGGACAGATCTATAGTCTCTTTTTAGCTGCAAATGTTAAGCAAAGTCTGCTGTGTTCATAAATTTCTTGAACGAGTTTTGGAAGGAAACATTAAAGAAGAGAAACCCTGGTTCACCATGCAACTAGTGCAGAGCATAAGGAAGAAGAGTCATAGAAAATGAAATCAGAATTGTAGTGGACACATAAGATTGAGCATTTAGGGTAAGCCAGAATTTAGAATCAGAGGTGATGAGGGGAAACATAAGTCACCACTTCCCAGAATTCTCCCCATGTAGAGCTGCCAGATAAAAATTAAATATGGATTTCTATTAAATGGCTTCCAATTAAATATGGACTTCAGATAAATAACAGATTCTTTTTATAAATATGTCCAAAATATTGCATGTAATATAAATACACTTAAAATAAAAAGCCATTCGTTATATATCTTAAATTCAAATTTAATTGGGAATTCTGTATTTTTATTTGCTAAGTCTAGGAACCTGCTCCTAAGAACCTCTAGAGATAATGGGAAGGCTGGAAGTTCCACCTTATCTGGGATGGGAGTGATAGAAACTTGCACTGAACTTTCTTTACAACTCAGAAGGTCTGGTGAACACAAATATGCACAATTAGTGTCAAAATGATTATAAAATCCAGATCCCATGTTAAGTGCCCTTTCTTCTGTCCCTAGTTCTGTTTTCAGAACTAGGTGAGACTACTCCATTAGTAAGTTGTGTTACTATGGCAAGGAAGTATGGCAAGACTATCCCATTAGTAAGTTTTATTAGTGTTAACTTTGTTTAATACTTATGGAATATTTCATCCTACTATTGCCAGTGGTTTCACAAAAGCAAATTATATTTTTAATAACTCACTGTTAACCCACCTTTATATGCACAACTTTTCAGAACATATGAGACATTTCTTTTAAAAAAAAGTTGCAAGTCTACTTGTGCCTTATTAACTACTTCATTCATGGTATAGAGAGATGGCAGGTAGAATCCTCAGGAGCTTCTGTTAACCATCCACATATTGTCAAACATTTTTGCCCAGACACATTCTATTTACATTTTATAGCAAATCGTGGCAGTCTTAGGAAAAGACATATTCCAGAGGGATTGTGTGTAAGACTCCTATACTGACCTTCTAAATTAAATAAAAATATAGCATGTTCCCAACATAAAGAAAATCATATTATAGACACTAAAAACAGTTGTTCTATATAAGACAAATGGTAAAAAAGAAAATAATAGTTTTTCTATAGGAACAATAAAAACCTTGAGACAGAGCCATTGGGTCCCCTCCACCAGCACAATGGAATCCTACTATAAGGGCATGAGATGAGTTTAATTAGCAAGTATTGATTGAGCACTTATTTTGTGCTATAGCTAGACCTTTTGCTCTGTGCTAAAATTGCAAAGTAGGTCAGTCCATGCTGTCCTGTATGATTTATTCATGTGGCAATCAATATTTGGGCAAAGTATAAAAGGTGCCCCCCAAAAAAGAGTGATTCTTAGCAAGAGAAGAAAGATTTGCCAGGGACGAAGCATCACAAAGAACAGCCCTCAGAGTTTTTGAAGGATGGATATAGTTTTGCTAAACAAAAAGAAGTTCTATTCATACTGCCCTAAGATGTGTGAAAAATGGCAAGTACATCAATATTGCTTGAGTAAAATATGAGGTGGGCAGAGCCAGACTAGGCAAAAGTTACCATATTATAAAGGGTTGCTCGCATTTCTTCATGATGGTGACATAAAAACCAAAGTGTTTTAGGCAGGAGAGTGTGACTTGATCCCATATGTAACTCAGAGTGATCACTTTTGACAGTGACGTGAAGGAGAGAGTCGAGTGAGGCAGGAGTCATCCCAGGAAGCATAGGGAGGACGCAGTTATACTAGTCTGAAAGGGAGATATTATGACTCATGCTTAACTTCATGAGGGATAGATTCATCCATTCATTCAATTATCTATTTTTTTCTACAAATATTTATTGAGTATTTACTATGTTCTTGGCCTTCCTCTAGGTACTGATTATATGAAAGCAAACCAACAAAGACATCCCCACCCTCATGGTGATTATGCTGTAGAGAACAGAAATAAATTTTTCAAAAGCATATTAATTCATTTTTTGAAATTTATAATTTATAATTTTATTTTTTAAGAAACAAAATAAGATGCTGTGCTAGAACTGCATTATTCAATTCAGTAGTCACTAGCCAAGCATAGCTATTTTAATTTAAATTAGTTGACACAGTAAAAGAAAACTAAATAAAATTATTCTGTTTCTCAATATTATTAGTCATATTTTAAATGCTCAACACTCACATATTGGATAGCATAAGTTATCAAACATTTCTATTATTGCAAAAAGTTCAAGATGGAGCTACTTTGAGACCGATTATTTGTATCAGATTATTTACTTATGAGGCGATGTACTGAGACCTGAATGACAAAGTGTAGAGTAAGCTATACAAAAATCAAGGAAATAAAGCTCAGGCAGAGTGCATGAGTTCTGAAGAATGAAATCAATGTGTGAAAAAGAAAGAAGGCCAAGTGGGCTGGAGAATGTTGTGTGAAGTAGAGAGTAGTGGGAGAAGTTTGGAAAGTAGATCCTGGTCATGTAGGCCATGCTAGAAAATCTGACATTTATTCTAACTAAGTAGTGATGTTATCTCCAAAATTAATTGACATGTTAATTTGGGAAGCTAGTGAATGGATTGATGTAAGTGAAAAACATGATATAATTTTATATTTGTTTTTTTTAATTCACTTTATTTTGGGGACTGGGAAAAATGAAGGAAATATACAAATGAGAAAAAAATGATGGTTTTGGATAGCACTGACAGTGGAGCTGTAGAGAAGTGAAAGAGTCAAGACATTTTGGAGGCAGAACAAGTAAGTGTTCATGTTTGACTGTAAATGGGGGTGGGAGGTACATAGATAAGAGGAAAAGAGTAAGTGGTGTTGTTTTGTGCTGAGATTAAGGCTGTGGGACAAGGAACAGCTTCAGGAGGACAAATCAGTTAATTTTGGAGATAAGATCACTATTAGAATTTCAAGGGCAGCCGTTAAGTGATTAGAGGTTTATGAGGTTAGAGAATAGGTCAAGGCTGGAGATGTATGTTTGGGCATCATCAACATATGTATTGAATTTAAAGTCATGAAACAGAAGTGCCTGTGGAGGCAGCATAGAACACTTAGGCCTGAGTCCAACGTCAACCCAATATTTTCATACTGAGTAGAGCAAGAGAAGAAAACAGAAAAATGACTTAGAAGTACTAAAGGGATGGGAGAAAAATCAAGAGAGTGATATCTCAGAAGATGGATGAGAAAACTTTCCAAGTATAGAAGGTCAGCTATGTTGAATGCCATGCAAGGAGGGGTAAGATGAGAAAAGACAGTTGAAATTGAGCAGCATTGTTGGTGCCTGATGAAAGGCAAGTAGAAGTTCGATTTTTTTTTTTTTTTTTTGAGCTGAGAAAGGGAATGAACAGTGAAACAATGGGGAAAAACTTTCTATTTCTGAGAAGGGAAGCAAAGAAAAAAAAGGAGAGAAATTTTGAGGAAAGCTTGAGGTCAAAATAAGGTTGTTTTTGTGAAGAGATCCCCAAGCATGTTGCAGAGAATGATCCTGTACATTGTCAGATATTGATGATGGTAATGGTCATTCACTTTGGTTAAGATGAATGGAAGTTCAATAATAATGGAAAATTGTAATGCATTAATAGTCTTGTAAACAGAAAATATAAAACCTAGCTGAAGTATTATATTCTTGGTTAAATTCTATTTGTTCAGTTTTATTTTACTGATTTTTTTCCTCAAGGTATCTTCAAATCAAGTCTTCCCATTTTCTCATTCTATATTCATTATTTTCCAGCAGTATATTGTTTGTTTTGGAATTTGAAGACTATTTTTAAGGTCAAGATATTTTGCAGACTCCCACATGGGGTCATTATACCTACATTATGATGAAAAGCTAGTGTGGATGCTTTAAAATAAATTTTATTATTTTGTCACTAAAAATATCCAAATATATTTGAAAATAGTGTATATACATAATATATGCTGATTTAAGTTACAGACAATCTCTAATGTGACTCTCGATTGTAATAACTAAAGTTTTTTAGGCACCCAAGGCCACAGATGGGTGGTCCCTATCAACATGAAAAGAAGGGAGCTAACAAGTAATTGTATATACTGCTTATTGCCTTGAATCAGGGAAACTACAAGGAATATACAAGTGCTATTATCCAAATTCGAAAAGTTATTTTTTCAAATGAAATCCTTTGAAAGTTCCAAAACTTCCTTTCTTTTACTGACCCCTAGAAACCACTGACCCAGTACATACTATAAAATCATAACAATGCTGAAACTTAGTTATTATTAGCAAATGTTCCACAGAAAATCATCATGAAGGAAAACTTGTACTCTCTCAATCCTGAGTATTGGAAATGCAAAATATTTGACCCTGGAAGCAGAAGTGGGTCAGAGAGTTGGTTTAACACACACACACACACACACACACACACACACACAGAGAAAACAAAACAGTAAAACCCTAATTTTGGTAAAGGAAAAAAAAAAGGTTAACTTTTGCCCCAACTATAACTCATCTCAAATCTGATATTTTTACTGTTTGTTTGAAATTTTGTAATAAAAAAATTCATTTAATCTTTTTAACAACTTTCAAATGACACATCTTGTGGTTTTTATAGTACCCTAGTAACAAATACAATTGCTTAAAATGCTATTTTCCTAACAGTTTGTCTTTATTCAGACATGGTATTATCATCTGCCTGAATTTATCCCCATTCAAGCATGAATCCATAAAATTGGACTGTGGCAATGGGATGCATTAAAGTACTTGGGCTGGACTAGCAGCTTGCCTCAGACTTGGAGCTGACAGCTTTTCTGTGTTTTCAGTCTCACCTGTCTCTCTGTTCTCTATGGACGTCTCTTTGCTTGCACTCTGACCAGATCTCTGGCCATCCAACCTGGCTTGTTCTGTTGGCCCCTATGTCTGGATTCACATTTGTTCACCTCTAGTTCTTTAATCAGAGTTGTGCTTTGATCTGTCTGCATTCAGCAAGAGCTTTTACTTTCCTGGGTTGTTAAACCATCATTAGCAGTATTTTCTCAACACCAGTCATTCACATACCACTACTACAAATGTTGCCATATTTGTCAGGCCCTATCCTATTATTTCCTTAATTCTTTTCCTGCAAATTGACTCACTTTGTATACTAAAATTAATGTATTTTTAAAGACAAATTATTATATCACTCTAATAAAGGGAAAGCCAATATCTGTTGCCATAAATAGAAGGTGATCACATAATTAAATATAATAAAAACAAGATACCATGGTTAAATTGTGGCTATATGCTATGTTTTGGCAAAAGAATCTAAGTCTGAGGCCTCAGATTTCATTTGTTGGAAAGGGAGATAAGCAAGTTTTCCAGAGGTGTTAAGGACATATTAGTAATAAACTGAGATTTTCCTTGACATAACCAGAAGAACTGAAAAACAGGAAGTGTTTCATTTTATGATTTAATGTTATTTCATACTACTTGTATGTGCCACCTCAGAAGCATCTCATATACCCTCAACATAGCATGAAACATCTAGAATGTTATGTGTCCCACATTTTAGAAGACAGAATTTTAATGTAAAATTAGCTATCAGAGAGTTTGTGCTAAACATGAATAAAACTGGATAATACAATCAGGTAATGCATGATCTTCAGTCGTATTTCCTATGGTTGAGCTATAATATTAGCAATAGGCTTTAAGGATCTTTAGACTTAAGGGATCCAAGATAAGTTATGATTGTAATGATTCTTTGTTTTCTTGTCATTTGATAAGACTTTAGGATTCATAGCATAGATTTCAGTGGGGAATAAGTACTTGTACCTAACTTGTACATAAAGTGGAAATTTAAATTCAAAAAAATTTTTTAAGTAGAGCTTTTAAATGAAAAATTATTTTTGTAAACAAAATGCCTGTCATGAACTATAAACTCTAGACGAGTTATTTTTATTTGTTCATGTAAGGGCAACACACACCCACCCACCTCTATTTGAATCTGCACCCATCTCTGGAAATGCTTCTTTCCTGAAGTTCGGAACTTTGATGGAATGGTGAGGAAATTATTATATAACTAATGAGATCCTACCAAACTATGTGATGCATTTGGGGAAGAGGATTAATGCTTTGGAGCTAGTAGACAATGCAATAAAATCTAGAGACTCACTTTACTCCGCTAGAATTGGCTTACTGTTCTAGATTCTGTTTACTCATGTAAAACAGAGAGACTGACATCCCCAAATTTGGAGACATCATGGATTTCCTTTAGACGGCAACATTCTCCAACTTAAATTACTGAAATATCTCAAAGCAAGCAACTTATTTTTTTTAATGTAGATGAACTTTAGTGTGGGCAAGGTAACGAACTTCCTAAATATTTTCATTCCCTTTATGTAAGGGTACTCTGTCTTCCTCCTGCCTGTGGTTTACTAGAGTGCTTAACCTATACGTGGCAATCAGTAAACACAGCACTTTGAAAAATGAATTCTGGTTAGTTTTTTTTTTTTTCCTAAAACTTTCTATAAATTTCTTAATCCAAAATCCTTGTTCCCTTGAACTCCAATTGAAGTTATTTTTGATACAATTTATTCAGAAACTTATATGTTATAAAAGAATTTGTGACATCTATATCTAATATTTATTAACTTTCACAAATTGTTTTGTCCTTTGACAGAATGTGCCTAACACAATGTACACTGAATTTCAATGACTGAAGTAAAAGTAAGGTCTAGATGCTGGAGTGTGACTTCTACTTCTTTGTATCCTATAGTTAATAATACATAAGGGCTACTTCATAAGTGTGCATTGATTTGTTTGTGATACTCATGAAGATCAAATTTAAGACTAAAATAATATAATTTTATAAAGGAGACAGCTAATTAAGGAATACGTGGTAGCATGGACTGAGAATAAAAATTTACTAACTTCCAGATAGTTTTAAATTCACAAATGTTATTGCTAGAGTGAGGTTATCAAGATATGCATACACTCTTTTTAAAGAATATTATAGAAAAGACAATATTGCTTTCCCCTCTCTACCTTCAATCATCACCAAATGGTATTTCTGCAAAGCATACAAGATTAGTTGGAATTTAGAAATAAAATAACCACTATTTGTTGAATACTTTCCATACCTTAAATAATGTATTACTTACATAAATTCTATGAAGTAGGGTTGTTCAATATCAATCAAAAGAGTATAAGGCAGACCTGGTTCAGCTCTGTCTGATTTTAAATTCCATGATGAACCCACTGTCCCATGATTTCTCCCCAGTCACTTTGGATCTTATTCAGAAATGTTTCTGTTCTTACATTTAGGTCCTATAGCAGTGCTGAGCAACCATAACAGTTCCCTAGAGGTTTTAGGTCTTCAGATAATGGGTGTTAAATCTCCTCCAAGATTATTACATTACAGTAAGTTGGTCTATTATGTGGACATTATAGAGCTTTCATTGCTCTGCTTCAAAGAATAGACTAAAATAACTTACCTACTTGAAAACACTCATCAGGTTTATGTTTTTTTTTTAATAACAAGGCAGTGAATTATGGAAATAGCTCAGACTATCTATTATCTATCTGAATATATAAAATAATAAACCATATCATATTTCTTCTTCATTGTATTCAGTAAACCAGATACATGACCTAATGAAGTATAACGGAGTGGTGTAGTTTTTTTACATTCTTGCTCCTAAGTATTCCCTACAAGTGAAATTTTACCAATTTTTATCCAATGCAGCATTCCTTATGTATACCACATTTTCAAAAAGACATGTTCAATGAATCTGCATAATATCTGTAGGAAAGAAGCAAGCATAATGTTTTCCATTGTAAAACATTATGCTATAATAGTTATTAGATTAACAAGCATTTACTGCCATTTATTTCACCTAGAACTCATATGCAAACTTTTACGCTAGAACTGAGAAATCAGATAGACTCTAGAAATGCTAAAAAATAAGAACAAAGGAAGACTTGATTAGAATATATTTTTCTCATATTAAATGGAAAGTATATTTCAAGTCATCATGTAAACCAATCCTTAACTTGGGGGTGGTTCTCATGTTAATTTCTAAGGTTTATACATGGACATGGTTTTTCTTTCTTTCTTTCTTTTGTTTTGTCTCTCCCCTTCCACCTTGGATTGATTCTTTCTTTGACTGTCAATTCTTTTTTCTTTTTTTTTTTTCTTTTGAGCAAAGGACAACACATACATTCCTAATTCTCTTTTCTTCTCAACATTTCTGAGTTTACCAAAGGCGGTAGATTTTAAATTCCTAGAAAAAAAGGTTAGCTGTGTATCAAGAAAGTTATTCCACCAGAGTCTAAATTCTCAAAAGCATTTTCTTTCAGAATTTCATGTTAAGTAACACTCTGCTGTCCTAAAGTGAAAACCAACAACTATCAATCATTTAAGTCAGTATTGTCAGAATAATGAAAATTAAAATTATACTGATAAAAGACAATACCTGTAGCCATCACAACAAAGAAACATTTATCTGTGTCCTATTATTAAACACTTCTTTTCATGCTGCATATAATGTCATTGAACTTTCAAAATTTTATTATATCTCATAATATTTTTCTATTAGGTTGGTGCTGTATCTTTTTTAAAAAGCTAAAGAAAGTACACCAAGAAGCTAAAATGTTGGCACTTTATGGATACAAGGGTAGATTTCAAAGGCTTATAACCCTCACTAAAGTGTATAACTTTTGGGCAATTCTTGAAGGGACAGGGAAAGGAGTGTTATTCCTATTCTTTGGGCTACTTTCAGTTCATTCACCTCCCAAATTCTGTGTTGATGCCAACTCCTGCTTTTCCCCTCCACTGCTATTTCAGTCTCATCTGCTCCCGTCATTTTTATACACTCCTTTCTTCTTTAACTCCATTTCTCCTTAACTGTCCAAAGTGGTAGATGTGTGCGAAATGGAAAATTTCATGGCCACTTTGGCTTAGTAGTGGCAAGTGGTCACTGGGACAAAGATGAGGCTACTTTCTAAAGTTCTTCACTCCCAGCCTCTCATAAATCTTGATTATCTTGATTTCTTACCGTTTTCCTGTCCTATTAACTAACCAAATAGTGGAGAAAGAAAGTTCAACTCAAGAGAAATGAGCAAAGTTCTACCTTAATTTAAAGCAATGTATAAGAATGATGCAAGAGATGGACATTGATAGGAACATGAAAAGAATGGGGGCATATAGCCTGAAGTGCCAGTCCTTTGTCTGAGATAATAAGGACTCTGAAAGAAGGGAAGAATTTAACCAAAAGTGGGAAGGTGAGGAGCTGAACAGCACAGAACAGAAAGCATGACATTAAAGATAGGGGTCAAATGGCCAGAGGAAACCTTGAAGATAAGAAGACATCATTCAAAGAATTGCAAAGTGGAAAAAGAAGTGGAAATTTCTCAGTATGGGCCTCATAGGTTACTGTTTCACAAATAGAGTGTTGATAGAAGGTTATCATTGCATTTTAGATAATTTGCAAATACGCAAGGAAAATTGTCTTGCTATACCAGAACAAAGCCCACTTATATAAAGAAAGCTCTTATCCCCAACAGAACGCCTTATGCTAAAAGTTTTTTTAATTTGTGGGGTTTTTCTCTTGTCCTCAACTCTAAATGTCTTTAATATACTGTGAGAACAATTATCATAATTTCTACATTCAAAAGTTAAAAGCCAATTAAATTATAATATGTGTAACATTTTTTGAGTAGTGGGTTAGTTTATACTTACTGGTACTACTGAACTCTAAAATAATTTAACTATTCTGGTCATATTTGTACAACATTTAGAACCTGAGATGTAAAGACTTCAAATAAAAATAATTAAATAAAGCTTAAAATGTTCTTTGTGTTTGGATTTTAGTCTCTATTTAAAGACAGATTAGATATTTTGGAAATTTTCATAAAATACCCTCTTTAAATCATATTCATTGTGTGCTTTGATCGCTTTTAGAAAAAATAGTAAAAGGAAAGAAGCTGTTTAAAATTAAATATAGTTGGTCTTAAATGAACAGGAAATCAGATTCATGGATTTGGCTTTACATGACCATTTACCCACATTCTAACTGATGTTCCTAACATGCCTTAAATTCATTACTAAGTAGCTAGTTAGACAATCTCAATCTAGATACAGTTTGCTTTTCTACATTAATTCTCTGTTATCTTCTTACATTCCTCGCTCAATAACAATAACATGTCTCATTCTTTTGACTTTGATACTTAAAACAGAACAAATTAATCACAAACAGCTAATGAAAATTAATAGAGTACTTTAACTCAGCTGTTGGGGAAATTCTGATAAAGTTATAGAGAAACTTAAATTGTAATTCAAATCTGGGGAGATACATTTGTTAGAATTTAGCCTTTTCATAATAAATGTTTCTTTGAACTTGTGTTGTGATGAGGGAAGACAAGGGAAAAGCTTTGCTGATCTTTTAAACACATCAAAGCCTTAGGAAGCTAAACATGCTGGACGGATGCTTTTGTCAACCTGAATAGTATCTGTGCCGCATCTTTCAATGTAGATATGGCATTTATCTCCTCTAAATGGCAGAAGACCTCCGGTCACTGCAGGGACTCTAAACCAGGAGGTCTACACAGAGCTTCATAATTTCTTTTGGTATCCCTCAAATTTGATTATTGTCATATTTTCTGAAAATCAATTTTGTACTCTGAAAAACAAGTACTAAATATTGGTTGTAGAAAATACAGAAGAGTACAAAGAAAATAAAAATAACCAATAATGTCATCACACAGAAGCAATCATTATTTTAGATTATCTTCCTTCTTTCAGATATGTAAAAACTATATGTGTTATTTAAGATAATATATTAAATGGTAGCTTTTATAGAATTGTGAGCATAAAATATCAAATTTAAAGCTTACATTATTAGCAATTCCTCAACTCATTAATGCTATTTTTAACCTTTTTCTAACATGTTATATGATTGTTGGTGGAAACATAATAATTACATGTTAGAATAATAATTTATTTAATACATACATTTATTTGGACATTTAGATTGTTTTCACTTTGTCATCATTACACATAATAATTGTAATATGCATTTTTTTTTCTGAGACAGAGTCTCGCTGTGTCGCCCAGGCTGGAGTGCAGTGGCACAATTCAACTCACTGCAACCTCCACCTCCCGGGTTCAAGTGATTCTCCTGCGTCAGCCTCCCATGTAGCTGGGACTACAGGCGCATGCCACTACGCCTGGCTAATTTTTTGTATTTTTAGTAGAGACGGGTTTTCACTGTGTTAGCCAGGATGGTCTCGATCTCCTGACCTCGTGATCCACCTGTCTCAGCCTCCCAAAGTGCTGGGATTACAGGCGTGAGCCACCACGCTGGGCCCTAATATGCTTTTTAATGTCCAAATCTGTTTTTGGCATCTCTGACCATTTTATTTTCTAATAGTGCTTCACGCATAGAAAAATGTTGATTTAAAGTACTTTTAATTCAACAAACTGAAATAAATGTTTTCAGTAGATTATTTTTGTGTTTTAGCTAGGCAGTTCTATCATCAAAAGGTAATGATGGTATGGTTTCCTCTTTTTAATACTTATCTTTCTAATTTTTGTTTAATGTTACATTGCATTAACCTGGACTAGTGAGTTAATGTTAAATACTAGTTGCGTCAGTCGGTGTAGTTTACTAAGAGTGAACTTCATTTGAATTCCTGGGATATGCCTCAATTGATCATAATGAGATCTTCTATAATAGACTGTGGAATTCAATTAATTAATGTTTTATCTAGGATTCAATAGTATCTTTCTTTTTGTGTTATCTTAATATTTCAGTATCAGAGTTATGCTACTTTTTTGCAAAATAAATTGGGATCACTAATATAACATAAGCTTACCTATTTTAGAAAAAAAATGTAATAACATTCACAGGTGAAACCACTAGATGTTAAAGCCTATTTTTGGGATTAAAATTTGTTATAATAGTAGTGGCAGAAATAGTGGTACTCTATCTTATTTAAGATAGCCTCTTTCTCAGTTTGAGTCAGCTGTCAGGGAATATAGGATCTAAGAAAATTTGAGGCTCATCTTTGGTTATTTTCAGGTTTACCATTCTGCCTTGCCACTTCCCCAAATTGGTTAGTAAGCGCTCTTTGTCTTCCATGTCACTTCCTCTATCTAGATTTCACCTTAGATGGAACGTAACTAAGATGAAAAGTTGCTGACTTCTGAAATATGCAAAACAAGGAGATTAATAAAAGTAACTGTCATTTTACCATATTCTTTTATCATTCTTCTATATACTTTTAAGGCATCATCTCATTTAATTCTTACCACAGTTCTAAATTCTATTTTTATTTCATATTACAGATGAAAAAACTGGGCTTAGCAAGCTTAAATAATTTGTGGACCCAGGATTTGAACTCCAGCTTTCCAAAGTCCAAATGTATAAGCATTGCTCTATATGGTCTTTCTGTCACTTAGGGTACTCATTAGAGAAATCTTTCCATGAGACAGTTCTTCTCCACCTCTCCCCGGAGGAGGAGGGTGTGGGGAAATGAAGTGATATGATTACAACAAAACAAAGAAGACAAACATAGAATCTGACAATCAGTAATTTTGATCACAGTAAGTATTTGAAACTGATTATCTCTGAATATTATGAAATCAAACCACAAAAAGACGAGAATAAAATATATAAACTAGCACAAAATTATGCATTTAAATACCATGAAAGAAATTTTGAAAAACACCAGTATTTCTTAGACTATTTAAATCATTTTCAGACAAAAATTATATATTTTGAGTAACTCTCATTAAAGAGATAAAATGAATTAGAAAAAAAGAAAGAGAATCAAACTTACAAAGAACTTAAAAATTAGCAGTTATAAAAAGCACAGCTCTCCAAAAACATTAATGAAATACTGATGAAAATTTGGTTTTAAAATATGATGAAAAACATGCAAGTTCATTAATATACAATGATAAAGATAAAACAATTCTACCTTATTCATCTACAAATTTGTGATTCAAATGGTACATATTTTATGTTATCTTATTTCAGTTTTCTTCCCTTTTACTTTCTAGTTGGTCAAACATTTGAATCCATAGAATTGTCCTATTTGTTAGACCTCTGTTGAAGTTATTACTGTTATTAATATTTACCAATTATATTCTGATATTTTAAATATTCAATAATATGAATGTTTATATGAGTTACTAAAATGGGTATGCCTAGGTAAAGTAGCATATTCTATAACATTTGTTTACAGATTGTCTTTCATTTTCAATATGTACTTTCCCAATCTGTATAGTCAATAAAGTGGAAAGCAGTATATTAAAGCTAGACAGGCAACTCTAATCATGGCTTGACTCCTGTATGAATTGGTACAAAGGATGTGTTTTCCATAATTAGCTTCCATGTGCTAAAAAATAATTTAACCTAAATAAATAGAATGTAATTGGCCTTTCTTAATAACACTCAGGTTGTAAATCAATGAATATGTTTAACATGCCAAACATTATATTTGTCACATAGAATTGGGAACATAAAATCTGAATGATTGTTACCAGTAGAATTCCCAAGAGAACTTTTGTTTAGTACCCTTAATATGAAAGTATGTTTTTTGTTTTATACTAAGATACATACTAAGTAGAACACTAGCTATAAATAGAATGGAAAATACAGCCACTAGAGTTTAACTTGATACAAAAAGGAAAATCTGAAGATCTCCAGTCTACTTGGGCATGCTTGAGGGAAGGGAAGGGAGAGTAGGTCATTTCTTCTCACCATTAAGAAAAGATGCATGAATGCCTCTTGGTGAGTGATCATTGTTATGAGTGATTATTGTTATGTTATGAGCCACATATTCCTACCTGTAAGCCTAGTTTGAAAACCAAATTTCATTTATAACTGATGATTAGAAAAAGACTATTCAGATTTATATGTTCCTGTCTTGCTGTTATTTATCACTCTTTCATGATGAAGTTAAATTTTGAGTCTGGAAGTACTTGGAAAAGATTAAATTAAATCAAATACAATATTATATCTTTTTAAAATCCTAACATTAGTAGGGGAAAATGTTCAAGTGAGAATGATTAAGGGAGACAAAGAAAGGGAAAAGTTCTTCTGTGATACAGGGATTTATCTTATGCTTACTCATGATTTTCTCCCAACATTCATGATCAATTTCCACTGAGCCTTTCCTGGGCTTGTTTATGCAAGTATCTTTATTTGTCAGCTGACTAAACAATGTCAGGCACCAGCTTTCGCTAGGCATTACCATATCAGGTGGTAACTACTCTGCAATAGTATCATTTTTTTAGAGCTAGTGAAAAGAGCATTTGGCTGATATTGAAAAAAACATGAGTTTGAATTTCAGCTGGCTTAACCACCAGTTGTGTTAAGCTAGGTAATTCATTCAACCATTAGGACATTTATTGTGTCCAATCCAAATTACTGACATTCTTTAATATGACCTCTAAAGACATTTCCATTGGTAAGCTTCTAACGTTGTGCACATGTGCCCTAGAACTTAAAGTATAATAAAAAAAAAATTTCCCTGTGGGAAGTAACCATATTCCCCTATGTAGTTGGGATAAGAAGGTGGCTTACATTTCTTTTTTTAAGTGACCTGGGAGAGCCTTTATGTTGGTTTTGGATTTCAAGATTTCTTTGTAGACAATGCCTGAGACTATTCCAGAAACAAACTTAGAATATTCTATGAAAGAATGAGAAGAAGCAGTATTTTAAAATGGATTCTTACTCTGGAGTACAGAGATGATATGGCAAAACAGGAACGGATACAAGGCCTAAGGTTGTGGACATAAGGATAGGGCACTATATCCTCATTCAAAATAAAAAAATGGGGCATAACAAAGTTTCAAGACAAGTAACTGATGCTTGCCTGGAAGTGGAAAACTGGGAAGGTAAATTTGAAGTAATATTTACCATTATTATAAGGAAATGATGCCCCTCCTAGTTGTAGCAGCAAAAGAGAATCACCTTTTGCCCCACGTGACCATTTGTTTCTGAAAATAAAGAGGGTGTGGGCCAGAAGATTTAATCTACTGAAGAGGATGAAAGCTACGCTGAAGGGGTAGAGTAGGGAACCAAACTTAAAACAGAGATACAAGTCTCAGGTTCTGCTTTCCCTCCCGCTGCCTCTTCCTACAGCCACGCTCCTCACAGATCGAATAAAAATGAAGAGATGCTGAGACACCAACACACATTATTTATTACTCAAACTGGCAGCCTCACATTATCTCCTTCCATTGCACTAAAGAGGCAGCTGTTGAAAATATGGAACACAGAGGGGAAGGATTCCCCTTCATCTGTTGATTAGCTGGAGTTAACATTTTGAAAATCAATGAAATGCAACACAATCCAGTGGTTAAGGTTTGATGTCATACATGAGTTTGGACCTTGACTTTAACCTCTTTTAGTTTCAGCTTCCTTATGTATATAATGGAGAATATAATGGGGCCATCAAAATAATGGCCGATGTTTGCTTAGCATAGGGTCAAGGACATAGTGATGCTCCATAAATGGGATGACTATTAATCTTCTATAAATTTTGTTATACTTTAACATAGTTGTTTATTCTCTTCTTCTCTGGAATTAACTCATGACAAAATGCCACTGCTGGGTTGGCTTCCTTGCTTAGGTCTATATTCTCAGTACTCAGAACAGTGCTTTGAACATACAGGTTTTTGTTGCTAAACTTTGACTATTCTACTGTCTGGGAAGAAATCTCACTATGCAAGAGTTAAGTGCATCTAGCTATATATACTCAGTGTTCCACCAACACAGCTTACTTCTGTAATAAAATACACAAAAGTAGTGAGTATTTTCTCTCTAGACTGATTTTAATATGTATGTTTACATAATTATAGAATTGTAAAATCTTAACTTTGATTCAAGAAGTTGTAATTTTTTTGGGGGGGGTCAGGACTTCTTTTTAATTAAAATTTACTAAAATATAATAAAAGATAAGAGGAACACAATGTAAGTCCTAATGCATATACTGTCCTATTAAGCCTAGATATAGAAACTTTCTAGAGATTGCTAGTGATCAAGAACTATGTAGTTTTGCCACATGAGCCCTTTCAATCTGGTGGATTTAATTCCTTCTTCATATTCTTCCCCGTCTCCTTCTCATTCTCTTGCCCTTTTCTCTCCTCCTCCTCCTTCCCCTCCTTCTGTTTCTTTTTCTTCCTCTGCATCTTCTGCTAACTAGAAACTTCTTTCATATCCTGTGCCAAATATGTTTCCTTCCTTACTTAAAGTAATTATATACCAAAGAAAATCACTTAAACTCATGCTACTCAAAGTGTGGTCCTAGGACCAGCAGCACTGAAATCACCTGGGAGTTTGTAATGCAGAAGCTAAGGCGTCACCCCAGGTGATGTGTATAGCTTGAGAAGCGCTATTTTAACCAAACTTGTTAACTACTCTAGGGAAGATATGGTTTTATCCACTAGAGGGCAGTAGGACATATGTACCACTGGCATTGCATTTATTTCCCAATTAAAAGCTCTTTTAAGAACCACTCTCAGTTGCCAAATGGATAGTATGCTTGGTTCCTTTAAAGGAAAAAACAACAAAGTCAAACCAGGTTACATAGAGAAATTCAACATGTGAGATTAATGAAATAAGCAGTTCCATGGCACTAGCATAGTATAAAATCAGGTGCCAAATCCTAAATTGTGATTTTGGCTCTTGTTCATAGATCATAGAATTATAAAGCTGGAAAAGTCTTTGATACTCACTGGGGCAACCAACTTATTTTACAGATGAGGAAGGAAACTCCTAGACATTAACTGGCTGTTTCAAATTCATACAGCTTCCAACTTGCCAATCCAAAGCTGGAACTTCTACCAACAAAATCCCTACCCAAAGATTAAGAGAGAGAGAGAGACTTTAACACGATGCTAAACACCTCTTTGTATTATTTAAATGGAAAACTGGGGTTCATACTTGTGCTTTACACATCTATTGGGTTTAATAGTATTCGTTGTTTCTGAAGAGGTGGGGAGATAGGGAGGAATTGGTAGGTTTTTTTTTTCCCTTCAAGTTATTTATATTCTGCTGCACTGCCATCAGAACACAGCTTGCATGTCTCCATCTCAAGCCCAAAAGTGTCCACATTAAATATCAACCAATCACTAAGTATTGAGTAACCACAATATTCATGGCACTGTTAGACATTCTTTTTAGCATGATGCTAGCATGATTTCTGCTCTCGATGATCTTTGGTTATGTGTTATTAACAGCCGGCTGGTAACTGCTTTTAATTTTCAATCCCACATGTATTTTGCATGCAAAATGGGATCAACAACATTGTGTCAGACTCAGAGACACAAAAGGTGATGAAAACTGAGCTGATGGATTCTCATTCATCTAAGGAATTGGCAAGGCTTTACAGAGGAAAGAACCCTAATTGCACATACAACACCCTCAGTACAACTTGCTCACATGTCTTTAAAATGACCTTTTAAAGAATGTTTTAAATGTCAATGCTTTTTTAGAAAACATTGAATCAAACATGAAAATTGCTTGAGAAAAATTTTGCAATCTCCAATTAAAGGCACAGTCACATTTCCAGTTTCCTTTTCCTCTTTCTCTTATTATCAATGGAATTATTTAATAAAGCCTAAAATCACATGAAGTTTATGGATGTAAGAATTTGGATACTGATAGATGTTTACAAACAGTTTCTAAGAAAGAGACTGAATTGTTAAGCAAAGCTCCAAAGTGAAAAATGTAATAAGCAAAGTCTTGGTGGAGTGGCCCCAGAAAAAAGGAGCTCCTAAAATAAGTGCACAAAAATTTTAAGCACTATCTAGTCTGGCTTAATTTGTATCTGGACAAAAGGAAGAGGCTTGTCAGAAATTTAAATTTAGCTCCCAAAGAAATTTTTCAGAACTATGTCTTCAAACCACAGAAAAGCACTTCTCATTTGTCTCTCTCTCCTTTTACCATTAGCTTTAGTATATAAATGAAGTCATAACCATCATAATTTTACCAGGAATCATTACTTATGATGTCTTTTCCCCATGATCTCACCATTAATTATTAAGAATATGAATGCAAATTACTGTTTGTGAGACAAAGTCTGAAGAAAACGTCCATTTTTTTAATTTTAAGCAAACAGTCAATAATCTCACAAAAAATGACGTCTGATCAATGAAGTTGATAATTCTTAGTTTATATTTTGAACAGTTTAAATTGTAATTTTGACATTTTTCTAAGAGACAGATGAGGCTTTATATTGCTTACATAAGCTATGTATGCTCTCTATCCTAACAAATAGTGCAACAGCCATGAAAGAAAACACTAGCATTTAATATGCTTTACCTTCAGCATTCATTACATACACAGTTATTTTAGGAAAGTAATGTTACCATTTGGACTTACTCTACCTATTTCATCTGAGAATATCCTCTGTTTTCCCCTCATTATAATAAAAGAATAGCTCTCAATTATTGCCAGTAATATTAGTGACACACTCATGTTTATATCTCAAATATGCTTTTAATTTTCTGAAACAGAGGCAAATTGCTGGTGATATCTTAATGTTTTAAGGTAGTTAATGCCAAAAGGCTTGGATCTGATCTTAAACTGAATATTTCCCAGATGTTTGGTAGGGTGAAAGGTGGAACTGCTAACAGAAACCAACTTCCTATCCCTGTTATACTTACTTAGGTGAATTTTAAGTAAGGATTAATTAGACATTGAGACCTTATAAGCAGTCAACTTCACAGCTCCCAGAGATAAAAGCTGGGGGCTTGCTCAGTTGTAACATAAGCCATATGTTGAGAAAGCGAAGTCTCAACTGCCACTGTCTCCTTGCACCTTGTTTATAATGCTCCTTTAACTTTCTTTTGAAAATGCAATACTTTTGAAAATGTTGAAAAACTACTAAAGGATTAGACAACTTACTGTTTTTGAGTAAGTATTGGGTAAATACTAAAGTTGCAGAAATACATCCAAAATATTTAACTCACAAGAATGAGCTCATAAATATAAAAGGACAGCTTATGAATGAAAAGAGGAAACTGCTATTAATGTGGCTTATCCTAGACCAGCTTTGTACTGGCAGATACCCTGAGGACACTAAGGCTCTGAAAACTCTGTGTCTCCATGGGAAGCCAGGCTGCCTATTATAGGAAGAGGAATTTAGCGCAAATTCACAGTTGTTTGCCCAGATTCAGTAGGGACTAAAGATGAACTGGAACAAGGTCTTGCCAATTACCCGTGCTTAAGGGTTGGGAGCTTTAGCTTGACAAGATTTTGCCACCTAAAACAGCTGTTTTGTGTTGGAGACCAGATGGTAATTTTGCCAAAACCACTTAAAAGGTCCAAGCCATCAATTTCAAAGCAAATGTTTCTTATATTGGGTACATGCTCATTTTTGTGATTTTTTTTCATTTAAATTTTCATGTGAATATGCGTTCTAGTTTAGGTTGGAGGTGTTGATGAAATAGCAGATAGTGATGCCAAGTTAAGAAACTATCACCAATCTATGCCAGCCAATGAGAAAGATCTACTTCTACAAATATAGAAAAGACTAGGCCAGGCACGGTGGCTCACACCTGTAATCCCAGCACTTTGGGGTGCCGAGGCGGGAGGATCAAGAGGTCAGAAGTTTGAGACCAGCCTGACAAACATGGTGAAACCCCGCGTCTACTAAAAATACAAAAATTAGCCAGGTGTGGTGGCATGCACCTGTAATCCCAGCTACTCAGGAGGCTGAGGCAGAAGAATCACTTGAACTCGGGAGGCAGAGGTTGCAGTGATCTGAGATTGCACTAGCGCACTCCAGCCAGGCCAGCCTGGGAGACAGAGTGAGACTCCACTTCAAAACAAAACAAAAGACTGTACTTGGTAAAACCAAAAGGAATCAATGAAATGCACCTATTTACTAACAGTAAGAGCACAATCTACATTATTAATTCTTCAAATACGTCAACTAGTTATTCTGGGTTGGAATCCACTTGAAATAATTTTTCTTATAAGGTTTTCCTCTTCTTAGGCTATTTATTTATTCAGAGACAGAGTCTCACTCTGTCACCTAGGCTGGATTGTAATGGTGCAATCGTGGCTCACTGCAGCTTCAAACTCCTGGGCTCAAACATCCTCCCAACTCAGCTTCCTCAGTAGCTGCAACTACAGGTGTGCGCTGCCATACCCAGATAATTTTGTATCCTCTCCACTTATCAGTGAGAATACATATTTGTCTTTTTGTGTCTGACTTGTTTCACTTAAAATAACAGCTTCCTGTTCCATCCACGTTGCTGCAAAAGACACTCAGATGGAGTGCAGTAATGCAATCACAGCTCACTGCAGCCTCTACCTCCTTGGCTCAAGTGATTTTCCTACCTCAGCCTTCTGAGCATCTGGGACCACAGGCATGCATCACCATGCCCAGCTAATTTTTCTGTGTGTGTTTTGTAGTGACGCGGTCTCACTATGGTGCCCAGGCTGCTCTCAAATTCCTAGGCTCAAGCAATCCTCCTGCATTGGCTTCCCAAAGTGCTGGGATTACAAGAGTGAGCCACCATGCCCGACCATTAGACTTTTTAAAAGTATTTTAGGAATATACATGAGATTGTCAGTATGGGTTAAGATCTCATAGATAAGATAATTGTAAGGGTTAAGGGAAATGTACAGAATCTGATAAATAAGTATCTTGTAAAGAAAACAACTGGTTATATGTTTTTATGTCTGTAATAAATTTGCCAGCAAATTTGCTACCTAAAGAATTTGTGTCACCATTTTGCTTCAGTTTCAAAGGCAAAAATATCTCTGACTTTCCAATGCGATTACGTTGTTTAGTAGTTAGCCAGCAAGGGCAACTGAACAAAAGAAAACTGTTGATTCTAATGAGCAGTACTCTCTTCACTCAACATCTATGCCAGGATTTTTGGAGGGGTTACATAAAGGTGAAAGGAAAAAAACAAAACAAAACATGAAAACAATTTTCAAGTGCAGCCATTTAAGAGTATAGTATGAATGTCCCTTGAACTTTGTGAGTGGGAAGACATCTAAGGAAATGTCTCTGTAGCTCTCCTTTTGAAAATCAATCTTAACTGGACAAGACCCCTGGCCACAAGCCTATGCAATTAGACTGCATATCCTAGTACCACAAATGCAATTGTTAGCAGCTGTCTTTGTCAACAGGCAAGTTGGAGAAACAATAAAAAGAGGAGCTGGTGATGATGAAAGAGGAAGGGTGTGAAATGGTTGTGTGCTTCCTAGTAGTCTTTAAGTCTCCACATACAGAAAAGAATTTGTGCTCCTCCCTTTAGCTAAAGTGTTGAATGACTGAGAAGGCAAAGAGGGATGAGAAAGCTGTTTGTTGTCTAGAGGAAGAAAGATAGGATATCCTACCATGTCAGAAAGCTGTTAAACACTCAAGATGAAAACACTCATCAGGATTTTAGAATCAACAAGCAGTTGTTTATATTTGGATGTTTGCAGTGGACCTTATTACCTTAACATCCTTGACCAAGTTTGTGAGACAAAGAATATCCAGGGTGTGGACTGAGATATTGGACTTTGTGGTTAAGGGACTCTTTTTAAAAACCTTTTTTAAAAGGTTATTATGACTGCAAACTTGGGTAAGAAAAGGGAGCCAAAGTGGTCCTTGGCTTTTGTTGTGGTTGAAGCAAGTGAATTTAGAAGAAAAAGACTGAGCAGAATAATTCTGGTTTAGGCTTGGGACTCTTTTATTAGTTCTCTTCCTATAGCATACAAGTCACAAGAAATCCTTCTTATGTTTCGTAGATGGCTTTTATACCCAGTAAACATCAAATATTGTCAGTGTGATTTTTCACAGGGATACATTTAGCAGTCAGTCCCTCATGGTACACGTTTATTATTTTGAGTTGAATATGCATATGTTAAATAATGGGAGGATTCAGCCTCAGGCTGGAAACCACGCTGAAGACTGAAGAAAACTTGGGGCAGTGGGTGGGGAGTGCTGCTCTATAGTCCTGCCTACCCTGGAAGGGCTTCTGATTTTACCCCACTGAGTACCCTGGGCAGAGTTGAGACACAATTAAATAGGGAATACCTGCCAACAGAGGAACAGCTTCCCTTTTCCTGTAGTGTCCCCTTTCAACTTGAGAATTGAACAGAAAGAACACCGAGCACTTCTTTCTTCTTTCCTTTTTCTAGGAAAAAATGAGTTTGCCAAGTTGAAACAAGTACTTTTCACATGAGTTTCTTCAGATAAATTTATTAATTTGTTTACATATATACATATGAAATATGATCCCGGTGCTGGTAGTACAGCATCAGGTAAGAGAGGCAGATGAGGTCCATATGAAGAAAGAAGTATGCTTTCAATAAACTAAGGGTGGTCTCAACACTTTGGGAGGCTGAGATGGGAGGATTGCTTGATCCTGGGAGATTGAGAACAGCTTAGGCAACATAGTGAGACCTCTGTCTCTACAAACAATATTAAAAAAAAAAAAATTAGCTGGGCATGGTGGTTTGTGCCTGTAGTCCCAGCTACTTGGGAGGCAGAGTTGGGAGGATCGCTTGAGCCTGGGAGGTTGAAGCTGTAATGAGCCATGATCATGGAACTGCACTCCAGCATGGGTGACAGAGTGAGACCCTGTCTCAACAATAAATACGTAATAAACTAAGGGCAAGTTGGATCTCTTTTAACTTCAAGCTAAATATGCCATCCTCTTCATCATACTTCTCAATTGTACTACATGATCAGAGATCAGAATGTTGAAAGAGTTTGAAATCTGCACACTAAACATTTCTCCTCTAAACTAAAAGATACCTAGTTCTTGTATCAGTGCATTAAGAAATAGGCTCAGCTACACAGTAGCTATAATCTATACATAAGGAAAAATTGCTTAATAGAGTTCTATTCCTGAGTTCCATTTCCATGGTTTGCCAGAGTTTAATTAAGTTTCTCAAGCTTTTTAAGGGCATGTCTATTTTTATTTATTTCTGTTTTGGTTAAGTTTTATTTTTATTTTTAAATGCTTTTTGACCTGTTTTTGTATAAGATAGATGTGTATCTATTCATATACATACCTATTGAATAATAGTGACTGTGAAATATATGCTGTATGATGGGTACTGAATTTGAGTCTATTTTGTTGAAATATAGAGACTTCAAATATATCTTTTCTTTTTTTTAAAATTTTGTATTATACTTTAAGTTTTAGGGTACATGTGCACAACGTGCAGGTTTGTAACATATGTATACATGTGCCATGTTGGTGTGCTGCACCCATTAACTCGTCATTTACATTAGGTATATGTCCTAATGCTATCCCTCCCCCCTCCCCAGGCCCTGGTGTGTGATGTTCCCTTCCTGTGTCCAAATGTTCTCATTGTTCAATTCCCACCTATGAGTGAGAACATGCAGTGTTTGGTTTTTTGTCCTTGTGATAGTTTGCTGAGAATGATGGTTTCCAGCTTCATCCATGTCCCTACAAAGGACATGAACTCATCATTTTTGATGGCTGCATAGTATTCCATGGTGTATATGTGCCACATTTTTTTAATCCAGTCTATCATTGTTGGACATTTGCGTTGGTTCCAAGTCTTTGCTATTGTGAATAGTGCCGCAATAAACATACGTGTGCATGTGTCTTTATAGCAGCATGATTGATAATCCTTTGGGTATATACCCAGTAATGGGATGGCTAGGTCAAATGGTATTTCTAGTTCTAGATCCCTGAGGAATCGCCACACTGACTTCCACAATGGTTGAACTAGTTTACAGTCCCACCAACAGTGTAAAAGTGTTCCTATTTCTCCACATCCTCTCCAGCACCTGTTGTTTCCTGACTTTTTAATGACCGCCATTCTAACTCGTGTGAGATGGTATCTCACTGTGGTTTTGATTTGCATTTCTCTGATGGCCAGTGATGATGAGCATTTTTTCATGTGTCTTTTGGCTGCATAAATGCCTTCTTTTGTGTCTGCTCATATCCTTCGCCCACTTATTATGACACTAAATTTGATGTCTATTTGGATATCATTTATAAGATCCTTATATAAAAACAAATAAACAGGGTTTACTTTGAATTTTACCAAGGAATAATCTACATTGAAATTATGTTACACACAGTTTTTTTCCTGATCTTTAAGAATTAGCAAAAAAAGAGGAAACATTTGCAAAAGAAATTGAATAGTATGAAACTGTTGGATGTTGCTTATTCCTTATAGATGTTTACATTAATTTATTAATCTGACTTGAAAAAGTCAACCACTTTACCTAGAATTAGGTTTTGCCATTTTGGTGGCAAGTTGAAAAGTTGTTTTCAAATTTGTCCAGTCTTTTCCAGCCTTTGTTTTTCCCTGTCTCATATTTATGTACCAACATTTTAATCATCATGCATTATTATAAATTATTTTATTTCAGTTGAATTTAATAATTATCTGACAACACTTTATAAGCTAGTCAGATTTGAGAAAATCAATTTAAAGTCCTTCTTACAATTCATTATATGCAATAAATAATATTAAGAGAGTCTTTCTTCTGGAAGGAATGCCTTCAGATTTTGACGAATAAATGTAAATAAAAACATTTCTTCAAGATATGATATTGTGCGGTTTTATCTAGCTGAACCCAGGTACGTTAAAAAGAAGTTTAAGGTAATGTTTTTCTCAATATTCTTCTTCTAAGTTTTAAAAGTTTTGACAGTTTCAGATAAAATTTGACGAGGAAAGTTAGACATTTACAGTTAACATGGCTTGGATATATATTTTAATAATGCATTTAATAATGTAATATATACAAAGTCAAGTCAGTTCAATAATTTTCTTTTTTTTCAGTGTTTCTTCTCTTTTAACTTTTAGCTTTTGCCTTTCCCTTTATGTCCCTTGTCCTTTAATCTGGATCCCAGCAATATTTTATGTGCATGAGAACTCAAGTACATAGTAGTTTTAATCTATCATCTATTCTTAAATAATGAAATTTCAACATATTCCATTTAGAATCATTTACTAAGACACCAAGAGGAGTATGAAATAACACTTGTTTGTGTGTAGATAGATAGGTAGATAGATAGGGATATACATTATTTTTATCCACTTACTATTCTCTTTGCATTTTTAAAACTCTCTTAATGTTTCCTGTTGATTTTGTAGCACCAATTCCCACATAAAATGTGTCCCTTACCCATCAGTTTTCATTTTCAAATTGGATCAGATAGATCATGTTTTTTCTTAAAGGGCATGAGCACTTTCTCAAGAACATACTACTTTAAAACAATGTAAGCATTTTTAAAAAGTAAAACAGGATAATGGGATAATTTCTGGTCTTTTCTATCAAGAGGAAACAGATCATAATGTGCCAGATTGCACTCATCCTCTCTAGGAATTTCTTTATAGATAGTTTGTTAACTCAAGACTTAATAAAAGTGTTTCATGAGCTTTAGAAAAACATCTTACCTAACAATCCATTTCCCACATTTAATTACAAAAAACAATAATGCATATATGTTGGATTCTAATATCAATCCTTAGTTGCATCTTACTAAAGAATGAGTAATGCTCCCTCCCCACATGTGGTTAAGGTAATAGTACCTGTTCTTAGACCATCTCTAGCCCAGTGTTGCTTTTCCCATGTTATCTGTACTATAATGTCAGATTTTCATGCTGAGTTCTAATATTTGTTTAATTACTTTCTTAAAATACAATTTTTAAGCACCAGGAAAACCCTTTAAACTAATTTCTATGAAAGTACTTTCTCTAACATTTCCTACAAAATACTGGCTGCATGCTTTACTAGTAGTCACATTGTATTTAGTAGTCAGAAATGATGTGTGATGCTCTCTTCTTGTATTTCCAACCTATGGGTTCTGTTTTCTTTCTTTGCCAAGTGTGAGTTGTGGCAAAAATAGGACATTTCCATGGACTTTAGGGATAAAGAACCACTTCAGTCTTGGTAATCATCCCAAAGGGGGTGATCTGTAGTCCAGAAAGCCAGGACCTTCCAAAACATATTGATTAAACATCTCCTTTACAGCAGAAGCCAAAAATCTTTATTGCCAATATTATAAGTTATAGCAGTGTTCCCCAACTTTTTTGGCACCAGGGACTGATTTTGTGGAAGACAATGTTTCCATGGACCGGTGAAGGAGATGGTGTCAGGGGGATTCAGTCACATTACTTTTATTGCGTACTTTATTTCTATTATTATTATTACATTGTAATATATAATAACATAATTATACAACTCACCATAATGTAGAATCAGTGGGAGCCCTGAGCTTGTTTTCCTGCAACTAGATAGTCCCATCTACTCCATAATCTCATTTTGGTTGCTGTCACTGCAGAAAACCCTGCTTCACAAAGATAGAATGTTGGAAATTGAAGCAGGCTCTTTGGTGCTTTTGTGGCAATTACAAGATATTCTGCCTTGACTTTAATCCAGAACATATGGAGATTTGAAGTTGTCTCAAATATATTTTAAAGTCCACTGTCATTTGTGATCTCAAGCAGTTGATCCTTTTCTAACATGGACAAAGTCCATTCACCTGGCTTATTCATAAATGGGTCATGGATCCATTTCTTCCCAGTTTGGGGTCTTTTGAGTAATACTCAAATGCTTTTGAAAGCTGAGGTAAGTGATCATGTACCAGCTGTGAGAAAGAAGGCCCTGGCTCAGCCTCTTTATAAATCACAGCTAATGTTTAAAACATATCAGAAATCCCAATGTTCACTCATCACCCCCATAATTCTACTTTGGCTTTTAATGCAGACCCTTTTGCTGACTTGAACACAGTTCTCATTCTCCCCTGAAGTGACAGATTGAGTTTGTTGACTAGGTTGAATATGTCACACAAATAGGCAAGTTTTGGGACCCATTCTGTGTCACTGAAATGTGCTGCCAGTGGTGATTGTTGTTCTAAAAATCTCTGGAGTAGTTCTCATAACTCAAAAACTCTGGCCAGGGATCTACCTTTAAAAAGCCATCTCACTTCTGTGTATAAGGGAAGATGTAGCTGGGCGCAGTGGCTCACACCTGTAATCCCAGCACTTTGGGAGGCTAAGGCGGGCAGATCACTTGAGGTCAGGAGTTCAATGCCAGCCTGGCCAACATGGAGAAACCCTGTCTCTACTAAAACCACAAAAATTAGCCGGGCATGGTGATGGGCACCCTATAATCTCAGCTACTTGGGAGGCTGAGGCAGGAGAATCACTGGAACCCAGGAGGCAGAGGTTGTGGTGAACTGAGATCGTGCCACTGCACTCTGGCCTGGGCAACAGAGTGAGATTCTGTCTCAAAAAAAAGAGAAGATGTGTGTGCTCTCTGTCTGTCTCCTCACAGAACTGTGCAAACAGACATGAGTTAAGAGCATGTACTTTAATGTGGTTGATAATTTTAATCACATCCTGCAAAATGTTGTTAAGTTCAAGTGACATTTTTTGGCTAGCCAGCATTTCTCTGTAGATGACACAGTGCATAGACTCACATTCAGAAGCGACCTCTTTGACCCGAGCAGTGAAATCAGAAAGCCATTTTAGTCACGGCAGCTACTCTGTCTATGCATATACTGACACAAAATGACCAATTCAGTTTTCTTGATATATATTCATTCAAAGACTTGAATGTTTATGCAGCTGTGGTGTTGATTGCCAACAAAAGTGCACATAACAAATCCTCATGCACATCCTCCTGAAAAATATATTGCACTAAAACAAGCATTGTTGCCTTGTCAACATCAATAGACACATCAACCTAGACTACATACCATGGTGACTCATTAGTCCTCTCTAACAATTGTGCCCTGATATCCCCTGCTATTTCATCAATTGGTCTAGTTATGGTGCTAGCTGAAAGAGGAACATGTGCCAACTTTTGAACTGCAGCCTCTTCTGTAAGTTCATGACAAATGTCCTTAGCAGCAGGAAGGATCAACTCTTCACCAATAGTAAAGGGTCTCTTAGCTGTAGCAATGTGGTTAGCCACTAAGAATGATGCTCTCAGTTTAGACACATTTGATGAAGTGGTGTCCTTCAATGTTTGCTTCTGTTCTTCATGTTCATCTTTTTTTTTTTCTTTTGAAAAACTTCAAAATGGACTGGCACTTTGGGAGGCCTAGGTGGGTGGATTGCTTGAGGCCAGGAGTTTGAGACCAGCCTGAGCAACATGGTGAAACCCCATATATACAAAAAATACAAAAATCAGGCATGGCGGCACATGCCTGTGGTTCCAGCTACTAGGGATACTGAGATGGAAGGATCACTTGAGTCCGGGAGGCAGAGGTTGTGCCACTGCACTCCAGCCTGGGTGACAGAGTGAGACCCTACCTCAAAAAGAAAAAAAAAGTAGAGAAAAAGAAAAAAAAAGAAAACCTCCAAAGACTTGAACTTGACTTTTGACACAGGGTGCTTAATCTGCATGTGGTGAAGAAGTTTTAAAGGTTTTATGGCTTTTTTGGATAGCCAGTCATCACATATTATACAAAGCAGGCTTGCAGAATGAATGTGAATCACCTGTTGCAGTGAACCCATAATTTAAGTGGGACTCTTGTTATTTTCTTTTAAATGCTGAATTTTTGTAGGCAGTCTTAGAAGTCTTCCGCTGTTGCATCACTGGGTCTTTCCCTCCTTCAAAGAAGCACTCCAGTGATGTTTGTTTTTTACTCATTTTGGCTGGGTTAGCTTGAGGGCTTACCAAAACTGTGACTGAAACAAGTGCACAGTGCAGGAAAGAAGCATGGGTGGAAGTGGTAAATACAATAATGGATGGGCCATACATGGACTAAATTAAGTGCTAGATTCTGACTTAAAGCCTGACACCAGATGCAGCACAGATAGGGTTTTGATATGAGTCTGTAAGCAACTGATTTATGATGGTCTCTGTGCAGTCAAATCTGTCTGCTAACGTTCATCTATATTTGCATCTGCTCCTCAGTGCTAGCATCACCACCTCAGCTTCACCTCAGATCATCAGGCATTAGATTGTCATAAGAAGCATGCAACCCAGTCCCTCACATATGCAGTTCACAATAGTGTTCGAGCTCCTATGAGAATCTAATGCTGCTGCTGATCTGATGGGAGGCAGAGATCAGGCAGTAACGACTGATGGGCAGTAGCTGTGGAGTGGCTGCAAATACAGATGGAGCTTCACTCACTCACCACCGGCCACTTCCTGCTGTGCAGCCTGGTTCCTACCAGGCCATGGACCAGTACCAGTCCATGGCCCAGTGGTTGGAGGCCCCTGAGTTACATAAATATATAGTTATGGCAAATGAATCAATGTTGCCATTTGTCAAGTATACATAAATAGATAAATTGTCTTTCTGCACAATCAAATCAAAATTCACATACCACACAGTGGAATATATATTTCTTATAAGTATTATGATTACCCACTAAGTAATCATGGAAATAATCTTTGAAGGAATTAAGAGGCCAATTATGTATTATTCTATACCATGTTGGAAGCTTGTCAAATTTACAATACACATGTTCAAAGTGAGCCTACAGCTTGAACCCCTCAAACTTATTCCATATTAAGTATTTAAAACTACTCAGGGCTGTTCATGATTAGCAAATTTGTGAACACTTTAATGCATCAAGTAAGACTTTTTCTTACAGGAAACCCAATATCAAGATGTGCTCTACTGACCCATTTTATTATTTTCCTTAAATTGAGGAGAAAAGATACTCTATATTATAATTAGTTATATTAAAGAAATTCATAAAAACCTGAGTAAATGTGGTAGACAGTTTATAGCAATGTCTTTAGGGTAAATGTCTATATTAACATGTTGATCATTTATTAAAATATGCCATGCAGTAACTCCTCTAACCCTTTATGTGGCTTAATTTTTTTTCTCTCTTTATAAATAAAATGCAGTGGCCAAGCCCAAATAGAATGAATTGTTTCTGTGTAATGAACAAGATATAAAATCTTTGCCTGGCTGCCAACTGTTTGTAAATGTTAGCAGGAGCCTCATGGTGAGGTAGACTAAGTATTTACTTAAGGCTCTAAGTAACCTTTACAGGTAAGTCCCTCAATCTCTCTGGATTTCCCAATGTCATCTATTACGAAAGAGAATTGGATATGAAACAGACAATATCTAGATTTCTTCGAAATCTTCTCTGACTCTACAATTTGCTAAGACCAAGCCTTAAATGATCTGAACTTTTCTCACTAAAATAACAAGTATTTTTTAAATTTAGTAATTTTAGCTCAAATTAGATTGATCAGAGGTTTTGATTGAACATAGAAGATATCTCAAAATAATGTAAAATAACTTAGTACTTTGGGGAAAAATATGACAGTTGACATGCTTGCCAAAGCTTCTGTATCATAATAGATCTAATCTAGGTAGTAAGTTGGCTTCTACTGATGCATAACATGTTTCTAACATTATTTTGCATTCTGGATATATTTTCCCAGAAGTGATAACATTGCAATGATTGTGCCTTATTTTTGCATGGTCAGTATATGAAACTTTCTGTACAGACTGGCAGACTTTCTGTCCTTCCAATGCTCGCGAGAAGACACAAACCACACAAAGATTCCCTTGGGATTTTCCTTAAAATATGAAATGCATTAGATAAGAATAGAGACAAAAGTGGGATGTGGCCATGATGCTCTGGCAAAAAGCCAGGATTTCGAACTTTTCAGAATTTTTGAAGGGTTGAGTTATCTACTAAAGGAAATGAGGGGAAAGAAAAACCAATAAATTGCTACATAAAACTTTATATAGAAATATGTTTTCTGATACAGAAATGTTTACCTATCGGGAAGAATTACTCTCTGCCTTGCTCATGGCTTTGTTACCATTCAAATGAATTGTGCAGGACTTTTCTAACGTAATCGTTCAGGCTTCTTTTCTTAACTTTTCTGTCTTGTACCATTTCCCGCAATTTATCCCATTGCAAAATGGGATCAAAAGTCAGTTATCTTGGGTCACAGCAAATGACTCAAACATGTAAGTGTTTCCAGTAGTTGTTGTTTTTTTGTTTGTTTGCTGGATTGCTGGTAGTTGGGAATAAGGGTAGAGTTTCTATCTCCAGGGGAACACAAGCTTTTCTAGATCTTTATTTTACCCAAAACTAGCGATAGAATCATTTCACACTTTGTGAATTCAATTTATATCAGCACTTATTATGAACAGTTCTCAAGAATTACAAATCCATTTCTGTCCTAGACACGTGTCATTTGTGTCTCACTGTGAATGTATCCTAAGAACAGAGAGGATAATGTTTGAAAACATGACATTATTACAATATTGATAAGTAATTATTTCCTGAAATATTTCCATAATGTTAAATACATTTAAAAAATCTCTACCAGTGAGGAAAAAATTAGAAAAAAAAAGTCAAGTTTACCAAATCTATTGATCTAGCACAGTGTTGTGAAGAAACCTATTAGATGGTCATCTGCAAATATTTGTTCACTTATGATCACTGTGAAAGATCTGGAGTCATATTTCATTTGTAATAAAAATGCAGTAAGAAATTGATCTTTAACACACTTTAACAATTAATTTACCACTTAAGAATATTGTCCCTATATTGCATTGTAAGTTTCTGATACTTTTAATGTTAGATCAATGACAATGGCTGAATGACAATATTGGTTAAATATAGTCTTAAATTGACAAGTGTTTTGGGATCTGCCACTGTACTCATCAATAAGGCTAAGCTAGGCACTGTATTTATCCTATGACTTGAATTATCAGGTGAGAATGTAAAATGTCATTTTGGTATTTAGCATACTGTGAAAGATATATCATCTTATCCAGAGATAGAAAGGATTTTCTGCAAATTCAGATCTCATTTCTATCTGTAATTCCAAATGCATGTCAAGCGTATTGACAGAACTGTGGAAGATAGAGAAACTAAATAACTCAAATACATTATACTAAAAAGGCAACCAGAGTGTATAATGGTAGGAGGTGGACTAGACATAGATTACTGATTAGCCCAGTCTAGTACCCTCCTTTTAATGGCAATGAGATCATTCTAGAGCAAGTATTAATACATGCTTTCAACACTGGGTGTAGGGTGAAGGATAAAGTGGAGCCCTATTGCTTTGAGACAATTTCTTGACCATGTGCATATATTTAAGGGGGCCATATAGTCCTTTAATTCTTGGTGTTAACACAGTTAGCCCTTTGAAAAAGCCCATAAAATTCTTATGAGTAGTTGAAGGCACTTAAGTTTCCACCAACATTTCCACACTTTTAAAATGGAGAAGAAAATAAAGATTCTGATGACTATCAACAACAATGCAGTATATCTGTACACAAATCCCAAATTCACAATACCATAGTTATGTAGATGTTAAAAATCCCATACCTGTTCAAAAATGAGGTTACTAATTTTCCACATTGTTTAAAATTTTTCTTGTTGTTAAGCTGCCGCTATTACTTGTGTGTATTCCTGTCTGTGGTTCTGCTTCTATGCACACGTTCTGTCAATGCTTTTTTGCATCAAAGCTGTGCTTTGTCTCTGAATCATATTGTATAGAACAGTGTGTGGTCCTTGGAAAAGCAGAATCAGCACTGTTTGGAAATATGCCAGGAATTCTAATTCTCTACTCCAATCTAGAATTACTAAGTCAAAAATCCCAGCAATCTGTCTTTAAGCAAGTCTTCCAGATGATTCTGATGCACGTTCATATTTGAGAACTATTGGTATAGAAGGTTGGTTAACTTGCCACTATTCTGATTGAGCACACAGTAAATATATATTTAGCACCCACTCTCTGAGATTCTTTGCAACCCTATGAGCTATAGGCCAGCGGTCCCCAACCTTTTTGGCAGCAGAGACTGGTTTCGTGGAAGACAATTTTTTACACGAAAGGGAATGAGGAGATGGTTTGTAGATGAAACTGTTCCACCCCAGATTATCAGGTATTAGTTAGATTCTCATATGGAGTGTGCAACCTAGATCCCTTCCTTGCATTGTTCACAGTAGGGTTCGCACTCCTGTGAGAATCTAATGCTGCCACTGATCTGATAAGAGGCAGTGCTCAGGCAGTAATGCTAGTGATGGAGAGTGGCTAAATACAGTTGAAACCTCGCTCTCGCTTGCCTATGGCTTGCCTCCCGCTGTGTGGCCCAGTTCCAATATTGGTCCATGGGACATTACAGTTCCCATAATGTTTTGAGGCTTCACTTCATTTAACTTTGTTTCATTTTTAAAGAGAGGTAAAACCACATTTAGAGCCATTTAGACTCACACTATGGTATGGCCACATAATCCCAGAGGTATTAGTGAAAATGTGATAACAACCCCAAGGAGCTCCCTAAGTCCTTCTGTGCTAGGATATAATAGATGAACTTAGGACACTGACAACAATTCTTGGGAGAGAGAGGTTTCATTTAGAGAGGTTAGTATTTGTGTCTTACATTGTGCTAACTATGATATGTTTCAGCACCTTGATTAAAACTATAAAACTATATAGCATTATAATCAATTTCAAGTTAAAATGTTTAGAGAAAAATAGATGTGACTGATTCTGAATTAATGAGACTTTCCACGTTTCACAATAATTTTTTTTTGGAAAGTACATTCCTCACCCAGAAAAGCACCACTACCACTCAATGAAGCAGAACCTTTAGTTTTAGCTAGTGGCCACCTCAAAGTGCCATTGGGGGAGGTGGGGAGAAATGTGGCTCAAGCACTTGAGCTCTTTCTCTCTCCAAGCCTGTTTTTATGCATGCACTTTCTCTCCCTGGAATGTTCCTTCTCAACTTCCCAAATCCCCCCTATTAAAACCCTGCTCTTGAAAAGTCACCTCAAACACCAGCTGTCTTCTTCAGGATGGCTTCACTATTTAAAGTAATGTATAACATATTTTATCTCTCATACCACACTTAATATATTTTCTTTCTGGTTTTTTTTTTTTTTTGTATTGTCATTACTTATTTGGGTCTTTATTTTATTGAGCTTTAAAACTCCTTGAGGCAAGGACCACATCTTGTTTGCCTTTGTAACCTTCAGAATGAGAGCTAACACCTACCCTGCACACTGGTGCTTAATACACATTAGCTGAATTAATTTACTCAGTCTATAGAATTCCATTGTATATTTATGTTCTATTTATCTAGGAGTGGATAGAAGGATTTTGCACTTATTTTTCACATCTAGTTTTCCTTGTCTATATCCATTCTATTAAATACAAGTTTTATTTGCCATATACTTTCTCCTTTTGTGTTTATGGAAAAATATTTAGTGAGAAACTTACCCTCCAGACCAATAGCTTTTTCATTCTAATAGCACCAAAACAGAAGAAGCCTTTGTCCAACATGATTGCTAGGGGGACAATAGGTCAGATGCTCCTCTTCTGGAGAAGAATGAGAAGCAGCAGCTGGGAAAGATGCTTGTGAATGGCCACCTTCTCAGATTAACTATTTAGTCACTCATCAAAACATTACCAGCCCAAACAATTATATATATGAGTATTAAAAGAAAAAAATGCATTTACACGAAAATTGTGACTTCTAAGTTATTTCCACTCAGAGATTATCAAGTCACAAAATTTTCTCCATTACTAAGGTGATGATGCATCATGAGGGAACATTCGCAAAGTAATATGAACTGATTTTTGTCATAATCGCTTTTGTAATGTTGACTATCAAACTTTATTTTTTAAGATTTTAAATATAATCTAAAATAAGCTTTATAGATTGCTACTATTTACTGAAGAAATTTGCTAAATATTACTTTATTTCTAATGTATTCTTTAAACAATTTTATATTTGTAGACAAAATCCTTCCTAGTTGCCAAAATTCTTAGAATCTGCACAAGATGTTTACTAAACTGAGTCTCATTATCTCCCAACTTCACTTTTCCCAGCTTCCTGACTTGTTCCTTGTACTCCAGTTGGTAAATCAAACCTCTTATGATATTTGAAAACACCATACTGTTTTACCTTAATAATTTGCTCTTGCCTTCCCACCCTTCCCAGCCTTCCCCTGGACACTTCTTAACCTTCATGACTCAGTTCAGGTCTCATCTCCAACAATAATTTGATCGTGGAACCCCAGCCAGTATGACCTGCCTTTACCTTTGCCCCATAGTCCCCTTGTCATCATCTTAAGTCATCACTTACTGCCATGTAACATGTTTTATTGTAATTATCTGTGTTTGTCTTTTATTCCCAATAGTACATAGACTTATCAATAGAAAAGCCATTACGTATTTGACTTTATATTTTCATTTTCTAAAAGCGTACCCTTCTCCTCCTAGGTCTTCCTAAGTGATTGAACTAAATTGTCCAAAGACCCTTAAATAGATTCACAATACTACCTGGGCTATTCATGTTTTAAGGGACATAAAAACTAATATAGTTACAACTTAATATAAATAATAGAATTTCACTACAAGAATATGCCTATAAATTTACAAAATATCTGTTTTACATGAATGGGAAATATAATTCATGTGTCCTTTCATTAATAATATAATTTTCAGGTGTTTCTTTGAGTTAAAAAAAAAAAAACCTTTTTTTATAGCTTTTAATGTTAAGGTAATTGTAGAGTCATAAACTTGTAAGAAACACGGGGAGATCCAGTATGCCCTTAACTCACTTTCCTCCAGGAGGCTCTTTTAACTGGCATTTAGTTTTGATTCAAAATATACACATATAGAACTATAAGCTACTGATCCAACAATCCTCAAACAAAATTCTGGAGCTCCTTTCCAAAAATAATTTGATAGGCAAACTTGATCATCCTCACCAAAGAACAGAAAAACTGGAGTGATTCCTTACAAAAAGTAAAGAAGTCCTCTAGGCTTCAGTCCTTCAGAACTCCCCTTTCACATTCACAGATGTTTATAATAGGTGCAGTCATTGTCCATTACTCACAAGATGATCAAATTATAACTTACCTGACCATACGCTGCGTCCCAAAATTATTTTCAAAATTCGAAAGGATATTAAATCACCTATGTCTTCCCTCTATTTTGAAACAATAACTAAATAATAATATAAAAATAATAGCTAAACCTTTTTAAGCTTGCCTAAACTAGTTGCAAAGTGGAAAAAAAATGGTTGATTGAGTCTTTGAATATTGTGCTCCCATTTCAGGTAAAGCAGAAAGAAACAAAGGGGTATCTAAGCTAAATATAATCTACAATACCACTTGCAGTTCATCCTCAGAAATAACGGGTCAAAAATTCAGTTGTATCTTATACTATTACTATAGCTCAGTCTGTTAGTATAGTTTAATCCCAGGACGTTGCATGCACCTTCACAAATATTGGTTTATTTTTTGCTTAAAATCATCCTTCATTCCTCTTTGTTCTATTAATTTTCAGTTTCAAAAGTATACATAAGAGAATATCTTGCAGTTTACTGACAGTACTTTCTTGTCTTTTGGCCAGACAATGTAAGCAGCTGCCTAATCTTTTGCCCCTGAATTCTACCTCCTGCTCTGCTCTGTATCTTCTGCTTATGACATAAATAAAGTATGTTAGATTTTGTTCTCTAAGATTCAGACGTTATCCTCTATGGCATGCCATCATCCTTGGGAGGAACAGCACATTAAGTCATTAAAGAAAATTATCTTGATGAGTCATTTTGTCAGATGGTTTGCAACAGGGTTCCCTTGTAGGAATGGGAAAGAGGAGGAAGATGTGATGGAGAGGCAAAGTAGTCAGAGATGGGGAGCAATAGAGTCTAAAAGTCAGAGGCTTAAGTGTTAACATCCATTATTACCGACCTTTATCACCTTACCACCTGTGTGTGTGTGAGTTAAATAACCTAAGTATCTTCCGTTTTTATATTTGTAATCGAGACTAACAACAGTATCCTTAGAGGGCTATTGTGTGAATTAAGAAAATATTTTTCAGAATATGCAAATAAATGTGCGTGTGTGTGTGTGTGTGTGTGTACCTTAGGGAAACTACCAGCATAAGGGAAATGGATGTAAAAAAACACAAATAATGTCTCCTTCATCCTTCACAATCTTTCCTTGGTTTTGGCTTGCAAATAGAGTGAGATATATCTCTTTTGATGAAAAGGAGTGCTGTGTTAGGTCAGAGACTTCCTACAGATACATGGACAGAAGGGTCTCTGACATGTAGTCTTGGCAAAGTCTCTGGTTATGTCAACTTGGCAACAGGGGAAACTCAAGCATTTCTATTGGCCTCCATAAGGCTAACCTGTGAAGGAATAGGAAAGAAGGTATTCATCTCTCGAGAATAAGCTAAGCCACTCTATCTCTATGGGAAGAGTGAAAACATATAATCTGTAGACTGCATTGGGGATGGTGTTTCTCATGATACATGACAAATGATAATATGCTCAACTTTCAGATTTCATGTATTAAGCCAATGGGAATTTGTATGTATTGTTCAGGATTTACATAGCCCATTGAAGAATTTCCAAAATCTAGCACTGTTGGAGAAAAACTACCCTCTGATGATAATTAAGAAGATACTAAGCTCCAGGCAAATTCTAATAATTTTATAGGTACTATCTCATTTAATATTCACAACAAAATTATGAGGGAGGTACTATTATGTTGCCCATTTTGCAAATAAAATTGAGTCATGGGACACTTCAGTGACTTCTCCTATGGTAATTCACTAATAAATGTAGAGCCAGGAGTTGAACCCAGACATTTTGGCTCCAGAGGCCACATGCTAATCACGATGCTACTTCTCTACCCTGAACAAACTGCTGAGAGTTATGAAATAAGTAGTTTTAGTTCCCTAGGTCTTCTTAAACTAAAATGGGTGGGCACTTTTAGTAGACGATAAACTGACTTCCCTATTGTGATCTACAAACTTTTCCGAGAAAATTATCTTTAGATGCAGCAATCGAAACTTGTGTATAAGGGGAAAAGGAGCTCTTGTCTACCTCTTACTACTTCCCTCGATTTTCCATTTTTCCTAGGAAAAAAAAAAACCTTAAAAATCCATGTTTATGGATTTTCCCCCAACACAGAGCAGTAATTCTGCTATTTCAGGGACAGTGCAGATGTTGGGATTAGTCTCCCTGTATCTCAGAATGTCAACACATTTGCCAAAAATGAATCTATCAGTTAAATGTAGCCAAGAGATTTAGATTATCTATATCCTAGCAAGAAGAAATAGTTTATCACTGTTTTTAGAGATTGAGGTAATCTGGCATATTATTGACATGTGCTACAGATTTAATTTAATACCATAGTACAGATATGGGCTCTGATAAGTTATTTTGAAATCTAGGCTAAGATGAGTAGAGTTGTTTCAATATTTATAGGGTTGAAAATGCAGAGTTAGCAAAGGAAGCATTTTAATTAAAACAATATTTTCTATGTATGCTCAGAGTAAAATGAAGGGGAATTCTTTTAAAGCCTTATTACTTTTTTCTATATATTTGCTGGAAATACTTGCCGGGTTTTAAGACACATTGAAAAAGATTTGCTTGTTTGCTTGTTTGTTTACCAATGTTTTGTGCCTTTTGTTTTTAGAACCACACAAAAAACAACTCAATAGTTTCTTTTGATTTTACTTTTCTTCCAAATATATTTAGGATTCTTTATTTAGCCTTTTAAAATTGTATGTTTTAGGCATCCTGGAGATAACATCAGTAGAAATCGGAGTTGTTGCCGTCAAAGCCATTAACAGCAACTATTACTTAGCCATGAACAAGAAGGGGAAACTCTATGGCTCAGTAAGTATTCTGCTTTTGTTTTCAAATCCACTCCAGTAAACCATTACCATAGTTTTGGAAAGTTTCCTCCAGACACCGAATAGCTTTGTTATCCTTCTATTGCTAGTAAATAGAGCCACAGTGGGTTAGTCACCACTGTTTCAAGGGCTGGCAAAGCAGCTCTTCCAATTCTGTAATCTCCTCTGTTGTTCACCCATTAGTCTACCACACAGGCTGCTGCTGGCATTTGTCTGTGAATGTTCTAAACTGCTAACCAAGTCAGGCTCTCACGGAAGCATCCGGTCAGATTGGCATGGAAAATGAAGACAACTTGGAGAAAAAACACTAAAAACAAAGATCTTGAATTGAGTAGAAACCCATGTATTATATATGCGTTACGGCTGAAGATGAAACAAGGGCTCAGATGTTTTGCATTTTGTTAAAATCTGAAATGGGGAAATGTGTCAAGAAACACCATTTTGCTTGTTGTTCAATCAACTCTAGAATTTTATTTACCTAGACAATAACCTTTAATTCAAATTATGCCTCAAAATCATATATATATATGTGGGAAATATTCTTTGCAATAGGGTCCTTGTGGAGCAGGTATCCCTGCAGTGCTTTGGGCACATCCATGCCTATATTCCATACCAGGTGTTAAGTATTTGGAATACCACTTCTGCAATCTTGGATCAAACTCTTTTAAACCAATTTCTTAGAAATTTAAGATCTCACTTAAAATGCCAAATAGTTGTTTTATAATTGCAATTGTAATAATAATTAAATTACAAGCAGTGAGACAATTTATCCTGCTCAAGTCCTTAGAAAAAAATGCATCAATCAATCATATCAACATCTACTATATGCCAGATATTGTTTGACATATCAAAGATGCATAAGAAAGAAGTATAGAAATGGGCCTTGACTTCAAATAATTTATAATATATTTAGGGGAAATGTTAACAAATATGAAATAATTACAGCATGATTGGTTGTTACATGTATGAAAGGATCAGCTATAGCAAAGCAGCCCTATAATAAAGTTGGGAACTAGGTTTCAATCTCTTAGCTGTCATTTGAATGATGACAGGAGTATATTAGTTTGTGCATGTGGATCCATCTTATTGTGTCCCTCCCAGAGACAGATCAAGGGGATGCTAACTGAATTTCATTTTTTTCTCTGGATTCTACTGAAGGGGAGTGTATTGAAGGCAACTATAAACTTGGAAAAATTTTAATTTAATTTTTTGGAGGACATGTAATATTATATATGGCCAGAAATAAAACCTGTGACACAAATCTTTTAAATAATTTTTACTTTTGTAAACAGATCCTGTGTCATTTTTACATTTTTATGTAATCAAAAAGGAATTTCACTTTAAATTTGTAAATAAACTTACTTTGTTGATTAGCATAAGGCTGAGAGAACCATTTAGAACCATTTAGTGACCATTTAGAACCAGCAGCTCTTAAACTTGAGTATGCATCAGAATCAGTGGAAGGGCTTATTAAAAGACAGAATAATGGGACCCACAGCCATATTTTCTGATTCAATAAGTCTGTGGTGCAGTTCAATTTCCATTTCTCACATGGTCCCAGGTGTTCCTGATGCTGCTGGTGCAGTAACCACAATTTGAGAACCGCTGGTCTGGATGTAGAGTAGCCTTGTATTTTACTAATATCAGGTCCACTTTTAACTGGGGAGTCAGGCATGCTTTGAGTTGGTCCCTGGGACTAGGGCAAATGCTTTTTTTTGCATGGGGGTCAGAGGAATTTTAGTAAAATTTCTCCATTACCATTGCTCCCCTAATGAACCCAGAGGAATAACAGACCATTATAAAAAGTGGTTCCATTTAGGGGTTCACATCATAATCTCTTTTGAGGCATGTTTAATGTTTTCATTAAACATGTCCAGGTTCTTCCTTGATCTACTATATCAGAATTATTGGGGAAGAGAACCAGGTACATATTCTTTGAAGAGATAACAACACACATACTTAGTCTAGACCCAACGTCCTAAAGCCAGCTAACACTAATTTAGATTAAGGAAGAAAATGTAAATAATTTTAATGAATATAAAAGATTTTAAATACTTTTAATTGATAAAATATACTTATTTAAAAACATGACATCAAGGAGAAATGGATAACTTTCAAATAAACTCTGACATAAAAATATTTAATACTTTTCTTCACATTTCTCCTCTTTTTTTCTTCTGCCCCAACACAGCTCATGGACTGTGCTTATGCTTCATCTTGAGCTCTAAGCTCTGTGAATTATTTCATTCAAATTCTTTATTTAAAGTAGAGTCCGGTGGCTTTCTATTATCTGCAGTGGCACTTATCTGAGATTTCTCTCATTAATGTGTTTGTTGTTCACTGTCTTCTCCCAATAGATTGTGACCTTGGAGAGAGTGAGGTCAGTCTTGTCCCCCACTATTTGTTCAGCACTTAGAACCATACAGAGCACAGTTATACACTGCATAAACCTAACCTCTGGTAGAAGCTCAGCCAATTACAGAACATACTTTCCACTTCCAGCCTGTCTCAGAAAGAAACTCATTCTCTAACCATAACATTCTTTTTTGTGTAACTTTACATTTCTACTAGGAATAATGAAAAATTATGGTTTGTTCAAATTAAACGAAAAATTTATTCAAGTTCAATATTCTGCTCAGAGTGGAATAGAACTAACATCAAAATTTATAAGTGCATATCTAATATAATTCTGTATATTAGGTGACAACTCTTGTAATTCCTACCTTCATTTTTTGTTTCATACAGTATCCATCAATTCCGTAAGCCCTCCTAAAAATCTGACTTGGGCAAAGATTCAGACTGACTGATTAAACCAGTTTTATATCTATTCTCTTGAATTATCTTCCTCTATTCCTTTTTGGAAACTGTATACCTTTCTTATATTTTCATTATTCATTCTCTAAGCAATTTATCTATTGTATTTTGAGTTTTCTCCTGACTGATGGGATTCAGTAAATAAAGTATAAAACTGAATTAAATAGAATAGGTCTTCATAGAGCATGATTTAAGGACCAAAGAAAATTTTCAGGTAGCTGGAAAAAATCCAAACTTCTTTTAAAAAAACTCCCTGAACCCTGCTTTTGAGTCCTTGCTGTAGCCTGAATTTTCTTTTTATACATAACTGCTTATGATTTGCTTAGATCCTGTCAACAACATATATTTTGAGGCCCCTCCTCTAGAGATTTGGTACCTTTGGCCCAAATATTTAAAACATCTGAAATAAAAAGGCTGATACATGTGCACTTCAATTTAAGAAACATTACTCTATAAATTAATTTTGGGGAGGAAAATTAACATTAAGCATACACTCCCACTTTTGTATACCTAGCTTCATCTGAAATATGAAATCACCTCAAACAATCTCAGTCCTTCATTAGTCTCTAAACTGTACCCCATTTATTGATTGAAATGAACATAATTATCCATATTTTAAAAATTACTCTGCTTTGAAAAGTATATAGTTTTAGACAGACTGAGATAAAGAGAATAAAAGTAAATCCACACTAAGGATTTATATTCCTTTCAAATACAGAATTATTTTTGTTTTATCAAAATCCTTACCTTAAATAATTTACCTTTCCTTCTTACTTTCAGCCAGTTAAATCATCATTTGAATGTTATATTTAAATATTACTTTATAGAAGAGAAGCATTTAAGACTAAAAAATTTCAGGACAGATAACTTGAGCTGGTAGCATTAACATAGAATACATCTGCTTCTTATGGTTCTGATAATGTTCTAAACTGTGATAAATCCTACAGACACCTAGGTATATAAACATATACATTTTCAGGAATTTGGAATTTTGTAGAAATTTCAAAAAGTCTCAAGGTGAGAGAAACTGCCAAGTACAGTCCTCAACTGAACTATGCCCACGGGGCCCTTGCTTTGGATGAAGAAGATAGAACCAGAGGGCAAGTGCTCCAATTCCTTAGCTTCTTAACTACTTTAGTTTGAGTATAAGAAAAGAAGCTACTTCTCTTTTTCTGTTTGTTTTTGTTTTGTTTTGTTTTGAGACGGAGTCTCGTTCTGTTGCCCAGGCTGCAGTGCAGTGGAATGATCTCGGCTCACTGCAACCTCCGCATCCCAGCTTCAAACTACTCTCCTGCCTCAGCCTGCCGAGTAGCTGAGATTACAGGCGCCCACCAATACGCCTGGCTAATTTTTTCTATTTTTAGTATAGACGGGGTTTCACCATGTTGGCCAGGCTGGTCTTGAACTCCTGACCTTGTGATTCGCCTGCCTCAGCCTCCCAAAGTGCTGGGATTACAGGCGTGAGGCACTGCGGAGGCTACTTCTAAAGCCAGAGTCTTGAGATCATTGAGCTACTTCCTCTTTGTTATTAACTCCAGAGTAAGAACCTGGATTTGTGGAGTGAGTGAGAGCGAAGCCTTGTCCAGGAATGTCTCCTTAAATCCAATTGGCCTCCTGAACAAAACCAAAGCTCTATGGCTATGGGATGGAACTTCCCAGGATCCAAGTCCTTAAGATACAATGTAGGCATTGCTATTCACCATGCTCATAATTTCTTCAACATAGTAGTTCACAAAACGAGGAATTCCATGTCCTAGTTTTCAATCCCTAGAGTTCACGAGCAAAATCTGTCAAAATTCCAAGCTATAGAATATTGCAAATAATTTCATTAAATTAAGAAATTTGATATTTGGAAGAAAGACATCCCCCCCTTTTGGTTATGCAGAACTATTGTGGTTTTGCTATAAGCTCTGCTTTCTTATGAATGTGTGTGTGTATTTATTATGGATTTGTAGGTAAAGTTTGCAAACTTGACAAGCCCATATCTTTCCTTCAGTTCTATTTTTTCCCATGGGGCCCCTGGTTATTACTGTAAAAGAAGCATTATAACACTATTCTTTATTACTGACTCATCACAAATATTGTTAGTGAGATGTCTACTTCTTGACAATCACTCTAGGCACTTAAACCATATAATATTCAAAGCACATCAGCTTTTTAAAAGGGCTTTCAAAAAGTGGCTATGATGATCAATTAAAATGTATCATGTGCTTTCAAACAGAATGTGTTTTGTGGTTCTGAGATTTACTTTTCTATTGTTGACATTATGTATTAAGTGCACAACTTAGGTACAAATGGCAACTACAAACAGAATCCTTGGACTGGAGTTCTCTGGATGGCTTGTATCAAATGAAATCAAGTACAATCACCATAGGAATAAAAGATTCTGTTTTTCCTTTGCAGAAAGAATTTAACAATGACTGTAAGCTGAAGGAGAGGATAGAGGAAAATGGATACAATACCTATGCATCATTTAACTGGCAGCATAATGGGAGGCAAATGTATGTGGCATTGAATGGAAAAGGAGCTCCAAGGAGAGGACAGAAAACACGAAGGAAAAACACCTCTGCTCACTTTCTTCCAATGGTGGTACACTCATAGAGGAAGGCAACGTTTGTGGATGCAGTAGAACCAATGGCTCTTTTGCCAAGAATAGTGGATATTCTTCATGAAGACAGTAGATTGAAAGGCAAAGACACGTTGCAGATGTCTGCTTGCTTAAAAGAAAGCCAGCCTTTGAAGGTTTTTGTATTCACTGCTGACATATGATGTTCTTTTAATTAGTTCTGTGTCATGTCTTATAATCAAGATATAGGCAGATCGAATGGGATAGAAGTTATTCCCAAGTGAAAAACATTGTGGCTGGGTTTTTTGTTGTTGTTGTCAAGTTTTTGTTTTTAAACCTCTGAGATAGAACTTAAAGGACATAGAACAATCTGTTGAAAGAACGATCTTCGGGAAAGTTATTTATGGAATACGAACTCATATCAAAGACTTCATTGCTCATTCAAGCCTAATGAATCAATGAACAGTAATACATGCAAGCATTTACTGGAAAGCACTTGGGTCATATCATATGCACAACCAAAGGAGTTCTGGATGTGGTCTCATGGAATAATTGAATAGAATTTAAAAATATAAACATGTTAGTGTGAAACTGTTCTAACAATACAAATAGTATGGTATGCTTGTGCATTCTGCCTTCATCCCTTTCTATTTCTTTCTAAGTTATTTATTTAATAGGATGTTAAATATCTTTTGGGGTTTTAAAGAGTATCTCAGCAGCTGTCTTCTGATTTATCTTTTCTTTTTATTCAGCACACCACATGCATGTTCACGACAAAGTGTTTTTAAAACTTGGCGAACACTTCAAAAATAGGAGTTGGGATTAGGGAAGCAGTATGAGTGCCCGTGTGCTATCAGTTGACTTAATTTGCACTTCTGCAGTAATAACCATCAACAATAAATATGGCAATGCTGTGCCATGGCTTGAGTGAGAGATGTCTGCTATCATTTGAAAACATATATTACTCTCGAGGCTTCCTGTCTCAAGAAATAGACCAGAAGGCCAAATTCTTCTCTTTCAATACATCAGTTTGCCTCCAAGAATATACTAAAAAAAGGAAAATTAATTGCTAAATACATTTAAATAGCCTAGCCTCATTATTTACTCATGATTTCTTGCCAAATGTCATGGCGGTAAAGAGGCTGTCCACATCTCTAAAAACCCTCTGTAAATTCCACATAATGCATCTTTCCCAAAGGAACTATCAAAGAATTTGGTATGAAGCGCAACTCTCCCAGGGGCTTAAACTGAGCAAATCAAATATATACTGGTATATGTGTAACCATATACAAAAACCTGTTCTAGCTGTATGATCTAGTCTTTACAAAACCAAATAAAACTTGTTTTCTGTAAATTTAAAGAGCTTTACAAAGTTCCATAATGTAACCATATCAAAATTCATTTTGTTAGAGCAGGTATAGAAAAGAGTACATAAGAGTTTACCAATCATCATCACATTGTATTCCACTAAATAAATACATAAGCCTTATTTGCAGTGTCTGTAGTGATTTTAAAAATGTAGAAAAATACTATTTGTTCTAAATACTTTTAAGCAATAACTATAATAGTATATTGATGCTGCAGTTTTATCTTCATATTTCTTGTTTTGAAAAAGCATTTTATTGTTTGGACACAGTATTTTGGTACAAAAAAAAAGACTCACTAAATGTGTCTTACTAAAGTTTAACCTTTGGAAATGCTGGCGTTCTGTGATTCTCCAACAAACTTATTTGTGTCAATACTTAACCAGCACTTCCAGTTAATCTGTTATTTTTAAAAATTGCTTTATTAAGAAATTTTTTGTATAATCCCATAAAAGGTCATATTTTTCCCATTCTTCAAAAAAACTGTATTTCAGAAGAAACACATTTGAGGCACTGTCTTTTGGCTTATAGTTTAAATTGCATTTCATCATACTTTGCTTCCAACTTGCTTTTTGGCAAATGAGATTATAAAAATGTTTAATTTTTGTGGTTGGAATCTGGATGTTAAAATTTAATTGGTAACTCAGTCTGTGAGCTATAATGTAATGCATTCCTATCAAAACTAGGTATCTTTTTTTCCTTTATTTTAAAATAATAATTGCACCTGACACATAAACATAGACCACCCACAACCAAAATTAAATGTTTGGTAAGACAAATACACATTGGATGACCACAGTAACAGCAAACAGGGCACAAACTGGATTCTTATTTCACATAGACATTTAGATTACTAAAGAGACTATGTGTAAACAGTCATCATTATAGTACTCAAGACACTAAAACAGCTTCTAGCAAAATATATTAAAGCTTGCAGAGGCCAAAAATAGAAAACATCTCCCTGTCTCTCCCACATTTCCCTCACAGAAAGACAAAAAACCTGCCTGGTGCAGTAGCTCACACCTGTAATCCCAGCAGTTTGGGAGACTGTGGGAAGATGGCTTGAGTCCAGGAGTTCTAGACAGGCCTGAGAAACCTAGTGAGACATCCTTCTCTTAAACAAAACAAAACAAAACAAATGTAGCCATGCGTGGTGGCATATACCTGTGGTCCCAACTACTCAGGAGGCTGAAACGGAAGGATCTCTTGGGCCCAGGAGTTTGAGGCTGCAGTGAGCTATAATCTTGCCATTGCACTCCAGCCTGGGTGAAAAAGAGCCAGAAAGAAAGGAAAGAGAGAAAAGAGAAAAGAAAGAGAGAAAAGACAGAAAGACAGGAAGGAAGGAAGGAAGGAAGGAAGGAAGGAAGGAAGGAAGGAAGGAAGCAAGGAAAGAAGGAAGGAAGGAAAGAAGGGAGGGAAGGAAGGAGAGAGAAAGAAAGATTGTTTGGTAAGGAGTAATGACATTCTCTTGCATTTAAAAGTGGCATATTTGCTTGAAATGGAAATAGAATTCTGGTCCCTTTTGCAACTACTGAAGAAAAAAAAAAGCAGTTTCAGCCCTGAATGTTGTAGATTTGAAAAAAAAAAAAATTGGAGCTATTGAGAGATCTGCCTCTGTAGGAGTATGGTCCCAGGCCCACAAAGTTAAAGTGCATCAGCCACAAATATGTGTCCATTTGAGTTTTGGTTCTGAGAATACTCCTCATAAAGATATAGAATCACTCCCTCCTCCTAACTCGCAAAAGGCTGAACAGTGTATAGTATGTTACATTTAAATAAAAACAATAAAAATGTTGGGAAAAGAAAATTAAAATATTGTCCTTGTTTGTTTTATTAGTCAGAAACTCTACCTGGTAATAAAGAGAGAAGCTCAAGTGTGTGCATGGCAGGATGTGGTTAAATGCCCCACAGCCCCAAACAACAACAACAGAAAAAAAAATTACTCAAACATTTGTAAGTTTTCTCTAATGTTTCACATGTGTGAGTTAGCTATCTTTACTCTAATAACAACCAAATGCTTTCAATCTTTTCTAAATATTCAGGTCCACCTAATTTACACAGTGGATAAAGAAAAATGAATTGGAAACGAGGATGGCTTATGAAACAATGGAAGACTTTTGGAGGAAAGCCAGGTGGCTGCAGAATCTGATTTCAAGGGGATGAATGACCAATGAATTTGATTTGAAAATTAGAGAGAAAAAATACATAATAATGCAAGTTGCTTCCAGGGCCCAAGCAAGTTTATGAACCCAATTTACATAGATCAGCATTAATGCTGCACAGTTCTAATAATTTGGATGCTGCCAATTCAAGGTTTGTGATTATTCAGTGAAGTAAAATTTACCTTTTTCATATTACTGAAGGGTTCAGCTGGTCCAAACTTTGTCTAAATAAAGTTATATATGTAGCTTAAAATATTTAAGAGAAGATGTCTAGTACATTAGAAGTAGGACATATACATGCAAACAGATACCATATTGATTAAGAGTTCTTGTTTATTTCATGAAGCAGGACTTTTCCAACTTAAACTGAAAAAAAAATAAAAAGGAAGAGGAATATCTTTGAAGGATGCTCAGGAGAAAAAGGAACTCTGAGTTCTATGAGTACTTAGAAATGAAGTAACGAAGATCTGCTTCTTCTCAGACATTCATTTTCTGTTACCCTTCATTGGTTTTATTTGGTTAGGCCAGATTGCTTCTAGTCTACTTCTTTCCTACTCCAAAACCCAAAACCCCAAACTCCTTTACTACAAGATCCAAAAAGGTAAACATCCTAGATATAACTCTTATTGGCCAGGTTTGGATAACATACCAACCTCTAGACCAATCAGTATAAGAGATTTGGGAATTGTGATTGACCAATCTTCAGTGACATGACCACAGAGAGGCAAGGTGAAGATTTTGGCAGCCCACACAACCGCAACTAGTGAAGAAGAGTACACCAAGGAGACAGCAGTGCTGCAGGTGCAAAAACCAAATGGTTGTTTGCTACATCTTATTAAATGAAGCTGTGACATAAAAACATTTTCTATTCCTATATTTCCCACCAATTCCAATTATTCTTCACCTGTTTGTTTGTCCAAGTTAGAGAGGTTTTAAGATCATTCTCTTTCATATGTTCTTTACCATTGAAAGATTACATTTGCATTGTTTTGTTTTAAGCCAAGAGTAGGGCCCTGGATATAGCTAGGCTCACTGTGGTTTTGCAAACTTTATATTGGGATGAATGCAAGTTTTCACTGAATAAAAAGCTGGTCCTCCTACTTCAACCTGTATCACAATATGATGTTATAAATGTTTCTTTCAGTTTATCCCAAGAGTATGTGCTAGTATTTTCAAGTGTATCGACATATAGAAAAAATCTGAAACCCTGATGTCATTCATTGTTTAAGTGTAAAATAAAAAAAAAACAGAAAAAAACCTGCTTTGTCTTTTACTACATTCAACATGTGACAAAAGAAAACTTTATCACCTAAACTTTATCTATTTGTCTTTTTGCAGAATAGTAAAATAAAACACAAAATGCCCTTGCAAGTGAATAATCTTTGGAAAACACCTTCATAAATACCATGTATTAGTTAAAATGGAATAATCATGATCAAACTAATGAGGTCAAACGAATTGGTCTTGTTCCTAAGTGGCTAATAATGAACATTTCCATGAGCCTGTTCCATGATAGCAACAAAGGGCAACAATTCCATAAACAGAGAAAAGCCACATGCCAAACATACATGCACGTGGCACGTATTATCTTACACATTTTTATTATCCGCCACAAAAGAGTCCATGTTCATTGTTTAATACAGGCAATTGCATCCTCTAGAGATCAGCACAACAAATGAAGGATCAAAACACCCCATGTTCCTCATTACAACTGTAAATTGAACATATGCCTTCATACAACTTAGGCAGTGACCCCAGCTATAGAATAACCAACTACAGTGAGGTCTTACCCCTCCGAAAGTTTGGTTTTAATTACCTTATACACATCTTAAATGCCTAAATCATCTTACGGTTTTCTAAATTATTTAGTTATTATCTCTGTGGTCAATTTAAGCTGCTGACAATGCAAATATTCCCAGCGAGGTCTTTCAAGGGGAAGTAAATTAAAACTAGTGTTTCATGAGGTATTACAATTTTTAAAAGACTGCTTTTTATGGTTACAAGAAGTATTAGGGTTGGGGTCACTAGTCGAATCAACTCAGCATTAAAAAGATTTTAACATCAGGTATATAAACACTAAATGTCTTGATAGCCATTTTTTTCAGTGACATAATCAATATGTTCAGATATCAATGGTGTTTAAGTCAATACCTATAAAATGTTACAAGAAAAATATCTGTTTTAGGGGGCTTTCCCACTAAGGAAGACAAAAGAGAAACACTGAAAGATGGTATGCATGTAAGTAAAGATACAAACAATATCTTATTTGCTTTCCTGACAAATCAGATACTGGGCATGAAATGCATTTTACAATTGGTGTTTATACTCATGCAGCAAAACATGAAACTAAATGCTATTTTCAAGTCAGTATAAGCAATCATTTCTCCTCATCTTATAAAGTTCTGCATTTCATCCTCCAGTATCTCCTAAGAAATAGTCAAATCAGTACATTTCAACTGCAACAATTAGCTTATCTTTCTCTTTCTCCTCATTTTCAATGCCAGGTTATATTAAACAGCTATGTGATATGTATTCCCTTATTAGACTCACAAGAAAATGATAGACTTTATTTAGACAAATCATCTACTTCAGCTGCTTCAAGTGAGTAGACTCCATAGTAATGTTCGTAGAGATTTTTGGAGGCAATTAGTATTCAGAACCTGGAAGTATTGTTACATTCTCCACATTTTTAAACATTTCTGTTTCTCTCCACACATATAAGTATTCTCTCATGATAAAATTAATTATCCCTAATCATTTAAATTAATTAAACCTAGTATTGGAAAAAAACTAAACATAAGGAATATTATGGGTTGAAGTCCTAATTCCCAGTACCTTCCAAAGCGGCTTTATTTAGAAACAGGGTCGATGCAGATGCAATTAGTTAATATGAGATCAGGCTAGAATAGGGTGGACCTCTAATGTGACTCTAATCTGACCTCTAATCTTTATGAAAAGGGGAAATTTAGATGCTTGCACACAGGTAGAACTGTCTTAGTCCATTCAAGCTGCTATAACAATATTATTATAAATATAGTGGTTTTTATAAACAATAGAAATTTATTTCTTATAATTCTGGAAGTCTGAGACAAGGGTGCCAGCTTGGCTGAATTCTGGTAAGAACCTGCTTCCTGGTTCATAGATGACTGCCTTCTCACTGTATCCTCAGATGACAGAAGGGAGGAGGAGGCTTCCAGGATCTCCATTATAAAGGCACTAATCTAATTTAAGAAGGCTCTCCTCTCATCACCTAATCACCTCCGAAGGCCCCCTCCACCTCTTACTACCATGGCATTGGGGATTCGGTTTCAACATAGAAATTTTGGGGAGACAAACATTCAGTCTGTAGCAAGAACACCAGGTGAACATGAAGGCAGAGATTAGGGTGAGTCTTCAAGCCCAGGAACACCAAAGCTTGCCAGTAAACCACCAGAAACTGGGAGAGAGGTGTGGCACAGATTCTCCCTCAGGAAGAACCAACTGTGCCAACACTTTGATTTCAGACTTCTAGCCCTCAAAACTGTGAGGTAATAAATTTCTGTTGTTCAATCCATCCAGTCTGTGACACTTTGTTATGGAAATCCTAGGAAACTAATATAGGGCACGTAACTTAAGACCACAGAACTTATAGTTAGGAATTGGTCTTTCACACCTGGAATCATAAGTCAATTTAAGAATTGTTTGCTCCAACCTTCATATTAACAAAAAATCCTTAACTAGCTCCTAAGGCATGCATGTACAGTTTTGCCCAGTAAATCTTTACTTAATCAACCCATAGATTTTTTTTTGGAATATTCCCATAGTCATGGGGATGCCATCTGACTATGGTACACTTTTCCCTTAAAGTTTTTGTATGGTTGTCCAAATGGCCCTACACATAATAGGTTCGAATAACTACATTTGACTTATATCTCAATATGCAAATTAGGTGAGTTTGGTGTAGGCCAGAAAATGCAGTGTGAAATAGACATGCTATTGAGGGTTGTGATTTTTAAAAATACTTGACCTTCTCTGTTTACTAGAGAAATAATAAAAAAACATAATCAGACCATTACATACAATATAAATCTATTCATGGCAGCCTCCACTAACTTCTGATAATTTACAACAGTTTATATGGAGTAACACCGCTCTTAATGATTTTTTACACAAAAATGTTTGAAATTACATGATCAAGGAGACATGACTACAAAGTAATTGAATTGGCCAACATATCAAAATTTATATATTCAAATAAATATTTCCCACTTCAGATTAGAACATTAGAAGACTATTTATATTACTAGTCTTCATCTTAGAAATCAGATGCTCTCTTAACTCTTACGCCCTGCCAATGCATGTGTTTGATCCCAGTGACTTTGTATCCTATCCATGGAAGTTTATACCCAGGGTCCCACAATCATTTACAGTCCTAGCTTCTGTCTTTTTTAGCCTTCCTTTTCCCAGTATAATTGCAGAATTAACTTTTGAGTCCAAATGCATTACTAAATTGGTTCCTTTCCTATGTTCCTACTGTATGCAACTATAAGACAGGTAAATAATAAGGGTCCCCTTCTCTGAACAATTTAGTAAATCCATCTGGAACAAACAATGAATAAAACAAAGGAATGCTTGTGTTACGTAGCCAAAAGCTACAAGGATCTTTTGTAAATACAGTCACATTTGCCAAATCTTCTCTCTTAATTATCTTATTTCTTAAAAATGTTATTGAACCATTAACATCTACCCAGGTTTAAGCACCATAATTCTTTAATCACCACCTAATGTTTCACAGACTTTCTAATCTATCATTCCTCTTTGATAAACACAAAAATCTCAAACTGTCCTTTAATGTTATAGGAAAGTAAAAATAAATTTAAGATCTTGACTGAAAATCTAAACCTTTGGGCCAAGAACCTTTGTTTTCAAATTATACTTGACCCATAAGAGAGTCTATATTCATGATTTTCTCTGTTAAAGACAGTTCAGGGCACAACCTCTCCGCTATTGATATTTTACACTGGACTGCCCTGTACTTTGTAGCAGGGATCCTTAGCAGCATCCCTGGCCTCTACTAATTAGATGCCGGTAATGCTCTATCAGTTGTGACAGCCAAAAATGTCATTAATTTGGGGTAAATAAACATTTGTATAATATTGAATTTTCTCCAACCACGTACTTAATTTTTCTTTTCCTCAAGCCTTGTTATATGGTCTGCACATTTCTCATTAGGTTTATTGCTACGTATTTTATAATCTTTTCCATTTTGATTTTTGTTTTGGTTGTGTGATCTCCGTTCATTATATATTTAGACTAACCATGAGTTTATGTAATTTTAAGTTCACATGGGAAGATGTATTGTCTAGTGGGTACTTGGGGGAAAAATCCATCCTTCGCTGATAATTTACTGGTGAAGCCAATCATATCTAAAAGGTTGACAGTGCTTTGTATCTTATCCTCCTGTCTTCACCATGTGAAATTCTATCTCCATTGTGCTGTTAGTAGTTAAACAAGCAAGGAGCTATCAGACCTACAACAAAATAGACCTCTGTAAAGGAAATACAATTATGGTGGGATAACCCAATGCTAGGTGATTATAGAAGCACTCAACATTCAAAATACCATAAATAGACTTTAAGACACAACACAGTCCTATTACCAGAAAACTTGTTTAAAATTTGGGTGCTATATCAAATGCAGCACATTACTTGAAATGTTTATCTCTATCCTTCTATTTTATTTATTTTATTTTATTTTATTTTATTTTATTTTATTTTATTTTATTTTATTTTATTTTATTTATTTATTGTTTTGAGACTGAGTTTTGCTCTGTCTCCAAGGCTGGAGTGCAGTGGGACAGCTCAGCTCACTGCAACCTCCTCTTCCTAGGTTTCAAGCAATTCTCCTGCCTCAGACTCCCGAGTAGCTGGGATTACCGGCGTGTGCCACCATGCCTGGGTAATTTTTGTATTTTTAGTAGAGACAGGGTTTCACTATGTTGGCCAGGCTGATCTCGAACTCCTGACCTTGTAATCTGTCTGCCTCGGCCTCCCAAAGTGCTGGGATTACAGGCATGAGCCACCGAGCCCAGCCTATCCTTCTACTTTAATATCTTAATCTTATAAGTGAGAAAATTGAAGTTCATTTTACTTCCCAGAGCTTACTGCTAGATAATGAAGCTGGTATCCTGACTAAAATCACTCTTCTTCCCATTATATGTGTACTTTCCAAAAAATAAAACAAATCAGAATGATATTCTTTATAGCCCAATGTTCAATTTTTCAGAAATGCAATTCTAAGAATAATGAAAGTTTTTCACTTTAATGACACATCTCACATTGTGGATACTTTTTGGGAGGAATAGCATGTACTTTTCAATCAGAGAAACATAACTTTTAATCCCAACTCTGCCAATTTCTAGAAGTAAACTTAGAAAAGTTACCTCATTGAAGGTAAAAAAAGAATGAACAAAAATCTTGGATAATCATTCCTAACACTTGGGACAGTCATTAGCATTGAATGTTATCGTATTTGTTCACTGTTTTCTATAATGCCTGGCCAGAATTAAGTGCTCAGCACGTGTTGGTTTCCTCCCCTTTCTGGTCAATTGTGAACATTTATTAAAAGTTTCCTTATGTGCTAAAGTAATGACTGGGTCACCCTCAAACTCTCCACATGTGCTCAAGTGATTACTTCGTTACACAGATTTCAAGTTTGATTTGTGTAGTATTTCTTTCTTTTCCAGAAAATCTTTTTCTGACTATTGACTAGATCATCATTTTATATTAAAGTCATGCCTCTCTCAGCACTGTGGATTCCTGGGCATGGGGCCAGCTCATGAGGTAGTAGTTTGTTCCTGAACCACAATTTTTGCTCTTGGGAAGATGGGCTTTCTCAAGCATCAGAATACAAGAGGCGAAGATAATGTGAAAAGAACCAAAGCATGGACAGGGCTTTCTTACCACAGGAGGTGGTAAGGAGGTGACAATGTCTGTTAGATGATTGGTTTAAAGACCAAGAGAAACTGATATTTCATAATGTTCTTTTGAAAGGAAGGGTCAGCCCTACTACCGTGAGGGCTTCTAGAAAAGTTACATGTCTTAGTAAAACAATGGTTTAACAATAATTTAGTTTTTTACCCCAACCAATACAAATCATCACTTTTATTGAAAGTGAAAGTGACAATTCTTTAACCCACAGGGAATAGGGGGCATAAGAAAATGGACAAATCTATCTTGAATATTCTATTCTGTATAACCACCTGTTCTGTTAAATTCTTAATCCTTGCATAAATAAATTGGGAAATGAGGACAAACACACCTATCATCTCTATTTCTAAGAAAACAATTCAGATTTTAGAATCCTGGGTGGTACATGGCTGGAGGACTGCCTGGATCCTAGACACAAGGCATTATTCCCCAACAGCTAAAAGCAAGTTGTGTGGCCCCCGCAGGGCAGTGACATCCAGTGAAGGCTCATAAATCATGCCTCCTTGCTCAATTGCGGATGATTCTATAGGGTCATCCCCTGAGCAATCAGCTGAGACATTTATTGTGTCTTAGTCTTATATCAGCTCTTTCCTTTTCTCAATCCTATTTCTTCGCTCCCTCTCAGAGACTCCCAGGAGCACTCCCCAATAAATTTCCTATGTGAAAATCTCCACAAAATCGACTTCCTCTAGAATTAGTTCTAAGATATTCTATTTGTGCATTTTGTTTTAGGAAAGGAGTTATTTGAGAAAACTAACACATAGCTTATCCCTTTCTCTGAATGATGATTGCTTCAGTTTTAGCTTAATAGCATGTGAGCTTAATAAGTCTCCTAGAGAAACCTGAAATCACACAACACTTTCTAGGAGCAAATAGATGAGGAAAGCAGCAAGTTTTAGGACTAGTTTGGAGAGATGCAACAGTATTGAATGGTAAGAGTGCATTTACCAATCTGGTTCCAGAATATGAATTACAGTCTCATGAGCACTGAGCTATGTGCCAAGTTCAGGCAGAGGCAAAATGGTAATTACCTAAGTTCTTCCTACTTTATTTTATTGGAGAACCAGTGAAGAGAACCTATGAACATACAAATTATGGTGCAGAAAACCTAAAGGTTACAGAAATATACCCAGAAATTCCAAAAGGAACATTTCTAAATTTTTTTTACACAAAATAAAAAGTTATTGAAAGGGAAAATGAAAGGTATGTAGGTATATGACTTCACCGTAAGAGAGTTCATCAGAATTTGTCTTGAGTCCAAAAACTAAAGAGTAATATTTTCAAAACTAAGAAAAGTTCCAGAGTAGCCTCTTCAAACAGTTTGAGGCCTAATTATGTATTTGTATTTTTGTAAAGAAAATTACTGATAACAATTTGCTATTTTTTTTCCAATGTTTCCAAAGTGCTGTGTTGAAATTCCATTACTGGGAACCTCGAACATCATTATTCAGGACAATTCCCTATTATTATGTTGGAAATGGAACTTAATTTGAGGTTTCCAATTCCTAGTCCCAAGTGGGAACCAAATATCACAGAACAAAATGTCATGCAATAAGATCGGATGCTAAAGTATGTGACAGTAACCAGATGTTTCCCTGACAATTACCAAACAGCCAAAGCCAGTCAAAGAAATGAAATACAGCACTTCTCACAAGGCAAATGGCATGCCACATTGTCATTAAGCATGTTGGTATTTGCCAGTTTATGTTCTGATGAGCACACCCTGGATGTCTCTGAAGAAACACAGAATAAAATGCAAAGTACAGTTATTTTGTGAAATATATTTTTAAAGTATACTTTAATAGTCCCCAAATAGGGCAATTCATATTATCAACAACACAATCCAACTTCTAATCAAGATGCAAAGTAGAGAAAAATAGGTTTTTGATTATTCTACTGAAACCTCCTTGTCATCGTTCCCGCCCCAAACACTCACAATAACTACTTTGTCATCTCTGAGACGTCTGACGAGGCTTTTTATAAGAGAAATGAGAAATATGAGGGATTTTCAGCTTAAAGATGATGAAGCAAAATTAAAACTGACCGCCACCACCCCGCACCTTCAATACTATTTATGACACAGATCAGAGCCTTAGTTCATGGTGGGGTTCCTCATCGTCAATGCCAAATTGCCAATCTCAGAGAGCAGATTACTTTTTCAGGACTGATATATCTATTGCTTCTTGATATTCAGTTTTAACACCATGCTAAACTGATGGTCAGTAGTGAAACAAAAGATGAAAAATCAGAAATACTCTTCAAGCCCAATGGAGATAACCAAACCTCCATGAGGCAAGGGCAAATATTAGTTTAATGGATTAGAGAAAACATTTCAACAGTCAAAAGTCAGAAATATAGATAAAAATTAAAAAGCCTTTTAAAGTAAAAATAATCTTAGATTAATACAAGTGTTAGAGGTAATCATATGTAAATAACAGATTGACCCAAGAAAAGTGAAAACAATATATATTTAAATTCTGGTTCCATGTGTTTTTTTTTTCTGGGAGCTCCAAAGTTTCGTATGAACTAATATGAGATATTTATGAGTTTAATATAGGATAGGATAGCAATTTTTGAAGTGTTTTAAGTTTTAAAATGTATCCTTGAACTTTTTTCTAAGATCACACTTTTCATTACATCTAAGACATCACTTGGTGGCTAACACACAATATTCTATAGACAAGCTTTTAAAAAAATTCTATTTGCTAAGAAATCTTAAGCTATAAAAAATATCTACTGTCCCGTTTTTCCCCACTTTTACAGAAATAGTATTTGATGAAATGTACAGTTGCCTTCAGCACTCCCTGTATGCAGAACACAGCAAACAGGTGACCCAGTCAATTTGGAGAGAAAAGGGTCAAGATCTGCCTCCCTGTGATTTTGTAAAAATTTTTATTTTGTTCTTTTGTTTTAACTGATGCAATGCATTCCATTTTTTGAGCTACCATAATGTATTTATCTTTCTTCAAACTGATACATAGGTCATTTCTAAATACTTATAAACATTGATGCAGTAAATTGTCTTCTACAAGTCCCTTTATGTACAAGGGCAAAAAACCTCTTCAGTGTGTAACAAAAGGTGGACCCAAGGGTTTGAGTATCTTTGAGCTTGTACACAGGTTGTCACGTTGCTCTCCAAAAGGGAAGATTTAAATGTTAAATTTTAACATGGTTTGTGTTTTCCTATCATTAAAAATATTCTTCCCCAACTTAAAGTTGTAAATGTTTTCTCATAATTATTTCTGAAAGTTTGAATATATATTTTCACATTTATATTTTCAATTCATGTCCAATTTATTTTTGTTACAGGTTAAGCTATGGATAAAGTTTTATTCTTTTTGATAAGGATAGCCAATGGTACCCTTATTTATGTTAAAGTCTACTCCTGTCATATATAGAATGACCATATGGCTGGGAGCAGTGGCTCATGCCTGTAATCCCAGGAAGCCAAGGAGGGTGGATCACAAGGTCAGGAGATCGAGACCATCCTTGCCAACATGGTAAAATCCCGTCTCTAGTAAAATACAAAAAATTAGTTTGGCGTGGTGGCACGCACTTGTAGTCCCAGGTACTTGGGAGGCTGAGGCAGGGGAATCGCTTGATCCTGGGAGGCAGAGGTTGTAGTGAGCTGAGATCGCACCACTGCACTCCAGCCTGGTGACAGAGCAAGACTCTCTCTACAAAAAAAAAAAAAAAAGAATGACCATATATACTGAAAAGCTTTTGAAATTGAATGGGGACATTATTAATTATTATGGTTGGACAGCAGGCATAAGTGGGAAGTATCACCAGCAAGCTAGGACATACAGCCATTTTACTTGTAAACCAGATTCCAATATATATATATATGTGGGTCTACTTTTTGAAACTTTAACCTCTCCTATTAAAACTTTTGTCTATTTCTACTGCTGTGCACACACAGTTTTGAGTGACTAAAGGTTTTAATGGCTGCAGTTAAGTTTTAGCAAAACATTTTCTAAGAAAGACAAAACCATATAGTACAGGAACTCATATACATTTTAGAATGGGAAATTATATTTGCAGCATATTTTATTGAGAAATACTAGTATTCAGAATATACCAAGAAGTCCTACAAATTCCTAGAAAATAAAACAACACAAGACACCACTTCATACTCATCAGTTTAGAAAAAATAGAAATTCTAATAACATCAAGTATTGGAGAAGATTTGTTGAAATGGAAAAATTCATGCACCACCATTGTCTTGATAGAAAGTGGCAAGGAGGAGGGCAGTCAACTTAATTTCTTCTTCTTCATCAAAATGTTCCAAATGTTTCCTGACCCTTTTCTATCCTATATGAGCTTTAGATCAGCTTATTGTGTTCCTTTAAAAACGTCTTTGTTCATCCAAGTGTTTTTTCTGTTCTCAACTGGCTGTACTCATAAGCCTCAATATATAAAGCTCATCCATCACAGTTCACAGCTTGCTTGCTTAGGAGAGTAGATGAATTTAAATTATTGGTAATGATCGTTTACTACACTAGGGATAAACATATCAGAAAATATTTGGGGCCAAGGCAGCATTAGCAGAAGATGATAGGGGAAGTATGTTGTGAGTGAGGGAGTTCAATTGACTCAAAATGTCTTCTAGTATCATGATGCTCATTATTTAAAATTAAACTATTATTCCAAGATATTTGTAGATTCACAAGAGAAATAATAAAGAATTTATCTAATTCTCCCCAGTGGTAACATCTTGAAAAACTACAGTACGACATCAGAAACAGGGTATTAAAATTAATAAAGGTAGGGGAACATTTTCATTGCTATAGAATCCTCCACTTTGCCCTTTTATAGCACTTGTTTCTTGCTGACTCCCTCCCTCTCCTTAACACCTGCAACCAGTAATCTGTTCTCCTTTTCTATAATTTTGTCATGACAAGATTGTTATATAAATGAAATCATACAGTATGCTACCTTTTCGGAGGGGAAGCAAGGGGACGCAAAGAAAAGGAAGAGGAGGGTTAGGAAGGAAAGGTAGGAAAAGAAAATGGAAAGGAAAGGGAGGCAATACAAGGCTTGAAAAAGAAAGAGAAGAGGAATAAGAAGCGTCATTTTGGAATTATGATTGAATTATTCAAAATGCATAGTGTAATTACGGAAAATTTTTGCCAGTTGCCTGGTCATGTTCCCTCCTTTTTAATTACATTCCTAACAATTGCCTTGACCAATTTGGTGTGGAGTAAATTCTGCAACTCTAAAGTATCAAAGCCCTTTCAGCTATGCTCCTATGTTGTGGTAGAATAGCAAGTTTTTAATGAATTTACTGTTTACCATTTCTTTCACAGATAAACACGTACTCTAGACTTAGGAATTGTGTTTGTTTCTTGCTAATACTCTGAATAGGTCTTTTCCCATTCACTTTATCATGCTCACTCCTTTCCAGTACACTGGCTGAGTGCTTCCAAAATCCACATGTGCAGGGCACCTCAGGACTTTCGTACATGCTGATCCTACTTTAGGGAGCTCTTCCCCAGGATATCTGTATGGCTCATTCACTCATCAGGTACCTGCTTCAGTGACACTTTTCAGAAAAGCTTTTCGTAAACATTCTATGAAAATATTTCTTACATATTTCTTACATGGATTCATTTCTCTGCATGTCACTTAATAAATTCTAACATACTATATGTTTATTTGTTTATTTACTCCTGGAATTTAAGATACATAAGAGTAGATACTTTTTATTTATTGTTATATCTCCAGAACTTAGATTCCTGAAGTGTAGTTGGCAAACAGTAAATGAATGAAAAAGGGAATTTTCACATCCTTACAATGCTTATATATTTCTAGTGACTGGGCAGGGGGAGATTTTGTTGCTACATATTTTTAAGGTAGGAAAATTCTGGTAAATGTTTGAAACATCAGAGAATTAATGGCAAAGCAAAGGAGAGAACCCAAGTCTCAGAACCCAGAGCTCAATACGTTATCCTTTATCCCCTTGAAGCCTCTAACAATTCCTTACTTTTGCATGATAATCTGATTTTTTATTGTTATCTGAAATTCTTGCATCTGTTAAACCCACTGGAAATTTCATGGGCAGAGTTATTTTTTAAACATAAAATTTATAGCAACATTTTGCTTCCTCAAATCTAGTCTAAATTACCCAAGAAAGAGCCTTCTCTATAGTATTTTGGCATTTCCCCTCCCGGCTAAAATTGTTCCGAAAGCATAAAGGTGTTCCAAACTGAAAAGTAACAGGAAAGAAAAATTAACTCTTGAAGCTTCTAAAATGATAGGATTCAAGTTGCATTTGTATTTTGGTATAGAAGTCATGAGAGGTGAAGGGGAAGGGTTATTATTTTACTGAATCTAAGGATTCAGGTTTGAGATATTTCTCTTTGTTAAGGTTTTCTTGGAGTTTCTTTGTTTAAATCTCTCCTGTTTCTTGCTGACAATTCATTTTTAGCAAGCCTCTCCTTCATGTATATGTAGAAAATTTTCTTAAAGGGAGCCAGAACACATGTAACATAATCAGGATGGACCTAATTAAATAGGGGACAGATGGTGATCTTTCCGTAATACATAAAAATCTTGTAAGACTTCTTTTTAATTGAGCATAAAATATGCAACAGACTTGTTGCCACCTAGATGGAATTTCAGATTCAAGAATAAATATACATGATGGTGCATCTACGCACATGATAGTTTTCAAACATTCAGGAAAATAAAAAATAAACACATGTAGAAAATATTTTATAAACCAAACCAAACTTTGTTGCTGAGTTTGAGAAAAAGGGCTGTCCTCCATTCCTTCCAGTAATATAAGAGTATAACCAACAATAATGAAAATCATTATTAGTCCTCATATCTTTTAATTATTGCCCTCACCTCCAAGGTAAAATAATACATTTTTTCATAATTTATTTCAATAAACAATCTCACTGTGGTAGAGAGAATAGAAACACTGGGGTCAGACATACCTACATTCAAATCTTGGCTCAGTCATTTGTTAGTTGCATTGATGGTCAATTTACTTATGATAAAATAGAGATTATAATTCATCCCTGAAGGTTTTTATAAAAATTTGAAACGATACATGTAAAGTTCCTATCAGTTTCTGGCCTATGGAAAATGTTCAATAAGTGTGAAACCAATTGCACTTGAAGAAGAAAAATCTAGAAGGTTTCCTTCTGATATTTGTTTCAAATAAAAAATTGATTTGCCCTGCAAATTTTCCAGACACATACACCTTATATAATGTTAGCATTGGAAGGGTTAGAGATTAACTAGTTCAACTCACTCGTTTTAGAGACAATGAAACAGAGGTCCTGAGAAATTAAGTGACAGAAAGAATATATCTTGGGCAGCCTGGCTTCAAATGTGCCACTCTTCCAGAAAGCCCCAGAAACTGCTTTCTCATCCACTGGTGTGTTGTATACACCTGCATGTGTATATTTACTCTTCTGTTTTAATATAAAATTTGATGAAATTGATTTTTATGGAAGTTTCTTATGAATTTTTCTGTTTCCTACAGGGATTTAAGCATAAACTCATGATTAATTTCAGACACTGTGGTTTTCCAATTTTTTAAATTAACAATAATACATTTTGGCATGATTTTGCAGCGGCTGGTACCAGTTGTTCCTTTCCATGTTTAGTGCTTCCTTCAGGAGCTCTTTTAGGGCAGGCCTGGTGGTGACAAAATCTCTCAGCATTTGCTTGTCTGTAAAGTATTTTATTTCTCCTTCACTTATGAAGCTTAGTTTGGCTGGATATGAAATTCTGGGTTGAAAATTCTTTTCTTTAACAGTGTTGAATATTGGCCCCCACTCTCTTCTGGCTTGTAGAGTTTCTGCCGAGAGATCCGCTGTTAGTCTGATGGGCTTCCCTTTGTGGGTAACCCGACCTTTCTCTCTGGCTGCCCTTAACCCAGCAATCCCATTACTGGGTATATAACCAAAGGACTATAAATCATGCTGCTATAAAGACACATGCACACGTATGTTTTTTGCGGCACTATTCACAATAGCAAAGACTTGGAACCAACCCAAATGTCCAACAATGATAGACTGGATTAAGAAAATGTGGCACATATACACCATGGACTACTATGCAGCCATAAGAAATGAGGAGTTCATGTCCTTTGTAGGGACATGGATGAAATTGGAAATCATCATTCTCAGTAAACTATCGCAAGGACAAAAAACCAAACACCGCATATTCTCACTCATAGGTGGGAACTGAACAATGAGAACACATGGACACAGGAAGGGGAACATCACACTCTGGGGACTGTTGTGGGGTGGGGGGGAGAGGGGAGGGATAGCATTAGGAGATATACCTAATGCTAAATGACGAGTTAATGGGTGCAGCACACCAGCATGGCACATGTATACATATGTAACTAACCTGCACATTATGCACATGTACCCTAAAACTTAAAGTATAATAATAAAAAAAGAGAGAAAAAAAACAATAATAATCCGAAGTTCATAAAAATGAAATTCATAGTTCTATGATCTATAGCTTTTATTTTCCTGGTGTTTTCCTCCCATCTCTTCTCACTTGACATTTTTTCCCATGTGTTGGGATTATAGCCTATACATAATTTTATGACATTTCTTTTTTAACTCTATGAATTAAGAAGTGGGGGAAGGAGAGATGGAGTTGAAAAAAACACATTTAAAAAATCCTGTTTGGGGAACTACTGTTGTTTGATAGTATTAAACTGGCCACTCATCTATCTTCAAACTTATGCTCATTCAATTGGAATTTTCTTTTTCTTTATATTAGAGTAAAAGACCACTATAACCTAATATGATGGTCCTTAACTGGGGTAGTGAAGAGGCAATAATCTGAATGTGACAATTTTGAAAAAATTTCTTGTTGATCATACATCTCCCCACCCTCCATTGAAAGTTATGAGATTAATTCATAAGCGCTCAAATGTGGGGTGTGCAAAGCCACATAATTTGTGTGACACAAGAAAAATTTTGTTATATATTTTAACGAAAACGCAAGACAGAAACTAAGTTTTCCTAATATCTAATAAACACACCACCTTTTGTCTGATGGTCGAGAGAAATCATAGTAGGTGAGGCACCGTGAGGGAAGAGGAGGGTGACTCCCTCCAGATTTCTTTGCTTTTAGCATATTAGCATATGGTGGAGTTTACATATGGCCAATTAAGTAGACTTATAAGTTATATTATTTATTTTTAATTAAACTAATCCTAACAAGATGGCTTTAAAAGATTTCTATAAATAGCCATAATAAAAATAACATTACTAATAGAAGCAAAAGAAAATAACCAAAAAGTTGTAGAACTGGCACTTTTACTCCTGGAACAAGCTCTTGGCTGTACTACAAGGTTAAAAACAACAAAAATAATTTTACAACAGTATTTGAAGAAATAACACTATTTCTTCATAGTAAAGTTTTATCAATAAGCTTGAAAGTAAAGCTTTTAAAATGTATATACTAATTTTTTGGTGAGTATAATTTGACAATAAAGTGTTTGGAAACGTTTCTATTGTTACATGATTATATGTTGAAAGTGATGCACATTTATTACTTATGCACACATACATCCATACAGTGAATCCTTTTTCCTAATTCCATTTTCATTATATTTACTTTCATAGCTTTGCCTCTAAAACAATTTCTCACTTTACATTTTATTTAAACCTTAAAAATATCCAGCAAAGTGTTCCTCCACGCTAAGACCTCATTATGAGGCTTGCTAAAGGTTTTTACAACAAACTGACTTTAAGTCGAAATACAATTCAAAGAAACATGTATGTGTTTGTAGTATATGCTGGACACTTTGCTAAAGGCTCTAAGATTGTAAAAATAAAGACCTGTAATCTCTGTCTCTGAGGTGGTTGCAATATAAAATTAACCACAAACAAGTAATCTTGTAAAGATATAATGTGATAAGTAATATGATAAATTTGCATTACAAAAGAAAACAAATCACAGAGGAAAAGACATTCAAATTTGTATATTAAAAATGGTAAGATTAGCCGGTTGTGGCAGCGCGCGCCTGTAGTCCCAGCTACTCAGGAGGCTGAGGTAGGAGAATTGCTTGAATCCGGGAGGCGGAGGCTGCAGTGAGCCAATATTGTGCCACTGCACTCCAGCCTGGCAACAGAGCAAGACTCCGTCTAAAAAAAAAAAAAAAAATGGTAAGATTGAAACAGGTGAATATTAGATGAAGTAGAGGACAGGAGAAGCAAAAAGCAGAATAAATAGTGCTATCAAAGGAAGACAGGACAGGATAATAACAAAAGGGAATGTTGTGATTATCAACAACTTATTTTTCATAATAGTTATACGGATGCATCACTAGACAACTTACAGCTTCAAAAGCAAGAGCAAAAGCAAGTTCAACTTGCTTTTGACCTTTATGTACAAAGGAATCAGACTACATGTATTTTCTATGACTTTTTCCCCAAGATTGGATTTGAGGCTCATCCATATTGGTAAGTTTGGCTGTCGTTAATTCATTTCCATTGTTGCATGTTTTTATAAAAATATTAATTACTTATTCATTCTACAATTAAGGGATCTAAATTTTGTTTGCTTGCTTATTTTTATTTTTATTTTTTCATTTTCACTATTGTGAAAACATCTAGTACCCACACATTTAGGAGTAGAATTGTTGGGGGTGTATGCATTTACTACTTTACAAGATGATATAAAATGAGTTTTCATAGTGGTAATAGTTATACTCCCATGGTGTTCTTATTAGAACACATCTTCACCAACAATGTATTTTCAGAACTTTAAAAAAATATTTTTAGTAACATAATGATGTGAAAAGATAACTCGTTTTTACTTTAACTATTTTGCTTTACAATTGATAGTATTTTCTTCCCAGGTTTTTAAAATTGAAATATGATGTATATATTATTTTGGGATACATGTGATAATTTGATTAATATAATGCATAAAGATCAAATCAGGGTAACTGGGATAATTATTACTTTAAATATTTATTTTTTTCTTTATGCTAAGAATATTTGAATTACTTTCTTTTAGCTTTTTTTGAAAGTTACAATAGATTATTGTTAACTATAGTCACCCTACTGATCTATGAAACACTAGGTCTTATTTCTTCTTTATATTAGCTGTATATTAGTATCTATTCATCAACCTGTCTTGATGTTTTAACTTTTATTTCCATGAGTATTAATAAAGATGAGCATTTCATATGCTTATGGGTCATTTGTGGCACAAGGTATGTTTTCATAACTATTTTCTGAATTAATAAATGAACTATCAAACAGTATTATATGAATTCTGTTGAATCATGAATAGTGTTATAACAAAATCCTACCAATCTTAGAGTGCAAAGAATTTTGAGAACCATGCTTATTTGGAAAATGTTGGTGTATATTACATTTTAAGGCTGTAATTGATTCAGTAAAAATAAAGTAGATTGGTATGTTTCTTATTAAACTGCTATCTTTCTTATCATTTGCTCTGGATATGTAAGAATGTTTGCTTCCAGTTACAGTAATGCTAAGATAGAATTAGCTTGCTCTTAAATTTTGTAAACTGTTCAATAGGCAATTTAAGAATTGATTTACTAACATTATTTAGCATATATGTAGTTAAAGAGCACATGAATATTCACAAATCATGACCACAGATTCATTGTGATCACCTGCTCAATACCCACTAGAGAAATGCCCCTAGTGTTTTGTTGAATCAAACATAAGTCCAGCCATACTGAATTTATTTCAGGTTTCTGAATGTGCCATGACCTTTGTTGCCTCCAGGTCTTTAAATGTGCAACTCTTTCTCTTATTAATTCCTCTACCCCAATATATCTTCCAGATTTTGAGCCTATGATTTCCTTAGATTCTACATATCAAAAAATTATTACTTCAATATTGACGCTAAACCACTGTAGTAGATCGTTGCAATTACTTTTTCCTTCCCTTTTTCAATCATATTTTATTTTATCACTTTTTCCTCATTTTTCTTTGAACAGATAAAAATCATGTAGAAAACTATTATTTTGCCTTTATATTTCTCAAATAATCTTCATATGTTTACTATTATCCACAGAGTCCAAAAGGCCAATGGATATTTTTCTTATTAAAGACCTATTTTAAAACCAAATTACTGTGTAGTTCTCAGAATCTTTGGTTATTCTTTACGTCATTAATATTTGGGAACAGTTATATATTTGCTGCTACAAATTTTATATTTTTAGGATGCCTAATTTCATGAATATATATTCACTGTTAAAATTAGTCATACTTGGGGTTTCCTACCATACTAAATACACATAATTTAAATTTAAAAAAAGAAATATGTTTAGTCTCATTATTTCAATGAGGATAGTAAATGTTAATTTACAGAAAATAAATAAAATAAGAAATAATTACAAAGTAATTAAATTACTCCAAAAAGAAAGAATTGTAATATTCTTTAACAGGCAGAGATTAGGTTTTGCTCAAGCAACAGCATTTATGATGAGTAATTTACACTCACACTAAAGATGAAGTAACACACTTTTTCTAACAATATGCATTGACATAAGTCAGATGAAAAATTATAAAAGGGATTGTTTTTTCCTCAATACCTATCTCTATATTTCTTTTTCTTTTCTTTTTTTTTTTTTTTTTTTTTTTTTTTGAGATGGAGTCTCTCTCTCTCTCCCAGGCTAGAGTGCAGTGGCTCGATCTTGGCCCACTGCAAGCTCCGCCTCCCAGGTTCACCCCATTCTCCTGCCTCAGCCTCCTGAGTAGCTGGAACTACAAGCGCCCGCCACCACGCCCAGCTAATTTTTTGTATTTTTTTAGTAGAGATGGGGTTTCACCATGTTAGCCAGGATGGTCTCGATCTGCTGACCTCATGATCCGCCAGCCTCGGACTCCCAAAGTGCTGGGATTATAGGCGTGAGCCACTGCGCCCGGCCTATATTTCTAAATATGAAATAAAATCAATAGATAATTCAAACATCTAGCTTTAATAGTAGTACTTAATAATTTAGGATAAAACACAAAACATTAAAAATTTTGAAAAAATAGCTTCTATTAAGGGTTCAATAGAATTATGCTGGCACCAAATTAAATATTTTTACTAATCCAAGTATGAGCATGTCATTCTTTACAAGCAAATGAAACTTCTCTTCTGAGATCAAAGAGGTTTTCTTGGGAAATTAGCCCTTCCCCTTCATAAAACCCAAGAGTGTGAGAGTGTTTCTTAGAACCTCTCTATTTGTTTTGGTTTCCCTTAACTTACCTTTGAAATCGTACTGTTTCCATGTTTTAGAAATGTTTATGCATAGTATCTATAAATTTTAATGTTCAATATAATGATGTTTTGAAGTTGCTCATATTTATATATTATTTTCAACTTTACTCTCTGAGCACATTTCTAGGCATAATAGAAAGATCAGTTCTTCACACTGGAGACAGAAATATGTCTTACTCTCATCCTTTTGCTCTCAACCTTCAAATTCTTCACCTACACCATATAGAAGGCTGGAAAACCTCTTAGTATGTTCATCATCTGCCTAATTTAGGACAAGATGTTTACCATCACTTCAAGAATGACTGCGCCCTCTAAGACACTAGCTATTCCATGTAAGAAGTTGCAACTAGGGCTTCAACTCTGTTTCACAAATACCAAGGTTCACCCTCACCCTAAGTTTCTTCCATAATAGGTAACTCAGGTATTTTCAAAACACATTGTATTAGTTCACCATAAAGAACAGTTAAAAGGAAACGGAGATGAGAAATATAACTTTGCCTTGCCCAGCGTTCTTAACGTGAGGTGCTGCTTTATTGCACTGATGATTTGTTTACCATCCTCATATTCGCTTTCACAATTTAAACCCATTTGATATCTTCCTTGGGTTTAATCTAGTGAAGTAAAACTTTTAGTCTAATTTTAGCATACTTTAATAGATTCCATTTAAAAATTTTTCTTGATGCTTTGTGTTTCACCTTAAATTATTAGGCACTACCAATTAAAGCTAGATGTGGAATTATTCACTGATTTTATTTTATGTTTGGAAACACAGAGATAGATATTGAGGAAGGAACAATCTTTTCCATAATTTTTCATCTTAATTATGTCAATACATTTTGTTAGTAAAAGTGTTCTGTCACTTCATTTGACCTTTTGTGTGTGTGTAAATTACTGCTTATAGATACTACTGCTTGAGCAAAACCTAATTTCTCCATGTTAAATGATAATATAATTTTTTTGAGTAATTTAATTACTTTGTAATTATTTCTTGGAGTTTTAAGATTTCATTTTGCTTACAAAAAATTAGCCAGGCGTGGTGGCGGGCTCCTGCAGTCCCAGCTACTCGGGAGGGTGAGGCAGGAGAATGGCGTGAACCTGGGAGGCAGAGCTTGCAGTGAGCCAAGATGGAGCCACTGCACTCCAGCCTGGGCGAGAGTTCGAGACTCTGTCTCAAAAACAAAAAACAAACAAAAAAAAGATTTTATTCTGCTATCATTTTTCTATTTCATTAACTCCCTTCCTGTTTGTTCCAAGAATACTCCCCAGCAGCACTTGCAGTTGCAGCTTCTACCCCAAGTTAAATTTGCCATGAAATATCTCACTTTTATTATGACTTTCGCATTGCTCTAGTATGCCAAATTTGGAAACAAAAGACATTATTCTATTTAACATTCTATTTTTAGTAGTGGTATTTCCATTTACAAAATATAGTAACTCTAGATTGCTGAAAATGTCAAATCCTAAAAAACACAGCATTCTTATGCATGTTAAACATCATCACTCTTGAACAGGTGTTGACTGAAGATTCATTTGAGGAATCTGATTTTTCCCAAACAGACAATTCTGATGTTAGTTCTGTTTAGAAATAACTCCAAGAACAGTTTTTATATTGTATTTTCGCATTGAATATCAGTCATATTTGCTTTAGCCTTAAAGAGCATGTTTATGTAAAATTAAATGAGTGCTTTCAGTGAGCTGCACTTTTTTTTTTTCCTAAACGAGAAAAGGGGAATTCTATGATTTTTTTTGTTTCAAGTTGTTGAATAGCTTTTATAGTTAAATAATTTTGTGTTTTTGTTTTTGTACTGGATAATACTCATACCACAGATGAGTACCCTGTAAAATGAATTTGAAAATCTCTCAGCTACGTCACATCATAACTATGCCCAGTGGATCCAAGGGGATAAAAAGAATTCAGCTGCATCTCAATAGCTTGTAGAATAATTAGGAACATGTAGGTTTTGGAATTTCACTGGATCAATTTCATTGACAACTCAGAATTTAAAAAAAATTTTTGTAACTTCTCTAACATTGTGATACATGGTAAAAAGTATGACAAATAATTAAGACAACCCACTATTTTGGAAAATATGTCAATTGAGTACCCACTGTGGACATGATACACAAAGTATTTTCTTTTGATTATTAACCACTTCTCTCTTCAAAGTTTCTTCAACCATTCCTATTTAGAAATATGCCTAAGTAACCCATCTCTATCTCCTAACCTCAATCTATCCAATTGACACCAAGGTAGAATGGCGAGACTGATAGCAGCAAATTGAGAACTTACTGTCTCTTTCCAGCTGCTCGGCTTTTTGTTTATTTTGCTTGTTTTTTAGACATTTATTCCTAAAAAGGGTTCATGCTGTGGAAGAAGGATATGACAATTTTCTGTTTTCATGGAACTATTTGTTTTGTTGGGAATTCAAAAAACAGAGACAAGATTTATACAGTTGAAATAAGGAACTAAGTGTGAATCAGGTTTCAGTCTAATGTTAGTAACCCAGCAAGGATGTAAGCTCCATAGCAGCAGGATCCTTGACAGACTGTCTTATTCAGCTCCATCTTCAGGGCTTAGGACAGTGGGTGGAACACAGTAGCAACAATAGCAACAAACTCTGTTGCTACTGAACAGTCGCTGACCATATCCTGGACTGTGAATGTGGCAGCAAGCCAAAGAGGGAGAGTTAATTTGATCCAGTGAGCTTGGAAAGACTTCTTGGAGCAATTGGGATTCGAATAGTCAAGTACATTATTGATACTTACAGAATTGCTGAGAAGCAATGAACATTTTTAGTGCTTGATAAACAACTCTCCTGAACCGTACTTCATTGGCTTTCAAATCCTTCAACACATTTTAAAACCATTTCTGACTCTTTTTCTGCCAACATTACTACCATTGTAATACTACCAATAATGCTTAGAATACTTCTAATATTTTATTTTTGAGATATTTCCCTTCATGGTCTTTCTATACAACAATTCTGCTACTTCCATTTGATATTTTTAAGCTCTATAATCACCAGATATGTGATATTGAAGTTATAAATGTAAATGAGAAATGGTTCATTCCTCAATGACCTCATAATGCAGCATGCTTAAAATATAATTGCCATACTGAACAATAAATGCTTTATGTAGTAAGAAGGGGAAGCCAGATATTATTAGAGACCTACTGTGTTTCAAGCTTAGAAGCAAGCAATATGCTACTGCTTTTCATAATCTTGCAAGCTACATAATCGCCAACTTTACGTCTGAGAATTCTGTATTGACATAGGCAGAACTGCTTCCTAAAGCAAGAACTTGTATTTCTGGAATCCACTCTTCATTGTGCTGACTATATATTACCACAAATTGTACTTCTCACCCAAATTCTATTATATGATTACACCATATTGCAATGCCTCTTCTTCGGTCTCTTTGCCATTTCTCCTCTTCTTATAGTCTGGCTTACCTCCTGAAATGAAGTAAAAAGAAATGCATAATTACCTGAACTTAGATACTCTTTGGTAAGAAGTTTTTAATGTCCTAAAATTTCTTCTCATGGTCAATGAATCCTTACTATTTGATATGTGACCTCATATTCTGTACTTAACAAATGCAGAATGTGTATTGTGTTCTTAGAGAGCTAGGGCAGAACTCAAGCTGATTCAAATAGTCTTTTACTGGAGGTACAATTACCTCAACAGAAATATGTTTCCATAGATATTACGATACTTCTTGGAGTTTAAATATATCCTGTCTGGCCACACAAGAGCCTTTGGTTTGAAGAACTATTACCAAAGTGATGTTTTTCCTTCTTATCTACTAGGATGGTGCAAATACTTAAATTCATCTAAAAATCCTATTAAGAATTTTCATATATTCTTATTGGCTTTATCTAAATTGAGATCACCAGATTGCAGACTTCTAATAATGCACTCTGCTAACTAGAATGTCAGACTTAAATTGTGAGTTCAAAACAACCTTGTACAAACTAATAGATGCCATTTATGTGTACTAAGTCTTGCCTCTACTTTTAATAAAATTCTTTTTCCGATGGCATCATTCATACAAAAGAAATATGTTTGTTTTAAGTTTTATTTCTTCTCTTCTCCACATTTGTGGCAACTATTCACTCCTGGTTATTAATATATTACAGAGAGTATACTCCTCTGAAGAATGATGTGGGTACTGTGGCTGGAAAAACTGGGATTTTTGCTTAAAAAGAGTTAGCCACCAAAGCAAACAAGCTGGTTTTGAACTACAAAAACTGCCTAAAAAAATTTTCCATGCTTTTTTACCTTGTTTTTCCTTTGGGTATACAGAATTCAAGGACACGAATACCAAGCATTTCTGACATAAGCTTCTTAGACTTCACTTGCTGAATCCTTTCTTTTTCCGTCTCTGAACTGATGCTACCCATCCACAGGATAAAGCAACAATCCAATACAAGCCTTCAGGGGCAACCTCTTTTTCTTCCAACTCAAGTATATTGTTGAGTTATTCTGACAGAGCAACAAGAGTCTAGATAGACCTCTACCTTTCTCACAACATATTTTTAATGTCTAATACATTTACTCTGGCATTCTTCTCTGAAACAAACAAGTAATAAATAAAATTGGCCATGATATTCAAGCCATAAAATAGTGATAGTCTTAGGCCCCATGACAACTATCTTTTTTATCATTTCTGTTCTAGAGAGCAGAATGGAAAAGTAACATTACTGTATATAATTGTTAAACAGAACTAATTGTTATACAGATTGTTATACAGAACTAATCTGAGTATTTTACTACCTATAGATTTAAAGATCTTGCTTATTCTGGATTGATTAGTTCTTAGGGAGTAATTCCGTATAATCTTTTTCACTTTGTTTCCTACACAATTACTCATGTAACTTGGTTCACTGCCTGACACATACTAAGTTCTCAAATATTTGAGGAACAAATGAGCAAATAAACAAAGTAATGTATATAGAAAAATCCATAAGGGAAAAAAACCAAAATTATGTCATTATGGAATATATAACAGTCTCTAAGTAACTATGTACCCAGAAATTGGGTAGCTTCTAGTGTGGCTTCCTTTTTACTGTAATAGTGAGTGCAGAAATACCAGATGTTTTTACTTAGGACATCGTGGAGGCTTGAAAATAATTACTTCCTCTTTTGAAGGCCTTGAGAAAAGATTTCAATGCTTTATAGCTTTAGTGAAGACACATATAAGGTACATCTATCATCAAGGCAACTTGGAAGAAGCACTTTGGTAGTCTATGAATGTGGAAATGGCATAGTGTATAATGTAACTTGTAAAACATAGACTGAAAGAAGTCTATATTACAGATAGAAATCCACCATGTTTCAAGTCAGTGATTTGAAGAAAAAACATTTCCATTAAAAGTAAACAATAGGTGAACCACAGCCAGATCACATCTGTGCTTCACTTTCAAGTTATTATTTAATAATTCGTTTACCGTGTAAGCAATTCAGAAAGACAATTATTGTTTTATGAAATCTATAGTGATATGTTGGATTCCAAAGAGATCTGGAGGTCTTTTTAACTGTCATCTTTGACCACCCTATTCAGGACATCTTTCTTTTTCTCTCTTCTTTTTGTAACTTATTAAGCATATGCTCTTGAGTGATGAGATGCCATGATGCAGATCAGATGCATTTTCTGTTTTATTTATCAGATTATTTTAACTTGATCACAGTTATTTCAGACCAATTTTTGGAAATAAAGGCTCTTGTCAATCTGTATTAAATATAACAACTGCTGAGTTGTGATTGCATCATCAAATACTTAGAATGAGACTAGGAGAACGTTGACCCATGAGAAGTCTAACCCAATAAACAAATTATTTTATTTGAAGTGATCTGAAAATCCAAGTCAAGTCCTGACTAAGTGTTTTAATCACAAACTGCACAGGAAAAACTTGTTAATTGAATTAATGAGTAGCTAGCCATGAGTTATACTCCTTTTCAGGTTTTCAGTTCAATTTTAAATTATTCTTAAGTAGTATATACCAATATGATTAATTTTTATATTTTGACCTTGTATTCTGTGATCTTGCTAAACTCACTTTTTAATTCTTATCTTTTTTGTAGATACCTCAGAGACAATGAGAAATGTCATCATTGAACAGAGTTTTATTCCTTTCTCTCCAATATTTATAGCATTTATTTATATAACTATTAATTTACTTGCCTTATTGCATTGGTTAGGATCCCCAGTATGATGTTAAATAGGAGTGGTTGTGAGAAAGTGCATTTTTCTCTTTCCAAATCTTAAATGGAAAGAATTGAGTCTTTCACATAACTTAAGTATTATGTTAGTGTCTTTTTTTGCAGATCCTTTTATTGGGTTGAGAAAATTCTCTTTTATTGCTAGTTTGTCAGCTGTTTTAATCATGAGTGGTTTTTGAATTTTGTCAAATGCTTCTTCCGTATAAATACAATCATTTGGCTTTTCTTGTTTATTGGCTTTCTGAATGACCAAATTGATTTTGAATGTGGAACCAGCCTTTCCTTCTTGGAGTAAATCCACTCAATTTTGGCATCATAATATATTTAAATGTTGCTGAATTTAATTTGATGACATTTTGTTGAGGACTTCCACACTTGTATTCATGACAAATATCAGCTTATTGTTTTCCTTTCTTGTAATGTCTTTGGTTTCATCAAAAGAATAATTCTGACTTCATAAAATGAATCAAGCAGTGTTTCCCTCTCTTCTACATTCTGAAGAATGTGTGTTTTCCAACTACTTTAGCAAAAATTAAGAAGTTTGATAGTGCTAATATTAGAGGGTAATATCTATCAACAGGAACCCATATACATTATTTTTGGGAAAGTGAATTTTTGTAACCATTTTAAAAATAATTAGGCACTATCTTATAAAGTTAAACATGTTTATGCCTTAAAACACAGCAATTAAACTCCCAGAGAAATTTTAACATATGTGCACCAGAAGAAATGTACAACAGAAAACATGTATAAAAGTATTCAGAGCAGCAACATTATTTATAACTGCAAAACAATGGAAACTGAAATGTTCTTCAGCATCAACAGGAAATGCAAAAACATGGATAAGTTACAGATACATATAACACATACTGGTAAAATAAACAAGACCCAGAAAGCTATATATAACATGACAGCATTTTTATAAAGCTCGATTGTTTAAGAATTAATACATAGTAGAAAAACTATTTTTAATAGCAAGCTAATGATAAACAACATTAAGGATAGTGGATGTAGGGAGAGCAAGGTATTAGGATGAAAGAGGAGCACATGAGGCTTCAGAGACTTGGGTTTCATACCTAAGCATTTTATTATTATACAATGTAACTTACCTGTTTGGCAGGTATATCCATTGACCCAGATGTATTATACAATTTAGCAGGTTTTTTTAATTAAATAAGGTTATATATGTATATATATGGTTTATATATGTGTGTTTATATTATGTATCTGTGTGTGTCCTTTTAATATGCTTAGTTGTTGTCATAATACATAATTTAATTCTATGCAGAAGGAATAAGCAAATGCCCAAATTTCCCAGTTTCCTCCAACCCTTTACACTGGATGGAGTCTTTGATTGCTGGGATAAAGAAGTTCCATCTGTATTAAGAGATCAATGAACACAGTAGTGTTTACTCTAGACCTGCACCACTCCTGCTAAGAGATCCAAATCGCTTGGCCTATCTCTAGGTTAGTAGCCTGTTCATGGCTTGTTTTAGTTAAAAAGTAACAGTCAAAGTGAAAGTTTTATAACAGAGCATGAATTCAGTCTTTTCATCTCCCCAACTCATCTCCCAAAAGAAGCAGCAAAACAAACAAACAGACAAAACAAACAAACAAACAAACAAAAAACAGTTTCAAACTCTTAAGGTACATAAGTCCAATGCCTTTCATAATCCTAGAATCTATCTGCTATATCCTCACTTGGAGAAAATAAAATCAAAGAAAAATGGATAGAAGGTAAGGGGAAGAAATAACGCTTGATTAATATCTAACATTATTTTATTTTTGACCCCAGGAAGCTCAAGGCACATTTTTAGTTTTCAGACAAACTTGTGCAACAACTGAATTTCATTAAAATGACAATAATATATTCCCTTTTGTGAAATAATTTTTTTAATTGTCCAATTTTTCTGAAAATAAGTAACCTATTGATATCTCTGTGGTCAAATTATCCTAGTAATGAATATGCTGCAAATCATATATCAAGTGGTATGAGACAGCCTTTCCCGTGAGATGTTTGTGCCATGTCTTGCCAAAACAAGTAGAAGCCTCCCTGAACATGTGGCAATTCACACTCAAAACAAAATTTCTATCCCTATCAACTATATGGTAATGGAAATCTTAATACACATATGGTGATTTCAACAAGCTTAGGGAAAACCTTATCAGATACTTGTGGAATATATCTTTACGATAAACTTATTCAACTCATAACCCACTCATCCAGTGTTACACCAGAGACAGAACACAGAGCAATAAGTAAAAGGTAACACAACCTATGTACTTATATCATTCAAACACCATTAAAGAAATAAACTCTACAACACTTATTTGAAAACTCCCTTTCTAGCTTGTAAGTTTTCCTCATTTAGTTCATATATTGCTATTATGTTGCTATCTCTCAAAATACACACATACAAGAGAAAAAATAAAATGTTTTTCTAAGTCAGGGTTAATCTTTTTCTCTACCCAATCTTTTATTGATTTTTGTGTTAGGTAAGATACTCCAAAAAACTAAGAGGGAGAGAAACAGCTCACAAAGCCAAAATTCTTTTTAGTGGTCAGTGGAAGAGGAAGAGCTGTGGACAAATTTAAGTTAAAATTTTCTGACCAAAGTTACTTATGAGAATAATTGCATACATTCTTGCAATATAAGCCACCTTTCCCTAAACCAGTGGTTCTCAAACTCTGCTGTCAATTTGAAATGCCTAAGAAATTTTTATTTCTCCTTCACTACTGAAAGATCATTTCATGGGATATAGAATTCTAGGTTAATGAGTTTTTCTTTCAACACTTTATATATTTGATTCTACGGTCTTCTTGCTGGCATGCTTTCTATAGAGAAGTTTGCATAATTTTTATCCTGTTACTTATAGGTAAGGTGTTTTATTCCCTCTGGCTTCTTTCAAGACATTCTCTTTGTCTTTGGTTTTCTGCAGTTTGAATAGAATATACTTACATGTAGATTTTTTGGTATTTATCCTTCTTGGTGTTCTGTGAGCTTCCTTGATCTGTTGTTTGGTGTCTGTCATCAATTTTGGCTTGAACCTGCATGTCAGGATGAATCTGCCTTTTTACTTATTGCTATCTTTCACCACTTCCCAGAATCTAACTCACATGGGATGAAGAAGTCCTAGATCAGTCACCATTTTCACATCAAGCCCTGCTATTATGTCAGAGGACTTCAAAATCCATAAAAACAACTTAAGCTCTATTCATATAGATCTTTGACGTCCTCAAGTCCTAGAAACTTTACTTCTCAGACAACCTCATGGTTGACCTCTTTATCTTAACTGACTTTAATAACACTTTCTGCTAATGCTCAGCTAGTCCTTGATGATAAACTCTCCCATCACTGTCATAATACTCTCTGGTATCTTTTCTTTCTCTCTGGCTATTGCTTGTTATTCTACTTCATGGACTTGTCTTTTTCTTTTCTCTGTAATTGTTTATGTCTTCCAGTATTCATCTTATTCCATTTCTGTTTGTGTTCTAAACACTTCCCATGGAAATTTTCATTTACATTTTTGAATAAATGTAAATTCACCCATCAGTGAAACCAAATAACTGGTCTTCTTCTTTGTTTAAAAGTAGAAGTTTTTACTACTTTTGTTATATATATAATACACTTACACACACAATATACATATACATGTATATATATACAGTATATGTGCCATAATTTGAATGTATGTAGTTGATTCTTAATTTTTTCTTTTTGATTAAAAAATACAATAATTAAAAGGTTTTTTTTGTAAAAGTTTCAAATCTGCATCAGATTCGAAAGGGGACTAACATCAAGAAAATATCAAGCATCACTGGTCTAGGCAAGTAATATATCACCTCTTACTGACTGAATAAATTTTAATCATCAGTTTACTGTTCCAATGGGGAAAAATTAGGAGGTACCATTTATAGTCAAAGGTGAATTACAAATTGTCAATTACCCGCTGTTGTATCTGTGTAAAGATCTAGCCTTCTAAATTATACAGTAATTTCTCCTATCCGACTCTACACCCTATGGAAAGACTAAAGTGTCTCACTTAGGTGTTTCACTTCCTTATAACTCCCCCAGAATAATAGGCTCAAATTGGGCTAATAACAGGTTCTGGTGCCTTAGCCCAGCCATCTGCATTTACAAACTGCCCAGATATTTCTGTTACAAATCATAGTATCTCAGTCTGGGCCAGTGTTAAAGATCTAGTATGTACTGATACGCACTTGTTAACTGAGAAAGTGATTCCTATCCAAAACAGCAGGAAATTTGTCTAAATATTTAATATATAAGAGTGACAGTTTTCCAATTTGTAAGAAAGTTGGAGGTTTTTTCTTCTTTTTATTCTTGTATTTTTTTGTTTTTGTTTCACTTCCTGTTTAGGAATTTGTTTTTAAATTTTTTTAATTTTTAGTTTCTGTAGGTACATAGTAGGTATATATATTTATGGGGTACATGAAATATTTTGATACAGGCAAGCAATACGAAATTATCACATCATGGAGAATGGCGTATCCATCCCCTCAAGCATTTATCCTTTGTGTTATAAACAATCTAATTACATTCTTTTAGTTATTTTTAAATGTCCAATTAAGTTATTGTTGACTACAGTTGTTTGAATCTCAATCCAAATGTAGCCATAGAATCATTATCCTTCAACTGTCCTTGACATGATTATTATAAAGAGGCTTAGAGTTATTATATGAATATATAATCCATAAACCCTCCAAAAACTCTCATTACTTTTTAACACATTTCCATTTTATGAAAGAAAAATTATTTATTAATAATTATTCAGCATAAATAATTAATTTATCTGTAACCAATGCCTTCTAATACTTCTTTCCATTTTTTCTTAACAAGCACTAACATCTTAATCTTTAAACAAGATTCAAATTATGATTCAATTTACAGAAAATAATTTCAAATATAGGAGAACATAAAGTGTAGATTCCGGCACCAATCATGAGCCAGGCTTATCTAGAGGACATACGGTTGGAGAGCGGAAATGAGACATAACCTTAATTTTAGCCCTTAAGCACAGTAAGTTGTTTAGTGGGCCATTATTTTCACAGTTCATCAGCACAAGTAGCTTTGCCTTATTTGCTTTATAGGGAACATTTTATCCACCCCATAAAAATCTTTTTCCCTCCCCTCTTCTTTAAGCAGGGGTTGATAATTAGACATTGAATTTTAATTGAGTGTAAGAATATCCTTGTTGACTGAGATTGGAAGCTTTCATTTGCAAGGTCTTGTTTTAGCTTCAGGATAACTTTTCTTACACTCTTCAGAATAATATATTGCTACTACTTTGACTTTATTCACCAAACAACTCCATTAATTACCACTAACCAGACTTCACTTCCTTGCAAGGTTTTGTGCACCTGGTTTGCAGACGGGATGTAGTAACAGAAGCCCACAGAGCACATCCAGACTGCTGTACAGGTTAGAATATTGGCTACCCTCAACTAATTTTATGTGTCTGTGGAAAACAGGGCTTTGGATTTCTACCAGCTGAAGTTACTGTTCATTGTTTCTCTATTCAGCAACAATTTTTTGTGCACAAAATCATAACAAGAAAAGTGAATTGTCAAGATGTTGACCAAGTCATCACTTAATGGAAGTCCTATTCAAATAATGATGGATTCATATGTTGAACCTATGTAGATTAATATATTGAATAGAGAGCTGGGGATTAACACTTTTTAATAATTTGGAGCCCTATCATTGACTTTATCTGTTGATAGCATGTTATCTTTCTAGTAACAATTTCACAACAAAAGCTGAGGGCTCCTCTGAAAAAAACAAACAAAAGATGCCTTAATATTCTGCATTCTTATTGGCAAATCTATGTCTGTATTAGTTAAAGGGTTTAAGGTTCTACTTAAAACAAGTCTTAAAATTTCTTCTCTGCATATGACATGAGCTGTCTGTCAGTAATATGCCCAATAAATATTTGAGGAAAGAATGATACCTCGTTTTTATTGTGAAATCAGACTTTTTATCCCCATTTCTTTCACATTCATATGTTTTTCTATATTCAGGAGGGGTTCCTGACAAAGAATTAACCACCAGAACCATCTTTGGGTCTTACTTTTTTGGGATCTCTCCATTAAATCCTCCAAGTAAATGTTGATGGTGCTCTAGTGAACTATCCCAAGGCAGGGCTTGTAGGATATGAGGAGCAAACTCTTTGCAACAGTGTGGATGTGGACAGAGAACATTCCCCTACTTTGGCTCAGGGAGACCCTTTTGTAAAGATGCAGATGAAACAAAGGACTTGGCATATTTCCTCAAAGATCTCTTGCACAGATGAGTTAAAATGGAAAACTATAGACCCCTTTCAGGTACATTGAAGAAAGCCTTACAGTAACCTAAGCATTCCAAATAAAGTGCAAAAAGATACAGGAACTCTTGGGCTAGGCATGCTGCCTCTGAACACCCCATGGGCCTCAATTTAGAGAGAGCTGGGATCAGGAAAAGCATGCCAAGACCTCCTCCAGGGTTTCTGTGTGGCACCCCAGGGGACCGTCAGCATCTTCCCATAATAATAGTACACTCTTTGGCCCAAATTTGTTTTACTTTTTATAACGTCATAAAGAAAAATGGAATGAGAATATCTGGAGTGATTGATTTTGTGAATGGGGAGATGGAAATAATAGAAATATGTAAAGCCAAGAAAAACTAAAAATTTATAAATTTTCTATAGCTTGACTCAAAGAAAGATTTAAGAGTCTATTTTAATTTGTTCTGCCTAAAGTAAGAACAGATATAGAGGTATAATTGTTGCTTGGCTATAGGACAAAATGAAATCTATAGCATTTCCTCTAATATTGATTTCATCATTAAATAATTGAAATGTTTCTTTCAGAGAACAGATTTGATAGGCATGTCAAATGATTTTTGTTAACTTTATCTTTTCATCTTGGTCTTTGTGGCAATTATTTCCAGACCATATTGTGGTTTCCTGCACAAAATTATACCCTTAAGCATAGCAGCTTTACATTTACTACAGGCACAGGACAATAAAAAGTCAATAGCAGGAGAAAATATGTTTTATATGTTCAGTTAACTTTACACAGAACTGGAAAGTATTGGTAAATAGCACTTAGTTATGTTATCCTACTTTCTTTAATATATCTCAAAAATTGACAATCTGAATAGAGATTGCTAATTTCTGCAGTTATTTAGAGATAGAATAATTATTTCTATAATTATTTAAAGTCTTCTAATAATCTATTTATGATTTTATAATTCCTTCTTTATTTGATTTTATACTATTTTTTACTTTTAACTTAAATTGTATTTAACCATAAAATTAATGGATAGTAATTTTAAGACATACAAAAATATAAATCAACTAGACATGGGTAATCCTAATTTCTTTAGCAGTTTAATATGGGGCTTGTATTTGTCTACTATCATTCAGTTCAGAGATCTTCATATTGATGATACTGAGTCTATGCATTAGTTACCTACTGCTATATGATAAATTATTCCAAAGCCTGGCTGCTTAAAACAACAATTATTGTGTTATAATTTCTGTGGGTCAGAAATTCAGGAATGGTTTTGCTGAAAAGTTCTGACTCAGGTTCTTTCATGGGATGACATTTAAGATGTCAGCCAGGGCTGCAGTCATCAGAGGGTTTGGCTGGAGTTGGGGGATTTGCTTCCAGAATAGCTTATTCTCACATCTATTCTCAAGAAGCCTGAGTTCCTCACTGGCAGGAAGCCACACAGGCTTTTCCACAGGGCTTCCTGGTTTTCCTCACGAAATGTCAGCTGGCTTTCCCAAAATCCAGTAAGCCAAAAAAGCAAAAGGAAGCCACAATGTCTTGTATCACCTAGTTTCAGAAGTTACATTCCATTACTTCCACAATATCCTATAGCTTACACAAGTGATCCCTATGCAACATGAGAGGAAACTCTACCATGGTGTGACTATCAGATAACAGAGATCCTTGAAATGAGCTAAAACAATCTAGTCTGGCAGGGGGAGGAAAAAACACAGTGACAAAAAGATAATCGCAAACAACAGACTTCAAGGTAATTGACAGTAAGAATTTCAGAGCATGAATAGTTGACACATGTCTTAGTACTGAAATATTTCTGGGAATACTGCACAGAGTTTCTGTCAAAAACTACTCATACTTTAAAATGAAACCCAAATGCAAGTGACCAAATTGATGTGAGATCCTAGGACATCCACCTTCCTTTGATTCATTTATTTTAATATTTCTCTTAAATCTTTCAATAATATTAGTTTAATGCAAAAGTAATTGTGATTTTTGACATTGAAAGTAATGGATACCTCATGATTACTGATTGGATTTCGTACTCTCTCTAAACACTAAGAAAAACAGAATAATGTGTAGGAGCGATCTCATGAAATTTGCAAACAAATTAAATTCAAATGATACAAATAATAAGTTGTTATCATTTGAATTCTAATCTGATTGCTAGTTGCTGTTAGCCTGTGGCTATGTAGCTAAATAGTAAGACGTGTGATACATTGTCTGAATTTACTCATATAAAAATAAAACCTCTGGTCAGGAGATCGAGACCATCATGGCTAAGAAGGTGAAACCCCGTCTCTATTAAAAATACAACAAATTAGCCAGGCGTTGTGGCGGGCGCCTGTAGTCCCAGTTACTTGGGAGGCTGAGGCAGGAGAATGGCATGAACGTGGGAGGCAGAGCTTGCAGTGAGCCGAGATTGCGCCACTGCACTTCAGCCTGGGCGACAGAGCAAGACTCCATCTCAACAACAACAACAACAAAAAAACCTCTGCTGGAAATGCCATATGTGTACCATACATGTAATAGACACCACAAAGAGGTATAAAGAGAAGACATTTGTACAATTTCTCAAAATCGTGTTGGATGACTGACTGACTAATTTGTGCTACCTCTTTTTTGACAAGAAAGTATCAGAGGAAATGTGGAGCCTGGGTTGGTTTTGTTTCCTCAGGGCTGACTTTCTAGTTGCACTCTAAGATATTATACCTCCAGAATGACAATGTCTCTTGACAGAATTAAATAGTGCCCCCCACCATCCAGGAAATGAGAGTAAGAAACATGTGAACAGTGAAGTCAAATACTTTATTATCCTAAGGTCTGCCCTTAGCAACAGATGGCTGAGGAATACACAGCTTTAAATTAGAGACAGACATCAGATTGAAGGGAAATACAATGAATCTGAGCACAAAAGATGGTAACTGAGCCCAGTAGAATTCAAAGAAAAGACTTTAGCATGGAAAAGCTAGGGTCATGTGGAGCAATGAATGTATTATTCATTTTTTTTTTTGCATTTCTCCCACAATATCAGGTGGAAGAAATGCAAAAAAAAAAAAAAAAAAAAAAAAAAAAAAAAAAAAAGGGGGGGGGGGCGGTATGTGGGAGAAGAGGCAAAAGTTTTTTTTTTAAACTTTATTAGAATTTGCCTCCAGCACAACAGAATACTGAGAGATATTACAGAACGCCAAATGCATGCAGAAAAATACTTTCAAAATAGCAGAGGCAGAACAGAACCTTGGGGTTATAGCTGGCTTAGCCATCTAAAGTGAAGAGTGGAATTAGAGGTGAATCCAAGCTTGTACTGAGGAAGCTCTAGGCCACCAGTTAGGATGGGGGTCTGGTAGAAGGAGGTTGGTAGGAAAGGAAGGGCCTGGGGGTAAAGGGTGGCTCAAAAAGCCAGGAACCCCCAAATAGCATCAGGTGGTCGAAATGGAGCAAAGAAGATGGGAGAACAGGGCCCAGGCAAGCTCTAATGATTACGTTCTTCCAGTTTTTATTTCCCAAGAAATGAATGACAGAGTTCCAGTACCAAATTCACCTTACTGTCACAAAGAAACTCATGACAAGATCATCCATTAATCAAGAAAACATGTGTCAAACTTTAATTCACCACAAAGAGAGAAACTATGGGATTCATAATGACAAAGTGGCTTTACTAAAATCCTTCATTCCCAAAGTTCCAAATACAGAGTTACATTAATGTATATAGCATATTCCAGATAGTAATTGAGCTATCCTTTTGCTTGTATTCTTACTTCCTTATGACTTGAAAGTAATGAGAAAACAGTAATGTAATGCTACCTTGGGCGCTTGTAGTGGGAGGCTAAATAAGTGTGTGTGTGTTGGGGGTGGGGGGGTGGCAAACTATGTAGCAATCAAGGATGTGGCTCAAAATATAGAGGTGGAATAAATTGAAGAGCAAAGTAGCTCTACATTTGTGGTTCTATTGCCCACATTAGAGTAACAGTTTACATAAACAGTGCAGTTTAAATCTTTTTAAGTACTTCCACATATTTTCCATATTCCATTTTATATCCTTAGAACAGTCTTGGAGTCAGTTGGAAAGGTATAATTATGTCTGTTAGTTTAGTTGTAGAAATAGACTCACAAAGGATATACGACTTGTAGAAGTGACAGAGCAATGGCATACAAATGCCCAGAATCCCAGTTTCGTGTTTGTCTCTCCTAGTTCAGTGCTCCTAGAACTTTCACACTAATCCCTGGGAATCTCGTTGAACTGCAGATTCTAGGGCAGTAGGTCTAGGGAAGTTCCTGAAATTCTGCCTTTCTAACAAGCCCCCAAGCAATACCAATGCTGCTGGTCTAAAGTTCTAAGCCAGACAACATCTAATTCAATAATCTCCTGATTTCAATGACTGTCTATCAATTGTGTTTTACACATAGATTCAAAAGTCCTAACCCCTAGGATTCAGTTAAGTCTGGTATAGGTCCCTGGCATGTGTGTATTTTTTTAATTTCCAGAAGTGATTTGATTCATATTCAGGACTGAGAACTTTTGCACATTAAGAAGTTACAGCACCTGTAATGTACATATTTATAAACTTAAAGTGAGAGGTTTTTTTGTTGAAATTATACTGACTCTAGTTCCATCCTAACTCACAATAAGGCAACTGTTTAAAGAATATTGAAACTGATTTCTTTCAGATTTCTGTCCCTCATCTTTTGACTTTTATTTCTCTAGTTCCTAGAGTAAAAAGTATCGTAGCACTCCATAATGTCACAGGATATCAGTTTCACCCATTTTTGTTTAAGATAACATCACTTACAAATTTCAATCCCTATTTTCTTTGATCTTTTAAAATGTCTATGCTTCTTGGTAAATTTATTGTCAGGTGTAGTTTTCATAAAAAGGCACATTTTAGAGGTCTGTACAGCAATGAGGAGGAAGTGTTCAAGATATAAAAATCATTTCAAGAATTAGATTTTGGAAGGAGAAAAAACCTAACCCCTGAATGACAATTAAAGAAATGGAAACCTTATTGCCACGGTTAAGCTTCTCAGTGAGCACATGACAAAGACTGAGGTAACAACAAGCACTGACAGGTGTTAGGGATGATGTGCCATACTGGTTTTGCAGTGGTTTTTGAAGTTTGATAATCCAGCAAGATATCTATCAGATTTTGCACTCCCTGATGTGAAGGACAGGTTAAAAGCAGTATGAGGATATCCACAGTTTTTTCTTTGTAAAGATGACCTTGGCTTTCAAATTGCTAAACTAGGTGTCATTTTATTTCCACTGTAGCCAATGTTTACTTCTCAGATAAAAAAGCAAAAAAAGGTGGTGCCCACAAGGTGGCCAGAATTCTGCAAGACCAATCCAATAAATTGTTAGTTCTTCCCTCCTGTACAGCCTTCCCATCCAGCAATTTCAATTTCTTTAGGACTTTAATCCTAGCGGGGTAATGTCCCCAGAGAAGACATGCTTTCTCAGTTTACAATGCTCTTAATCTCACAGAAATTTTTTCACAGCACACTGAACCAAACAATTTATTAAGTAGTTAAATAAGTACTTAAATCCTCACTGCGTGCTGAACACAGTACAACTTCTTAGACTTTGGAATCTGATGGGACACTGCTATCTTCGTTTCCTATTCCTAAATGATTTTCAATGATTTTCATGTGCTCCCCACTTTTTATCATTACAAAACCCAGCTTCATAAAGATATAATGCAACCAAATAGAACATTAAAAAACCTAAGGTTGAAAGCATTAGTAGTTCATGTACATCCAAAATATGTTACTTTAGTTCCTTTGAAAATTTACAATATTTAGTGATGTCCCCCGACATCCACTGAGGCACCCCACAATGCCTCAGTCCCAGGAGAACCATTGCTTTAGCACCTAAATTAGAAGCCTAAGACCCAGACTTCTGGTCCTGGCAGCTGAACCTTCTAGCCATGTCTTGTGCAGGAAGTCTCTTAATTATTCTAAGCTTCAATTTCCTCATTTTAAAAATAGAAATGATAGTTTTCAGCTTTCTAAGAGGGAACATACTTATGTTAGTCCATTTTCACACTGCTATAAAGAAATAACCAAGACTGGACAATTTATAAAGGAAAGAGGTTTAATTGACTCACAGTTCTGCATGGCTGCAGAGGCCTCGGGAAACTTACAATCGTGGCAGAAGGCGAAGCACGCACCTCCTGCATAAGGCGGCAGGAGAGAGAAGAGTGAGGAGCGAAAGAGGAAGAGCTTCTTATAAAACCATCATATTTCTTGAGAAGTAACTCACTATCACAAGAGCAGCATGGGGGAAGCGGCCATATCATATCAATACTACCATATCAATACTACTGCGTAAGTACAAAATACTATACTAACGAAAGCTGTAGAATGTCCTCTTAAAACTGAGTTGGGGCTGGACGCTGTGGCTCACGACTGTAATCCTAGCACTTTGAGAGGACGAGGTGGGCGGATTGCCTGAGCTCAGGAGTTGGAGACCAGCTTGGGCAACAGAGTGAAACCCTGTCTCTACTAAAATACAAAAAAAAAAAAAATTAGCCAGGTGTGGTGGTGGGCACTTGTAGTCCCAGCTACTCGGGAGGCTAAGGCAGAAGAATTGCTTGAACCTAGGAGGTGGCAGTTGCAGTGAGCCGAGAAGGAGGCACTGCACTCCAGCCTGGGTGATGACAGAGCGCAGAGGGGGACTCTCAAAAAAAATAATGGGGTTCCTCAGGCACATTTGAAAAACCATTAAGGCCCATTCCTCATCCTGCCACTAAATAGCTGTATGATCTTGGGAGAGTCATAGAATATCTCCAAGCCTCACTTTCCTCACTTTTTAAGAGTCAGACTCACCTTTACCTATCATAATAAATGAAAAAATGTTTGGACAATTTAAAGTATTACACAGATCTTTTATTTATAGCCCAAGTCTCTGTGAATTTGGATGAACTAGAAGATAGATATAGTTAAGAAATATAGATATAAATGATATAGATATACAGATACAGATAAAGTGTTAGTTTCTCAGGGATGCAAAAAAAATGCCTCCTTCTCCCACCCATAACCTAAACCTAACTTTGAAGATAGAAAATTTTAAACTGTTCCTTCAAACAATTGTAAGATTAAATGAGGATTCATAAATTTATATCAGTTGTAGCAAAGTTATAACGATCTTAGTTACAGCTACTGATTCATGTTGTTTCTATTCAGGTCTTGTTGTTTATGCCTAACAACCCACACTGGTATTGTACTCATTCTTTCTTGTATTGTAGTTTCAGCACTTCCAGAGTGGTTTTAGCAGTCCCAATCCAAATTTTAGATACATGTGCTTTGAGATAATTACCTTTGGTTGCAAGGAGGATGCATACATACAATAGAAGTTGGAATTAAACAATTATGGTTTGAGAATTGCTGCTCCAAATAGAAAGGTAGAAATATATATGTTTATAAATAATTATGGCCTAGTGTGACTTTTGTTTTTTCTCAAAAAAAAATTCAGTTTCATTTTCTGATTTCCTGTAAAATCAACTCGGTCTGGTGGAAAGAAGACATTTGGGTCAATGTCACTACCACACATCGTCTGACCCATGACTAAGAGTACTGATTAAACAGATTATCACAATATTTAATACATTGCATTGTGATTGCCTCTTTACTTATCAGCTTGACACATCAACTATTATAAACTTGAAGGGAAGTAGGATTAAGTCCTTTTCATTATGCCAATGTCTTTTCAGTGACATCACAGTGCCTGCCACATGGGAGGTTTTAAAAACACATGAGATGAATTAATCAATAAGTTCCAGGCTGGATTCAGGCCAACTGATGCCTTCAGCACAGTCCAACAACTGTGCTGTGATGGAAGCAAAACCCTCAAGCCATGCAGTATCTCTCAAACAAATGCAGTATCTGACAAAACTTTCAAGTCAAACTTCTAAACTTGATCACTCACCATGCCAAAAAAAAAAAAAAACCATTTAATAATGAAAATTGAAGTCAAACATGACAGATAAAGATAAAAAAAAATAGACTAAAGTTAAGGGAGGTAGTGAAATACTTTTGGCCATGATAACTGAGGTCAGTTCAGGGAAACTCTTTAGTACCCTTTCCTCTTGGTGCATCTGTTTATTTTGCTAAATGATTAATCCAGAGCTGAATGAATGGTGAAAATGCCGAGATGATTGATATTAGATAAAGTCCACCTTCCATGTTTTCTTCTGATTCTCCTACACTAATATAAGCCTCACTTCATAGTTCCATTGCAGGACTCTTCTTATTCATACATTGAATTGGGACAACCCCTTTTCCCAGTTCTATGAGATCACGCCTGACTCAGGTTTTTCTTGTTCTAGTGCTTTGCATTCTTACTGCTCAAGCCTTCGCTACTCAAAATTGATTTTCTCTCATCACCTAGTACATCATTTTTGGTGCTTAATGGTTACAGTACTTTGTGAAAAGTATGATGAAACTGGAATATAAAAGAAATGAAAAGCAGAACTACTGTAGAGTATTTCACATTATGACTATACTTCAATTAATTTACTCATTTTTCGATGAATGAACATTTAGGTTGATTCCAGGTGTTCACCTTTAGACAAACATTGTTACAATAAATATTCATGCATACATCTCTTAAAATACATATGCAAGAGTTTTTCAAAAGCATATACTTAGAACTGAAATTTGTGAATTTTAAAGGACATGAAATATTCAACATTGCTATCTATTGTCAAAATTTCTCCAACTGGTTTTTACTAAATTCTACTTCCATTAAGTAGCATATGAAGTTCCCCATGTCTCCATATCTTAGTAATGTTTGATGACATAAGAATTTTTCTTTGACAATCTAACATCTGTAAAATGGTATCTCTCCTTTGTTTCTATTTATAGTTCCTGATTATTTGTGAAGTAGCATATTTCTTAACTTTATTGGTTGCTCTTCTCCTACGAATGGCATATTATATGCTTTACATATATTTTCAACTATTTTACCTACTGTTTTATGTTGATTAGTAGATATTCTTTATGTATCCTAGGTAATATTGTGCTGGCCATATGAATTTTAAATAACTATTGTTTATCTTTTAACTTTATGAGGTCCATGGTTGTTTAGAATATTTTTACTTTGATATAGTCAAATTTCCAATATTTTATTTTATAGTTTAAAAGTCTTGTGTCTTCTCTGAGACCCTCTCCTATATTTGATTCTAAAATCCCCCTGTGTTTTTCTTTGCATAGTGTGACATAAGAATCTAATTTCTTTTATTCTAAACAACTGATTCTTCACATAATTATTTATTGTCATTGCTTTATAATTCTGTCTCTAATCTATTCTTGTATTTATCTATTTTTTTTTTGAGACGGGGTCTCACTCTGTTGCCCAGGCTGGGGTGCAGTGGCACAGTCTCGGCTCACTGCAACCTCTGTCTCCCAGGTTCAAGCAATTCTTCTGCCTCAGCCTCCAGAGCAGCTGGGATTACAGGTGCCTGCCACCACACTTGGATAATTTTTGTATTTTTAGTAGAGATAGGGTTTCACCATGTTGTCCAGGCTAGTCCTGAACTCCTGACTTCAGGTGATCTGCCCACCTCGGCCTCCAAAAGTGCTGGGATTACAGGAGTGAGCCACAGCACCCAGCCTAATCTATTCTTAAAAATAGTCTGTCTAGATAATAGCAGCACATTCTAAATGGAATATTCTCTCCTTTAAGCTATCTTTTTGGACAAAAGTAGCTACAGGAAACTTAATGTATAGCGTGTGTGTGTGTGTGTGTGTGTGTGTGTGTGTGTGTGTGTGTTTGTATTCCAGAGGCGTTAAACTCCTGGAAATCTTGCTTTTAAAATATTCACTATGCAGTGGTCTCAGCTAGCAAGCAAAGGGGGAAGAAAAGAATATTAAAGATACATGGGCACTTTTGATGTTACTAGGCTATAGATGTCATCCCCAGCCACATCCGGAAACCTAGGACTACTCTGGCCTGACCAGAGTCTCCAACTCCTGCCATGCAGAGACCTCAGACTTATAGCGAGCCTCTGAAATGTGTCTGTAAGATCTCATCTTCAGCCTGAATTTTTCTTTAGCCTATAACCCAGGATTCAGCTCAGCACTTTTCTGGGAGTAAATTAGAAAGGGATATTTTGAAGTTATCAGCATGTCTCCACCTTCAGGATGACAAGGTCCAGTATCACTTCATTGCCCTCTGGATAGCAGACCACTGAATTGTTTCACTGAAGAAAGGTGACCATGTACTGAATGGACTTGTTTCTTCTGGGAGGCATTACATCTATCAGGCAAAAAGAAATGACCCGGCACAAACTAACCAACAAACAGCACTTGTAAACATCTCTGAGGAAGCCGATGGACTCAGTACAGATGATCAATAGTGATAGATAGAGAGGCTTCTCATATAATCGGTGGTGAGAGGAGCTGCAGAATTGCTGCTTAAAGAAATTCTGAGCCGAGGTGGTAAGAGCGCACATATAAAAGCAGCAATTCCTGGGCTTTTTCACTTTAACACTCCTGTAATTTAAAAAGAATGTAATGGATTTTATTTTCAAGACCTGGAAAAACAAAAGTCCTCTTAAGCTGAGAACAAATGCTTCAAGTGTTTGCCTGAAGCCATTCTTTTTATTGGGAGAGTTACAGCCCCTTGAGAAAAAGGGATTTATAATGGAAAAAATGAAACAACATCAACCATAACAGAGCTCAGAAAATAAATAATAAAATCCCTGTTAGTGCCTGACGTTTTATATTTCTCCTGCCTTTTATCCAAAATAAGACAGTTGCTGAGAAAATAAATAAAGGCCAGGCTGATCTGCCCACAGTGATACATTACCTTTTGAATATTCCTCAGACAAAAGACCAAGAATTTTATGAGAAAGACAAGCATGTATTTAACACAGTTCTTTTACTTACTTTACATTTATTACCCTTAAGGGAAAATGTGGTCCCTTGGCATATGTTCGATTTCCCTTATTTTCAATCCCCCATATAAATGCAGCAGAAACCCTTTCAAAAAAGTCTCCAGTGAGGACAGGATTATGCTTTTCAGCTGAACCCACCAATCTGAGGAGGAAACAGCATGGTTCTCAGGGCCAAATCTTCCCACAGTAGAGGTTTTACATATGGAATTCCTCCATGGGGGACTTCTTGCAACACAAGTACCTCTAAAAACAGTAAATAGAAATAAATACTCAGTTTATATCCTCATGAAGTTGGGTACCAAGGACATGGCAGTACATGTGACACTGTCCTTGTCCCCAAGGACCTCCTATTCAAGGCAGGCAGAGCCAGTAATTAAACACAGTTTCTGGCAATTATTAAACACTGATGTGTGCTTTCCACTAGGCTTAACTTTTCACATGCATTACGTCCTGTAATCCGCATGTGAACCTCAATGAGATAGGTATTATCACCACTTTCTAAGATATGGATCAGGCTTCCAGGGATGAATGAGCCTTTCCAGAGTCCACTGGGCAGGAACAGCAAACCAGGAGGATATGCTGCCTCCTCAGCTGGGTACGCAGCTTGCAAGAATTTGATACACTATACTAGGTCCACAGAATGAAATGTTTAATAGTAAAAATAGACCCTTGTCATTTTTAATTAAATGTGATAACACCAACAGCTATCATTGGCTTTTAAATCTTCCCTTCCTCTCAGTAAAATGTAGTAATATAAATATGTTGAAGCCTTACTCAGTGCTGCTATTAGGGCTTATGCCAGGGCATCCTCTCAAAGACAATTCTCATAGAACATGTTTAACAAGTAGTATCCCTTAGAGAGATCCAAAACAACCTGACATTACTCTGACTTTTACACAAATGAATTCATATTAATAATCAGATAATGGCAATCTCTGTAACGATAAGGTGGTGGCAATGGTCCTATCACTCACAAAGTGATTTCCTATTATCTCTCATACTCTCTCCTTTATAATCTAGATGTTTCTCTACCTTAACATAAGCTTTCTGCATAAACTTAAATCACTTAAATTGGTAGTTTTTAAGGTAGAACTTGGTCCAGCGTCACATTCTAAATTATTGCATTGCTATGTTTATAAATTGTTTTAGAACCTATATCACATTCTTTTATCTAGTTATCTTTAGTACTCTTCTTATTCCTCTATTAGATTTTAGGCTCTTTGGAGGTGGTGGCACAATGTTTTATTCATTGCTCAACCTTGGACAGTGCTGGGTATCAGACAAGGTGCCCAACTAAAGATTTTAAATGTAATTTTCTAGAAAATCGTTTTTATATTGAGAATATTTAGTAGTCTTAAAATTATCGCACACTCTAATAATATTTGCATTATCATGACTAAATATATAGAATTTCAAAATGTCTTCTCTTTCTTCTCTCTCTATTCCTACTTCTTGCCTCAGCGGTAGCCAATATTACAAGTTTACATATATCCTTCAGCCCTTTATCTATGTATTCAGCTGGACATATATGTGATAGCATCAATAAGCATAATAAAAAGTACTGAGTGATCACTACGTGTGTTACACTGTGCTAATCATCACGTTACATATTTTAACTTATAATTCACATAACAACTCTGTGAAGTACATCCTATTAATACTCTCATGTTACACCTAACTAAATTGAGGTGCTGAAAATTTATGTACCTTGTCCAAGGTCCCTTCAGTAGTAAGTAAACAGAATTCAAATAGTCTGATGCTGACCTCAAGTTCCTAATCATGAGCAGACTATTTTTTAACTACAACAGTTTCCTATATATATGATAAAAATTATATTGAAATAGCTTCTCAAAAATGTTTAATAAGGAAATGTTAAAACATATAACAAGAACAAGCAAAATAGTAAAATGAACCCCTACATATTCAATGCCCAATTTCAACAATTGTTGAAATGGCTCAATCATGCTTCAGCCACACCCTGCTTCACTCTCTCAACTCTGGATTCTTTTGAAGGAAGTTCTTAGACATGATATTATTCCATATGTCTTAGTTCAATTCTGTTGTTATAACAGAATACTTGAGACTAGGTAGTTTGCAAAAAACTAGAAATATATTTCTTATCATTCTGGAGGTTGGGAAGTTCAAGAGCATGGTGGTGGTATCCATGAGGGCCTTCTTCCTGCATAACATGGCAAAAGGCATCGCAGGGAAATAGCACAAGGGAATGTATGTCAGCTCAGCTCTCTCTTCCTCTTCTAATAAAGCCACCAGTCCCATCATGGGGCTCCACTGTGATAACCTTATCTAATCTAATTACGTTCCCAAGATCTCCATCTCCAATCAACATATTAATTTGAGAATTAAGTTTTCCACACATGAAATTTGGGGACAGTTTCAAACCATAGCATCATACCTGTATAATTCAGTATGTATCTCTAACAGATAAGGTTATTATTATTATTATTATTATTATTATTATTATTTGAGATGGAGTCTCACTCTGTTGCCCAGGCTGGAGTGCAGTGGGAAGATCTCAGCTCACTGCAACCTCTGCCTCCCAGGTTCAAGCGATTCTCCTGCCTCAGCCTCCTGAGTAGCGAGGATTACAGGCACACACCACCACGCCTGGCTAATTTTTGTATTTTTAGTAAAAACGGGGTTTCACCATGTTGGCTAGGCTGGTCTTGAACTCCTGACCTCAAGTAATCCACCCTCCTCAGACTCCCAAAATGTTGGGATTACAGGCATGAGCCACCGCACTGTAACCATGACACCATTATCCCACTTAAAAAATTAACAATAATCCCTTTATATCATCATATACTTAATAGGTGTTAATAGGTGTTCAGATTTCTCTGACTTTTCTCTATTTTTTGACAGATTGTTTAAATCTTTATCTCAATAATATCCATATAGTTTAAGTATCTCTTTAATCCACAAATTACTCCTTCCTCTTCTTTTCGATTTCTCTTCAATGCATTTGTTAAAGAGACAACCTTCCTGGTCTTGTAGTATTTCCCAGGGTAGATTTTGATTATTGCATTCTTGAGGTGCTGTTTCATTTTATTGCTATTCTTTTTATTTTCTCTAAGTGGTAGTTAGGTCTAAAGTCTTGATTACATTTATTTTTTACTTGATTTTTTAGTCAAGAAGATATCACAAGTATTGTTGTGGACTTCTACCAGGAGGCACATAATTTCTGATTGTCACTTTGTTATTAAGTTAGCAGCCATTGATATACATCCTCTAGCCATTACTTTACCAAGGATTAGAAAATGCTGGTATTATAATTTTATAATTTATTCTGCATCTGTTACTTGAAACTTTTCTGGAGAGAATATTTTCTCAATAACTAGTTTATTACCCTGCAGCAGTTTCTATATTAAAGGCAGGATAAAATTTTAATTACTTCATTTTATTTACCACCAGTTTTCTAAATAATGAATTGGTTTCCTGGCATGACTAAGTTCAGGGTTGAGTATCATTTGGTATTACCATGAGCTTATAGATTTAAGCATCTTTGATATTTGAAAACCACAGCAATCATTTTTTAATTCATGCTCAAATTTCCAACTTTGACCAGGGACATATCCTCAAATTGTCTTCTTTTGACAATTTATCTCAGACATTGTTGATAATTTTCTTGCTGTTTGATGTGACAAGGTGATGCGATAAGATATTCTAGGCTCAACTTTTACATTTCCTGAAGTTAGACATTTTTTTCAAAGATTCATGGTTTATTTTACTGAGAAATTTAGAGACTAGATTATGTATGCTAGTGTGCTTATTGCCACTGGGATGGTCATGATGTCTAGGCTTTTTCAGTAGACAGAGCTATGTGTCATACTTGTTTTGAAGCTAAAATACATTACAAGTTTATAATGATACATCCAATTCAAATACAAGATAATAGTTTTTTGCTTAATCTTTTTGATATTATATCTCCTTTTTCCCATCCCAAAAACTCTAGATTTCATAAACATTAGCATAACTCCTTTGTTTTATTCTATGCCATGTACATGACGATCTTAGAAAAATACTGTGGTAGATTACTGTTATCTATTGCCCCAGTTTTTCACCAGTACTCACATCTACACACCTTGCTTTGTAAACTTGTAGTGTTTTTTCATTCTTATTCTGGCTCTGCCCAGTGGCTTGCCATGGCCCATAGGATTTCAGCAACCATGAAACAAGAAGAGGATTTAAAAAAACAAAACAAAACAAAACAAAAAAAACTTGCCTGTTTCTACTTGCTCTTTTCCACTTCTACAGTTACCACAGGAACATGCTTGGGCTACTTTGCTGGAGCTACCTGGGGCCAAAAGACATTAAAGATATAAAAATACAACCATACTGGCCCTGCTGTGTCTCTTAGCCAAATAACTCTAGATTAGCTGATAGCCAACTAACTCCTAGGTTGAGCCCACCAAGATGAGCAGATCTATGTAGCCAACCTAAAACTGACTACATACTCATTAGCAAGACCAGACCATATCAGCTAGATTCTGCAGGATTGTAAGCTAAGTAAATATTTATTATCAAGAGTGATTCAGCAAGATGGAAGACTAAAAGGTCTCTGCCTTTAGAACCCCTCACAAAAATTCTGACTGGCAAATAACTATACATATACAAAAACACCTTTATGAAAATTTTATAACTTGAGGGTGAGGTGGAGGTGCCCCGCTTGGAGCTCAAAAACCAAGAAAAGCCACATTAGAAGAGTAAGAGAAATAGTTTGATTTTAACTACATCAGGTCTCCCCCGGGTGCACAGCACCACACCAAGGAGAATCTCTTGTTTTTTCTCCTACAAAACAGTGGGGAAATTTGCAGGAATACACTACCTGAAGTCAGGTAGAAACAAAGAAAGGGAACAGGGCTCACAGCGACCAGCATGTGTATCTTGATGGTGGTACCACATCTATGCCAGGGGCCTTACCCCATTAGAAAGCCAATCCGAGGCCCCACTCATATGTGGAGCCAAGTTGGTGATCCCATCTTGCCAAGGAGCACAGTCAGCTGTTCTCCATGGTTGAGGCTCCCAGCTAGCAGTCTAGTCCAGCTGTGCAACTTAAGTTTTCCATGTGAGATATTCTTTGAGGCCTTGCGTATCAGCAAAACTGCTGATGCCAGGTAGCTTTGAAGGATCCTTCAAGGAGCTGACTCACCAAAAAATGCAGTTTCCACATCCTGATGATTTCATTCCCCTTACCCAACCAATCAACAACCCAATTTTTCATTCCCTCACCCTCAATGATCCCCTTAAAAACCCTAGCCCAGAACTCCTCCAGGAGATGGATTTTAGGGGCTCTCTCCATCTCCTTACTTGAAGCCCTGCAATTAAACTATTTCTCTCTAACAAACCCTGCTGTCTTGCTGTATTAGTCTGTTATGGTGCAGCAGGCATAAAACCTGTTGGTCTTTTAACAGTGTTAACTGATTTGATTGTGGTAATCACTTCACATGTATACGTATTTCAAATAATCAAATTGTATACCTTAAGGATATACAATTTTACTTGCAAATTATACCCCAATAAAGTTGGAAAACTATTTATTTATGTTTGTGTTTGTTACTAAACAGTTTGTAGTGAAAGATAGCTTCTACAAACAAAGCAACATGATTACTGAAAAGATTTTAAGAGTATCTTGCAAATCATTTTGTTCATGTACTCCACTAGATATGTGCGGTCAAATTATGTGTTTTGAAGATACATGAGTGGTTCCACTTTGTGTGGTTATGCACCTGATTGATACAAAGCTCACGAATCTCATTATGCCTTCAAGGATTAATTTTCATTTCATAATAATGTAAGGTAATCTATAAAACATTATATATTCAGACACACATAGCTTATATCCCTGTCCTTTCCACACTATTTTCTCTCACCCCAACAGATAACTATTATTTTAGATTTGGTTTATCCTGCAATTTTTTAAAAAAATAAATAAATAGATTCAAATACACATATGTTACTCCCCTTTCTAATTTAAAGTAGCAGAAGAGCAAGAAAGGCCACACTGACATTGGTTTATGCCTTGTGTTCAAAGCAAGAATGTTATTAACTAGCTATGTTCCTTGACAATAATAGTAAAATTAAAATTACCACATTTAGTGACAATTGTGAGCCAGATATCTTCAGAACAATAGTTAAGTAAACTGCCACTCAGAGTGCTTAAGTAATGTGTTCTAAATTACTCATCTACCAAACAACAATGTGGGTGTGTAGATTTGTGCTCTTCCTAGTCTGCTGTACAGCCTCTCATTATACCCTAACGCTTTCTAAGTTGTACTGCACTGTCAAATAATATGAAGGAATTGGAGGAAATGAACTTGAAAATTAGCTTGAAAATTCTATAATTCTATGACAGTTTATATTTTAAATTCAAAATAAAATGATAGTGAAAATTGATTATGAAGATGACATTCTTCAGTATCTACACATTAGAGATTGCAGAAAGTTTTTAATTAGTTCACAGATAAGTCTCATAAGCATCATATTGCTATTTTGTTTTTATGATACTAAACACTAGTGCTTTGGGAATGTAATGTGAATAGAAGAATTCCTTTGACCCAAATGACAGAAACTCAATTCAAACTAAATTAAGCTAAATAAATAAAAGTTGAAAGGCAAGTATTTATAATAAAAAGTCCAGGACTGGTTATCTTCAGATGTGTCAGATTACCTAGTTGGATGAAGGTACTCAAATGATATTATCAGCAGTTGTCCCTCTACATATTGCAGCTCTGCTTTCCTCTGGTTTGCCCCCCTTTTTAGGTAATTTTCCCCCCTTGTAATAACATCTTACCAAAACTTATCAGTCTGATGAAAATAACTTTTTGTAAATCATTGCCTCCATCAGAAGTCCCAGAATCAAGTACTGTTAACCTGAGATGGATCTCACTGCAGTCAGAGAAATGAAATGTTCCAATGAAAGAGCCTCAGGCATATAGCAACCCATAGATCCAAGTGGAAAAAGTAACCCCATCTAAACCACATGGGCTGAGAATGGAAGAATGGTGACTCCTCAAATGAAAATCAGAGATTTGTTCCCAAAAGAGAAGTGGTTAGATTCTGTACATGCAAACACAACTAATGTACTTTACAAAAAAAAAGATAAAGAAGGAAAGAGCAGGGCATGCTCAGGATTAGTGAGTAGGCACAGTGATGTGGAACATCCATTAATGCTTTTCATAATTATTTGATGTCCTGAAAAAAATTTTTGAGTAAAAAAAATAGAAGAGAAACAGATGGCATTATGAAATCATACTAGTTAAACCAACAATCACCTCATATTCCTAACTCCCTTCTAAGGCACACAAAGTATTTCTTGAACCACAGAATGGAAACTTAAGAATCTATCTCAATTCAATGCAGAGGTAGAGCAGTTATTAACAGAAACACTTTCCCCATGTCTTAATTCCAAGGCGCATAGAGGTGATCACTGTTAATGTTGGGGAAGAAGAAAAATGGGAATAAGTTGTTGGTTTTATGAGATTACATTTTTCTTAAAGAAGTCTCTTTGCCTATCCCCCATATGTTTTTCTTGAAATTCGCTGACTTAAAAATTGTTGGATGAGATGCTAATCAAAGAGCTTTGAGTTCTTCAAAGAAAAGTCTCTAAATAGAACAAAATCCATGGGTAAAAATATTAACACTTAGAAATGCAGTTATTTAGATATTTACACCACAAGAAAATGAAAAATAATTTTCCAGTCATATTTAACAGATTAAGCTCCTTGATGTAAAAAAAAAACCCTTTTGTGATTGGCATTTTATCAAATTAAAATTTATTCTACTTTACACACTCACTGTTATATATACTCAGAACATCAGAGCATAAATAATATATATACCAAATGTTGACTTCAGTGATGTCTATAGGCAGAAAAACGTTTTCCTCAAAAATAGATACATAACTAAAAAGCCATGTTTCAGAATCTTATATAAAACTACCTTAACCTTCTGCCAAGAATTGCAGTAGAAACTTAAGTTCCTGTTTTCTTTTATTTTATTTGGAGTTTTATTGTTTTGTTTTATTTTCTTGTTTGCAGTCTCTCTTAAAATAAGAGAGAGCTGAACAAACATCTAAAGGTTTTTTTCTGTAAACTTTTCATGAACAACCGTCGTGAATCATCTACTCTGCAAAACTTTTGGGCCTTTCAAGTTTCATCTTATTCAAGTATAAAAATTAATTCCATTGAAGGTGGCTTCAGAAGAGCAATTTTATTCACTGAAGTTGAAAAAGGGATATTTTGCCAGGTCTAGTGGCTCACACCTGTTATCCAAGCACTTTGGGAGACTGAGGAGGGAGGATCACCTGAGGTCAGGAGTTTGAGACCAGCCTGGCTAACGTGGCGAAACCCTGTCTCTACTAAAAATACAAAAATTAGCTGGGCATGGTGGTGCAAGCCTGTAATCCCAGCTACTATGTATGCTGAGGCAGGAGAATTGTTTGAACCTGGGAAGCGGAGGTTGCAGTGAGCCAAGATTGTGCCACTGCACTCCAGACTTGGCGACAGAGTAAGACTCCATCTCAAAAAAAAAGAAAAAAAAGAAAAAAGGACATTTAATACTATTGATTCCCCTATTGTAAGCTTTCAGGACCACAGACTAACTTATGAATTCATTCTTCCCAACTTTCCTTGCGATTATAACTCCCTTATTCTTTAAATATGCTTACATCACAGAGTAATGGTAGAATCTGAACTCTATGCCAGATAAAACTTAGACTAATTATTTTAATATAGCTCCAATTCATAAGAGCTCCCACATGTATGTCCCACTTTGTGTTCATCAATCTCACTTCCAGATCCAGGGAATCGTAAGGAGGTCAGAGGTCCAAAGTAAGTAAGTGATTCAGAGTGCACTAGAAGAAAACAGGCCTTTCATGGGATGAAAAGCTTCTCCTCTTTTGTACACTTCAAAATAATATTCTTTGGCAAGAGCCTGGAGAGATATTATGTGTACATTTGAGGGTATCATATATACATATTATGTATAAACACATATATATGAATAATTGAATATATATATGAAGAATATATACACATTACATATGAAGAACATACTATATGAATAATTGTTTTTTTTTTCTTCTAGAGTTCACACCATTCACATGAGAATTTTAGAGGGAAAAATATTTACAATTCAACTGCTCCAAATGAAACTAGTATAAGATTCTTTATGATGCAAGTCTACTTTCAAAATGTCAAAATGATGAACCATTTTCTGCTTTCATCCAGCCTGCTTCCCAAGATGGTCAGTAAATTTTTTGATTGGATATTTTCTCTCGATACTGTCTAAACTTAGACTTTCATCATCCACCACCACCTCCCCAACAAGTTTTTAGATCTATACCCATCACATTTTTGGTCTCCCAAGGATGATCGTACCTTAGCCAACGGTTATTTTGCATCTCACTCAATTCGACTTCGCTTAGTTTCTAAAGAAACCTAGGGCCAAATTGTAGCACAGATTATGTTCTTTTCACACTAAAGTCAAAAGGCTCTGTGCAGGCAACCGAGGAAAGCACAAGGACAGGAGTGCTTTCATCTCTCTTCAGAAGATAATAGCTCTAGGCCTTTTGTTGCTTAGTTCTTCTCTGAAATTCCTGGATTGTTTTCCACTCAAAGGCCAAGCTACGGCTCCTTTAGCTAATGTCAAATGCGGGAACACCAAAAAACAAACCAGAGAATCACAAACTAGCTAACACAGAATTGTCAACATTATCCAATAGCTTGCTGATTCACATGTTACTTATTCCCAGTTTAAAATACAAAAAGTTGTGTAATGGAAAGCACAGTACGTTAAACCTGAAGCTTTGAAATGTGCACCGTTGATAGCAAGACATGGAGTCAACACAGGAAATATAAGTTTAGAGCTACGGCAAGCTCGGAGAATTTCAGGAACCACAGCTCTTACTTTGATGTTTCTAGCTATTTCAATCAGACAAATAGTTGTAGAGGAGAGAAAGCAGTCAGACAACTTGAACTAGCATTTCTCAAGAGGGCTCTTCTTTCCTTTGAGGAATTCTTTTCAACTTATTAAATTATCTGCATCTTTAGTAGCAATGTGTTTTCCAATGTAAGACCTTACTAAAATGACAAGTAATCTACTGGGAATTAAACCAAAATGCAAACTTAGCTGTTGTTTTTAAAACCACATGTCTTTAAATCCGTTGATTGTTAACTTTTATCCCAAAAGAAGAATTAACTTTTACTGACTTGCACTAGATAATAAGTGGCCTATTTTAAGTTCTATTTCCCCCTACCTTGACAACTTAATTGACCTGTTAGAAGTATAAGTTACCAGATAAAAATAATAATAAGCTCCAAAAGCATTAAATAAATTTCAAATAAAAATCACTATAGTATATATCTAATAAACAAGGTGGAAGAAATAAAAATTAGATAAAAATATTTTAAGAAACCCAGATGTAATATGATGCTATAATTTGTATTAAGAAACATTTATTCTAAAGCTTTAACCCAGTTGTCTATTTCATATAGGTCATGTATCATGGCCATCCACATAGCAACTTTCTTTGGAATTAAACTTTGGAATTACTTGTTTACACAAGAAAACTCATCTCAGATGTAGCATCTGTTTCTCACTAAGGCTTAGCTTTCACCTAATTCTCCAAATGGGTTGACCGAGGTTCAAGAATGTGAGGTGACTCGATCAAGAACATACAGTGAATCTAGGGCAAGCAGCCTCTCTCCCTTGAGTAGTAGATGGATATCTTGGTATGGAACTCCACTGATGTCATTGTCAGGCCTGTAATGCACACTTAACATCCACTTGAAAACCACAGTTCATTGAGTGAATCACTTGGTATCCTAATATTTTTAAATGTAGCAGAAGGAAGGGAAAAGTGTTTTGTAATTTGAATATGTTCACCAGATCTCCTTTATTAAATTATATGTCTTAACTTCAGAAGCAGTCTAACTTAAAATATTTGATTATTAGAACCACAGATATTATATACATTGCATAATATAGCAAGAATGTAGTGAAGGGAGTTTATATGGAGTATATTCAGTGGTTAAAAAATTAGCAGAAACCTGTTTCTGTGTAGCCATATTCATTTATTTCATATATCATATATTCTACTATATTTATATACTATAAAAATTTATAAGTGCTAATTTTTGCTTGGATAATTTCTTGTCTTTACTAGATAAAGTATGCTACTCTTCATAAAGAACCTCAAATAATATTTAAAAATTAAGTTCATAGTAAATCCAAACAACTATATTTCAAGGAAATAATTCTACCATAAGTACAGATCTACATATATGCAGCTGAAATAAAATGAATACTTTTATAATTAACATTTTTATAATTTTTATAATTATATGTATTTATATATAATTATATATAATTTACATTTTTTATAATTATAATTTATGTGTGAACATATATGGTTTTCTATCAATAAGCAGGTTTATTTCAATTTTTTTCATTTTAATTATGACATCTTCTTTAGTCAATTGTATGTAGTATACAGAATCACTTCGGATCTTTTCTAATGTACATTGAATAAAATTACTCAGTCTTTTCTTTCAGCATTTTTCAGAGAGTCATATATTTTGTGTTCATTATTACAAGAATTGCTTCAAGTAAAGCAACATATCCACAGAGGTTATTCTCAGACTTAAACGTTATTTTTCTATGAAGCCCAAATTCTACATTCAGGTATTTCTACATGCCTGTAACTGATCATGATTGACTCCAGTGATTCATGACTTGGGTATTGTAACTAAAATATTCTATTCCATTCCAATGGATATTGCATAATTCTCTCAGACAATTCCACAAAAGAGTTGCTCAAATTGCCTTCTATTTTAGTTTTTAAAAAATAAGTGGGTTATGTGAGATTTTAACATAGGGAAACATAAAGCACATTGAAGAATGTACAAAAACCTGTGTACTCTCTTTGCAACTTTTAGGTAAATATAAATTCTTACTAAAACAAAAAGTTGAATTAAAAAAGTCTGATATAGGTCATTTTTAGGAGGAATAAGGTGATGGCTAAAGTTAAAAAATAATAATAAGATTCTGAAAGTAGAGGAAGGTAGGAAATCCTTTAGAGTAACTTTATGGGTTATTTTCAAACTTTATTAGCCCTTAAATATTTCTTTTCCTCTTCTTAAAGGTCCCTGAAATGTTGTTAATTTATTAAAACAGTCAAAACATCTGTAGTGATACCAAATACAAAAAAGTATGCCTGAGTCTTTCTGTAACACTGGCTTGTAACAAATGTTCTTCAGTCACCTTAGGAACACCTTATAGTGACATTGTTTTGGTTAATCATTCAGGAAATATATATGGAGCATTTGCTGTATCCCATGTATTATACTGAGCATTGGGGATGCCAAGTTGTAACATGATGCTTGGAGAGCTAGCTGCAGTGGGGGGAAATGAAGATGACCCACAATGAACTCCATTCCAGTGATGCTCTTCTTCTGGTAAGTATGCAGGAACACTCCCTGAAGTAGGCTATATTTTAACTTAGTTATAACAAATTGTATATTTCATTTCATAACAAATTGTATATTTCTCATGTAGTTTTTCTCATCCAAGTCTCACCCCGGGCTAGTACAGCTAGATGGGGCAGCTTTTTTATTCCCATGTTACTGATGAGAGTTACTCCCAATTACACCAGAGGCCTGGAGAGTTTTAATTCATGTCCTCTGAACTCCTGCTTTTGTCCTCTTTCTACTACTTTATACCTCCCTAGGTGAGGGTCTTATCAGACTAATTCTATAAATATTCCATTATTTCATAATAGTAAAGTTAATCTCCAATGTATTTATTTTTCTTTGGCTTTTACTCAGTTCTCACTTATTTCTCAGCACATGGTAAATAATAGTAGTCATTCTCATTTTAAGCCAAATATCCTCTCTCAGGATTGAAGGTACCCTTTTGAAAATAAGTGTTTTTCCTAGGGTCCTATAAGTAAATCAAGCACATTTTGGTGTTTCATTTAATTTTCAAGCCATTTATTACCATTTAGTGTACTGAAGAAGCTTACTCATGAAATATATTCTGCATTATAGTGTTTCACACAATATATTTTTGGCCTTTTTTTATGTGCCATGTATTATGCTGAGCCTTGGGGCTCATGGTCTAATGTAGGTAGGAAGATGGATAATTATAATATAGTATGAAAATTACTATTATATATGTATTTCCAGGACTTTATGAAAAAACTTTTGAGGAATTCCTAAACTACAGCGTTAGAGGGGAGCATTTTAGGGTGATTTAGAAGCAAATACCAAAGGTTTGGAGTTGAGGGCATAGCAGTTCAGAAAATTGGTAGCAATTTAGAAAGCCTAGGTACAGAGAGAGTTGAGAGTTACCACACTGGAGAGAGATGAGATTACAGATGAGTGGCTTTGCATGTCAGGCTAAGGATCATAAGTTTTATGCTGAAAATAAGGGGCCATGGAAGGATTTTAAGCAAGAAAGATGTGATCAGGTTTGCATTTTAGGAGAATCAGTGTAGCTGCTGTGCAGAGAATAGATAAGAGCAGAGGAAAACTTTAGACAGGAATAAATAAGACCATAACAATAACCAAGAACAAACTGGTAAGAAGGTGTTTGACCAAGTAGTTAAAGCTGGTCTTGAGAAAAGTGGATGGACCTAAGAGTTATCAAGATGGCCAATAAGATTTAGCGGACAATTGGATGTAAGTGGAGTGGATGTGGTAATGGAGCAAAATATGTTAAGGAGGTCTTCCAGGTTGCTGGCTTTGGTAACTGAGAGCGGCTTTTGAAAGGAGAAACAAGGAGATTGTCAAGAGGTCAGATTGTGAGGTGTTTTGGGGAGGGTGAAGGTGAGCAGGGGTGAGAGGAGGTGAGAAGATGAGGTGTTCATTTTGGGACACATTAAGGTAGAGCCGTCTGTGTATGTATGGACAGTCAACACTGGTAAAATGTCTGTGGTAGTAATACTGGGGAGTTCTTTGCCATAATAATATTTGGGTTTCTGGAAACTATGTGTACTCTGAAGTTAACAGCTCAGGTTTTAGAGAGATACCCCAGCCAGAGTTTGCAAAATGGATTTACTTCTAACTGTTTAATTATCAAAAACTCAGCTTTCCCATCTATTATTATCTATCATGTATGACTTCTTCAATAACAGATTTTAAAATGTGTAAAACAACAAGCAGGATGCTTAACATATAAAAGGAACATAATAATTGTACATTATCATTATCTTTTTTTTTTTTTTTTTGAGACGGAGTCTTGCTCTGTTGCCCAGGCTGGAGTTCAGTGGCATGATCTCGGCCCACTGCAAGCTCCGCCTCCCGAGTTCATGCCATTCTCCTGCCTCAGCCTCCCAAGTAGCTGGGACTACAGGCACCCGCCACCACGCCCGGCTAATTTTTTGTATTTTTTAGTGGAGACGGCGTTTCACCATGTTAGCCAGGATGGTCTTGATCTCCTGACCTTGTGATCCACCCGCCTCGGCCTCCCAAAGTGCTGAGATTACAGGCGTGAGCCACCGTGCCTGGCCTGTCATTATCTTTTAAAAATGCTCAAAGCAAATGTTAGTGATGGTTAATTTTATAATTTAAAATGTTTAAAATGTTAGTGATGATTAATTTTATATGTCAACTTGACTGAGCTAAAGGGTACCCAGATAGCTAGTAAATATTACTTTGGGGTGTATCTGTGAGAGTGTTTCTGAAAGAAATTAACATTTGAATCAATAGACTGAGAAAAGAAGATTACCCTCACCAATGTGGGCAGGTATCATCCAAACCACTTGACAGACTATATAGAACAAAAAGATAAGAAAAGGTTAATTCACTCTCTCTGTTGAGCTGAAACATCCATCTTTTCCTGCCCTAAGACATCTGTGCTTCTGGCTTTTTGGCCTTTGAAGTCAGACCAGGACTTACACACTTGGCCCCTCTTGCTTATCAGTCATTGAATTTGGACTGCATTACGCTACCAGCTTTCCAGGTTCTCCAGCTTGCAGATGGCAGATTGTGGGATTTCTCAGCCTTCATTACCATGTGAATCAATTCCTATAATAAATCTCCTTATATACTATTGGTTCTGTTCCTCAGAAGAACTCTAACCAATACTAATATATTATTTTATAAAGGATTGTTTAAATAATTGAAATAAGTACCTCCAAATTCAATTGTTTTATAATTTAATTATTTGACATATTTAAATATAAATATATACTTAACATTATGATTCATCGAGGTTTTTAAAAATAGATTACCCTGCTTTCTGGTTCAGTATATATAATAATTACTCTTGAAATTCAATATACAAATTTAAAAATTAATTATATCTCAGCAAATGAAACCCTCTCTTTATAAAAAGTTAGTATTTTGTACTATCATAAACTATTATGATTTTCATCATTTGTATATACCAAAGGTTAAGTTGATTGAGAAAATATGTGGAGATATCTCAGGTTTCAATTGTCAAATTATAATTTTTGTAGATAATTACCCTTTTAACAAAAGACAGAGATGATAGTCCAAAACATTCAGCTGGATTTAATAAGTTCACACTCTAAAATATAGCAGGGTACAACCTCCTCCCATCTTACTTGTGAGCTCATCCTTAAGAATTCCCTTCAATCATTCTTCCTTTCAAAGGTCATTGGAAGAAAACTGGAAAGTCTGGAGACTTTTTTTTTAACCAACTTTTTATGCTACAATTTGAAAAGTCTGGATGCAACACTCCTCAACTGCAGAATATAAACTTTTAGTACTTCTTGTTCTGGAATCCAACAGAAAAAAAATTGACTTGCTTGGCCTTATCCCACTAGCTTTAATAAGTTGTTTTCATGGAGTTGTTTTAAAAAACAATGGATGTGAGATATATACTGAAATACCAGTTTTCAAACTGGAGTCGTAGGATAAATACATTTTTTAAAAATGAGATAAAATAGAATTATATGGAATATAGCAGAGTGAAATAGAAAATATCAAACTTGACTTAATATTGAAAAGGTAAATACTGTTTTGTGAGACCTTTTATTCATATATCATATGATACATATGGTTGTGTGTGTGTGTATTTTGTATATTGAATCAAAATATATGTGAATTGTAGTCAGAATTTAGAAGGCCATAGCATTGTGGAATTGTACACTATGGAATATGCAAATTGGAAAAGATATAATAATACTTCCCTGAAAAATCATTTTCCCTATGAACTTATACCCAACTTGTTTTCAAAAATCTCTCACAATTCATTTTTAAATGGAAATGCCTCTTATGTACTACATATTAATGATGGTGATGAAGATGATAATAACTCACTTTTATTTATATTATACCCTTCAAGGGATTTCAGCTCTGTTATTTAATTTTATTACATTTACTTCTCAGCAACACTGCAAAACCAGCTGGAGAGGTAGCTGTAGTTCTGTTTGCATTGAGGCACAGAAGGACCAAGTGATTTGCCTTAAGTAACTCAGGAGCTACATGCATAAACGTGGTCATTTAACTTTCAATGATGCTTTTTTTCCTTAGGATTGTGTTGTTTCATGCCATACAACTGCAATTAGTTTGCCATTTTTATCTCTTGTGTGGGTCTTTGTCATTTGTTTTGCACTTAAAACACTATCTACAAAAAAGTTCAAAATATTTGGGAAAAGGCAAGAAGGAGTAAAATAAAAATGAGTTGCTGATTTAGGGATTTGTAAAATTCCCAACTGTTTTCACCTAAGACTGAGGCTTTAACTGCATCAACCTAGCAGCCAATCTGCTATGTAGATATCTCTTTTATTCCCAAAACTATCATAGGACCTTGAATGTAATAGGCTACTCAATAAGTATTGTTGAGTTGAAGTAAAAATTGCAACTGTCAGATCATATTAATAGGGGAATTCATGGTGATATGAGATCAATTAGAAATTAAAGGTGAGGTGGAGGGGAGAGAGGACATAGGGTAGCTTTAGAGCAAGCTTCCAATACAGCCACATACAGTGAGCTAGGGAGCCTCCCGGCCTTTTCTAGTACGTGGAAAATTCATAGAAGGTGGAAATTATCTGACCTAGCTATTCCTCTAAAATTCTCATCGTATGATACCTTCTTGATGGAAGGTTTAAAAACTACTGGTTTGATTACTTCAATTGATTTATAGATAGATTACGTTTGTTAAGTTATATTTGTCTAGAAAATTGTCCATTTTAGCAAACTAGTCTCTAAAGTTTTCCATAGAATTAACTTATGATTTGTTCAGTTTCTATGTGTCTGTAGTTTTCCCTTTTTCATTCCTGTGATGGTTAATAATGTGTGTCAACATGATTGGATTGAAGGAGGCAAAGTATTGATCCTGGGTGTGTCTGTGAGGGTGTTGCCAAAGGAGATTAACATTTGAGTTAGTGGGCTGGGAAAGGAACACTCACCCTCAATGTGGGTAGGCAAAAGCTAATCACCTGCCAGCATGGCTAGAATATAAGCAGGAAGAGAAAAGTGAAAAGAGAGGCACTGCTTAGCCTCCAGCCTACATTGTTCTCCCATGCTGGATGCTTCCTGCCCTCAAACATCGGACTCCAAAGTTTTTCAGTTTTGGAACCTGGACTGGTTCTTCTTGCTCCTCAGCCTGCAGATGGCCCATTGTGGGACATTGTGATCATGTGAGTTAATACTTAATAAACTTCCCCTTTAAATATTACATATCTATTCCATTAGTTCTGTCCCTCTAAAGAACCCTGACTAATACAATTCCTAACAATGCTGGGATATCGGGGGACCTGCCCCGATAATCACGTAGGTTCTTTTCTATTTTCCTAAGCTTCGACTGGCTTGAGAAATAAAAGGACAGAGTACAAAAGAGAAATTTTAAAGCTGGGCGTCCTGGGGAGACATCACACATTGGTAGGATCCATGATGCCCCACAAGCCACAAAAACCAGCAAGTTTTTATTAGGGAGTTTCAAAAGGGGAGGGAGTATACAAATAGGTGTGGGTGACAGACATCAAGTACTTAACAGGGTAATAGAATATCACAAGGCAAGTGGAGACAGGGCGAGATCACAGGACCACAGGACCGAGGTGAAATTAAAATTGCTAATGAAGTTTTGGCACCATTGTCATTGATAACATCTTATCAGGAGACAGGGTTTTGAGATCAACCGGTCTGACCAAAGTTTATTAGTCGGGAATTTCCTCTTCCTAATAAGCCTGGGAGCGCTATGGGAGACTGGAGTTTATTTCACCTCTGCAATCTCGACCATAAGAGACAGGTATGCCCCGGGGGGGCCAGTTCAGAGACCTACCCCTAGGTGCGCATTCTCTTTCTCAGGGACGGAATTCAGCGATATTTCTCCCATTTGCTTTTGAAAGAAGAGAAATATGGCTCTGTTCTGCCCGGCTCACCGGCGGTCAGAGTTTAAGGTTATCTCTCTTATTCCCTGAACAATTGCTGTTATCCCGTTCTTTTTTTCAGGGTGCCCACATTTCATATTGCTCAAACACACATGCTGTACAATTTGTGTACTTAATGCAATTATTACAGGGTCCTGAGATGATATACATCCTTCTCGGCTGACAGGATTAAGAGATTAAAGCAAAGACAGGCATAGGAAATCACAAGGATATTGATTAGGGAAGTGATAAGTGTCCATGAAATCTTTACAATTTATGTTTAGAGATTGCAGTAAAGACAGGCATAAGAAATTACAAAAGTATTAATTTGGGGAACTAATAAATGTCCATAAAATATTCACAATCCACATTCTTCTCTCATGGCTTCAGCTGGTCCCTCCGTTTGGGGTCCCTGACTTCCCGCAACAATTTAGGAGTTTTTTTTAGTTCGTTGTTCTTACTATAGTAAATATATTCTACCAATATATTTAAAGAACTGTCTTTTGGTTGATTTTCTTTATTCTTATACTTGGGTACTTTTTATTTCGTAAAATATTCCTATAATTTTCTTTATTCAGCTTTATTTTATTTATTAGATGTTTCCTTAGTTTTTTAGTTTAAGAAGAGCCATTAAAATTTTTTTTCTTAACATATGGTTTTGCAGACTACAGATTACTCTGTAAGCACTCTTTTATTTGCATCCTATAGGTTTTGATATTATTGTTCCCTTGTAAATATCCATTTTGATTCACTGTTGAAGAATGAACTGTTTACAATTGTGTTTTATGCTACGTTGCTACATCAGATTTCTTTTGATTAACATCTTCCTTCTATATCTTTCTCTACCCCCACTCCACACAGTCTTTTATTATGTTTTAAGTATGTCTCCTGTAATCATCATATAGCTGGATTTTTAAAATTTTTATCTTGAAATATTTTAATATTTTAATGGAAAATTTAGAACTATACTCAGAATTTTTTTCTGAATGATTAAAGAGTAAATTGGAGAGATCATGCCCCATCACCCCAGAATATTTATGTGTAATTCCTAGAATATTTACCTACATAAACATAATACTGCCATTTAAATCAGGAAATTAGAATAGACAGATGGCTATGATATAATCCACAGACTACCATTAAAATTTCAGTTTTTTTCAATAATGTTTTCTATAGCAAAATTATCCTGTCCTCAGCTATATTTTATATTAACCTCTGCTTTTCTCCTTCAATCTGAAATAGTTCCTCAGACTCTCCTTGACATTCATGACGTTGACACTTTCCAAAATAACACTATTTTGTAGAATGTTATTAAGCTTTTATTTGTCTGATATTCCTTCATTATTAAATTCGGGTTATATATATTTATTGGAGGAATATCACAGAAGTGATGCTGTGTTCTCATTGTTTTACCAGATGGTATGCAATTTCAATTTGGCCTACTACTAGTTGTGTTAACTTTTATCACTTGATAAATGTGATGTCTTCTAAGTTTCTTTCCTATAAAGTTGTTTTTCCCTTTGCAATTAACAAATCTTTGAGACTAAGTAAATACTCCATTCCTTGTCAAATTTTCTGTCACTAGTTTTCCCATCCATTGATGTCTTTATGACTGAATTATTGGTAAGATGGTTGCCAAATAATAATTTTTCATTCCATCATTCCATCTACACTTATTAATTGGCTTTCTGTTGTAACAAAAAGCTTTCTTTTGTCTCCATTTATTTATGCATTTGTTTATTTATAACTGTATGAAGAAATAACAATTTAATCACCAGGTTATAATCTATTACTGTCATTATTTTGATGTACAAATGATTCCAATGTTTGTCTAATGTGGGCCTCTTCAAGCCAATTTTGTACATCATTTTCTGAATACTTCCTCACTTTCTGGTACAATAACATTTTCCATGCTCATCTTGTACTTTGCCTGCCCAAGCATTGGAACCAGCCATTTCTCCAAGGAGCCCTAGTTCCTTATGGCTGAGAATTATATTTAGAAATGAAGATCAGTGTGCACATTGGTATTGTGATTACTCGGGTCTCTCAATGGACATAACCAGGGCATATATGTAAATACACGTTTACATCTATGTGTATGTTTTACTCAACTATCTATGTATATGTTTTTAAAAAATGAGTTAATACCAATGTCTCTGATTTCAGTGCAATACCATAGGATTAATTCCAGTTTTTTTTATTTCCATATTTGTAACCCCCTTTTACTACAGTGAGAAATATGACTCCCATTGTGTTTGTCTGCTTGGACTGCCATAACAAAATACCATATCCTGGGTTGCATAAACAACATAAATTTATTTTCTCACAATTCTAGATGCTGGAAAATCTAAGATCAAGCTGCCAGCCTATTCGATTCCTGATGAGATCTTTCTTCCTGGCTTGCAGAGAGAGAGAGAGAGAACGCTCTAGTGTCTCTTCTTATAACTACAATAATCCCATCATGAGGGCCTTGATCTCCATACCCCATCTAATCCTAGTTTTCTTCCCAAAGTCCCTGTCTCCAAATACCATCGCATTGGAGGTTAGGACTCAATACGTGAATTTGAGGGAGATGCAAACAGTTAGTTCATGACACCCATTATCCTTGATATGATCTTTCACCAGATCGTTTCCTTGTATGAAAACAAATTCCAATTGCTGCTGCTGCAAACACACCTCCCCCTATTTTCATGAGCGTCCGTGTGAAAAGACCACCAAACAGGCTTTGTGTGAGCAACATGGCTGTTTATTTCACCTGGGTGCAAGCGGGCTGAGTCCGAAAAGAGAGTCAGCAAAGGGAGATAAGGGTGGGGCCGTTTTATAGGATTTGGGTAGGTAAAGGAAAATTACAGTCAAAGGGGGTTTGTTCTCTGGCGGGTAGGAGTGGGGGTTGCAAGGTGCTCAGTGGGCAGGAGTGGGGGTTGCAAGGTGCTCAGTGGGCAGGAGTGGGGGTCACAAGGTGCTCAGTGGGGGTGCTTTTTGAGCCAGGATGAGCCAGGAAAAGGACTTTCACAAGGTCATGTCATCAGTTAAGGCAAGGACCGGCCATTTACACTTCTTTTGTGGTGGAATGTCATCAGTTAAGGTGGGGCAGGGCATATTCACTTCTTTTGTGATTCTTTAGTTACTTCAGGCCATCTGGGCATATACGTGCAGGTCACAGGGGATGCGATGGCTTGGCTTGGGCTCAGAGGCCTGACACCTATGTAGACACTCAACACTCTTTTTAACTTGCTCAGTCCCTGATGACCATGTCAGACCACCACCACTGCTTCCACTATGCGGTCACCAACATGACCCAACAGGTTTCACCACTCCATGCAAGGCTGCTACTCTTGCCATCATCTCTGCCACCTGATGCAGGTAGTCTTTCCCCTACTCAAGCTCTGAGGCCCCACACCAGGCCGTCTGCTCTGCCCCTCTTTGCAGATGTCCTAGTTATTCTGTTTGGGGTCTAATACTAACCATTTCCCCCCATAAACACACACACATACACATACATACACAGTGCATATGCCTCTCTTTTTTGAACTTAGCTGGTTGATTTTTTTTTTTTTTAGACACCAGTATTAATTGACAATCTGGTGACTTTAGGATTTAATTATAAAGAAAGAAGGAAAGGCTTTTTTTTAAAAAAAAATCCAATCTAAACACTTTTAGCTGAAGAAATTCAGTACTTTTATGTTTATTGAAATTATTTATAACCTGAACTTTCTGCCACTATTTTGTTTTGCTCTCTTACTGTGTTTTTTTTTTTGCTTGTTTTTTATTTCTTTTTTTCCTTCTGTTGAATTGAATTTCCCTTTTTCATTTTTATATCCTCTACTAATTTGGAAATTACAATGACCAATTTTTAAATTGTTTCTCTTACAATCATATCACGCATACTGACTTATAATGGTCAAAGTCAGTCAACACTGCTGTTCTTTTAATAAAGATTCGGAGATCTGCCTTCATTCACTTCTTCCCATGTGACACATTACTGCTATCCACAATTTTACGAACTTTCTTTTTACACCATCAAATTGTCCATTTTTATTATTATTCATTGTTTTGTTTAATTAATGTGTATTGAAATTTACTTGACTCTTTACCAGTTTCTTGGATGTTACATAGTTTCATAGCAAGTTTAGAATTGCTATTAGGGATTTACTTATATTCATTCTGGTTCAGACTTGTATTTCCTTAATCTGAGAAATTATATCTGATTATAGTCATTGTATTTTCACTCACTGCTTCTCACCAAAGCCTTTTGTCTTTTCTTCAGGTGCTTTTGTTAGTTGACTGTTGGATCTTTTAGTTCTATTCTTAATATGTTTTAACCATATTTTTGAACTTTTTATTTCATTGTGCTGCATCTTTTGGAATTTTGTCAACTTACTAATTCTTTTTTTAACTGTGTCTAGTTTTTTCAACTATGGTAATTTCATTTTTATAGTGTCTTGTTCTTTGCTTATAGTTTTAATTAACTCTTTTATATGTTTAATCTTTTAAACATACTTATTTTATCATACTTATATCAAATATAATAAAATTATGCGATTGTGTACTGTATCAAGTAATACAAAATTATTTGTTATCAAAATAATACAAAAAATTACAAAATACCAAAATAATATAAAAAATGCAAAATATTATCAAAATAGTACAAAATTAGTGTGTATTATACCAAAATAATACACAATCACTTTGCTGACAACCTTTGAGAGAAAGTGTGATACTGATATGCAGAAATACGGAAAAGTGGACCTTTTCCCAACCTTCAGGAGACGAGGAAGCCTATGAGGTCCTTAGACTGAGTTGGAGTTAAAGGGCAACTGTGAGAAGATTTCCAGACAGGTACACTGAATAAGCAATGTGAGAGAAATCATAATGTGAACCTCTAAAAACAGCTTCCAGTTGTCAGCTTATAAATTTAGGGGCACAAAATAATCATATACAAGTCCATAAAGGATAAGGTAGGTGACATATTCTTGAGGGCTTTATATGCTCTCTTAAGCACTTGGACTTAAGTCTTCCAGATCGGTGGTTTTTAAACTCTCCATTGGAGACTTCTTCTTTCCACCTGGGAATTGAACATTTCCTCCTCTACTTCTACAAAGGCAGATCAGCTTAATTTATTTCCTTTTTTTATTTTAAACATTTGGATCCTGTATTTGGAAAAAGAATAGTTATTCCTGCCAAGATAAGAAGAAAGAAAATGTGGAGAAGAATGTTCTAGATGATAGGAAGTCAGCCTGTGACCCTCTGCTGCCTAATGGGAAGCAACATGGAAGAGGAATATAGTACAGAAATTCAGAAACAACTACTTTTCAATTCCAACCTGTAACGTATAAAGCTAAACTGAGACAATATTTAAGCCCTATTTCCCAAGGGTCAACTCAAAAACATTTTCATCCTACCCACTGTTCAAATCTCTGGGTGGATCAAATAGTCTGAGAGTAAGGGTCTTTTTAACAAGAAAAAAAATTAGCTTATTTGTGACTATCCTACCAAAGCTGGCTAGGCTCAGAGTACTTGCATTGAAATCTAGAAAGAGGCTTGTGAATGAAGCAAAGAAATTCAGCATGTGAGAATTCTATCTAGAAAGGAATTTTGAGTGTGGCAATTGACACATGGAGCTAACTAGAAGCAAATAGGCAACTAAGTTTTTGAGAGTTGCACTGCCAAAAAGAACCATCATCCTGAGAGAATGCAACTATTAGAAACAAAGCACTCGTCTCCCAGTAGTCTACAGGCAATAACTAAGCTGAGAAAACAATTCAGCCCATAAGGACGGCATATTTTCTAATGCCCACTTTAGATGTGGCAAAAGAGGATAAAATAAAGAAACTTTCAGAGGGATCACCTAAAAACCACAGAGAACAATGTAATAGGAAACTCCCTTCAAGAGGCAGAATCTGGGCCTAATTATGAAATGTTTTCCATCATCAGGGTAGGGAGCTCCCACCCAACAAGTATCCAGTAAGATTTCACAAATGTTACCTGTGTATGTCCACCTGCTGTATGTCTCCTGTTTTTTGTTTCTGAATAGTAGAGTGAGTTTATTATGGTTATGCTATCTCTAGACACCATTGTACACACTGGGAGTTTCAAAGAAGCACATAAGTGATCATTTTAGTGTTAAGGTATCTGGAGAAACGGGAGCTGCATCCTAGTCAGGCACCACTCAGACATCCTGGCCTTTGAGCTAGGTGCAGTTATTAGGTACAATTTTTAAATTATCTTCTTTGAGAAGGGAGAGTTTTGTATATGTAGGAAGGAGGCTTTTCCCAATATGGAGAGCTAGAGGAAAGACTGTGGTCGACATCAGTTCAGTCCACCAAATATTTCTAGTCTTTCAGAGGGTCACATTCTAAACTTGCACTTCCTCTTCCCACTTAAAGTTAGAGCAGCCATATGACTTGTGGCTTAATAAATGAGCAAAGGTGACATGTTATTTCTAAGTAGACATTTTAGGAATTTGTATGTGATTTGCCACATTGTCTTCCTCTGTCTCAATGTTTGAGAAAGCATCTGTCGAGGCAGACAATTAACCTGAATCTCTGAATGACTATAATCAACAGAGCCCCTATCTAATCCTCAGTGGACTTGTCACTTAAATAAGAAATAAATTATAACCCACTATGATCTGGGGGTTGTTTTCGACAGCAATAAATCATAGCATATCCATACTGATGCATTTGCTTTCTTTGCCACATGGTATTATAATTACTTTTTCTATATCTTTTTCTCCCAGAAGGCAATATACAACTTAGATATACAGACTGTTATCTTGTTAATCTTGTTTATTTCATCAATGTAACTGTTAACATATAAACATAGTGCTATCATGCTTCTTACGATGTGCCAGGAACCCATTCTTCACATTAACCAAATTGTAAGATATTATTTCCACTGTTTTATAAAGAGGAAACTGAGTCACCTAGATTATGTAACTTAGCCATTGCTACATGGCTAGTAAATAGATAAAAAGGATTTAAACTCAGACTATCTGGTGCCAAAGTTGATGGATGTTACCATCACCATGTCTTTCTGCCACATTTCTGTATGCCCAAGAATAAATTCCTACTGAGTAAATGAATAAAATCTTGTGGCTCTTTGGTACCTTCAGTACTTTAATAAATTTTCATCGTCTAAGACAACCAATTTCCTTCTGACCTCTTTTGCCTCCCTAACAGTCTGAGTCACATGCTAAAATATTCAAAGATGTTCTTCATCACAGTTCTGATATTTCTGCACTCTTGTCTTTTTGCTGAACTTTCATAGCCAACTCCACCATGAGGAGAGGACCATATTTTCCGATTTCTCTGCTTCTATTCTAGAACTTTGAATGTTGTACATGTGTGTAACAGCAACTCGCTGGGCCCAGCCACACTGAGCCCTCTCTAAAGGAGTTCTAAAGTGTTCCGAACTGCTCTAAAGTGCCTCCTGTAGTAGATAGGCTCTAAAGGGACCCCCACCCCCACTGCCACTGCCCAGTGAGTCACACCTGTGTGTAATCCACTCACCTCCAGTGTAGACACAACCTGTGACTTGCTTCCAACCAATGAAATATGGCAAAAGTGAAAGGATGTCACTCCCTTGAGTAGGTTTTATTTATGGCAAAGTCGATGGATGTCACTTCTTTTTTTTTTTTTTTTTTTTGAGATGGAGTTTCACTCTGTTGCCCAGGCTGGAATGCAGTGGCACAATCTCGGCTCACTGCAACCTCTGCCTCCCAAGTTCAAGTGATTCTTCTGCTTCAGCCTCCCGAGTAGCTGGAATTACAGGTGTGCTCCACCACGCCTGGCTAATTTTTTGTGTTTTTGGTAGAGAAGGGGTCTTCCCAGGTTGGCCAGCCTTGTCTCAAACTCCTGACCTCAGGTGATCCACCCACCTCAGCCTCCCAAAGTGTTGGGATTACAGGTGTGAGCCACCACACTCGGCGGATGTTACTTGTATAATTATGTTGCATTGTATAAAACTCTGTCTTAGCAGACAAGAATTTAAGAGATTCTTCTGGATCCTTTGAGAAACACTGTCTTGTGAACTGTCTGTGGAAAAGGTCACATGACCACAGAACCGCAGGCAACCCCTATGCTCTCAGGCCTTAAAATTGTGATAAAGCTACCTTAAAAGCTACCAGCTACCTTTTTTAAGTAGCTGGTAAGCAATAAGGCCTTCAGTGACACAACCACGAAGAAAGGAATTCTGCCAACAACCTGAATGAACTTGGAAGTGGGTTCTTCCCTAGTGAAGCCTCCAGTTGAAAATGTAGCCTGGTGACATCTTTATAACAGCCTTGTGAGCCCCTGAGCAGAGGACCCACTTAAGCCATGTCTGGACTCCTGATCCATGCTAACTGTATGTCAATAAACGGTGTTGTTTTAAACCACTAAGTTTGTGGTAATTGTTACTCAGCAATAGAAAACTAATAAACCTCCCTAACACTTTTATCATAGAATTTATTTCAAAGCCATTCCCATGTCTTCAGCTCTGGGTTATATCTATCTAATTTTGCCCTCTGGGTGGCCTTGCCTCCCACTTTATGGTAAGTTGTATATTCTTTGAATTTCTTGAAATTCTTTTCTCCCCATGAGCATTTATTAATATTATTTTCTCTTCACTTGTATTTGTTTCCATCTTTCTGTCATAGAGAACAAATTGTCTCTCCATTAGCAACTCTTAACTTATGCCTTTATTCTTTTTTTCAGGACTCCTTTAGGAGGCTTTTTTCTAGAAAATCTTTCCTCTACTTGCAATACAATTTATCTCTCTCCCCTGACGCAGTCTAAAAATACTGGCATGCCAAAAATCCTAAGCTCATTTCTACTATCCTTTCAAGTTACTATCATATTTTCCTCTTTACTTTTATTTTTACCATTCAATTGTTTCCAAATAAACTGTACTTGTGATGTTTAGTTTCCACCCTTAAACCATTGTTAATTCCTTGAAATCTGACTTCAGCCTTCATCACTTTTCTGAAACTGCCCTTTCAAAGGTCTTTAAGTACAGACAGACTTCCAACTCTAATGCTGTTCTGTGTTGTTTTGCTTCCGTTTCCATCTTTCTCAACCTCTCGGTGACATCATGGACTATCGACCAACAATTCCTTCTGGACACTAGCCATTCTAGTTCCTCTTCTATTCATGTGATCACTCATTGTATTTCTCTTTATCTGATTCTAAAATTCTGTGTTAGGTGTTCCTTGTTTGTGCTCTCACAGCTCTGTGCATGTTCTTATCACCTTTTAAAAATATCTGCTGCAATTATCCATTTACTTATCTGTGTCCTCAGTAAACATTGCCCTGCTGAGGCAAGTCAGGGGATCTCATTTTTTTTCTTATCTATAGCATTTGTCACAATACAGTTCACAGTGTAGCTACTCAATAAATATTTGTGGGATGGAAAAATTTTCCCAAGCATGATCATTTGGTCTCACAGGTCATAAGAGATTGATTGCAATGTACATACAGAAAGGAAATAATAACTGTTGAGAAAACCCAGTATATAATTGAGAATGGAATAAATAATGAGCTATTTTACCATACAATATAGTATAATATATCAATTGTAAATCTATGTAAATATCAATATGTTAAATATAATGGGATTTCTGTCTCGCCGTACAAGAAGTAATTCAAGACAGATTTTGGACCCAAGCATAAAAGCTAAAACCACAACAATCAAAAACCAAAATGCATTTAGAAAGAGACATAGGAGGATCTCTGCGTAACTTGGAGATTAATCTACAAGTTTGTTAGACAAGTCACAAAAAGGAACAACCACTAAAAAATCAATACATTTAATTTTATCATATTTTAAAATGACTACTCTTCCAAATATTATTGAAAGTGTTTGCAAAACATATATCTGACAAAGGAGTGTTATCCAGTATAAATAAATAACTATTACAACTCAATAATAAATAAACAACTCTGAATAAGATCAAAGAATGGCCGACAAACCTATGGAATAAAAATCATTGGTTATCAGCAAAATGCAAATAAAAATCAAAATACCACTACACATTCAAAGGAAACAAATTACTGAGGTACTAGATGTGAATTAATTAAAATATACTGATGGAAAGAAAAACCTATATACAAAAGAATATTCTGTATGATTCCATTTATATGAAATTTTAGAATTGCAAAACTATAATGACAGAAAAAATGTGTTTGTGGAAGAGGGCAGGAGTGAAGATTGACTGAAAAGTGATGAAGGAATTTTCTGGCTGCCACAGATGTTTTGTGTCTAGAAACAGGTTTGGATTCATAGGTGCTATATATGTGCATTTGTCAAAACCTAGCAAATGTATGCTTATGATTGTTTATCTTGTATATAAATTGCACATCAAAAGAAAAAAACAAATAAGTATCAAAATCTAGCTAAGTACTCTAAAATATTTAGAGGGAAGTATATATTGACATCTGCAATTTACTTTGAAATGCATCTAAAACAAAATGGATTAAGAGTTGCAGAGAAGGATGGAGAAATGGATAAATATGTGATTAAAAAATTATAGTAAAATGTTAGTGGCAGACTCTACATAGTGAGTATATATGTGCTCAATGTAAAATTCTTTTAATTTTGCTATTGGAGAAAAATACAATGGGGTACTAAAGTACTGTGTTAGGGTAAACTCCTTTTCACTCTACATTCTTAAGAATTGTTTGAAATTTTTAACATAGTCAAATGTCTGTATAAAAAAATTTAAAAATAAAGATAAGGCATTGTCATATTTATGTAACTAATTTATCCATGAAATTAAATTAATAGTACTAAAAATTTTATTTGGAAAATAATAATTGACTAATAATGTGTCCAATTAAGACACAATTATTCCAAGTTGAACTTAGACTTGTTCAATATATGACGATGGAGGCTATAGAAGAAGAGGTAAAAAGTAAGAGAAAAGTAGCATTTGCAAGTACTCAGCTATTTGGGTTTTTTTTTTTAACTGTTTTAATCTTTTACTAAATTTCTTGAGCACTACTGAACTCATTACTACTTAACTTTTTCTAAAGTTTCACTTAAAACTAGAGAACAAGTATATCCGTCAGAGAGCCAGTAATTTATTTCTCAGCATTCCTCCCTTTTCCAACTGTCTCCACTCCTACCAGTTCGTTACCCCTTATCCTTAGCCTACTCAGTTTCGTCCAGTTTTCTTTGTGTGAAGGCTAAATTCCTATTTCCTTCTTTCTGATTTAGTCTTAATTACAAACCTAACTGAATTATTGTCAATATTACTTAGCTGTTTTCTCCACCCACTCATCTTCATAAGACCAGTCACATCTTCTCCTTTTAGACAACAGTTTTTATGCTGGCCCACTTCTCACGGTAGCTTTCATATGGATTTTTTAAAAAATTGTCCTATATACTACCTATATTCCCAGAATATGCAAAAGTTCAGAGAGGAAACTCTGGAATTCCTAAAAATTGTTGGTAGTTTGGGGTTTAGTTAAAAGTTGCAGACAAGGATGGAGAAATGGATAAACATGTGATCAAGAAAGATACATAAAACCCTCTAGAACAATAACCAAGAAAAGTTCTCAGATAAGTTAAAACTTTTTTGCTCTCATCTTGCATAAAGAGATCAGTGTTTGGTCAAATTAGGTAATATTAAGCTTTAATTCCTTTCTGATTTGAAAGTCAGCTGTAATTGGGAATAAGATTATTTAACATCTTTAATACTCAGGAAACAGAACTAGATAAACAGAAGGATACCGACTCTTCCCATCTTTGCAAACCAAGGCCCATTCCTGAAACCCCTTTTCTTAAATCCACTTAAAGAAGTTCTGCAAACAGTAAAGGAACCTAAACTAAAACAATATGAAATCTTTTCTGACTTTAGCTATGCTAAGAAAACATCGTAAATGGTAAATGTTAGATCTAAACAGAGCCTGAATAACCATCTATTGCAGCATTTCCTAAATATCTTTGTGCAGATCTCATTCAATAGGATTTTGTTTGGTGTGGTTCCCTGATTAAGTAAGATGGAAGGTGCTGGATTCAATCACGTTCAAATCTAGAATAACTGGAGTTGATGTTAGCGATCTCTGGGAGAATAACTCATTTTTTTCTGCCGCTATTTTATTAACATTTGCAAAGACACGATATGATTAACCTAAATTCTGTGACTAAAAAATAGCAGAACTGGGGCCACAATATAGGTTTCCTGATTCCAAGCTCAGGGCTATTTACGCTATATCTCAACACATCCCATTAATTTAAGACTATGGAATTAAAGATAATAAACATCTAATGTGCATATTTCTACAAAGGTTTGCGGACTATACACTTCTAGCAATCTGACATTTTTTTCTTTCTATAAGAGAAAAAAAATCAAATATTTATTTCTTAGAGTATTCCAGAGTTTACTTGCCAAAATGTAGGCATTGTCAGAAAAAAAATAGTACAAAGATTATTATGTTTTCACACTCCCTGTTCTCTCTCTCAATCAAAAACCAAACCAAACAAAAAAGCCCAAGTAACATAGCTCAAAAAGTCCCTGTAAGTAGAAAAGATCTTTCTTTTAGCAAAAATAAAGATTTTAGAGGTAAAACTACAGAGTAAAGCACCTACTGAGGTAAAACTACAGAGTAAAGCACCTACTGAAAGGTGACAGTTGATCTAATTTCTCCCATTTCACATTACACACAAAATAATCTGGTTATTTTCTTAAATAAGTGGTTGACAAAAGATCACTCTTCAGCAATATCTCTAATAAAGACCTGAATAGGTAAATCCAAACATAATTGTCAGTATCCAGCTGGCAGGAGTTATTCCTAAATAGCCCATAGAGATAAAAGCCAAACCAGTTAAGAGTAGAAAAAGGAAATAATATACAAGAGAGTAATTGCTATAAAAAGTTTCTATTTCATATCTTCCAATTGTAAAATGAATATAATTTTTCAAATTATTTTATTTCAATGAGAAATTTTCATAATCTAGATCATCATCTAAACTCTTTGGCAAATAAATATCAACAGAAAGATTATTCTCCCAAAGATATCACTAAAATGAATTCTAGTTGATTCTAGCCTTCTTTTCTTATCTCTGAAAGCTGCCTTTCAAAATTTGCTCAATGTCCCAAACACCAAGCATAAAAAATAGAATTCATTTTCCAAAGTGTGTGCCTTCTAGCTAGAAGTGAATAGAACATAAGTAAAATGAAATCAGATTCATTCTGATCTTTAAAATCATTCAGTTGCAGTTGCCATCATTTGATCAAAAACGGATGCCGTGACATTACAAACCCAATTGAAAACATAGGAAAAACAACGTACGTACTTCTGTGATTGTTATTCTCTTTTTTAAAAAAATAATGTTCAAGTTCATGTTGACTCCTGTGATATAGTTCTCCAGGTAACTGACTAAAATTGGATTTTTGCTTAATCAACCAGGCTAATTAAGGCTTCTGTTCTGGTCTTTGAATGACAAGGCAGAGTATGGCTTCAATCAAATTGCCGGTTGACTCGTCCATGGGCCTAAATCATACCCAGTAATATAATCAAACCAGTTTGGCTAAATTACACACCATATATCAGTAAATGGCTTTTCTGGGTCACTAGCCTACAAACAATCTGGCATTAAATTATAGCAGATAAAAAGAAATGTTTTAATGTTTCCAAGAAACTCACATGCATTACTTAAGGTCTTAACTAATAAGAAACTATTAGAAGAAATAAAGAGAGACATGAAAGCATAACAACATTGTGTCCATCCCAAATGTCATTAGATGCAATCTTTAATCAGGCACTCATTCCAGTTACTGGGCGGTATCGCCAACCTCCCAGAGGGAAGTCAGCCACAGACCAAGAATGAGAAAATGAATTTGAAAAAAAAAAAACAAAAAAACGAACCTGAATGATAACTGAGCCCAGATGGGGAAAAGAAAGGTTAACTGTGGAACTAGTCTTATTTAAAGGCCACCAATAAATTTAAGCCACAGAGAAACTTGCCCAAATAGGGAAAATACTATGTTTCACCCCAAATAGTAAAAAGACAAATGAACATACTCAATTGGATCCACCAGCCAAGACGTTTCCCAATTTTTATTATGGAACATAAGGTCCATGAGCCAGAGTTACAGGCTAAATACTGCACTAGGGCAGTGTAGAAAATAAGCAGCTGGTTCTTATTATTTGTGTGTATTTTTCTTATGGGTAAAAACGTGGGCGAGATCCCATGGTGCACTGCTGGGCAGACCTCCCAAAATGGCAAGGGCAGAGCACTGGCTTTCCTGTCACCATCAGGGATGTGGTCAACACAAGAATATTTTTCCAAAGAAAGTCCAGCAAGAAGAGGACCTGTCACATGGCCGTTGCCATGCAGCTCTGAGAAAGAAAACGTAGATGAGGGACAGCTTTTTAAAAGTGCATTTAAAGATCTGATTAAATTGTACTAAGAAAAACTAGATGTATGTAAATATTAAACATTATTGTCTTTAGAAACCTGTATTAGTTGCTTAAGATTTTAAATGACATGATGTTCAGCTAACAGTAGAGACACTAGCAGAATCATGAGTTGGAAGAAGGACTGCAGAGGAGATGAACTCTCAAATCTCTTTCTCCTCTCCCTTGGATCTCCTCCAACTATCTCCCATTGCGCACATCCATTTGGAAGTGGAAGTCAAGGCAGCCCCAAGGATGCCATGGCAGGCATCAGAGCAGAAAAGGGCAGAAAATGGATTTGGAGGGGCAACTGAAGACTGGCCTGCAGGCTCCCATAGTTTATTCTCAACACAGCCGTGACAGTGAGTCTTGTTAAACCTAGGTCAGAGGTGTCAACTTCTCTTCTACTCAAGACCTCCAGTGGCTTCCCACCTCATCAAGAGGAAGACTAGAATCTTCACAAAGATCTACAAGGCCCCGCATGGCATGCACCCCACCTTCTTCTCTAACTTCTCCCCTTCGACCACCTTCCCTCTACCCACCACCAGTCACCTTCTATTCCTCAAGCATTCCAGGCTCACTGCTTGCCCGTGCTGTTCTCTGGGAGCATTCTTCCTGCAGATTCAGAATAACTCATTTCCTTGCCTCTAGCAGGTCTTTACTCAAATGTCCCTTTTCAGTATGAGACACCATGACTGCCCTATTTCATATTTTAATCCTATCCCACCCCAGAATACCAATTCTTGTTTCATTTTTTTTGATAGCACTTATCAACATCAGCCCAACTGGTTTTATTTTTTTGTTTTCTGTTTTTCCCAACTAGAATATAAGCCCCCAGGTATATGCTGTCTATTTTGCTCTCAAATGTAATCCCAGAACACTTAGAATGATATCGGGCACATAGTAGGCACTTAATATTCATTGAATAAATAAATGAATTAAAGAATAAATTAATGAACATTTTAAGATATTTAATCTTAACATGCATTTTCGTTGTCATGTATTACTCATTTATGGACAATAATCAACATCTCCCATAACACAACTTGGTAAAAATAAGTTTTTCAAAGTTTGATTAAATACTTGTTGTATTTAATGCAGGTGGAGGAACAAAAACCATTCCCACCAGCCTTTCTTCACATTATTAAGCAGCATTAAAACTGAACAAATTGCTTTCGACAAGGGAAAATGACCTCTCTTTGATTTTAGGAACAAAATACACTTTCTCCCTTTTTAATGTGAAGTTGTAGGGTCACAATGAATGACCTACCAATTACCAAATCCCACAAACACTCCTCAGTACTTACCTTTCTTGAGTTCTCTGGGTTATTTGACACTCCTGAGCACCTCCTTCTTCAAAAAATTAATAGAGATTTAATTTATTATGGCTTAACAAATAGGTGGGAGACTGGTTCTTCAGTAAAATTAAATGTATGTTGTTAATATATTTCTTATGATTGAAGTAATAAAACTTCCAATTTAAAAATAATATGTAAAGTGTTATTGGTTGACTATATAGGGATTCATGCTTGTTGTAAAAAAAAAAAATCAGAAGAATAAAAAAGAGAATTCAAATCCCACCACTCGAGATAGGCAGTTCAAAAACTGGATGTGTATTTTGCATACATACAAACAAAATTTTTAAATAGAAAGGATTCTACTACAATATTTTTACACTAATTTTTTACTTTAAAATATGTTATATTTATTCTTATTAAATTGTATGCACACACATCTACATCATATTATAATAACTATAGAATATCTCATTGTTGGAATGCACCAAATTTGTTTTACCCATGCATCATTATCATGCATTTAGATTATTTCCATTTTTCTAGTTTAATACATCTTGATTAACCTCCTTGAAGATATATTGTTATGCAATTAGCCCATTATATTTTAAAGAATAACCCTTAGAAGTAGAATTGCTGGGTTTTAACATCTGTAAAAACTCTTTCCTTCCTTCCTTCCTTCCCTCCTCCCTCCCTCCCTCCCCTCATTTCTTTCTTTCTTTTTCTCTTTCTTTCTTTTTCTTTCTTTCTTTCTTTCTTTCTTTCTTTCTTTCTTTCTTTCTTTCTTTCTTTCTTTCTTTTCTTTTCTTTCTTCTTTCTTTCTTTTTCTTTCTTCTTTCTTTTTTCTTTCTCTCTTTTTTTCTTTCTTTCTCTTCTTATTTTACTTCAAGTTCTAGTATACATGTGCACAATGTACAGGTTTGTTATATAGGCATATGTCTGCCATGGTGGTTTGCTGCACCTATCAATCCATCATCTAGGTTTTAAGCCCTGCATGCATTAGATATTTATCCTAATGTTCTCCGTCCCCTTGCCCCCCACCCCCGACAGTCCCTGGTATGTGTTGTTCCCCTCCCTGTGTCCATGTGTTCTCATTATTCAACTCCCACTTATGAGTGAGAACATGTGGTGTTTGGTTTTCTCTTCCTGTGTCAGTTGCTGAGAATGATGGTTTCCAGCTTCATCCATGCTGCTGCAAAGGACATGAAGTCATTCTTTTTTTATGACTGCATAGTATTCCATGGTGTATATGTGCCACATTTTCTTTATCCAGTTTATCATTGATGGGCATTGGGATTGGTTCCAAGTCTTTGCTATTGTAAATAGTGCTGCAATAAACATTATGTATGCATATGTCTTTATCGCATAATGATTTATAATCTTTTGGGTATATACCCAGTAATGAGATTGCTGGGTCAAATAGTTCTGGTTCTATATCCTTGAGGAATCACCACACTGTCTTCCACAATGGTTGAACTAATTTGCACTTCCACCAACAGTGTAAAAGTGTTGTTCCTATTTCTCCACAGCCTCACCAGCATCTATTGTTTACTGACTTTAATAATTGCCATTCTGACTGGCATGAGATGGTATCTCATTGTGGTTTTGATTTGCATTTCTCTAATGACCAGTGAGATGAGCTTTTTTTTTTTCATGTTTGTTGGTCGCATAAATGTCTTCTTTTGAGAAGTGTCTGTTCATATCCTTCATCCACTTTTTGATGGGGTTGTTTGGTTTTTTTTTTCTTGTAAATTTGTTTAAGTTCCCTGTAGATTCTGGATATTAGACCTTTGTCAGATGGGTAGATTGCAAAAATTTTCTACCATTCTGTTGGTGGCCTCTTAACTCTGATGATAGCTTCTTTCGCTGTACAGAAGCTCTTTAGTTTAATTAGACTGCATTTGTCTATTTTGGCTTTTGTTGCAATTGCTTTTGGTGTTTTAGTCTTGAAGTCTATGCCCATGCCTATGTCCTGAATGGTATTGTCTGGATTTTTATTCATGTATTGCTTTGTTTCTTGGATGTTGTTTTGACTAAATCTCCAGAGTAACAGTGGAGTAAACAGACATGGTTGGCTTACTCCTAACACTATAAAAAAATCATTCTTGATGTCTGCTATTTTTAACCAGCTATTTCAAAAGAACTGCTACTAAATATACTGAATATACAACTACTGAATTGAATATTTTTCTCAAACACAAACTGAAAACTATTGGTCTCTCCAATCAATGTAGCATACTATTTGGACTTGCTTTCTGCAACTTTTAATTGAGCTAATAATTAGGATTTAGGAGTTTTCACATTTAAAATCAAATTAAATTTCTATCTTTTGATAAAAAATGATCAGGCATTGTTAGGTCTGCATTCATTGGGGACAAAAATTGCTGGGAATGAATATCTCTTTGCCTGTTTAGATAGGATATGGGCATTCTAGTCAACCATAGTCCCCACAATTCACATATTGTATGCATATGTGCTTGAACTAAAATTATTCCACTCACATACATTTCCTGCCTGATTCATATAGGCATTGGATTTTTGGTACTTAATCCAAAATATTAATTTTTAAAACTCCATAAAATTATTTCACAGACCCCATAATAACACATCACAGCTTCCAACTCCTGGGTTCAAGCAAACATTCTGTGTCAGCATCCTGAGTAGCCAGGACTATAGTAGCATGCCACTGTGCCTCATGTCCATGGAATTCTGTTATGTAAATGGATAGTAATTTTGTTAACCAATTACCTATTTTTGAATATTGAGGTTATTTTCCAGTCTTTCAATTTTAAACATATTCTTATGAATAACTGATTATTTACTTAGCAGAAAAATCTTAGTTGTAGAATTATTGGTATGCCTATTTTGAAGGCTGTAAGTAAGCATTGCTGGATAGCCTCTAGAGATGTTGTTGGTTTTACATTGGCACTAGTAGAGCCTGTATTCTATCAGCTTCCAAAAGTTAGGTATTATTATTTTTAAAAATTTGTCAAAAATAGGTTTGCATTTTTCTATCAATTTATTTTAGTAATTTCTTTTGTTATATTTATCACTAGTAAAGTGCATCACTCAGTACCTTTTTGTTACAGGTATCAGAGAACCACTGTAGATTGCTGAAGCCAAAAAAGAGACAGATGTGTCTCCCAGAGCCAAGGGCATAAGCACAGCAGAGCCTCAGGAAAGACTGGAGCCAAACCAGGGCCTGGAAAGTCCACGGTAACTCTGAAAGTGTTCTTCACAGCCTATCAATTCTCAATGTTTGTGTGAATCCGCTTATTCTGTCTCTCTCTGTCCCTCTCCCTCTGCTAAGTAGATTCCTCACTGTCCAATCTGCATGGTGGCAGATGGTCTTTTAAATTTCCTGAGTTTTGATTATGGGACCATACATGTAGTGAGACTAAATCTTAATTTGTAGATGGAGGACTTTGGTTGGTTTGACTTAAGACAGATGCCCGTTCATCACTGGCCACTTGACTCTATATTGTTTAAACAAGCCGCAAGGGCATAATAGAGGGAACTTTTAGGGGAGTTCGATGAAAGGTATGAAGACAACCAAAATAGTTATCACCATAGGAGACTGAATATGTTTCTATGTGCTCATTGGTCATTTGAATGCCTACATATTAGAATTACCAATGTATATTCTTTGCCCATTTTACTAATGGTGTGTTCATCAATTTCATACTAATTTGAAAGTGCTATTTATTTATTATAGTTATTATCCCCTTTCCACCTATATTTAAATTTACCTACTGGTTGTCATGTAATTTTTTATTTTGTTTATGGTCCCTTTTCAGCCCCAAGGTTTCAAAGTCATGTAAATGTATCAACTCTGAAGTAAGATTCCATTAGTTCTCCTCAGGTTCTATAACTACTTGCTGAGAGTTCATGGACAAGTTTAATTTCTCAACACTTTGGTTTCTACCTTTTGGAAAATGAATCTAATCCCCTACTACTCTACAGGTTTATTGTAAGGATTAAATAAGTTTTTACATATAAAATACTTGACACAATGTTTGAAATAAAAAAAAACTGCTGAGCGAACAGCTGTCATTTTTTTTTGTTCTTTTGCTTAAAAGGGCCATCTAACCTCAATTTTCTTTAAGAAAACCTTATTTTAATTGACTTTTTATCATTGCATTACTTTATATTTTATATTCAACTGTTAAATTTATGTCCAATTATTTTAGTGTATGATATGAGAGAGAGATTTCACCTCATTTTATAGATTTGTCTAAATGCCCAACATTATTTATAGATTAATTATTCTTGTTCCACTAGTTTGAAATACCACCACTTTAACATTATAATTTATTAAGTATCTGAGTCTGTCTTGGGGAGCATTTTATTATATTCTATTTTTTGGCAAGTATTACTGTTTTAAAACAGTATATAGAAGTATTTCCCTAAGTATTCTTTGTTATCTCACAAAAGTTTGTCTCATTTTTCTTTGAATTCTTTATTGACTACATTTACCAATTTACTTTTCCACGTGAGTGTTACTTTATGAAATTATTTTTCTCCTACCCCTACATATGCCTAAGATATTTTGTTGCAGAAATTCTGTTCTGAAGATTTTATGTCTTTATTATTGCCTTTTCATCTAAAAACAGATTTTTGTTGAAATTTTCTCTTTTTCTATGCCTACGACCGCAATTTCTTCTGGGACAAAGAGTCTCTCATTCCTTTCCACCCTGCAAATCTCACTTGAATGCCTCTCATTTATAATCTCTAACCCAGACCCATATAAAGAAGGGGATTCTGGGATTTGTAGTTCCTGACTTCTCCTAGGCAGTACGCAAAGTAGACCTCAGTACCTAGTGGAGATAGCTGTCAAGTTGTTATGAGATAATTCAGCACATGAGGCATCCTTCTGTGGTTCTCAGGTTGGGAGAGTAACTCAATATTTCCTGGAATGTGAACGTTGTTCACTGTTGGTTTGATATAAAAATCTTTATCACATTAAAGAAGCCTCATTCTAGTCTTCCAAATTTACTAAAAAGTTTTTATCAGGAATAAATGTTGAATTACACCGAATGTCTCCCTTTTCTAAACTCTCCTTCTTTGATTACTATGACCTCATTCTCTCCTATTTCCTTCTTACTTTTTAATCCATTCATTCTTATTACCTTTTGCTTACTTTTTATTCTACATTTTCCTTTTCAATACTGGTATTACCAAGGAGTACATCCTTGGTTTGTTTTTTACTTTATTTACTCACTATTGTTATAGTTTTATCTCCAACTCAGATTTACTGAACTCTAAGCATATATTTCCAACTGTTTATTGAATTTCTGTATATGACTGAACATGGGTAAGTCAAACTCTGTCATAAAATGAAGGCCTTGTTTTTCCCTACAAACCAATTACTCTGCTAACACCAATTCATCCCTTTTTTGTAGTTGAATAAGGGCAAAATCCCCTACTCAATGGCTGGAAACATCAGCCTAATCTTCAACCTTCTCTTATCCAGTGAATCATAATTTTGCTTTAGAAATATAGTCTGAATATGCCTTCCCTAGTGTGTTTATGTTCAAAATCTTATCATCTCTACCTAAGGTGGTAGTGCAGCAATCTTCTAAAAGATCTGTCTCCATATCTTCTCTGCACATCAATCTCTTCTCCCAACATTTGCCTCATACCAGAATTATCTTTCATACATATGAAATGGATACTGTCTTCTCCTTATTCAAAAAATGTTGATCAGTACACAAATAAAGTTAGATAGAATAAGCCGTAATATTTAATAGCACAGCTAGGTGACTACAGTCAACAATAATTTATTGTACATTTTTAAATAACTAAGAGTATAATTGGAATATTTGTAACATAAAGAAATTAAAAATGTTTAAGGTGATGGATGCCCCATTTACCCTGATGTGATTAATATGTATTGTATGCCTATATCAAAATATCTCATATGTTAGATGAATATATGCAGCTACAATGTACCCATGAAAATTAAAAACTAAAAAAAAACTTTGTTGGCTTGCTCTTAATAACTGGACAACATTAGAATGCATTGGGTACATACAAAAGGCCCTGAACTTTTTACACTTTTTTCTTCATTGGTAGTCGCTGTCCCTGGTTATGTTATAGAGTCACTACTTTACACTTTCTCATATTCTATTCACATTTCAATAATGCATCCTCCATTTTTGCCTATATAGAAACCTCCTGTTGCTCATTCAAGACTTTTCAAAAATCAACTCCTCTCTAAAGTCTTTCTGAGTCTCCAGGTGTAGTCTTACCCAAATTCCCTTTCCATTTACCTGACTAAATTGTAATCATTTGTTTACATAATATTTTTCCGTTAGATTTGAGTTCCTTGAGGCTGAGGTCATGTCTGATGCTTCTGTGTGTCTCTGGGACATAGCAATGATTAAGTCCTCAATGAACATTAAATGGCTGAATGCATATATGTCTCAAAGATCTGCAACATATGGCAAACATTAGATTTAGTCAATAAAATGAATGAAAGAAAAATTGATGAAAGATTTAAAATAATCACAATTTTTAGACCAAGGCTACCACCTCTGGCCACATGACATTTGCCAATTTATGAAATGATTTAATTGAAAATGAAAGGCCCTGATGAATTATATAGTCTGTTCTATTCCTAACCTCCCTGAATCTTAGACCTTTTATCAATAATAGCAGATATAATAACATTCTTATATGTCAGAATTATTGTGACAATAAAATGAACTGTGTGTAGGAAAGCTCTTTTAAATTTGGAAAAGCTGGAGAGATGTGAAAGGAGTTTATTACTTCATATTTAATGCTGTAAGTCAATCTTGTGTGTTTGGGAAAATCTTTAAATCAGGGCTTTTCTATAAAGAGTTATTGGCCCTTACCTGTTGGTAATCCCTCAGCTCACGGCCTAATAAGTAAGACATAATCAGATATTCACATAATATTTTCAAAATACACATCCTTAGTTTCAGTTTAATCAAGCATTTAATGTAAATACAGAGTATCTGCATTGTATACCTTTCCAGAGACTATAGCTTCCTGATTCTAAACCTCTCTAAGAATATAAACAAAATAAATTTTAAATATTATCTTGGGATATATAACCAATGTAATAAACCACTAGACACAAAGAGAGTGTAAATAATAAAATCAAAAAATATATTTTTTAATTATCTGAAATGGATGTTTCTATGCCTAGGAAGACCAAGAATATCAGATCAAAATTTATTACAATTCATAAGAAAATTTAACAAAGTAGCTGGATATAAGATAAATACTTAGAAAATAATGCAAGTTTATTTATCAACAGTGACAATAGATAATATATGGGAAATGAGTCATTTTATACTTTAAACCAAAGGTATAAAATACTTAGACATATGCCTAATAAGAAATAAGTTAGAAAAATGTTAATAAGCCTATAAAACTTGCAAGTAGAGAAATATGCAATGTTCCTAGGTGGAGCACCGAAAAAAGAGGTGTTTATAAATAAACTAAATTACAACAATATATTCCAACTAAAATCTCAATGGGATTTTTTGAGGGGTAAAAGAGAAGCAAAATATGACAATATAAAAGAAACTTGCCTTCCCAGGATTTAAAACATATTATAGAGCTGCATGTAATAAAGTAGAGTGGTACTTCTATAAGAATAGGCAGATCTTAGTTGAAAACAGTGGAGAAAATGTCACACAGATAATTGCTTAAACAATATCTTCTCTGTTAAACTTTGTCACTGTACATAAGCAAATTTTTATCACCCTCTTTGATATTCTATCATTTTTTATTTGGATGGCTCATATGAAATTATCAATACTCAATATCAATTATCATTAGACAATAAAAAAGATAATTTTGTTTCTCCATTACAGCTCTTATGCTGGATATTACAATTAGTATTTTACATGTCCATCTTAGGCTGTGAGTTCTTCAAAATCAGAAAATTTATTTTATTTATTCATAAACCTTTAGCACCTAGCCAGTGCCTAGCCCATAATAAAACTATAAAAAAAATTATTTGGTTATATAATTGTACATAAAACAATCCTCAGCAAATTCAATAAGATAGGAAATCCTACCGACCACATTCTTGAACCACAGAACAATAAAAATAGAAATCAACACACACACACACACACACACACACACACACACACACACAACACTCAAAACCATACAATAACATGGAAATAAAATGACCTGCTCCTAAATGACTTTTGGATAAATAGTAAAATAAGGCAGAAATCAAGGAGTTATTTGAAGTTAATGAGAACAAGGATATAACATATCAGAATCTCTGGGACACAGTTAAGACAATGTTAAGAGGGAAATTTATAGTACTAAACATCCAAATCAAAAAGCTAGAAAGATCTCAAATTAACAACCTAACATCACACCTAGAAGAATTGAAGAAGCAAGAGAAAATCACTTCTAATGATAGCAGAAGACAAGAAATAACCAAAATCAAAGCTGAACTGAAGAAGATTCAGACACACAAAAAATCTACACGAAAGATCAACGAATCCAGGAATTGGTTATTTGGAAAAAAATAATAAGATAAACTGTTAACTAACTAATAAAGAAGAAAAGAGAAGAGATCCAAATAAGCACATAGCAGTGATAATGGAGATGTGACCATTGACTCCACAGGAATACAAATAATCATCAGAGCCTACTATGAACACCTTTATCCACACAAACTAGAAAGTCTAGAAGAAACGGATAATTTCATGGACACATACACCCTCCCAAGACTGAGCCAAAAGGAACTGAATCTATGAATAGACCAATAATGAGCTGTGAAATTGAGGCAGTAATAAACATCCTACTGACAAAAAAAGGGAAAAAAAACAAGTCCAGGACCAGATAGGTTCACAGTTGAATTCTAACAGATATACAAAGAAAAGCTGCTACCATTCCTCGTGAAACTATTCCAAAAAATTGAAAAGGAGGGAATCCTCCCCAACTCATTCTATGTGGCCAGCTTTATCCTGATATCAAAACCTGAGAGAGAGACAGCAAAAAATGAAAACTTCTGGCCAATATCCTTGATGAACATCTATGTAAAAATCCTCAACAAAATACTAACAAACTGAATCTAGTAGCACATCAAAAAGCTAATCCACCATGATCAAGTTGGCTTTAACCCCTGGGATGCAAGGTTTGTTCAACATATACCAATCAATAAATGTGATTCATCACATGAACAGAAGTAAAGACAAAAACACGTGATTATCTCAAAAGATGCAGAAAAGTCTTTTAATAAAATTCAACATCACTTCATATTAAAAACTCTCAATAAACTAGACATTGAAAGAACATACTTCAAAATAACAAGAGCCATCTATGACCAATTCACAGGCAATTTCATACTAATAGACAAAAGTTGAAAGCTTTTGAAAATCTCACCACTCCTATTCAACATAGTATTGGAAATCCTGGCCAGAGCAATGAGGCAAGAGAACGAAGTAAAGACATCCAAATAGGAAGACAGGAAATCAAACTATTACCTTCTGCAGATGACATGATTCCATATCTAGAAAATCATATTGTCTCTGCCCAAAAGCTCCTTAAGCTGATTAACAACTTCAGCAGTTTCAGGATACAAAATCAGTAGCATTCTTATACACCAAAAACATCCCAGCCAAGAGCCAAATCAGGAACGCAACCTTGTTCACAATTGCCACAAAAAGAATAAAATGCCTAAGAATACAGCTAACTAGAGAGCTGAAAGATCTCTATAAGGAGAACTACAAAACACTGCTCAAGTAAATCAGAGATGACACAAACAAATGGAAAAACATTCCATGCTCATGCATAGGAAGAATCAATATTATGAAAATGCCATACTGCCCAAAGCAATTTACATATTTAATGCCATTCCTATCAAACTACCAATGACATTATTCACAGAACTAGAAAACTATTTTAAAATTCCCAAGGAACCGGAAAAGAGCCTAAATAGCTGAGGCAAGCCTAAGCAAAAAGAACAAACCTAGAGGCATTACTTCACCCAACTTCAAATACAGGACTACAGTAACCAAAAAAGTATGATATTGGTACAAAAACAGACATATAGACCAGTGGAACCAAATAGAAAGCCTAGAAATAACGCTGCACACCTGCAACCATATGATCTTTGGCAAAGGTGACAAAAAACAAGCACTGAGGGAAGGACTCCCTAATCAATAAACGGTGCTGAGATAACTGACTAGCCATGTGCAGATTATTGAAACTGGACCACTTCCTTACACCACATACAAACATTAACTCAAGATGAATGTATTAGTCTGTTTACACACTGCTATAAAGGACTGCCTGAGACTGGGTGATTTATAAAGAAAAGAGGTTTAATTGACTCACAGTTCAGCATGGCTGGGCAGGCCTCAGGAAACTTACAATCTTGGCAGAAAGTGAAGGGGAAGCAAGGCACTTTCTTCACAAGGTGTCAGGAAGAAGAGTGAATGCAGGAGGAACTACCAAACACTTATAAAACCATCATATCTCATGAGAACTCACTATCACAAGAACAGCATGGGGGAACCACCCCCATGATCCAATTACCTCCACCTGGTCTTTCTATGAGGATTTCTATGAGGATTATGGGGATTATAATTCAACATGAGATATGGGGGGGGGGACAGAAAGCCTATCCATATTATTCTGCCACTGGCCCCTTCCAAGTCTCATGACTGTTTCACATTTCAAAACTAATCATGCCTCTTCAGCAGTCTCCCAAAATCTTAATTCATTCCAGCATTAACCCAAAGTCAAAGTCCAAAGTCTCATCTGAGACAAGGCAAATCCCTTCTGCTTAGGAGGCTGAAAAAAAAAAAAGAAAGAAAAAAGTTAGTTACTTCCAAGATACAATGTGAGTACAGGCATTGGATAAATGTTTCCATTCCAAATGAGAGAAATTAACCAAAACAAAGGGGCTGCAGGTCCCATGCAAGTCCAAAATCCAGCTGGGCAGTCATTAAACTTTAAATTTCCAAAATGATCTTTTTGATTCCAAGTCTCAAATCTAGGTCAGACTGATGTGAAAGGTGGGCTCCCACAGACTTGAGCAGCTCCACGTCTGTGGTTTTAGAGAGTACAGCCCCCCTTCTGACTGGTTTTATGAGCTGGAGTTGAGTGTCTGCTACTTTTTCAGGTGCATGGGGCAAGATGTTAGTAGATCTACTACCCTGGGGTCTGGAGGACAATAGCCCTCTCCTCACAGCTCCGCTAAGCATTGCCCCATTGGGAACTCTGTGTGGGGACTTCAGTTCCACATTTCTCTTCTGCAGTGCCCTAGCAGACATTCTTTGTGAGGGCTCCACCCTTGTAGCAAACTTCTGCCTGGCCATCCAGGCATTTCCATGAATCCTCTGAAATCTAGATGGAGGTTCCCAAACATCAATTCTTGACTTCTGTGCACCTGCAGGCCCAACACCATGTGTAAGCCACCAAAGCTTGGGACTGGCACCTTCTGAAGCAATGGACTGAGCTCTATGTTGGCCCCTTTTAGCCATGACTGGGGTGCAGGGCACCATGTCTTGAAGCTGCACAGAGCAGCAAGGGCCTGGCCCTCACCTATGAAACCATTTTTCCTTCCTATGCCTCTGGGCTTGTGATGGGAGAGGCTGTTGTGAAGACCTCTGTCATGTACTAGAGACATTTTTCCCATTGTCTTAGTGATTAACATTTGGCTCCTGGTTACTTATGCAAATTTCTGCCGCTGGCTTGAATTTCTCCTCAGAAAAATGGATTTTTATTTTCTATCACATTGTCAGGTGGCAAAATTTCCAAACTTTCATGCTCTGCTTCCCTTTTAAATAAAACTTCCAATTCCAAACCATCTATTCGAGAATGCATAAAACTAAGTGTTTTTAAGATCACCCAGGTCAACTCTTGGATGTTTTGCCACTTAGAAATTTCTTCCACCAGACAACCTAAATTATCTTTCTCAAGTTCTAAATTCCAAAGATCTCTAGGGCATAGGCAAAATGCTGCCAGTCTCTTTGCTAAGGCATAGCAAGGGTCATCTTCATTCTAGTTCCCAACAAGTTTCTTATCTCCATCTGAGACCACCTCAGCCTCGACTTCATTGTCCACATTACTATCAGCATTTTGGTCAAAGCCATTCATAAAATCTCTCGGAATTTCCAAACATGTCCATATCTGCTTGCCTTCTTCTGAGCCCTCCAAGCTGTTCCAACTTCTGCCTGTTACCCACTTCCAAAGTCACTACTATATTTTCAGGTAACTAAATACCAGCACCCCACTACCTCAGTACCAATTTACTGTAGTAGTCTGTTTTCACACTGCTATAAAGAACTGCGTGAGACTGGGTAATTTATAATGAAAAGAGGTTTAATTGACTCTAAGTTTAGCATGGCTTGGGAGGCCTCAGGAAATTTACTATCATGGCAGAAGGTGAAGGGGAAGCAAGGTACCTTTTTCACAAGGTGGCAGGAAGAAGAGTGAATATAGGGGGAACTACCAAACACAGAAAACCATCAGATCTCGTGAGAACTCACTACCACAAGATTGAAACCAAAGCAAAAATTGACAAATGCAATCTAATTAAAGAGCTTCTGCAAAGAAAAGGAAACTATCAACAGAGTGAATAGACAACCTACAGAATGGGAGAAAATTTTTGCAAACTATGCATCTGACAAGGGCTAATATCCAGAATCTGTAAGGAACTTAAACAAATCAACAAGCCAAAAAAAAAAAAAAAAAAAATCCATTAAAAAGTGGGCAAAGAACATGAATAGACACTTCTTGAAAGAAGCCATACATGCAGTCAACAAGCATATTAAAAAATACTCAATGTCACTAATCATTAGAGAAATGCAAATCAAAACCACAATGAGATACCATCTCACACCAGTCAAAATGGTTATTAATAAAAAGTCAAGAAATAATAGATGCTGGTGAGGTTGTGGGGAAAAGAGAATGCTTATACACTGCTGGTGGGGGTGCAAATTAGTTCAACCACTGTGGAAAGCAGTGTGGCAATTCCTGAAAGAACTACAAACAGAATTTCCATAAAACCCAGCAACCCCATTATTGGGTACATACCCAAAGGAATATAAATCATTCTACCATAAAGACACATGCACACATGCTCACTGCAGCACTATTCAAAAGAGCAAAGACATGTAATCAACCTAAATGCCCATCAATAATAGATTGGATCAAGAAAATGTGGCATATATACACCATGAAATACAATGCAGACCAAAACAAACAAACAAGACAAAACAAGATCATGTCCTTTTTAGGAACATGGATGAACCTGGAGGCCATTTTCCTAAGTGAACTAATGCAGGAACAGAAAACAAAATACTACATGTTCTCACTTATAAGTTGGAGCTAAACAATAAGAACACTTGAACACAAAGAGGGGAACAAGAGACACTGGCGTCCACTTGAGGGTGGAGGGTGAAAGGAAGGAAAGGATCAGAAAAAGTACCTATCGAGCACTGTGATGAAATAAACTGTACCCCAAATTCCTGTAACATGAGTTTACGTATATAACAAACCTGCACATGTACCCCTGAACCTTAAATAAAAGTTAAATAGAAAAAATAATAAAATAGGATAATAATTCTAAAAAAATTGATGGTCTTGTTTTAGAATGTGAGTGCACCATCTTTTAATACATGCGATCACCTTTAAGACATCAAGATTGACATTAACTAAAATCTGTTTTGAGTATCTTTTATATAGTTGAAATATGTAATTGAAATCAGATGATGGTGAGAAATCATGAAATCTAACTAGTCAGAATATCAGTAGTAAAAACCAGGCATTTTGTCTCTAATTAGTTTATACTATCAACATATCTAAAACTAGGGTTGTCCTCTTGCATTTCATGTAACAAATATTCTTATCTAAAAACTTAATATTTATAACTAAAATATAGGTTTACCATTAAACATACTAGGGGTAACTAGCTATATCTATAGTTAATTTGGATGTTTTTAAATGTGGACCATCACCATTACTATATATTTTATTTGGAAATATATAAACCCCATAAACATTTCCATTAAAGAAAGAAATTTAAACCTCAAAACCTAATTGTTTTTATGTAATATTAAGGAAAAAAATTGACTTAACAAACACGAAGATAATAACACCTAATTTTATAGAGCTATGTTTGGCCTTGAATCTTATTATGTCAAATAAAATAAAAAACTAAGTAGACATTGTAATAAAATCTGCATGATTGTAGAGAAACATTTTGGCAAAAATCAGTTGTGTATGTTTGCTTAGGTAACACTAACGTCATAGCAAAATGGTATCACTGTGGCCACCACCACCAATTAAATTTTTGTTAAAATCTGTCTTTTGAATAAAAGAATTCTTGGCTGGGTGCAGTGGCTCACACCTGTAATCCCAGCTCTTTGGGAGGCCATGGCTGGCGGATCACGAAGTCAGGAGATGGAGACCATCCTGGTTAACACGGTGAAACCCTGTCTCTACTAAAAATACAAAAAATTAGCCGGGCAGGGTAGCAGGTGCCTGTAGTCCCAGGAACTCGGGAGGCTGAGTCAGGAGAATGGCGTGAACCCGGGAGGTGGAGCTTCCAGTGAGCCCAGATCGGGCCATTGCACTCCAGCCTGGGCAACAGGGCAAGACTCCATCTAAAAAAAAAAAAAAAAAAAAAAAGAATTATTTTATGTTAATGGAAGGTCCCTTGACCAAATCCTCATTTTCCTTTGTATATACAGTCAAAGTAGTTAGCCAGAATGTGTTACAAAAACTTAAGAGAATGAACTTAAGAAAATTTATAATAGTACTACAAATAAAATTAACTATCATTAAAACTTGTTACTTTTGACTTTAATAATAGGGCCCTAAGAAATGATTTCCTGTAGATGTAAAACTGGTGGCAATATTGTTAACACAAAAAAATTACATGTTGTACTAAATGCATTAGTTTATAAAAGGCATATCTAAAAAGGAAGTTGAATTTTCAAAACCAAGCTTCAATCATAGACTCCTGCAAATGCGTCTGGTTATGGGTTTGATACATTGTACAACAAAGTATGCATGACTTTTTATGTTTAATCTTAACTTTAAAAAAAAAACGAGAATTTTAAAAGAATCATTTACAGATTACCACAAAAATAAGTGATCTCTGTACCTATAACATGAACTGCTAATACAGAGAAGACACCATGCTGTCTAAAGCACTATCTTGCTGGCCATTGCCTCTGTTCTACAAAGTTCTAACATCACTCACAGCCTCCAGTAAAAAAAAGATTCCCTGACACATTGGGTCACAGAACTTCACAAGGCCCCTAGATACAACCCCAAAGGCTTTGATAAGAAAAGGGCTGTATTTTCCTAGCTTTTATCATACTGTGCTCAATCCAATGCAGTGAACATGAGTATGATGTCCTTTCATGAGTTTCATGAGTTCTTCAGGGTGGCACTAAGTAAAATTAAGTTGTGAAATGTTTCTTGACTTCTTTAGTTCAATTTTTATAAAAAATTATTTTTAGAAGGAATTTTAAAACCTGAGCCAATATTTTGTTTTCATTTTAGCTAATTTATTTTTCTTGTACAATGCAGCTATATGATGATTTTTTGTAGTATAAATGATACATTCTATAATAAGAGCCACATTTACATATGAAAAGCATTTTATTACTGTAAGGTTTTTGAGGACTTGAATGAGGCAGATTCTAAGCTTCAGTCTTACTTTCAAATTGTATTGCTATTAAAAGTTCTTTTCAGAGTAGAAAAGTTAACCTCATAACCCCAAACTTTTAGGTTTCCTCCCATTTTTACTGTAATATTCTAGATACTCACAGTACCTCTGTCTTCTGGAAAGTGAAAGGAAATTGTTGGAGTGGAAATTCTTAACATTAACAACCCTCAAAATCCAGACCTTGAGCCTAAATATATGAAAGAATGCTGTTGCCAAATTGACACCAGTCACAAAAGACTTTGAAAATTAATTCAAAAAGAGTTTACACATGTTGTCAAATCCCTGAATAATATTGCCTTGATCCAAGTGGGCCATTATGGAGGAGTCAGAAATCCCCTATAAAAAGCAAGTGATTATGGGTGGAATAAGCTGAATTGATTGGAGTGGACACTTGACATCTGGCATATTTCCCCATGCCTTGAATAAAGACATGGTTCATGTTTTCTGAAAGTCCATTTCTTGCCAAAACTTTCCCTCTAGTAGATTTACTATAGGAGATGAGCAGTCTAAAACTATTTCGCTTGGGAAAGTTACATGGTAAAAGTAACTGTGGATGCTCCATATCAACATTTTTAAAGGTCCACATACAGTCATGTACAAAGGCAATCTGAAGATTAGAGGTCATTTATATTCCTGCTTCTTCACTGCAAAATGATAGCAATGATTGATGTATTAAATACCTGTACATAAGATCAGACCTCTTCTGAGCACCTACTATTTGAAACAACTCTTTATCCTTCCCAACCACTCCCAGACCACAGAAACAAAAGTGACCTTTGTTTTCAGCCATAACCTAGGTTTGTTTCTGCCAACAAACATACAAATTTTTATTGTTTTCTATATCAATCTACTTAAAAGTAGAACAAAATATTAAATAAAACCTTACTAAAATATATGTCAAGCTCACAGTAGCCAAACTGCAGCCTTCACCTATGATCCTTGCATGATCAGCGGAGAGCACTGCGGTCAGTAAGGCCAAGGAAAGAGAAAATATGTCCTAGCTTTGAAATTCAGGTAATGTAGTTTTATGGTTTTCATTACGTTGTAATAGCTATGTAGAAGTAAATATAATCTTCCTGTTTTAAGTGCATATCTGTCATAAATAAATTCAGTGCTCTTTCTTCTGTAAACTACACAGTACATCCTATAAGTTCATGGAGTGTCAGAATGCAGAATTTAATTATATAATTCACTTAACCAAAGTTTTGCTGTTTCCTCAGTACAGCTCATAATTCTCCATTTTCACAAGAGATGTAGTAGGAACCTGATACATAATGCCTCTTGCGAATTTCAGATTAGAGAGAAAAATCAAAGGTATTAGTTCACCTTGTTCAGATAAAAAAAAAAGAGAGAGATAAAAATCCATGAAGACTTCCTTTACCTTTCTCTCTAATCTGAAAGCCTCAAAGATCACAGGTAGATAAATCCATGAAGATGAAGAAAAAACCAGTGCAAAAACGCTGAAAACTCCAAAAAACAGAATGTCTCTTCTCCTCCAAATGACCGCAAATCTTCACCGGCAGGAGCACAAAACTAGACAGAGAATGAGACTGATGAATTGCCAGAAGTAGGCTTCAGGAGTTGGGTAATAACAAACTCCTCCAAGCTAAAAGAACATGTTCTAACCCAATGCAAGGAAGCTAAGAATCTTGATAAAAGGTTACAGGAACTGCTAACTAGAATAACCAGTTTAGAGAGGAACACAAATGACTTCATGTAGCTGAAAAACACAGCATGAGAACTTCATGAAGCATATATAAGTATCCATAGCCGAATTGATCAGGAGGAAGAAAGGATATCAGAGATTGAAGATCAACTTAATGAAATAAGGTGTGAACAAGATTAGAGGAAAAAACGGATGAAAAGGAATGAACAAAGCCTCCAAGAAATATGGGACTATGTGAAAAGACAAAACCTACGATTGACTGGAGTAACTGAAAGTGAAGAGAGAATGGAATCACGTTAGAAAACACACTTCAGGATATTATCCAGGAGAACTTCCCAAACCTAGCAAGACAGGCCAACATTCAAATTCAGGAAATACAGAAAACACCACTAAGATACTCCTCGAGAATAGCAACACCAAGACACATAACTGTCAGATCCTCCAAGTTTGAAACAAAGGAAAAAATATTAAAGGCAGCCAGAGAGAAAGGTCAGGTTACCTACAAAGGGAGACACATCAGACTAATAGCAGAAACACTATAAGCCAGAAAAAAGTGGGGGACAATATTCAACACTCCTAAAGAAAGGAATTTTCAACCCAAAGTTTCATATGCAGCCAAACTAAGTTTCATAAGCGAAAGAGAAATAAAATCCTTTACAGACAAGCAAATGCTGAAAGATTTTGTCACTACCAGGCCTACCTTACAAGAGCTCCTGAAGGTAGCACTAAATATGGAAATGAAAAACTTGTATCAACTGCTGCAAAAACACACCAAAATATAAAGACCAATGATACTATGAAGAAACTGCATCAACTAATGTGCAAAATAACCAGCTAGCATTGTGATGACAGGACAAAATTCACACATAACAATATTAACCTTACATGTTAATGGGCTAAATGCCCCAATTAAAAGACAAAGACTGGCAAATTGAATAAAGAGTCAGGACCCGTCAGTGTGCTGTATTCAGGAGAACCATCTCATGTGCAAAGACACACATAGGCTCAAAATAAAGGGATGGAGGGATATTTACCAAGAAAAAAAAAAGCATGGGTTACAATCCTAGTCTCCGATAAAACAGATTTTAAACCAACAAAGATTTAAAAAGACAAAGAAGGGCATTACATAATGGTAAAGGGATCAATGCAACAAGAAGAGCTAACTCTCCTAAAGACAGAAGCATCCAATACAGAAGCACCCAGATATATAAAACAAGTTATCAGAGACCTCAAAGAGACTTAGATACCTACACAATAATGGTGGGAGACTTTAACACCCACTGTCAACATTAGACAAATCAATGAGACAGAAAATTAACAAGGATATTCAGGACTTGAACTCAGCTCTGAATCAAGCATACCTAACAGACATCTAGAGAACTTTCCACCCCAAATCAACAGAATATACATTCTGCAGAGTACCACCTACCAGGTACTCTAAAATTGACCACATAATTGGAAGTAAAACACTCCTCAGCAAATGCAGAAGAATAACAGTCTCTCAGACCACAGTGAAATAAAATTAAAACTCAGGATTAAGAAACTCACTCAAAACTGCACAACTACATGGAAATTGAACAACTTGCTCCTGAATGACTACTGGGTAAATAAAATTAAGGCAGAAATAAACAAGTTCTTTGAAAGCAGTGTGAACAAAGAAACAATGTACCAGAATCTCTGGTACACAGCTAAAGCAGTGTTTAGAGGGAATATTATGGCACTAAATGTCAACAATAGAAAGCTGGAAAGATCTAAAATTGACAACCCAACATCAAAGTTAAAAGAACTACAGAAGCAAGAGCAAACAAATTCAAAAGCTAGCAGGAGACAAGAAATAACTAAGATCAGTGCAGAACTGAAAGAGATAAAGACAAGAAAAACCCTTCAAAAAATCAATGAATCCAGGAGTGGTTTTTTGAAAAGATTAGCAAAATAGATGGACCACTACCTAGACTAATAAAGAAGAAAAGAGAGAAGAATCAAATAGACACAATAAAAATGATAAAGGGGATATCACCACTGATCCCACAGAAATACAAATTACCATCAGAGAATACTACAAACATCTCTATGCAGATAAACTAGAAAATCTAGATGAAATGGATAAATTCCTGGATACATACTACCTCCCAAGACTAAATCAGGAAGAAGTTGAATCCCTGAATAGACCAATAACAGGTTCGGAAATTGAGGTGTAATTAACAGGCTAGAAACCAAAATAAAGCCCAAGACCAGATGGATTCACAGCTGAATTCTACCAGAGGTACAAAGAGGAGCTGGTACCATTCCTTCTGAAACTATCCCAAACAATAGAAAAAGATGGACTCCTCTCTAACTCATTTTATGAGGCCAGCATCATCCTGATACCAAAACCTGGCAAAGACACAACAAAAAAGACAGTTCCAGTCCAATAAGCCTGATGAACATCAATGAAAAAATCCTCAAAAAAATACTGGCAAACAGAATCCTGCAGCATATCAAACAGCTTATCCACCACGATCAAGCCAGCTTCATCCCTGGGATGCAAGCCTAGTTCAATATATGCAAATCAATAAATGTATTCCATCACATACACAGAACCAATGATAAAAACCACACGATTATCTCAATAGATGCAGAAAAGGCCTTTGAGAAAATTCTACATCCCTCGAGTTAAAAACACTAAGTAAACTAGGTATTGATGGAACATATCTCAAAATAATAAGAGCTATTTATGACAAACCCATAGCAAATATCATACTGAATGGGCAAAAGCTGGAAGCATTCCCTTTGAAAACTGGCACAAGACAAGATGCCCACCACTCCTATTCAATATAGTACTGAAAGTCCTGGCCAGGGTAATCAGACAAGAGAAAGAAATAAAGGGTATTGAATAGGAAGAGAGGAAATCAAATTGTCTCTGTTTGCAGATGACATGATTGTACATTTAGAAAACCCCATCATCTCAGCCCCAAAACTCCTTAATCTGATAAGCAACTTCAGCAAAGTCTCAGGATACAAAATCAATGTGCAAAAATCACAAGCATTCCTATACACCAACAACAGAGAAAGCAGAGAGCCAAATCATGAGTGAACTCCCATTCACAATTGCTACAAAGAGAATAAAATACTGAGGAATACAACTTACAAGGGAAGTGAAGAACCTCTTCAAATAGAGCTACAAACCACTCAGCAAGGAAATCAGGGAGGACACCAACAAATGGAAAAACACTCCATGCTCATGGATAGGAAGAATCAATATCATGAAAATGGCCATACTGCCCAAAGTAATTTATAGATTCAATGCTATCCCCATCAAGCTACCACTGACTTTTTTAACAGAATTAGAAAAAACTAATTTAAATTTCATATGGAACCAAAAAACAGCCCATATAGCCAAGACAATCCTAAGCAAAAAGAACAAAGCTGGAGGTATCACGCCACCTGACTTCAAACTATACTACAAGGCTACATTAACCAAAAGAGTATAGTACTGATACCAAAACAGATATATAGACCAATAGAACAGAACAGAGACTTTAGAAATAACACCACACATCTACAACCATCTGATCTTCAACAAACCTGACAAAAACAAGCAATGGGGAAAGTATTCCCTATTTAATAAATGATATTGGGAAAACTGGCTAGCCATATGCAGAAAACAGAAACTGGATCCCTTCCTTACACCTTATACAAAAATTAAATCAAGATGGATTAAAGACTTAAATGTAAAACCTAAAAACCATAAAAACCCTAGAAGAAAACCCGAGGAATACGATTCAGGACATAGGCATGGGCATAGACTTCATGACTAAAACACCAAAAGCAAATTGCAACAAAAGCCAAAATTGACAAATGGGATCTAATTAAACTAAAGAGTTTCTGCATAGCAAAATACACTGTTATCACAGTGAACAGGCAACCTACAGAATGGGAGAAAATTTTTGCAATCTAGCCATCTGACAAAGGTCTAATATCCAGAATCTATAAGGAACTTAAACAAATTTACAAGAAAAAAACAAACAACCCCATCAAAAAGTGGATGAAGGATATCAACAGACACTTCTCAAAAGAAGACATTTATGTGGCCAATAAACATATGAAGAAAAGCTCATCATCAGGAAACAACAGATGCTGGTGAGGCTGTGGAGAAATAGGAACACTTTTACACTGTTGGTGGGAGTGTAAATTGGTTCAACTATTGTGGAAGACAATGTGGCAATTCCTCAAGGATTTGGAACCTGAAATACCATTTAACCCAGCAATCCCATTACTGGGCACATACCCAAAGATTATAAATCATTCTACTATAGAGACACATGCACATGTATATTTATTGCAGCAGTATTTACAATAGCAAAGACTTGGAACCAACCCAAATGCCCATCAATGATAGACTGAATAAAGAAAATGTGGCACATATATGCCATGGAATCCTATGCAGCCATGAAAAAGAATGAGTTCATGTCATTTACAGAGACATAGATAAAGCTGGAAGCCATCATTCTCAGCAAACTAACACAGGAACAGAAAACCAAACATTACATGTTCTCACTTATAAGTGGGAGTTGTACAATGAGAACATGTGGACACAAGGAGGAGAACATCACATACCGGGACCAGTTGGGTGGTGGAGGAGGGAAAGCATTAGGACAAATACCTAATGCATGTGTGGCTTAAAACCTAGATGATGGGTTGATAGGTGCAGCAAACTACCATAGCACATGTATACCTATGTATCAAACCTTCACGTTCTGCACATGTGTCCCAGAACTTAAAGTAAAATTAAAAAAAAAATTATCTGTAAGCAACACTGACTATGTAGATGTAAAGGTATAACAATACCAATGCTCTAGCTTTTCCTCTGATACAACTTTCCAGATAGTGCTGCTCCCTGGAATCCTAGGGAGAAATACATGCACGAGAATCTTCTGTTTACCCAACATGAACATGAAGAGTGAGGAATAAATAATTTCTCTTGTTTGAAGTCCCTGGGATGTGAGTGAAAAGGAAAGCTTGGTAGAATTCCACAAAAACAAATAATTTAACTCAAAATGAATGCTAATTTTATTCTATTATGAAAGATGTATTTGAATGAATAGCTACTGTATTAGTCAGTCCTCATACTTCCATAACAACATACTTGAGACTAGGTAATTCATAAAGAAAAGAGGTTTAATCAGCTCACAGTTTTGCAGGCTGTACGGGCTTCTGGTTCTGAGGAGGCCTTAGGAAACTTACAATCATAGCAAAAGGTGAAGGGGAAGCAGGCACAATCTTTACATGGTGGCACAGGAGAGAGTGAATGGGTAAGTGCTAAGCACTTTTAAATCTCATGAACACTCACCCACTATCACAAGAACAGTAAGGGGAAAATCCATCCCCATGATCCAATAACTTCCCACCAGGTCCTTCACTCAACGTTGTGGATTGCAATTCAACATGAGATTTGGGTGGGGACACAGAGCCAAACATATTATTCCACCCCTGGCCACTCCCAAATCGCATGTCCTTCTCATATTTCAAAACACAATGATGCCTTCCCAACAGTCCCCCAAAGTCTTAACTCATTCCAGCTTTAACTCAAAAGTCCAAGTCCAAAGTTTCATCAGAGATAAGGCAAGTACTGTCTGCCTATGAGCCTGTAAAATCTAAAGCAAGTTAGCTACTTTCTAGATACAATGGGGGTATAGGCATTGGGTAAATACATCTGTTCCAAATAGGAGAAATTGGTCAAAATGAAAGGGCCACAGGCCTCATGTAATTCTGAAATCAATAGGGCAGTCATTAAACCTTAAAGTTCCAAAATGATCGTTGACTCCATGTTTCATATCCAGATGACAGTGATGCAAGAGGTGGCTCTCATGGCCTTGGGAAGCTCCATCCCTGTGGCTTTGCAGAGTACAGCTTCTTTTCTGGCTGCTTTCAAGGGCTGGTGTTGAGTGTCTGCCACTTTTCCAGGCAAACAGTGCAAGCTGTTGGTGGATCTACCATTCTGTAGTCTAGAGAACAGTGGCCCTCTTCCAACAGCTCCACCAAGCAGTGTCCCACTGGGGACTCTGTGTGGGGGCTCCAACTCACATTTCCCCTCTGTAGTGTCTTAGTAGAGATTCTCCATGAGGATTCCACCCCTAGAGCAGACTTCTGCCTGGACATCAAAGCATTTCCATAGATCCTTTAAAATCTAGACGGAGGCTCCCAAGCCTCAGCTCTTGCCTTCTGCACAGCCACGGGTTTACCACCACATGGAAGTCTTGGCAGCTCCTGGCTTGCATCCTCTGGAGCAGTGGCCTGAGCTGTACTTTGGCCCCTTTTAGCCATGGCTGCAGTTACGACACAGGGCGCCATGTTCTGAGGCTGCACAGAGCAGCAAGGCCCAGAGTCTGGCCCATAAAACTATGTTTCCCTCCTGGACTTCTGGGCCTGTGATGGGAGGGGCTGTCATGAAGGTATCTGAAATGGCTTGGAGGCATTTTCCCCATTGTCTTGGCTATTAACATTCAGCTCCTCTTCGCTTATGCAAATTTTTGCAGTTGGCTTGAATTACTCCCCTGAAATGGGTTTTTCTTCTCTACCACATGTCCTGGCTTCACATTTTCCAAACTTTTATGCTCTGCTTCCCTTTTAAATATAACTTCCAGTTTCAGGTCATTTCTTTGTTTATGTAAAATAGTGTTGGATTTTAGAAGCAGCCAGGCCACATCTTGAACAGTTTGCTGCTTAGAAATTTCTTCTAGTAGATACCCTAAATCATCTCTTTCAAATTCAGAGTTCCACAGAACTATAAAGCAGGGCCACAAGGCTGCCAGTCTCTTTGCTAAAGCCTAGCAAGAGTAAGCTTTATTCTACTTCCCAATAAGTTCCTCATCTCCATTTGAGACTTCATCAGCTTGGCCACTAATAATGCATCATTTAATGCACTATCAGCATTTTGGTCAAAACCATTCAGCAAGTCTCTATGAGGTTCCGAACTTTCCCTCATCTTCCCCTCCTCTTATAAGCCCTCTAAACTGTTCCAACCTCTGCCTGTTACCCAGTTCCAAAGTTGCTTCCACATTTTCAGGTATATTTATAGCAATGCCCCACTTCTCTGGTACAAATTTTCTGTACTAGTCAGTTCTCACACTGCTATGAAGATATACCTAAGACTGGGTAATTTATAAAGAAAAGAAATTTAATCAGCTCAAGGTTCTGCAGGCTATACAGGCTTCTGCTTCTTGAAAGGTCTCAGAAAACTTCCAATTATGGCAGAAGGTGAAGAGGAAGCAAGCATAGTCTTCACATGGTGGAGCAGGAGAGAGAGAGTAAACAGGGAAGTGATACACACTTTCAAACAACCAGATCTCATAAGCACTTACTCCATTTTGAAAAGTCTCCATTTTGACACAGATTTTGTGGTGCTTCCAAGAATGCTATCAAGCATTCCAAGAATGCTCCAAAAATGTTGTCCAAAACATTTTTCAAACTCTTTCCTTGGAATTATCTATAGAATGTACACAACCTTATGATTTTCTTGTTTTATACCTGCCCTAACTCTCTAGAAGAAAACATATTCTGCTATTAAATTAAAAGTACATATATATTAATTCCATCTGTCAAAATTATGATTTAATTGCTAAACTTTGAAAGTTTTAATGTGAAAAAAATTTCCAATGATTTTAAATGAAATTTATTTCACTAGTAGCTTTTTGTTTTGCTTAAATGAGAGAAGAGATTAACTTTATTGAGTTCCTACTAAGTACCAGACACTGTGCCCAGTTTCACATATATTCTCACACTTAATCATGCCAGTTAGGTAGAATTTTCCCAGTTTTATACGTGAGGAAACCATGGCTCAGAGAGATCTTGTTCGAATTTACATGACCAGTTATTGATTATTTTAAATTGCTAATTAGAATTATATAATTCTAACTCTGAAAAAATGGGATTTTCCTATAAGACATAATGAAACCATTTTGAAACAACAATAATTACAGTTATAGCATCATTGCATAGTTCACAAAACATAATACATCTTTTTCCCCTTGGGTCATTTCAGCTGGCAAAATATATTAAGCAATTAGAACAAATTTGGAGTCATAAGTCATGTTTAGCAAACAAATGGAGTAAAAATGGCCACCAAATTTTGGCTTATGAGCAATATCCTCTGTGTGATCTGTATTCATATTTATTAACATATGGTTTAAATTTTGGCTTTTCAGTGAGTTGTAGTCAAAGTACATTCAAACACATTTTAAATGAAAAGACACTTTATGTTCAAATACTTCAAACAGAGAGATAGTGTTTTGATGAGACCATTAGAAGAAAATTGCCTGAATTTTCTGTTTTCATAAACCATGGCACTTTTATGTGTGTATGTTCTTAGGGCTAGGGTGAGTTTTAGGAAAACTGGCATTATCTTACTGTAATTTTTCCTAACTTCCCATTTCTGGTGAAAAGTAAATGAGTTATGCAGGATATATGTTGAATAACAACATTATCTTAAATATCAGAAAGTCTTATCAAAGTTATTACTAAATATATTTAAGAATTCATATAATAATAAGAAAATTGAGCAGTGACATGGATTTTATCAAAAGCAAAAGAACAGTTTAAGGTTAATTTCCAGATATGTGACAGATCTAGTTTTGTGTAAACTTAAAAATATGTAAAAAATGTTTTCTTTTTCTGATGCCCCTCAAAACTTAAAGTTTGTCTACTACTAAAAAGTAGTTATTTATCAGGTCATAAAATACCATCAATATTTTCACATTTAAAAAAATGATAAAATATTTATGCCATAGGGCAAATATTAAATCATGATAATCAAGTCAAGGGAAAATGTTACCTTTTGAGTTAGAGGATATACATTTTTTCCTTACTCTTATTTTTTAAACTATAGACCATATATTTGAACCAAGAAAGATGGAAAATGTAAGTTGTATTTATGGAGTTTCCATTAGGTAAGTTCTAAGGATGATCCACTTCAGTAGTGATATGAGGGGCTCTGTAGACCCTCTCCCTGGCAAAACCATCACAAAACAACAACCATTTAAGGCTTTTATTAAAATTGAAATTGTCCAAAACTATTGAACAAATGAAGAAACATTTATTCAAAAATATCTAACAAGTCTCCATGAGAACAGTGATAGTCTGTGCAGTGATAGTCTGTGCACTTGAGCCATAATTCACTCCTTTCTGCCTCTCTCAGCTCAACAAGACAGAATTCCTGCTCAATGTAAATCTGGCCAAGAATATGGGGCTCCTTTTCTCTTCATCTCCCAGGAAAGAAGATGTCCCAGTAGGGGAAGACCATCATAATTTCTTATCTCCTTCCGCCTGCAGCTTTGTGCTTCAGATGCTACAGTTCAAAGCAAGTGTGGCCAAGAGGTTGAGGGATCCTGTCTCCCACAGAGGTCTCACTCATAGGGTGGAGGCTCTACCTCAGTCATGGCAAACAGAGAATACTCTGTTCCAGATTGTACTCATTCCAGCTAGCTAATAGGACAGAGGTTTTACACCAGAAGAGGCAAGCTAGGAAGACAAAAAGGTGACTGCATCCACCCAGCATCCTGCTTGCAAAAAGGGTTGTTACTGAGAGAAGTGGGCCATTATCTTCATCCCTAATCCAGAGTAGCAGTTAAGAGACTTTGCCAAAGAGGAGAGGCAAGGTACAAAAACAAAGAGATCTGATGCACTTCCCAAAGGAACTAACATTATTTAATACAGAATGGGAGGAAGTTCAAGCTAATAGTGCTCCCAAAAACATGGACATTTAGGTGGTACACAATTAAGATTAGGATGGTAGCTCCGTGAAAGCAATAGGCTAAACCATAGGTCAGCTGGTTTACTAGTGAGAACCAGAGAGGAGATAGTGAAGAAGAGTTCTCTAGCGTAAGAAAAAAATATCAAACACAGTCCTCTAAAACTATTCCTGCAAAAGGACCCAACTTAATTTGATCAGACTTGGGTACAATTTATTCCCCCAGGTATTGTCCAAAAAAATTAAAAATGAAGTAATTAGCTGTCAACATCTGAGAGTGATCCAGAGACAGAGACTGACAGAGAGATCAAGGAAAGAGACAAAGACAGGCTTGCTAAAACCACTGTCATTCAAGAGTGACTGTGTGCATGCCTAAAATTGCACACTCTGTGGAGTAACATCAGAGACTTCACACTTAGTGGGTGAGTGAGGGGAAGGAGAAGGCTTCACTGCACTGGTTTATTCAAGTAACTGCACAAATAAACAAAGAATAACAATAGGAAGACCTGAAGTGGAAGGTGGGAATCAGCATACAGAGTTGTTTTAATTATAATATCTTATCTAAAATATTGAGTTTCCAACAAAAATTACAAGACATGCAAAAAACAAAGCTGAGGTTAGAATGACCATACACAGTGAAGAAAAACTCGAGCAATAGAAACTGCCCCTGAAAGCAACCAGAGAAACTGCCCCTGAAAGCAACCAGATGTTTGGTTTAACAAATAAGACTGTTTTTTTTCTTTCTTTCTTTATTTCTTTTTTTTTTTTTTTTTGAGACAGAGTCTCACTGCGTTGCCCAGGCTGGAGTGCAGTGGCACAATCTCAGCTTACTGCAACCTCCACCTCCCAGGTTCAAGCGATTCTCCTGTCCTAGCCTCCCAAGTAGCTGGGACTACAGGCATGCACCAGCATGCCTGGCTAATTTTTGTATTTTTAGTAGAGACGGGGTTTCACCATGTTGGCCAGGCTGGTCTCGAACTCCTGACCTCAGGAAATCTGCCCGCCTCAGATTCCCAAAGTGCGAGATTACAGGCGTGAGCCACTGCGCCCAGCCAAATAAGACTGTTTTTTAACTTTTAAGTTCAGAGATACAAGTTTGTTTGTTTGCAGGTTTGTTACATAGGTTAGCTTGTGTCATGGGGGTTTGTTGTGCAGATTATTTCATCACCCATGTATTAAGCCTAGTACTCATTAGTTATTTTTCCTGATTCTTTCCCTCCTCCCACCCTCCACCCTTCAATAGGCCCCAGTGTGTGTTGGTCCCCTCTGTGTGTTCATGTGTTCTCATCATTTAGCTCCCACTTACAAGTGAGAACATGTGGTATTTGGTTTTCTGTTCCTCCATTAGTTTGCTAAGGATAATGGTCTCCAGCTCCATCCATGTCCCTGCAAAGGACCAAATCTCATTTTTTTTTATGGCTGCATAGCATTCCGTGGTGAATATGTACCACATTTTCCTGATCCAGTCTACCATTGATGAGCATTAAGTTGATTCCATGTCTTTGCTATTTTGATGAGTGTTGCAATGAACATATATGTGCACATGTATTTTTAATAGGATGATTTATATTCCTTTGGGTATATACCCAGTAATGGAATTCCTATGTTGAATGGTATTTCTGTTTTTAGGTCTTTGAGGAATCACCATACTATCATCCCCAGTGGTTGAACTAATTTACACTCCCACCAATAGTGTATAAGTGTTCCTTTTTCTTCACAACCTCACCAGAATGTTATTTTTTCACTTTTTAGTAATAGCCGTTCTGACTGGTGTGAGATGGAATCTCACTGTGCTGTTGATCTGCACTTCTCTAAAGATCAGTGATATTGAGCTTTTTTTTCACATGATTGTTGGCCACTCGTATGTCTTCTTTTGAGAAGTGTCTGTTTATGTCCTCTGTCTACTTTTTTATGGGGTTGTTTATTTCTTTAAATTTGTTTAAGGTACTTATAGATGCTGGATATTAGACCTTTGTCGGATGCATAGTTTGCAAAATTTTTGTCCCATTCTGTAGATTGCCTGTTTACTCTGTTGATAGTTTATTTTGCTGTACAGAAGCTCTTTAGTTTAATGAGATCCCATTTGTTAAGTTTTGCTTTTGTTGCAATTGCCTTTGGTGAGTTCATTATGAAATCTTTGCCCCTGCCTATGTCCTGAATGGTATTGCCTAGGTTGTCTTCCAGGGTCTTTAAGTTTGGGGTTTTACATTTAATGCTTTAATCCTGCTTGAGTTAATTAACAAATAAGATTTTAAAGAAGCCATTATGAATAAATTCAAAGAACTAAAGGAAATAATTTTTAAAGAAGTAAAGAAAGATATCATGGAAATGTCTCATTAAATATGGAATGTCAAAAAGAAAGTTTAAAAAGAATCACATGGTAATTCTGTAGGAAAAATGTGCAATAGCTCCAATAAAAATTCAGTAGACAGGATCCACAGATTTGAAATGAAAAAAGGAAAGTCCATGAACTTAAGATAGATCAATAGATTTGGCAATTTGAAGGACAGGGATAAAAAAAGAATGATGAAAAATAAACAGAGTGACAAGAAATGTGGGACATCTTTAAGTATACCAACACATGTGTAAGCAGAGTACCAGAAGGAGAGGGAAGGAAGAATAGAGAAGAAAATATGCTCAAGGAAATAGTGGCAGAAAACTTTCCAAGTTTGATGTTAAAACTTAATCTTCACATTCAAGAAGCTCAACAAAATCTAAGATAGATGCAAAGAGATACGTACTCAGTACACTATAATAAAAATGTTGCAACCCAAAGACAAGGAGAAAATATTGAAAGCAGCAATATAATTATAGCTTGTAGCATACAAGTAAAGCAAAGTAAGAGTAACAGCTAAATTCTCATCAGAAGCGATGGAGGCCAGAAGGCAGTGTAATGAAATATTCAAAGTGCTGAAAGAAAACCAAACTGTCAACCAAGAATCTTTTATCAAGTAAAACTACTTTTCATAAAGGAAGACAAAATAAAGGCATTTCCAGATGAACAAAAATATGGAGAATTTGTTGCTAGCAGACTAACTTTACTATAAGTACAAAAGAAAATTATACATGCTGAAAGTAAGTGAATGAAATTATAAGACAGTATAAATACATATTTTTTCTTTATTGTTTTAACTGACCTTAAAATAAATTGAATAAAACAGTATTATACAACTGTGTTTTTTGATTTATAACATAGAAATGTAACATATTTAAAAATAACAGCAAAAGGGGAGTGCAAAGGAGAAAACCTTATTGGAGTAAGGAAATGAGATCCATCAGATGGTAACACTTCAACCAAAAAGGGTTCATCAGACTGAAAAAAACACTAGCAATCTGAACAACAAAAATTGAACAATTCAAAAATGAAATAAGAAAACACTTTTACTTGCAATACTATCAAAAAGAAAAAATACTTAAGACACTTATAAGAAGCACAAAACTTATACTCTGAAAACTATGAAGCATTGCTGAAAGAAATTAAAGTAGACATATTGCAGGACAGTTTTCAGGTGGCCTTAGACCAACCCAATTCTTCCTTCTTTCTTGCCTAAAGTTCTTACGAATAACTACAAAATGTACTGAGAATGCAAAAACATTAATTTGGACATAATTAATAACATCATAGGCAAAAGTAATGTCTAATGGGTCATATATTTAAATGTAAAAGTTAATTTATAAAACTCTTGGAAGATAACATAGGAAATACTTATAATCTTGGGTTTGGAAATATCTTCTTAGATGTGACAGCAAATGCACAACTCACAAATGAAAAAATAGATAAACTAGGCTTAATCAGAAAGTATAACTTTGGACTGGCAGACAGTTTCTCAGGTGGGTATTGAGGCTGATGAGTGCCCTTGTGGAATGTTATTTGTGCCCTATTTCTTTCACAGGTGTTACTCCCCAGTATTTTTTTTCCCATTTCCAGCTCCATCTCAGAGTCTGCTTTTTGGAGAACCCAAATTATGACAGTTGACACCAAGAGTAATCCAAAACATCACCTGGTAAAATGGAATTTGTGGACTCAATAATATTGCAGACAACAGTGAAGCTCTTATGTCCAATGGCAGGTCATGTTCAATTGACCCCTTGTACAATATGGCCATACACTTGTTAAATGTTTATTGATGGTGAGCTTGGATGTCCTGCCTATGGCAGGGAATTCAGTATCAAGATGTCATAACCCAGGGTTAGAAATACATGAAGAAAATAACAAATACATGAATATTAGGATTGGATGGTTGTTACTAAGTTACAGATTTGATATTGCAAAGCTGAGAGCATAAGAAGACACATAGAATTTTCTGATGCTTGCAAAGAAGCCCTCATCTCATGAAGTATGCCAGCAGAGAAAAACTGAAAATCAAGTCCAAGATTTGAGAATTACAGTCGCCAAATTCTGAAGATGGTTGAATGCTTAATCAATGTATGTCTGGAAAACCTAGTAATCTGACACATGGAATGGGAATGTTTGGTGGCTATCCCCAAAGATTTGATTCCCAAGATTTATCTGAACCTTCACAACTTGTGCAATTGGGCCGCCAGTCCCCATTAAGAGCCAGCTCTTGCCCCATCTGAGAAGACAATTCAGAAGACTTTCCCCTCACAAGGAAAAATGTGCTCCTTTAAAGACTTCCTGGCTCTTCTGGCTAACAGGCCCTTAATGAGAGTTACATAGGAACATAATCCATCCAGGTAAGTGCTAGGTCTGATGAAGGAAGAAAAAGACTATGCTCCAAACCAGCTGCAAGTTCTAGCAAGCATGTTCCATCATACTAGATTTTCAAAATGTCAAATTAAGGAGGCTAGAATGTTAGAATGTATAAGAGACTTTATTGACTTGGTTTTCTCTTGGATTGGAGAATTTACCACCCTAATAAGAATCTCAGAGGGTGGTGCAAGCTCTCTGCCAGGGTGTCTGCTAGCCTGTAAAAAGCAATAGCTCATGCTAAGTAAGTTTAAGTTGCAGAATTACTATGAAGACAGAAGGAATAAAAAGGCTCAGAGAGGTGAGCATTCTGGAGTAGAAGTATTACATAAGGCCAAAGACCCACCAGAGTATTACATTCCACAGGAGGAACCATAATTTAGAAGTTACACCACTCACCGGGGCCACCAGGAATGCACTGGAGAGGGGGCAACAACATCACTAAGAAGTTCAGTGATGGCTGTCCTCTGTAAGCCAGAATAATAATGGGCAAGGCTGTGTAAAACTTGGCTCATTGATAGGCATGAGGTTGATAGAATCCCAAAATAATAGCAGATGGTGTCCTCAATCACTAGATGTTACTGGATTATAATTATGGTAAGGATCAACAAATCTGAGTGGCAGCTAAGTGAGCCTCACCTGTAGAGAGTAATAGAGATCACAGCATTCTAGAAGCAAAATAAATGGAAATCCAACAAAGGAACTACATATACAATCTAAAGAAGCCAAGAATGAATGAGCAGTTTCCCCAATTAAAATTTATAACTTTTTGCTTCATTTCTGGATCTGAGCTAGTTTTCAGGCCCATGATCTATTGACTAAAAATTTCTAGTTCCCCAGGGGAAAGTGCCCTGTAACAACATGGCAAGTAAATATAAACACTGTAATAATTTTCCCAGTTCTTCCTCAAGGGACCTGCAGTCATTATTTGTGGGATTGTATACTGAGTCAAAGGGAATACCCTGATATTGGAAAACTTTTGGTATAGAGTCCAAGATGGCTATGATACCTGAAGACCAAAAATGTCAGTATTATGCATCTGGTAGAGTGGGGGAATTTGGAAGCTAGATTAAAAATAAGATTCTGGCCAAAGTCTGACATACAGTGGGTCCACTGGGTCCACAGACTCACCCAGGGGTCATTTCTCCAATCCTTTAATATATAATGATTACTGACATATAAGGGCCCATTGGGTCCTTAGCCTTTAGGATAACAGTCGTTCTTGTGTATAATTCCAAGTAGAATCCTTTGAAAGTGTCCACTCACACATTTGAATCTAAACAGTAAAACAAAAGCAACATTTGTGCCACCTTTAAAAATCTAAACGATGCAGGGTAGTAGTCATATTCCTATTTGATTCACTTGTCTAGACCCTTCAGAAACTATATGGATAATGGAGAATAACTGTGTATCATAAGCTCAACCAAATAAAAGTTAACCCTGATCACAACTGATCACAACAAAAGCACACATGGTTTTGTTGCTACAGCAGGTTAATTGGCCTCAGGTACATGGTATATGGCCCCTAATCTAATGAATGCCTTACTTCCCTCCTCAAAATCAGATAAAGTATCAGAAACTGATTGTATACATAGGTAATACAAAAGAATTTTTATTTACAGTGTGGCCTATCTTATCCTCTGTCCTAATTTTATCCAAAGAGATCTGGATCCGGTAGACATTCCACAAAACATCATATGGATCCATTATATCAATAACATCATGTTAGTCAATAAGTACAGACAAAAGGTCATTCACATGTTGGAGACCCTGGTGAGATTCATGTATTCCAGAGGGTAAAGATAATCCCTATGAAGATTTAAGTCTGTATCATTTCAATAGTTTTTAGGGTCCACTGGTCAGTGGTGCCAGTGGTCCCCTCCAAAGCAGAAGACATACTTGCTTCATATTACATTTCCTATCATGAAGAAGGAAGCACAGTGCCTGGAAGGCTTCTTTGTGTTCTGGAGGCTTAGAAATACTATTCCAGCTCATATATGATTGTCATGGAAGGCTACTAGCTTTGAGTGGAGACTATAGCAGGAGAAGACTCTGCAGAAGGCCTGCACTGCAATGAAAGTAGTGTTGCCACTTGGACCATTCTATCCAGCAGACCCTATGGTACTGGAGGCATTAGTACTAGAAAAAAAAAAATGCAATATCTGTTTTATGGCAAGCACCATTGAGAGAATCACAAAGCAGGCTCCTGGGATTTTGGAGCAAGGCCATAACATCTGCAGTGGAGAGTTATACACTATTAGGAAAACAGCCTCTGGCATGCTACTGGCCCTGGTAATGATGGAATGCTAGAACATATGGAGACCAAGTGACAATGCAGCTGGAACTGCAGCTGGACAATGCTGTTGAACTACTAAGTGTTGTGCTGAATCCTTATTACCCTCAATAGGGAAGGCACCAATTTCAAGAGGCTGAAGAAAAGACCCAGAGCCAGCAAATGAGATGTAGAATTTTATTAAGGGCTTCCATACCATGGGGAGAGTCCTGTGATGGGGGTGCTGGACAACATATCCACCTTACATGTTGTCCAGTGGCAGTGGGCTGGACAACATATCTGCCCTACATACAGTTCAGTGGCAGCGGGCTGGACAAGATAACCACATGGCCCAGTGGTGGGAGGCTAGGCAGGAAAACCGCAACCACTTGCAAACAGCATGCTGCTTATATAGCATTTTCACTTAACACCCTCCCCTTAATGACCTCCACCTGGCAACCTTCATCCAATCCAAAACTCATGGCCTCAATCCCCTGTATGACCCTTGTTCCATTAGATAGGATAGGGGCTCAGATGTCACTCATAGACAAGGAATTTGTTTCAGGATTGGCCATTCCCAGATTCCATAGCTCAGAACACACATTCGGGTGTATCTGCCATTCAGGGTAATTCCAAAGGTGTATTTGTTATTGCTTTTACATGTGTTTATCCTACACCAAGTCATAAAGTCAGGCAAGCCTAGCATAATCTATCTCAACATGAAAATAATACATCCAGGACCAAGCATGAGCAAGCCAAGCAGGCATAAGGAAGCTGCAGAAGCTCAGTCTCACATGTCACCCATCACACTTGCATCAATGCCTCGTTCTTACTGCACAGTAATAGATAAATGGAAAATCCTATGCAATCACCTTAAAGAGCTTAAAAAGGTATGAGTTTGCATTATGGATGGATATGTTGAGTAACTATAAAAACCAAAACTGTTACAAGCTGTATCACAGCCCTACTCAAAAGCTGTCTTGAAAGACATTGGCAAAGGTAGTGAAACTGGCCATCTGCTTTGTTTGTATACAACAAAGCTGTCTAATAAAAAATCTTGTGTGAGCCACAAATGCAAACCCCATATATGAGCTTTACTTTTCTAGTAACTACATTTTAAAGGAAGTATTTAACTCAATATACCTAAAACATTATCATTTAACCTATAATAACTACTTTAAAATTAATAAAATATTTTACATTGTTTCATGATAGGTTTTATGTATCTGGTTTGTATTTTACAACTACAATACATTTCAATTTGGAACATCACATTTCAAGTGTTCAATTGCCTTATGTGATTAGTGGCTATGTTATTGAACAAAGTATGTTTAGAATATACATAGGCACACGGGAAGCAGCAATTGACCTGGCCAACTTGTCAGGGGCCTGGAGGAAGAAAGCTTGTAATATCAGAGGCAAGAAGCTCTAGAGTAGAGGCATGTGGGTGAGCATAAGAAGAGGCCACAAAGGGGACAGTTCTTTGTATCACACATTAATGGTAACCATAAATTACTTATAATGGAAGAGGCACTAAACACTCAAGTAGACAAAATGTCTTGGCCAACTGATAATAGCCAGCCATTGTCAACAACCGCCTCAGTACTGATACAATGAGCACATGAACCAGCTGGTCACCATGGTAGTGATGAAGGCTATGCATGTGCCTGGTAACTATGGCTCCTGCTTAGCAGGGTTGATCTAGCTCTGCCACCTCTGAAAGTGCAACTTTCTAGTAACCAACGTGCACCCCTGGTATATCATTATTCCTCAAGATATTCTACTCGCCACTAGTGGTAAATTAATTACATTTGATCTCTTTTGTCTTAAAAGGGACAAGGGTTCATGCTCATGAGAATAAGCACCTATTACCAACATATATTTGCCTTTCCCACCCATCAGGGTCTTACTATACCACGCAATAGATGACAAAAACTGCAATTACTTTTGCACAAACCTAATAGCACTAAACTTTTATACGTGCAATATAGCACTAACTTCTTTTAAGTTTACCCTTAGCAAGAGAGGCCCACCACAGCACTGAAGAAGCTTCTCCCCAAATGAGTATAGAGAAGAGGATCAGCACAGCACAAAGCATGCACTGTGGCAAACACGGAGATGTAACACTCAAAACATACTTCAATATGTTTTTGAAAGAAAATATGTTTTTGAAGCAAAGGAATTGCTGCCCAGCTGTGAAGAATGTGGCCGACAGCTTCCAGCAGTTAGATTTGGCAGAGTCCACCTCATTCTCTAGCCCAGGTTATGCTAGTCTCAGGATACTTCCTGATCAATTACATAGCAGTAGATGAGGACATACACTACTTGGGGTAGCCAATTCATTCAAGTCAATGAATAGGCAATGATACCAGTGCCTAGCTATTTCTACTCAATACTGACTTCTCTAATAGGACTTCTTTACTCCAGAGCTCTTTCCCAGGCTGTCAGATTGAAATTCTGTTTTCATACTTTTCCTTTTATAGGATTACTCTCCAGTGAAACTTGACACCCCTAAATCTATCTCAGAGTCTCATTCTGGGAATACTGACCTGTGACACTAACAAGTCAGAACCACAAATGAGTTCTGGTCATGAGAGCAAAAGTGCCCTGACAGTGACAGGGAAAACTGAAAATTGAAAGGTAGATGGCTTTCTCTATAAATAAAGCTTTAACTATATTTTATATTGGAACAAAGATTATATTTTTAAAACACAAGAAGTTTTGTTAATTAAATGTAAAGCCACACATGGAATTTGGAGTAAGGAATTTTGAAGACATACCTCCAATTTTCTTTGCTTCCTCCTAATCTGAGCTTTTGTGATATCTGTAATTTACACAAATACCTCACCATAGACAGTTCAATGTGATATACATTATATATGTACGTAATTCACATCTTGCTTGATAATAATACGCATTCTCTTTTTCACCTCTTGCTGAATAATAATCCACCTTCTCTTATTCACATCTTACTTGATAACAGAGCTTTGTAATTTGAATACCATATGTCAAAAATATGTTTCTATTGATAAAATTAATGACTTTCTTATTAGCAGAATACCTGTTAGATATTAGCTTTCACAAGTTAAATCAGAAGCTATTCAAGTAAAGTGAATTGGCTAAAACTATTTTAGAGACAATTCCCTATACTTTTATGTACAGGATATAAGAATCCTACAAAGTCTTTCCCCTTTCTCCTTAGTAACAGTGTTGAGGTTTAATCCCAAAATAGCCCTGTATGCAACCATTAGTTTAGTAGGATTTCTCTTGGCCTGATACTCTCAGGGTAGCAGAATTCTTCTTCTGAAATGTGTTGCATATCCCTTGAGTGATCTTTCATGCAAGATTGAAGATGCTTTAAAAAGGTAGTAGATCTCCAGAAAGAATAGAAAGCTGGAACTTCATCAAGCTTATAAAGCAGGTTGAGCAAACTATTTTTTGCCTGCTTACTAATAATTGTTAGTTTAATTACTGTCTGTACATATTGCAGATTTTTGTCTAAAACTTTCTTTTGTTATACTTGGAAGGGAATGGTGGGGAAGTAGCTAACCTTCATTCCTTCAAAATTTTTATAAAATCATTAAATTATTTACCTCCCATGAAACTAAGAATTTTTTTAGTTATTATGCTAACACTATAATTTAGTTTATAAAAGATAAGCTATTTGTAATACAAGTCTTCAGCACCAATTTCTACAAATCTAAGATGACTGGAGAAGGAAGAAACTCTTGATAAAATTGATTTTAATGATACAACGAAGAAACCCAATAAAATTTCACTGAAAAACTTTAACAGGCTTGGGATTTTCTCTTTGCATTGGGAGAATATTAAATGCTTTAAACAAAAACATGTTGAAATCCATTTGGCATATGATTTATGAAGCGAGCTAATTTTAGAGAAATTTGCCAAAAGTAAATCCATAATTTTTTTTTTTTACCAAATTGACCTAAATTGGTTTAGTCTTTGGGGGAACTATTTGCTGGCTATAAAAGTGAGCATAAGCAAATCTGATGTACAAATATAAGTATGTTTTAAATATACTTTTAGAATAATTTTGATATCTAATTGTTAATCTCAAAGCTGATTTTTAAAAATAACTGAGTACAATTTCTTTTAACTCAGGAAAAAAAATATTGCAAAGCACACCTGCAAAGCATCATAGATTTACAACAAAATAAATTCTACAATCTTCTTCAGCATCTCAGAAATTGATGTAGTTATCCTAGTAGGTTATAAATACTGCAAATAGGAGGGGCTCATTAAATAACCCTCTGACAGATCCTAAATTACAGTAGTCTATGGAGGGAAGACTGTATTGATGAAGTCATCTGCAAAGCAGTTACATCCTAGTTAAATTTTTTCAAGTTGTGAACATTGAAAACAGACCTGGATGAAAGCTATAAATTTAAGGAATATATAATAAGCCAACTAAACAGTTCCCAAGAGACAGATTTGGAACAGTTTTATTGCAAGGTCTGAAAGTAAACAGTTAATAAACTATACATGTTGATAAAATAACACCAAATATTTATTTTTAAAATAGCATCACACTTTGGTAATTATTTTACATTTTAATAAACATGGATAATCTCTAATTTGAAGTTAATATGTGCTGTTTTACTAAGCAAAGAATAAAAGATATTGTGAGGTGTGTGTATACGTCTACATGTGTGTTTAATTAAACCCAGTGTTCAAACGTAAAGCAATTAAGATGCACCCTGAGAAATTGAAACTAAATATCATAAAGGTCTTCAAAGTTATGTTATTGCTTAGCCTTTGGGCATGAAAATGTTTACTAGGGGCAGTAGACGTCTATAGGAAATTCAAAGTTTTCGTAGGTATTGAAAGACAATTTAGTGCTCTGCTAATCTACTATTTAATAAGCAATACAATAAGATTGTTATTCAGAAGGGTTTAGAACCAAACAGTTTGGGTTACAGTCCGAGATCTGCAACTTACTAAATAGGTGACATTAATCAAACTCATTAATTTTTTACTTCTCGGTTTTCTCACCTCTAACATAAAGATGAGAATAAGGTTCTGAGGAAGATATCACTAAGGTACTTAGTAGAGTGCCTGACAAAATACTAACTTCTTAATGAATGTAACATTAATATTATTATCATTAATCAACTGAGAAATTGCAGAGTACAACATGGTGTAGAAAGTTAAAAGAAGTGGATATTGCTCATGCCATCAGTGTTTTAAAAATCAGATCAACACAGTGCAAGAACTCTGGCAACTCAAAAAGCTAGGGTGTCTCCTTACCTCGAAATAACCACACTAGCTTCCCAGCAATGGTCCTTAACCAGACTGAAATATCTGCAATGACAAACATAGAATTCAGAATTTGCGTAGCCATAAAGAAAGTTGAAAACCAATTCGAGAAATCTAAGCAATCCCATAAACTGATACAACAGCTGAAAGACAAAATAGCCATTTTAAGAAAGAAACAAACTGATCTGATAGAGCTGAATAACTCACTATAAAAATTTCATAATACAGAGGAAAAAGGAAAAAAAATGGCAGATAGGAGGCAGGAGTAACTTGCAGCTCCCACTCAAATGGACACAGCAGCGTGTGGAGACTCACATCGTGAACTTTTGCTCGAAGAACTACCATAGGAACATATCAGGGAAGCTGAGAGAATCCACAGACCCTTTAAAGGGATGGATTGCCACTGCAGGCTCCATGGGACAAGCCAAGGAACTGTGAGTCTGCTCTCTTTCTAAGCTGGGAGGCTTGTAACCTGGGGCAAGTTCTCAGCCCTGCTACCGGCTGCCTGGAAATAACTCAGTGCTGTTAAGAGGGCATGGTGAAAGTGAGACCTGCCTTTCGGTTGCAGGCTGTGTGGGAGCTGATTAAGGCCTGTGGCTGCTGGTTTTCCCCCACTTCCCTGGCAACCTGTGTGACAGAGCAGAGGCAACCATAATCCTGCTGGGAACATAACTCCATTGGCCTTGGAAACACACCCCCATCCCCCACAGAAGCCGCAGTAAGCCCTGCCCAAGTCTAATCCTGCCCCCAACTGATGGTCTTTTTCTACCTGCCCTGGTAGCCAAAGGCAAAGGACATAATCTCTTCGGAGCTCTATGGCCCCACCCACTGCCTGACCCTAGGGCAAGCTTGTATCCTCCCTATACTACTGCAGCTGAAGTGCTCTTAAAAGCGTTACTCCATGCTGGAAGCCAACCAATACAAAACCATCACACTGAACAAAAATACAACCAAAGACTCTCACAGAGTCCTTACTCTCCTGCCACCTCTACCAGAGCAGGTGCTGGTATCTATGGCTGAGAGACCTGAAGATAGATCACATGACAGAACTGTTTGCAGCCACTCCCCAGTGTCAGCCTGGAGCCTGGTAGCACCACTGGGTGGCTGGATCCAGAAGAGAAGTACTGGATCCCTTCCTTACACCTTACAAAAAATTAATTCAAGATGGATTAAAGACTTAAATGTTAGATCTGAAACCATAAAAATCCTAGAAGAAAACCTAGGCAATACCATTCAGGACATAGGCATGGGCAAGGACTTCATGTCTAAAACACCAAAAGCAATGGCAACAAAAGCCAAAATTGACAAATGGGATCTCATTAAACTAAAGAGCTTCTGCACAGCAACAGAAACTACCATCAGAGTGAACAGGCAATCTACAAAATGGGAGAAACTTTTTGCAATCTACTCATCTGACAAAGGGCTAATATCCAGAATCTACAATGAACTCCAACAAATTTACAAGAAAAAAAAAACAACCCCATCAAAAAGTGGATGAAGGATATGAACAGACACAAAAGAAGACATTTATGCAGACAAAAAACACATGAAAAAATGCTCATCATCACTGGCCATCAGAGAAATGCAAATCAAAACCACAATGAGATACCATCTCACACCAGTAAGAATGGCGATCATTAAAAAGTCAGGAAACAACAGGTGCTGGAGAGGATGTGGAGAAATAGGAACACTTTTACACTGTTTGTGGGACTGTAAACTAGTTCAACCACTGTGGAAGTCAGTGTGGCAATTCCTCAAGGATCTAGAACTAGAAATACCATTTGACCCAGCCATCCCATTACTGGGTATATACCCAAAGGATTATAAATCATGCTGCTATAAAGACACATGCACACGTATGTTTACTGCGGCACTATTCACAATAGCAAAGACTTGGAACCAAGCCAAATGTCCAACAATAATAGATTGGATTAAGAAAATGTGGCATATACACACCATGGAATACTATGCAGCCATAAACAACGATGAGTTCATGTCCTTTGTAGGGACATGGATGAAGCTGGAAACCATCATTCTCAGCAAACTATCACAAAGACAAAAAAACCAAACACCACATGTTCTCACTCACAGGTGGGAATTGAACAATGAGAACATATGGACCCAGGAAGGGGAACATCACACACTGGGTCCCGTTGTGGGGTGTGGGGAGGGGGGAGGGATAGCATTAGGAGATATACCTAATGTTAAATGACGAGTTAATGGATGCAGCACACCAACATGGCACATGTATACGTATGTAACTAACCTGTACGTTTTGCACATGTACCCTAAAACTTAAAGTATAATTAGAAAAAAAAAATTCACTGCAGTTTGGCTGTGAGGAAGCCCCATCCCTAGGGGAAGGCAGAGAGTATTAAATAAAGCGATCACTCTATGGGACAAAAGAATCTGAACAGCAGCCCTTGAGCTCCAGATCTTCCCTCTGACATTGTCTACCCAAATGAGAAGGAATCAGAAAAACAACTGTGGTAACATGACAAAACAAGTTTCTTTAACACCCCCAAAAGATCGCACTAGCTCACCAGCGGTGGATCCAAATCGAGATGAAATCTCTGAATTGCCAGAAACAGAATTCAGGTCAATTATTAAGCTAATCAAGGGAGCACCAGCAAAAGGTAAAGATCAACTTAAAGACATCAAAAAAATGATGCTAGATATGAATGAAAAAATCCCCAGTGAAACAGATTGCATGAATAAATAACAATCACGACTTCTGGAAGTGAAGGATACACTTAGAGAAATGCGAAATGCACTGGAAGGTATGAGCAACAGAATCAAACAAGAAGAAAGAAGAACTTCAGAGCTCAGAGACAAGGTTTTTGAATTAAACAATCTAACAAAGACAAAGAAAAAAGAATTGTTGGAAAATGAACATAAACTTCAAGAAGTTTGGGATCATGTTAAACTACCAAACTTAGGAATAATTGGTGTTCCCAAAGCAGAGAAATATAAAAGTTTGGAAAACATATTTGAGGAAATAATCAAGAAAAATTTCCCCAGCCTTGCTAGAGATCTAGACATCCAAATATAATAAGCACAAAGAACATCCGGGAAATTCATTGCAAAAAGATCATCACTTCAGCACATAGTCGTCAAGTTATCTAAAGTGAAGATGAAGGAAAGAATCTTAAGAGCTGTGAGGCAAAAGCATCAGGTAACCTGTTAAAAAAATATCAAATTAACAACAGATTTCTCAGCAGAAACCCTACAAGCTAGAAGAGATTGGGGTCCTATATTTAGCCTCCTTAAACAAAACAATTATCAGCCAAGAAATTTGTATCCAATGAAAGGAAAGATAGTCTTTTTCAGACAAACAAATGCTGAGAGAATTTGCCACTACCAAGGCAGCACAAAAACTGCTAAAAAAAAAAAAAAAAGCTCCAAATCTTGAAACAAATCCTCAAAATAAATCAAAATAGAATCTCCTTATAGCATACATCTCACAGGACCTATAAAACAATAACACAATGAAAAAAATTCAGGCAACAAATAACATGATGAATAGAACAGTACCTCACATATCAATATTAATGTTGAATATAAATAGCCTAAATACTCCACTTAAAATATGTAGAATAGGCCAGGCACAGTGGCTCACGCCTGTAATCCCAGCACTTTGGGAGGCCGAGGTAGATGGATCACGAGGTCAAGAGATAAAGACTATCCTGGCCAACATGGTGAAACCCCGTATCTACCAAAAATACAAAAATTAGCTGGGCGTGGTGACATGCACCTGTAGTCCCAGCTACTCGGGAGGCTGAGGCAGGGGAATCGCTTGAACCCAGGAGGCAGAGGTTGCAGTGAGCTGAGATTGTGCCATTGCACTCCAGCCTGGTGATGGAGAGAGACTCTTCGTCTCAAAAAAAAAAAAAAAAAAAAAAAAAAAAAAAAAAGATACAGTATTGCAGAGTGAATAAGAATTCACCAACCATATATCTTTTCAAGATACTCACCTGACACAGACATAAGGACTCACATAAACTTAAGGTAAAGGGGTGAAAAAAGATATTACTTGCAAATAGACACCAAAGTGATCAGGAATAGCTATTCTTATATGAGACAAAACAAACATTAACAGAACAGCAGTTAAAGAAGACAAAGACAGACATTATATAATGATAAAATGACTAGTCCAACAGGAAAATATCACAATCCTAAATACATATGCACCTAACACTGGAGTTCACAAATTTATAAAACAATTACTACTAGACCTAAAAAATGAGATAGATGGCAACACAATAATAATGGGGGACTTCAATACTCCACTAACAGCACTAGACAGGTCATCAAGATGGAAAGTCAACAAAGAAACAGTGGACTTAACTATACCTTACAACAAATGGACTTAACAGACATTTACAGAACATTCTACCAAACAACTCCAGAATATGCATTCTATTCACCAGCACATGGAACATTCTCTAAAATAGACCATATGATAGGCCACAGAACAAGTCTCAACAAATTTAAGAAAATTGAAATTATATCAAGTACTGTCTCAGACCACAGTGGAATAAAACTGGAAATCAACTCCAAAAGGAACCCTCAAAACCATTCAAATACATGGAAATAAAATAACCTGCTCCTGAATGATCATTGGGTCAACAATATACTCATGATGAAAATTTAAAAATTCTTTGAACTGAACGATAATAGTGACACAACCTATCAAAACCTCTGGGATATAGCAAAAGCAGTGCTATGAGGAAAGTTTATAGTATGGAATGCCAACATCAGAAAGTCTGAAAGAGCACAAATAGACAATCTAAGGTCAAGCCTCAGGGAATAAGAGTAGCAAGAAAAAACCAAGCCCAAATCCAGCACAGAAGAAGACAGATCAGAGTAGAACTAAATGAAATTTTTTAAAAAATACAAAAGACAAATGAAACAAAAACTTGGTTCTTTGAAAAGATAAATAAAATTAAGAAACCATAAGCAAGATTTACTAAGAAAAGGGGAGAGAAAACCCAAATAAGCTCAACTGGAAATGAAATGGAAAGTATTACAACCAATACCACAGAAATACAAAAGGTCATTTAAGGCTACTATGGACACCTTTATGTACATAAACTAGAAAACCTAGAGGAAATGGATAGATTCCTGGAAGAATACAGCCCTCCTAGATTAAATCAGGAAGAAATAGAAACTCTGAACAGACCAATAACAGTGAGATTGAAATGATAATTAAAAAGTTAACAACAACAAAAAAAGTCCAGAACCAGATGGATTCACAGCAGAATTCTATCAGACATTCAAAGAATTGGTACCAATCCTATTGAGACTATTCCAAAAGGTAAAGAGGGACTCCTCCCTAAATTATTCTGTGAAGCCAGTATCACCCTAATACCAAAACCAGGAAAGGACATAACAAATAAAGAAAACTACAGACCAATATCCCTGATGAACATAGATGCAAAAATTCTCAACAAAATACCAGATAACCGAATCCAGCAACATATCAAAAGTATAATACAACATGATGAAGTGGGTTTCATACCAGGGAAGCAGGGATGGTTTATCATACACAAGTTAGTAAATGTGATACACCACATAAACAGAATTAAAAACAAAAAGTACATGATCATCTCAATAGATGCAGAAAAAGCATTTGACAAATTCCAGCATCACTTTATAATTAAAACCCTCAGCAAAATCAGCGTAGAAGGAACATACCTTAAGGTAATAAAAGCCATCTATAACAAACCCACAACAAACATTATACTGAATGGGGAAAAGTTGAAAGCATTCCTTCTGAGAACTGGAACAAGACAAGAATGCCCACCTCCGCCACTTCTATTCAACATAGTACTGGAAGTCCTAGCCAGAGCAATCAGACAAGAGAAAAAATATATAAAGGGTATCCAAATCTGTAAAGAGGAAGTCAAACTGTTGGTGATTGCACAAGATATGTTCGTATACCTAGAAAAACCTAATGACTCATCCAAAAAGCTCCTAGAAGTGGCAAATGAATTCAGTAAAGTTCAGGATACAGAATAATAAACAAAAATCAGTAGCCCTGCTATACACCAACAGCAACCAAGCTAGAATCAAATCAAGAACTCAAATCCTTTTACAATTAGCTGCAAAAATAAAATAAAATATTTAGGAATATACTTAACCAAGGAGGTGAAAAATCTCACAAGGAAAACTATAAAACACTGCTAAAAATTATCATAGATGACACAAACAAATGGAAACACATCCCATGCTCATGATGGGTAGAATCAATATTGGGAAAATGACCATACTGCCAAAAGCAATCTAAAAATTCAATGCAATTCCCATCAAAATACCACTATCATTCTTCATGTAACTAGGAATAAAATCCTAAAATTCATATATAACCAAAAAAGAGCCCACATTGCCAAAGCAAAACAAAGCAAAAAGAACAAATCTTGAGGCATTACATTATCTGACTTCAAACTACACTATAAAGTCATAGTCACCAAAACAGGATGATACTGGTAAAAAAAAAAAACAAAAAACAAAAAACAGGAATATAGACCAATGGAACAGAACGGGGAACCCAGAAATAAAGCCAAATACTTTAAGTCAACTGATTTTTGACAAAACAACAAAAACATAACGTGGGAAAAGGACACCCTATTCAGCAAATGGTACTGGGATGGTTGGCAAGCCACGTGTAGAAGAATGAAACTAGATCCTCATCTCTCACCTTATGCAAAAATCAACTCAAGATGGTTAAAAGAGTTAAATTTAAGACTTGAACCATAAAAATTCTAGAAGATAACATTGAAAAAAACCCCTTCTAGACATTGGCTCAGGCAAAGACTTCATGACCAAGAACCCAAAAGCAGATGCAACAAAAACAAAAATAAATAGATGGGATTAAATTAAACTAAAAAGATTTGGCACAGCAAAAGAAATAATCAGCAGAGTAAACAGATAACTCACAGAATGGGATAAAATCTTTGCAATGTATACATCTGACAAAGGACTAATATCCAGAATCTACATGGAACTCAAACAAAACAGCAAGAAAAAAGCAAACAATCCCATGAGAAATTGTACTAAAAACATAGACAATTCTCAAAAGAAGATATACAAATGGCCAACAAGCATATGAAAAAAATGCTCAACATTACTAATGATCAGAGAAATGCAAATCAAAACCAAAATGTGATACTACCCTGCTTTTGCAAGAATAGCCATAATCAAGAAATCACAAAATAATAGATGTTGGCATGGATGTGGTGAAAATGGAACACTTTTACACTGTTTGTATGAATGTAAACTAGTACAACCACTATGGAAAACAGCATGAGGATTCCTTAACTAAAAGTAGATCTACCATTTGATTGAGCAGTCCTACTCCTGGTATCTACCCACAGGAAAAGAAGTCATTATGTGAAAAAGATACTTGCAAACGCATGTTTATAGCAGCACGATTTGCAATTGCAAAAACATGGAACCAGTCCAAATGCACATCAATCAATGAGTGAATAAAGAAAATGTATATATACACCATGGAATACTACTCAGCCATAAAAAGGAATTAAATAATGGCATTCACAGCAATCTGGATGGAATTGGAGACCATTATTCTAGTGAAGTAACTCAGGAATGGAAAACCAAACGTATGTTCTCACTCATAAGTGGGAGCTAAGCTATGAGGATGCAAAAGCATAAGAATGATATCATGGACATTGGAACTTAGTGGAAAGGGTGGGAGGGGGTGAGGGATAAAAGACTACACATTGGGTAGAATGCACACTGTCTGGGTGATGGGTGCCCCCAGATCACAGAAATCACCAATTAATAACTTATTATACACAAAATATATTTTTTAAATTTTTTTAAAAGCCTTTAGGAACTAAAAAAAAAGAATTTCATAATACAATTGGAAGTATTACCAGCAAAATAGACCAACTTGAGGAAATAATCTCAGAACTTGATTATGGCTTCTTTGAATCAAGTCAGACAGACAAAAAAAAAAAAAAAAACCTCTAACAAATATGGGATTATGTAAACAGACCAAATCTATGACTCACTGGAGTCCCTGAAAAAAAGGAAGAGAGAGCAAGCAATTTGGAAAACTTATTTGAGCATATTGTCCACAAAAATATCTCCAACCTCGCTAGAGAGGTCAACATGCAAATTCAGGAAATTCAGAGAATCCCTGTGAGATAACATACAAGACAAACATCCCCAAGACACGTGGTCATCAAGTTCTCCAAGGTCAAAGCAGAAGAAAAAATATTAGCTGCAGAAAGAGAGTAGGGGCAGGACACCTACAAAGGAAACCCCGTCAGGCTAATGAGGACCTTTCAGTAGAAATGCTACAAGCCAGAAGAGATTAGGGGCCTATCTTCAGCATATTTTTTAACTTTTATTTTAAGTTCAGGGATACATATGAAGGTTTATTACATAGGTAAACATGAGTCATGGGGGTTTGTTGTACAGATTATTTCATCACCCAGGTATTAGGCCAATAGTTATTTTTCCTGATCCTTTCCCTCCTCCCACCCTACACCGTCCAAAGGGCTCCAGTGTGTTGTTCCCATCTATGCATCCCTGTGTTCTCATCATTTAGCTCCCACTTATAGATGAGAACATGGGGTATTTGGTTTTCTGTTCCTCCATTAATTTGTTAAGGATAACGCCCTTCAGCTCCATCCATGTCCTTGCAAAGGCCACAGTCTCATTCTTTTTATGACTGCATAGTATTCCATGTTGCATATGTGCCACATTTCTTTATCCAGTCTATCACTGATGGGAATTTAAGTTGATTCTGTCTTTGCTATTGTGAAGAGTGTTGCAATGAACACATGCATGCATGTGTCTTTATAATAGAATAATTTATATTCCTTTGGGTTTATGCCCAGTAATAGGGTTGCTGGGTCAAATGATATTTCTGTTTTTAGGGCTTTGAGGAGTCACCACACTGTCTTCCACAATGACTGAACTAATTTACACTCCCACCAACAGTGTATAAGCATTCCTCTTTCTCCACAACCTCCCAGCATCTGTTATTTTTTCTTTTTAATAATAGTCATTCTAACTGGTGTGAGATGGAATCTCATTGTGGTTTTGATTTGTATTTCTCTAAAGATCAATGATATTGAGCTTTTTTTCATATGATTGTTGACCACATGTATGTCTTATTTTGAAAAGTGCCTGTTCATGTTCTTTGCCCACTTTTTAATGAGATTGTTTTTTTTCTTGTAAGTTTGTTTAATTTCCATATAGATGCTGGATACTAGACCTTTATCAGATGCATAGTTTGCAAAATTTTCTCCCTTCCTGTAGGTTGTCTGTTTACTCTGTTAATACTTTCTTTCACTGTGCAGAAGCTCTTTAGTTTAATGATACCCTTTGTGTCAATTTTTGCTTCTGTTGCAATTGCTTTCAGCATCCTTTTCATGAAATCTTTGCCAGGGCCTATGTCCTGAATGGTATTGCTTAGGTTGTCTTCCAGGGTTTTCATAGTTTTGGGTTTTACATTTAAGTCTTTAATTCATTTTGAGTTAATTTTTGTATATGGTGTAAGGATAAGCTCCAGTTTTAATCTTCTACATATGGCTATCCAGTTATCCCATCGCCATTTACTTAATAGAAAACCCTTTTCCCACTGCTTGTTTTTGTCAGATTAATCAAAGATCAGATAGCTGAAGGTGTTCAGACATATTTCTGGGTTCTCTATTCTGTTCCATTGGTCTATAGGTCTGCTCCTATGCCAGTACCATGTTGTTTTGGTTGCTGTAGCCCTGTAGTATATTTTCAAGTCAGGGAATGTAATGCCTCCAGCTTTGTTCTTATTTCTTAGCTTATTGCCCTGGATATTCTGTCTCTTTTTTGGTTCCATAGGAATTTTTAAATAGTTTTTTTTATAGTTCTTTGCAGAATCTGAATAGAAGTTTAATAGAAATATCATTAAATTTATAAATTCCTTTGGGTAATATGGCCAATTTAATGACACTCATTCCTCCTATCCATGAGAATAAAATGTTTTTCCATTTGCTTGTGTTATGTCTGATATCTTTGAGCAGTGTTTTGTAGTTCTTTTGTAGAGATCTTTCACCTCCAAAGTTAGCTGTATTTCTAGATATTTTATTCTTTTTGTGGCAATTGTGTATTAGAATTTGTTCCTAATTTGGCTCTCGGCTTGACTGCTGTTAATGTGTAGAAATGCTATCGATTTTTGCACATTGATTTTGTATCCTGAGACTTTGCTGAAGTTGTTTATCAGCTTAAGAAGCTTTTTGGCTGAGACAATAGGGTTTTCTAACATCGGACTCTGTCATCTGCAAACAAAGATAGTATGACTCCCTCTCTTCCTATTTGGATGTCCATTATTTCTTTCTCTTGCTGGATTGCCCTGGCCAGGACTTCCAATACTATGTTGAATGGGAATAGTGAGAGAGGGCATCCTTGTCTTGTGTCGATTTTCAAGGGGAGTGGTTCTGGCTATTGCCCATTCAGTATGATGTTGAGTGTGGGTTTGTCATATATGGCTCTTACTATTTTGAGGTATATTCCTTCAATACCTAGTTTATAGAGAGTTTTTAATATGAATGAATGTTGAATTTTATCAAAAGCCTTTTCTGCATCTATTGAAGTGATCATGTGGTTTTTTTGTCTTTAGTTCTATTTATGTAATGAATTACATTTACTGATTTGTGTATGTTGAACCAACATTGCATCCCAGGGATAAAGCCTACTTGATCCTGGTGGATAAGCTTTTTGATGTGCTGCTGAATTTGGCTTGCCAGTGTTTTGTTGAGGATTTTTGCATCGATGTTCATCAAGGATATTGGCCTGATGTTTTCTTTTTTTCTCCTATGTTTGCCAGGTTTGGGTATCAGGATTATACTGGCCTCCTAGAATGAGTTAGGGAGGAGGACTTCCTCCTCAATTTTTTGGAATAGTTTCAGTAGGAATAGTACCAACTCTTCCTTGTACATCTGGTAAAATTAAGCTGTGAATCCATCTAGTCCTGGGCTTTTTTTTTTTTTTTTTTTTTTGGTTGGTAGGCCACTTATTACTGCCTGAATTTCATTGTTTGTTATTGTTCTGTTCAGGGATTCAATTTTTTTCCTGGTTCAGTCTTGGGAGGGTGTATATGAGCAGGAATGTATCCATTTCTTCTAGATTTTCTAGTTTATATGCATAGAGATGTTCATAATATTTTGATTGTTGTTTGTATTTCTGGAGTGTCAGTGGTAATATCTCCCTTTGTGTTTCTGGTTGTGTTTATTTGAATTTCTCTCTTTTCTTCTTTATTAGTATACCTAGTGGCCTATCTATTTTACTAATATTTTCAAAAAATAGCTCCTGGATTTGTTGATCTTTTGAATGGTTTCTGGTGTCTCAGTCTTCTTCAGTTTAGCTCTGATTTTGGTTCTTTCTTGTCTTCTGCTAGCTTTAGGATTTGTTTGTTCTGTTCTTTAGGTCTTTTAGTTGTGATGTTAGGTTGTTAACTTGAGATCTTTCTAACTTTTTGATGTGGGCATTTATTGCTATAAATTTGCCTCTTACCACTGTCTTATTTGAGACCTAGATACTCTGTACATTTTCTCTTTGTACTCATTAGTTTCAAGAACTTCTTGATTTCTGCCTTAATTTCATTGTTTACCCAAGAGTCATTCAGCAGCAGGTTGTTCAATTTCCATGGTTAGAATTTCTTTTAAGAATGTTGAATATTGGTCCACAGTCTCTTCTGTCTTGTAGGGTTTCTGCTGAGAGGTCTTCTGTTAGTCTGATGGGCTTCCCTTTGTATATGAGTCTGATGGGCTTCCCTTTGTATATGACCTGGCCTTTCTCTCTAGCTGCCTTTAACATTTTATTCTTTCATTTTGACCTTGGAGAATCTGAAGATTATGTGTCTTAGGGATGACCTTTTTGTGAAGTATCTTACTGGGCTTCTCTGAATTTTCTGAATTTGAATGTTAGCCTCTCTAGTTAAGTTGGGGAAACTCTCCTGGAAAATATACTGAAGTATGTCTTACAAGTTGGTTCCATTTTCCCCATCTCTTTCATGTATACAAATCATTCATAGATTCAGTCTCCTTACGTAATCCCATAGTTTCATAGGTTTTGTTCATTCCTTTTTATTCTTTTTTCTTTACTCTTTTCTCCCTGTCTTATTTAAGAAAGCCAGTCTTTAAGCTCTGAGATTGTTTCCTCTGCTTTGTCTATTCTGCTATTAATATTTGTGATTGCATTATGAAATTCTTGTAGTATGATTTTTAGCTCTATAGAGTCAGTTATGTTCTTCTTTATACTGGCTATTTTGTCTGTCAGTTCCTGCAATGTTTTATTATGATTTTTAGCTTCCTTGAATTGGATTACCACATATTCCTGTAGCTCAGTGAACTTTGTACCTACCCCTATCCTGAATTCTACTTCTGTCATTTCAGCCATCTTCAGCCTCAGCCTTGTTCCAAAACCTTGGTGAAGAGGTGTTGCAGTCATTTGGAGGAAAGAAGGCACTCTGACTTTTTGAGTTTTCGGCATTCTTGCACTGATTCTTTCTCATCTTTGTGGGCTTATCTATCTTCAATCTTTGAGGCTGCTGATCTTGGATTTTTTTTCTTTTATCCTATTTGATTACCTTGAGGGTTTCATTGTGGTATAAGGTGGATTCAGTAGACTGGCTTCATTTGGGGGAGGTTTTAACGTTCCACTCCCAACTTCTGGACGGTATGCTCTAACTCTTGGGGACTTGTATTGGGCCCCAACTTTATTCTCTGGATTCTCAAAGTTTACAGTCCACTGCACTAGTGGGAAAGGGCATTCAGGAGCAGGAGGGCCCCTGCTGGAGACTGTGTGTGCTGTTGCACTCAAGGTGGTGTTAGCTTCGAGTATGGTGCTGCCTGGTGCAGATTTAGGTGCCTCCCTGTGCTCCGCAAGTGGAAGTGATTGCTCAGGATGTGGGAGGATCCCCTGTCTTCTGCCCAGCATTAGGACAAGGGTGGGGCACTAGTGGGTGCAGGGCATGCTGGTTCTGTGCGTGCCAAGACTACATCTGCAATGGTGGTCAACAGGGGTGGGGCAGTGTACTGTACTTCTGCATGCTGGCAGGGCAAGTAAAGCAAAACCTGCCTGTGCAGTTACATGCCAGCAAAATGATGTGGGGACTTGCCATGGGCTCAGGGGAAGCTGTAGTATAAGAAGGGAAGGTGTGAGCTGGTGCATGGCCATAAGGGTTTCCACACTGGACCTCTCCACTGGTCAGGCACGGTCTGCTATCATAGAAGCTATGTTGTTTGCCCCAGGGCACCTTGAACTCCCCTGTAAGTGGTCATGGCCAGGCTGGGGCCCTGTTAGATACCAGTGGACCATGGAGTGCTCAGGTCTGACCAACCTCATCTGATGTGCCAGACCACCCAGCAGAGATCAAGTCCAACACTTCCCCTAAGGCTAACGTCTCTTATGGGAGCAAGTTGAACCTAGAAGGATGGCCGTTCCTGGCCACACTCCACTAAAGGTGCGGCTCCACACCAAACCCTCTGGAGTCCACATCAGCTGGCTTGCTGCCCCACTACTTTGCTTGTCTCCTGGGGACTCCACCCCAGATAGATGTGGGTCAGCAATCACTCAGTGAAATCAACCCAAGATGGAGGGTTCTAGCCAAGAGTTCCCTGTCTGGTGACAATCAGTAGAGGGTGTATGGGACCCATGAGAGATGGATTGGCCTCCTCTGCTTGGGTCAACTGCAGCTTGTTGGAGATGTGGATGAGGCACCTAAGGTCTTTGCTCCTTCATTAGTCTGAGGGTAATAAAAACAGTTTCTCTTCAAAGACAATGGAAGAGAGGTTTTCAGTTGCTCCTGGAGGCTCTGTTCAGGGAATTGCCAAGTTGCTACTGGCTTGATAGCTCTGGTCAGGGGTGGCTAGAGGCCCAGGCATGGAAGACCTGCCTGCTGAGGAGATATGGGAATGGGCACACATGTAACAGTCTAGCCAGTTTTCTGTAGGGCTGCTGTGATATTCTGGGGGTCTCGTCTAGTTTCTAGTTGCCTCACATTTTCAAGTACCTGGAGTTGTCACCAGTGAAGGCTGTGAAACAGCAAAGATGGCAGCCTGCCTCTCCCTTTGGGAGCTCAATCCCAGGGAGGTATGGACCTATTGCCAGCCCAAATGCACCTGTAGGAGGTGGCTTGAGACCTCTGTTGGGAGGCTCTACCGAGTGATGATGAATGGGATCAGGGACCTGCTTTAAAAAGCAGTCAGGCCACATTTTCACAGAGCAGCTGTGCTATACTGGGGTACTGCCTCTGTCCCCAATTAGTTTGGACTTTCCAAAGCCCAAGGGCTGGAATGGATAAGTTGCCCAAACAGCAACGATGGCAGCCCACCCCCCCACACCAAGGGAGCTCTGTCCTAGAGAGGTTTCATATCTCTGTACGCAGGAGGACACTGATCCAGGTGGCTGGAGGCCCCAGCTGTGCTGTGTTGAGGTATCACCTCTGCCCCCAGTCAGCTTGGAGTCTCCTAAGCCTGAAGGTTGGAATGGCTAAGTCACCTAAACATCAAAAATGGCAGCCCACCCATCCCTCTGGGAGCTCCATCTCAGGGAGATGTAATGCTGCTACTGGTGGCTGGCTGGAATTCAAAGACAGTGGGTCTTATCTTGTAAGGTGCCATAGAAGTGGGGTCTGCAGACTGCTGCTGCTTGGCCTCCTGGATTTAGCCTTTTTCCTAGGGGTATGTATGGGAGTCTAACCTCCTGCTTTGCTGGAGTTGCAGCTGCTTTTGCCAGGATGCCCATAAACCCTGAGTATCTAAAGCTCCTTGGTCTCTGCACATGGCTGAGTGGCTGCTCTGCCAAGACTCCACATAGCTCTGTGTGTCAGACTTAAAGCCCTGGTGAAGTAGGTTCATGAATGAGAGCATCTCCTGACCTAAAAGTTGCAAAAATCCATGAGAGAAGCATGGGTTTCCAGGGTTGCACATTCATTCACCACTTCCCTGGGTGAGGGATGTTCCCCTGGTTCTGTCATTCCAGATGGGCCATCATCCTCCCTCACTTTTCTCCATTCTCTTTGGGTCAAGTTGTTTCCTTGATTATTCCCAATGTAAGTGGCTGGATGTTTCGGTTGAAGTTGCTGTATTTACTTACCCCTTCTGTTCCTCTCCATGAGAGCAACACACACTAGCTGCTAGTAGTTGGCCATCTCAGCCACCTCCTTTAAATGTGGCATGTTTAAAGAAAAGATATTACAACTAAGAATTTCATATCCAACCAAACTAAGCTTCATAGCAAAGGAGAAATAAAATCCTTTTCAAACAAGCAAATGCTAAGGGATTTTTTTTTTTAACACTAAACCTGTCTTATAAGAGGTCCTAAAGGGAGTGCTAATCATGGAAATGAAAGATCATTACTGGCCACCACAAAAACATACTTAAGTACATAATCCATTGACACTATAAAGTAACTACACAATCAAGTCTTCATAACAACAAAATGACAGGATCAAATCCATGCATATCAATATTAACCTTGATTATAAATGGGCTAAATGGTTATTAAAAGACAAAGAGTGGCAAGTTGGATAAATAAGCAGGATCCAAATCTATGCTGTCTTCAAGACTGTATGCTGTCTTCAAGAGACCCATGTCACATGCACTGACACAAATAGGGTCAGAGTAAAAAGGTGGAGAAAAATCCATCAAACAAATGGAAAACAAAAAGAGCAGGGGGTGCTATTCTTACTTCAGACAAAACAGACTTTAAACCAGCAATGATCAAAAAAGACAGAGAAACATCATATAGTGATAAAGACTTAAATTCAATAAGAAGACTTAACTATCCTAAATATATACACACCCAACACTGGAGCACCCAGATTCATAAAACAAGTTCTTAGAGACTTATGAAGAGACTAGATAACCATACAATAATAGTAGGAGACTTGAACACTCCACTGACACTATTAGACAGATCATTGAGACAGAAAACCAACAAAGATATTCAGGATCTAAACTTGACACTTGACCAAATGGACCTAACAGACAACTATAGAACAATCCCCTCAACAATAGCAGAATACACATTCTTCTCATCTGCACATGGCACATACACTAAAGTTAACCACACTGTTGGCCATAAAGCAATTTTCAACAAATCCCAAAAAAACTGAAATTATACCAACTACACTCTCAGATCACAGAATAAAAATAGAAACTATACCAAGATCTCTCTAAATCACAGAATTACACAGCAATTTAACACTTGCTTCTGAATCACTTTGGGATAAACAATAAAATTAGGATAGGACCAAGAAATTCTTTGAAACTCATGAAAGTAAAAATACAGCATATCAGAGTCTCTTGGACACTAAAGCAGTGTTAAGAGAAAGTAATAGTGCTAAACATTGACATCAGACAGTTAGAATGATCTCAAATTAACAACATAGAAGAACGATAAAAACAAGAGCAAACCAACACCAAATATAGCAAGAGAAAATAACCAAAATCAGAGCTGAACTGAATAAAATTGAGATGCAAAAAATCATACAAAACATTAACAAAACCAATAGTTGGGGTTTTTTAAGGTTAATATTCTACTAGCTAGACTAATAAAGAAAAAAGGGAAAAGATCCCAGTAAACATAATCAGAGATAACAAAGGAGTTCTTATCAGAGTCCCCAAAGAAATACAAGAAGCCATCAGAGACTATTTTGAACACCTCTATGCACACAAAGTTGAAAAGCTAGAAGAAAATGATAAATTCCTTGAAACAAAGAACCTGTTGGATTGAACCATAAGGAAACTGAAACCCCAAACTGATCAGTAACAAGTTCTTGAATTGAATCAGTAATAAAAAGCCTACCAACCAGAAAAAGCTCTGGCAGATGAATTCACAGCTGACTTCTACCAGACATACAGAGAAAAGCTGACAAAAGTCCTACTGAAACTATTCCAAAGAAGGGAGGAAGAGGGATTGATCCCTAACTTATTCTATGAGTTTGATAACAAAACCTAGCAGAGACACAATGAAAAAAGAAAACTTCAAGCCAGTATCCCTAATAGACATATATGCAAAATCCTCAAAAAAAAAAAAAAAAAAACTAGCAAACTGAATCCAGCAGCACATAAAACAGTGAATCCACTGCAATCAAGCAGGCTTTATTCCTGGGATGCAAGGTTGGTTCAACATACACAAATCAATAAATGCAATTCACCATATAAACAGAACTAAAAAGAAAAACCACATGATTATCTCAACAGACACATAAAAGACTTTTGATAAAATTCAATACCCCTTAAAGTTAAAAAACCCTAAACAAATTAAGAAATAAAGGAACATACCTCAAAATAATAAGAGCAATTGATGAAAAATCCACAGCCAAAATCATACTGAATGGAGAAAGCTGGAACCATTCCCCTTGAGATTTGTAATAAGACAAGAATGCCCACTCTCACCACTCCTATTCAACATACTACTGGAAGTGCTACCCACAACAATCAGGCAGAAGAAAGACATAAAAGGCATCCAAATAAAAAGAGAGAAAGCCAAATTATCTCTCTTCACAGAGGATATGATTCTATACTTAGAAAATCACATAGTCCCTGCCAAAGAATCCCAGATCTAATAAACAACTTCAGCAAAGTTTCAAGATACAAAATAAGTGTAGAAAAACTTACACCATTTATATACACCAATAATGTCCAATCTTAGAGTCAAATCAAGGATGCAATCTCATTTATAATAGCCACTGATATGGTCTGGCTCTGTGCCACCACCCAAATCTCATCTTGAATTGTAATCTCCATATGTTGGGGAAGGGACCTCATGTGAGGTAATTAGATCATGGGGGCTGTTCCCCCATGCTGTTCTCATGATAGTGAATGAGTTCTCAAGACATCTGATGGTTTTATAAGGGCCTTTTCCCACTTCACTCTGCAATTCCCTCTACTGTCACCATGTGAAGGACATGCTTGCTTCCCCTTTCATCATGGTTGTAAGTTACCTGAGACCTTCCCAGCCATGTGGAACTATGAGTCAATTTAACCTCTTTTCTTTATAAATTACCCAGTCTCAGGCAGTTCTTTATAGCAGTGTAAGAAGGAAGTAATACAGCCACAAAAAGAATAAAAAACTAGAAATACAGCTAAGCATGGGAGATGAAAGATTTCTACAAAGAATTACAAAACACTGCTGAAAGAAGTCAGAATAACATAAATAAATGGAAAAACATTCCATGCCTAGGAATAGAAAGAACCAATATTGTTAAAGTGGCCATAGTGCCCCAAGCAGTTTACAGATACAATGCTATTTGTATCAAACTACCAACACCAATTTTCACAGAATTAGGAAAAACTATTTTAAAATTCATATAGAACCAGAAAAAAATCCTGAATAGCCAAAGCAATCCTAAGCAAAAAGAAGAAAGCAGGAGGTATCATAGTACCTGATTTTAAACTATGCTATAAGACTACAGTAACCAAAACAGCATGGTATTGGTACAAAAACAGATAAACAGATAAACCAATGGAACATGTTGGAAAGCCCAGAAATAAAGCCACACACCTGGAATCATGGATCTTCAAAAAAGACAACAATAACAAGGAATGGAGAAAGGTCTTCTTATTCAATAAATGGTGCTGGGATAACTGGCTAGCCATATGCAGAAGATTGAACCCTGGATCTGTTCTTTCCACAATACACAAAACTCAACTTCAAGATGTATTGAAGACTTAAATGTAAGACAAAAACTATAAAAATCCTACAAGAAAACCTAGGAAATAGGTTTTCTTATAGCCCTTGGCAAAGATTTGATGACAAAGGTTCCAAAAGCAATTGAAACAAATACAAAAATTGACAAGGGAGACCTAATAAACAAAACTTCTGCACAAAGAAACTGTCAACAGAGTAAAGAGACAAACTACAGAAAGGGAGAAAATATTTGCAAACTATGCATCTAACAAAGGCCAAATATCTAGAATCTATAAGGAACAAATCAACAAGCAAAATCAAATAATCCCATTTAAAAATGGGCAAAGGATGTGAATAGGCACTTCTCAGAAGAACATATGCACATACCCAACAAGCATATGAAAAAATGCTCAACATCACTAATTGTAAGAGAAATGTCAATCAAAACCACAATGAGATGGAATCTCACACCTGTCAGAATAACTCTTATTAAACAGTAAAAAAATAACAGATAGTGGCAAGATTCTGGAGAAAAGGGAGTGGCTATATACTGTCGGTGAGAATATAAATTAGTTCAGCTACTGTGGAAAGTAGTCTGAAGATTTCTCAAAGAACTTAGAACTACCATTCAATATGGCAACCTCATTACTGGATATACAGTCAAAGGAATATAAATAATTCTAGCAAAGACACATGTGTGCACATGTATGTTCATAACAGCACTATTCGCAACAGCAAAGACATGGAATTAACTTAACTGCCCACCAACAGTTGATTGGATAAAGAAAATATAGTACATATACACTATGGCATATTATGCAGTCATAAAAAGCAAAAAATCATGTCCTTCAGAGCAACGTGGATGGAGTTGGATGACATTATCCTATGGAAATAAACACAGAAACAGAAATCCAAATATTGGATGTTTTCACTTATAAGTAGAAACTAAAAATCGAATACACATAGATACAAAGATGGGGACAGCAGACATTGGGGCCTACTTAAGAGGAGGTTGAAAGGAGGATGAAGATTGAAAAACTGTCAAGTGGTATGCTCATTACCTGGGTGACAAAATAATCTTCACACCAAACTCTCATGAGACATAATTTACCCATGTAGCAAATCTGCACATGTACCCCAGAACCTGAAATAAAAGCTGAAAGTAAAAGTAATAAATGAGAAAAAAAAATCAGGTAGACAGGCTCTGGCTTTGGCAGCATTTTTACAAGCGGGGACTGGCATAGCCTAACATAACGATAACACTAAATCTCATGAAGCATTTTTTATATTTCAGAACACTGCTGAAATTAACTGCAAAGATAAAACAGAAGCTAGAAATCATATTGTTTATCTTAAAGACTAGAATCTCAAGACACTACAAGATTGAAACCGAAAAAATTTAAAATAGATATATGGCAGTGACTGGAAAAGTTCTTCAAAAAATATACCCAAGATATTAACTGTTTCTTTGAGATCACAGATCAATAAACAGTCATTGAATGGCTCTTTGGTTTAGGTAGAAATTTTGCATAAGAATATAGTACTAAACATATATATATATTTGGTGCCTATTAATACAAAACAATGTGGACTATGAAGCTTTATAGATGCATTTCAAAGTAAATACTCCCGATTTTGAAGCTAGTTTAATGGTTTTGATTAAACTTCAGTTTAATGAAATTTGAATTTTAGATTGCATTAAACTTCAGTTTAATACAATTTGAATTTTAGATCACAAGTGTTTACATCAGATGCAGTTAGGTTTAGATAAGCACATTTAGATTTTGACACGGGAGATGCATTTTCTCTATCGCTGTATAAAAAACACAGAACACAAGCAACAGTTAATGAAGCCATTATAGCTGTCCAGGCAATTATTGCTGATCCAAAGACAGACTCCAGGCTGGAAAAAGTTGCAGATGAACATTTTAGGATTTTACCATGTCATCCAGTTAGTATAGCCAGAGCCTACACACAATTCTGGAATGTGTAAGAAAATCAAACGTTAGCTTTTCAGGAAATGAAAGCCCATAAATTTCACCAGGTATTTGCCATATTTGGTTTTTTTCTCTAGTAAGTATTAGGAGAAAATAAGAGGACATATTAACAAAATGAAAATGGTATGTATACAAAGATGCTCATTTTAACTTCATTACAATAGCTAGAGTTGGGGGTATTCAATGTCCATCAAAGTAACATAATTTAACCATGGAACAGTAACAACTCAATGAACTGCCTATAACTCAGTTTTAACTGTTTATAAAATACCAATAATGTGTAAAACTTTCTGTTGGTCTGTCTAATATTCCACTGCACCTCAAACCCAAGAGTACTGAGTATTTTTATATATTCTAAATCAGATTTCTCAAAACATTTTTTGGGATGGGTACTATAACATCATTTTTACATATGAGAAAAGTAAGTTTAGAAAAATTCAGTGAGCTTGTGCAATGTGCTTCGTGCCATGCCACTGGTAAGTTGTGAAGGTGGAACTGAAGCCTTGACATCTGCCAAGTCCAAACACTGTCCTCAGCACATTTCTAAACTAAATGTTCTTTCCCTAAACATTCCTGTTGTTGCTGGCTTCCTTTATCTGCTACCTGACCCATTATGTTCAAATCCTTGGTGTAATATTCTTTCCCCTACATCAGTAATCTGAAATAACTCTGGTATCTTTCCTCCTCCACTATTCTTCCAACAACAATCCTTAGTACCCCTCTGCTGGTAAATTGCAATTGTTCCGTTTATTGTCTCATTGGCTCCAGTCTCTGCATGCCTTAAGTTCTAAGGCCATCTCATTGTCTTCCATTCAAACCCTTCCATTAGCTTTGTCTCCTAAACTCTTATTGTATAAAGGCTGAGTCCCCTGCATGCTTTCCATGCCTCTCCCTATCCTGTCCCTAATCAGCTTCGCACAATTTACATTACCTCCTGCTTTAATTTATACATCATCATTTTAAGTGAGTTTAGAAAGGTATTATTTTACTTATAGTCTTATTTTTTCTTCTTACTTGCTTCTCATATTTTCACATTCTGGAATTCTTTCCTATATTACCCTTAATTAACAATAGGTTAAGTTCATAATTGTAAACATGGAATGAGAAACACCAAATTTAGCTATCAAAACAAATAGCAACAATTCGATATCATAAATGAGCTGGAGCAATGTATTAAAAACCAGTTTGAAATGACCAATCAAAAGAATGGCAATTTGAGTTTTCATATCAAAATACAGAGCTCTAGGAACTTTAGAATGAAGGCTGCCATTCTCACTTTGAGAATGAAGGCTGCCATTCTCATTTGAGAATGAAGGCTGCCATTCTCATTTGAGAATGAAGGCTGCCATTCTCATTTGAGAATGAAGGCTGCCATTCTCATTTGAGAATGAAGCCTGCCATTCTCATTTGAGAATGAAGCCTGCCATTCTCATTTGAGAATGAAGCCTGCCATTCTCATTTGAGAATGAAGGCAGAGACACTCTTAGCTGGGAGGACTATAGATCCATCTCACTGGTTGTTTAATTGCTTTAGAGAGATATAAAACTACTTTCTGTATAGATGTATATGCAGCATGTCTGAAGACAGATACTAAATATCACAATGTATTATATTTTCCTAAGGATGCAATTGAAACTTTTTATTTTGAGTTCACTGGTGATAGGCTCAGAACAAAGTGGCAATATCTACATCTATTCAGATATTGATTCAAGAGTAAAATGTAAAAGCTAAAACTATAAAACATAGAAGAAAAATTTTTATGACCTTGGAGTTAAGAAAAATAACACCAACCATGAATGGAAAAAAAATTGAATTTTATCATAGTTTAAAATTTCTACTCATCAAAAATGCCATTACTAACTGAAAAGGCAAGCTAGACCTTGAGAAAAATATTTTTAATAGATACATCTGTGAAAGAAGCATTATAAATTAATAACAAAAAGACAAACTTAATTTTTTTAAAGTGGGCAAAAACAGAAATTTCACAAAAGAAATTTATTTTTCACAAATAATTGGCCAATAAGCATATGAAAAGCTGCTCAACATTGTTAGTCATGGGGAAAATGCAAATGAAAACCACATGAGGTCTCACTATATACCAACCAGAATGCCTGAAATAAAGACTACAATGTCAAGTTTGGAGCAACTGAAAGGTACATATATTGTTGGCGGTTGTAGAAAGGGTACAATCACTTTGGAAAATTGTACAGCAGTGTCTAAGAAGGTTAAATATCATCTACCTTATGACTTAGCAATTTCACTGCTCAGTATGTTTCCAAGATGAATAAATATATGTCAATCAAAAGCTTGTATTATAATGTTCACAGCAGATTTATTCATAATAACCCCAAACTGAAAACAACGTAAATGTTTATCAGCAAGAAAATTGATAAATAAATGGTGGTAAAAATGAATGAACTACTGGTACAACTGCAAATTGAAGAATCTCAAAAACATTTTGTTAAGCAGAAGCCAGCCACAAAAGAGTACATGCAATACGATTTCATTTATGCAAAGTTCTAAAACAGGCAAAAACAATCAATGATGATATAAATCAAAATAGTAGTTTCCTCTGGTGGAGACAAGGGGTGTGGATTGACTGCAAAAACACACAGGGGAATTTTCTGCAGTAATGGGAATATTCTATATCTTGATTTGACTGATGGATTCATTGGTGTATATATTGATTTTTAAAATATAGGATCTTAACATCTGTGCATTTTACTATATGAAAATTATACCTCAGTAAAAAAATTAATCAGAAAAAAGTACTGAAGAGTGGACCTTAAGTAAAGCAAGGATTACAAAAGAACACTAAACCAACAATAAACTGCTTTTAAAGCTATGTTCTGAGTGAGAATAGTAAAGAATAGATATGCCTCACTGCTTGGCCCATTCCCACTGATTCACCATTTCTTTTGCTTCCATCTGTTCAGCAAAGTTGAATGACTTTTACAGTGGAACAACCATTAGTAAGAGGGAATTGGAGTTCAGAGGAACTGATCAGTGAGCTGTGGTTTTGCCACTAACTCATTTTGTGATCTTGGGCAGTTTACTTCAATTAACTGTACCTCCATTTCTTCATCATTAATATGAGGGCCAGACTAGAAAATTTCTAAGGCCCCTTCGAGCTCCAACATTCTGTGCGTAATTCCAAATGTGAGTTCTGCAGCTTCATACAAGGAACAGCACCCAGAGTTCTATGGTGACCTAATAAAAACATTTGGCACTGTCAATAGACCTGAAATCTGGCAGATATTTCAGAATGTTGGGCTGCCAAGAAAAGTTTACCAAGGTCATAAGCCTATTCTACAATGATATATTGGTCATGCTAGTGTTGACATCATCTCATGTGATCCCCTCCCAATTACTGATGAAGTAAAGCAAGGCTATGAATGGGATCGAGGGATACCTAATTCTTTGTATGCAGCACTATTAAGAGATTCGAAAAAGATTTGGAAGCTGTTGTTGAGCTCTGTTCCCAGTCCTCTGGAAAACCTTTTGAACTCATCAGACCAAACACTCAAGAAGAAACAAACAACTAATGTTCTAAATAAAAGCATTCCTGTGGGCTTAAAAAGTTGCAGTGCCATTAAACAAACTCCTATTATTCGGGTTAAAAATGTTTAATTTCCAATAATATTAATGGAACATGAGTGTGTACTAAATGACTATATGAAGATGTTTCATCTTTTCTTTACCAGGTACTAACATCTTCTACATATTGAGAAAGGAACAGCTTGCCCACCTTCCAAAGCTATATGGAACCAATACAAAAGTACACTGAGTTCTGTAGAAAAGACACTAATTTAATCGGTCCTCAGGGCCTTATTTAGCACATTTCAATAGTAATTGACTGTCCTTGGATAGCTTATATAATTTATCACTCATCTCCCAGAGCCCTTTCAGCCCAGGGAGTAACAGGACCTTTTGCTTCCTAAGGCATTCATGGTTCAGGACTAATAAATTAAAAAAAAAAATTTAAAGGAAATCCAAAAATGATATCATAAAGGGAAAGAACTGGATTTCAAATTTTGCCACTAGACACATATATTTTTCCTGGAGGCATCCTAAGTCTAATAGATAAATATATATATATCGTTTTCTGCAAGGGCCATCTGTTCACTTACTTGTTTCTGAGGGGAAATTAGCTTTCATTTTCTGGAGTATAGTTTAACTTCTCGCTAATAAAAATGACTCCAAATATACATGAAAGAATTGGAGGGTGGAAAAACTTAAACTTAACATTTTGTTGCAGAATTTTGTTCTTTAGTTCAGCTAAAATCAGGCTCTTGTCACACAACCAGAAAAATTTAGGCATGTGGACAGATTGAAGGGTGAGTAGGGCAGAATTTTATTGGGCAAAAAGGGAAAAAAAGAAAAAAACTCTAAAATGAAGTCCTGCTAACCGGCCTCACACCTGAGAGATTGAATCCTAGCATGCCACACAGGAACTGAAAAGACCAGGCTCCTCCCTGCTGGCCTGGAAGTTCAACAGTGTGAACTTCCCTTGGTTTCACCCTGTTCTCCCAGTGCACATGCCAGTTGGAGGTTCTCCAGGGACCCTCCCCCTTATCTTCCTCCTGCATCTGTCATTCCCCCTCTAAAGAAGTACATCTAACTGCCATTAGAACAAGAATAAGGAAAAGGATGAAGACCAATCTTAACTGCTTCCTGCTGACAGGGAGTACTGTTTTGGGAAAATGGCAGACAGAGCTCCTTCAGAAGACTATCTGAATGTCCCCAGCAGAAGGGGCCATCGTTCAAGGCTCCAGTTGCATGACCATTTGGAGTTTGATGGCCTGAAGGTGAAAAGAGACAAACCAGGTTATTAGAAAATATGTATCAAAATAAGGATGGGGTAAGGACAGCACAAAAATCCAGAGATGTTTTACTGGTTTGCACAAGGAGGGGGAGACCACAAGCGCAACTGGTAAAAAAACAAAACAAAACAAAACAAAAAAACAAAAAAAAGAAAACAAAACTATTTTGCTAGAATGTCAGGCTTCTGGGTTCCCTTCCCCTGAGCCTAATCCTAAGCCAACCAGTCTAAGGTTTGGGAAATTAACTCTTCCCAGTTTGGAGGATGCATTTGAGGGGAGTGTCTCATAGTACAGAGACACAATTACCTGTCAGTGAAGAGAGGACAGAGGAGGAAAAAGGAGGCATTTTTTTCAGAGGAATCCCAGGGATTCAGGATGCATTCAGAAGTGGTACAGACTGAAGATGAATGGCTACTCATCTAGAAAGAGGGGAGTAGGCATCCCTGGTTCTTTTCTCTTCCTGGCAAATACCTGGAAAGAAAGAGTGAGATGTTCCTCCTTCTTTCCTCTCTTCTTGTATCCCTGAGTCCCTGACAACAGCAGGGTGCCACCCATGGGCATCAAAGTGGCTTTCATCCGTGTTAACAGGGGGACCTAGGTGGTGGGAATATACTCTCTTACCCACATATGCCCTATCTCCCCTGCTGTCAGTAGCCTTTGAATTTCTTAGACCTAATTTATGTCATGAATACCAGCATTACCTTTATCTATGAAACAGGAAGCTTGGCTTAATCAGCAGGAATTAGTCATGCTCACCTGTGCTGTGCCTTTTAACTTCTGTTATCATCTTCCTCTGGATCCCTCAGAACTAGAACTTTGTACTAAGGATTTGAACCAAAGCTTGGACTTGAGTTTGGGGCAAAAATGTGTCACAGGGGGTTGCATGGACTCCTTATCAGAGGCCAAATGCTAAAGTGAAGCTGTGAAGTTGAGTCCTCCTTCAACAAGGGAGAGAAAAGGATGTCTTGTGACATCCTCAGATAACTGGTGACTATAGTAATGCTTGCTGAGATTTGCGTGCATAGTACTTGGCTTTGGTTAGCTCCATTGGTCTTGCTTTCCCAAACAGAAAACCTCTGGGTGATGGGCATCCCATTTAACTCTTCCCAGTTTGGAGGATGCATTTGAGGGGAGTGTCTCACAGTACAGAGACACAATTACCTAGCAGTGAAGAGAGGACAGAGGAGGGAAAAGGAAGCTTTTTTTTTTTTCAGAGGAATCCCAGGGATTCAGGATGCATTCAAAAGTAGTACAGACTGAAGATGAATGGCTACTCATCTAGAAAGAGGGAAGTAGGCATCCCTGGTTCCTTTCTCTTCCTAGCAAATACTCTTCCTGGCAGGATTTGCAGAATAACTGTCATAAACTAGAATATTGATCCAGGTTTTCACATCACTCATCCCTTTTGTTCTTTCTGAGCTGAAGCCAGGGATTGCTGGTTGGTTCACAGGAACAAGCAGTTAGTCTAAAATGTAGGCAAAAACTTAAAAACAACTAATGAATCTAAAATTTAATGATGATAAATTTTGAAACATAATTTCTCTCTCTCTTGTTCTCATTTCTCTTAAAAACAAAAACAAATCACGATAGGACTATGTTGTTTGCAAAATAGACTTCAGTCTTATACTTGACCTAATTATTTGCAAAAAGTGCTAAAAGAATAATTATTTCTATCCAGGCCTTTTAGATTGGCTTTGGTGGAACTCTGTTCCACAAGGAATCTCAAATAAGACCTTTTAAAACTGAGCCCAGACATGGGTTTCTATCCTCAAATACTTGTAAGTTTGGTAAACTCCTCTCTTCTTGAGGTCCCAAGAGCATGTGGTTCCTGGGCCTGTTGGAAAATGGCATTCTTTACTCATCAAAGGTTAGGAACCTACAAGAACTATGTAGACAAGAATATGAGGCCAGTTTTCTCAAGGAGCTTTTATCAGCTTTGAGATTTGAGCTTGAGTCCTTAAAGGGAAGCAAACTCTTCCAGTCAAAACCTTGGTAAAACAAACAGCTTCTCCATTTGCATCCTGTTGCAAAGGAAAATTGATTCTTATTGCACTGATGCAAACAAGTGTATTGCCATAAGTTAAAAATACTCACAGATAGTTTCCAAATTCTAGAGGAACCAGGCAAAGAGAAACAAATATGCTCCAAATTTTGTACACAGGAGTATACCTTTCTCAATTATTAAAGGCCATAAGTAGCTTAAAATGAGTTTCCTTGACTGAAAAACAAAACAAGGATTAGCAATGTTCCAAGCAAAACTCAAAAAGATTACTTCAGTTTTGTGTTAGTTCAGTCCATCCAGTTAGCTCTTGTTTTGCTTGATATTAGTAAGCATTTCTGTTCTTCATGAGTCTTGTACATTTTTTCTTTATTCCAATGTCACAATTTCCAAGGTAATGAGAAACCTGTATTTGAGAGCACTTGTCAGGCTCCTACAGCTTATTACAGAGCATCCTTTGAAAAGGACCAAACAAGACAATGATTGTGAATAACATAAAGTCCAGGGTAGTTACAGTCAGAAACACAATTGACAAAGAAGTTTGGTTGTCATTGTGGTTTACAATAACTTAACATAACAACCTTAATTATGATTGATGGCATATACTTTAGACATTAGAGTTTTAGAAATCCCATACAATTTTGGCAGATATGTTAGTACTATTCACCAAAATATAACCTTAAGAAGATTGAACACCATTTTGGCAATCCCATGTAATGAAACATGTCAAATAATCCTGTTTACCTATCTTGTGGACACTCCAGGGGCCCTCTGTAGCATCTAAAAGCCAGGCATCAGGAAAGACAATTTTGAAACCGAAGTTTGATTTTGGGAAGCCTGTTAAATATGTTAGAGGTTTAAAACACTTGATGTTATGAAATAGAATTCCAGATTACAATGTTAGCTATTTTGCCAAAATAATTACTCAGAAATTTAAAAAAGCAAAACCTTTTATAACCCCTTATAAATTTTGTTAAAGGGCAGATTAGTGCCTTAAGAGTGCCTTGTTATGCTTTTATTTTAATGATCAATTTACAGAAAAAACATATAATATCCTTTTGCATTTAGTCAATATGTTCACACATGAAATTTTTGCAAGATTAATTTTTACAGTCATTTCATTATTTGTTTAAACCTTCAGCCTAATATTATCTGATTCGAAACAATCCTTCTACCCTAAGCAAGAATTTACATTTCTATGTCTTCTTATAATCTTTTACTAAAAACACACTTTACTGTTCTTACACACCTTACATATAAATCTATTTCCAGTAGTTTTAATTACATGTTATAATGGTAACTTCTAGCAATTTTTAACTGTAATTTAAAACCTGGTAAGTTTTTATAGTTATATGCTAGGTGCAGCCAAGGTTTGACTCCTTTCAGCACAATTACGGGTGTGGTTAATTCCATAGGTCTCCAGGCCTTACCAGTTGTGACACAGGGAAGTCAAACAGTTCTCAAAAACCAAAAAGGCAGTTTATAACCTTAAAGCACTTAGCAAACCTAATATCTGACCTGCAGAGTTTAGTTTACATATTTACATTTTGATGACATCTGCATTTCACCAATAACCTTTAAAGCGGTTTTTATTTCTCAAAGATTAAAGTCACACGATCTTAAAAGGAACCACAGCTTTTATCTTCCCTTAAAACATCACACATGCAACATATATGTAACTACACAGACAGGTAGAAAAGGATCCAGTGGATTTTTCATTTGCCAATCTCCTAATTATTGGCTTCTTATGCATGCACTAATAGTGGCAAGACAAAATGGAGAAAAAGAATTCAGTCAATTGAGGAAAAACCCTTTTTCCAGCAAAACAAGATCTGAGAAAAGAAAAACAGAAAGGCCATTTAAATATATCTGTAACTTGGATATCCACTTTTAATTAAGCTGAGCACGCTTTAAGACAATCTTTTAACTCCTTTATTACCCAACTTTAGTCCCACCAAGTAGCCATTATTTCTGGCTTTCAAACCTTACTAAAAGTAACCTCATAGGTGAAACCAACAAGCCTCAATTAGGGATATAATTTAACTGTGAGTGCATGAAGTATCTCCAAAGGTAGTTCTTACAAAATTTAGAACCTTTAAAGGTAACCCAGAGAAAGGAAGATTTAATAAAAATGCTAGAAGTTGTTCACTGTGGGGCAGAGAATCAGCAAATTGGCAAAAGGCAGGCAGATATGAACCCAAAAGTTCTCATTCCCTAAGCCAGGATTGAACCCTGGCTGCCATTGTAAATGGTGGAAGCTAGACAAAGCATTGCCATATGGTTAGAGGTCATGCTCCCAAGGATGTAAAACAAGATGGAGGCCTAAAGCAAAGTCTGCAACTAATCATACAGAAAGTCACGCAAAGCACACCAGGTTGGCATCAACTTAAGACCAACCTCACAAATCCTTTTTCATAATTAAAATTTTACAGAGAATATAAACAGTGATTCTTATTATTCCTGGCCTAGTTAAATGTCTTCTAAAAACAAAACAAAACAAAGCTCTCACTTAAAAGTTAACTGCTGACAGGGTAGAGAAAAGGAAAAAAAGTTTAAAGTGCAGCGCTGGAACGTTGCCTGGGGGTGGAACCTGTTATTCTTTTTTTTTTTTTTTTTTTTTATTATACTCTAAGTTTTAGGGTACATGTGCACATTGTGCAGGTTAGTTACATATATATACATGTGCCATGCTGGTGCGCTGCACCCACTAATGTCATCTAGCATTAGGTATATCTCCCAATGCTATCCCTCCCCCCTCCCCCGACCCCACCACAGTCCCCAGAGTGTGATATTCCCCTTCCTGTGTCCATGTGATCTCATTGTTCAATTCCCACCTATGAGTGAGAACATGCGGTGTTTGGTTTTTTGTTCTTGCGATAGTTTACTGAGAATGATGGTTTCCAATTTCATCCATGTCCCTACAAAGGATATGAACTCATCATTTTTTATGGCTGCATAGTATTCCATGGTGTATATGTGCCACATTTTCTTAATCCAGTCTATCATTGTTGGACATTTGGGTTGGTTCCAAGTCTTTGCTATTGTGAATAGTGCCGCAATAAACATACGTGTGCATGTGTCTTTATAGCAGCATGATTTATACTCATTTGGGTATATACCCAGTAATGGGATGGCTGGGTCAAATGGTATTTCTAGTTCTAGATCCCTGAGGAATCGCCACACTGACTTCCACAATGGTTGAACTAGTTTACAGTCCCACCAACAGTGTAAAAGTGTTCCTATTTCTCCGCATCCTCTCCAGCACCTGTTGTTTCCTGACTTTTTAATGATTGCCATTCTAACTGGTGTGAGATGATATCTCATAGTGGTTTTGATTTGCATTTCTCTGATGGCCAGTGATGATGAGCATTTCTTCATGTGTTTTTTGGCTGCATAAATGTCTTCTTTTGAGAAGTGTCTGTTCATGTCCTTCGCCCACTTTTTGATGGGGTTGTTTGTTTTTTTCTTGTAAATTTGTTTGAGTTCATTGTAGATTCTGGATATTAGCCCTTTGTCAGATGAGTAGGTTGCGAAAATTTTCTCCCATGTTGTAGGTTGCCTGTTCACTCTGATGGTAGTTTCTTTTGCTGTGCAGAAGCTCTTTAGTTTAATTAGATCCCATTTGTCAATTTTGTCTTTTGTTGCCATTGCTTTTGGTGTTTTAGACATGAAGTCCTTGCCCACGCCTATGTCCTGAATGGTAATGCCTAGGTTTTCTTCTAGGGTTTTTATGGTTTTAGGTTTAACGTTTAAATCTTTAATCCATCTTGAATTGATTTTTGTATAAGGTGTAAGGAAGGGATCCACTTTCAGCTTTCTACATATGGCTAGCCAGTTTTCCCAGCACCATTTATTAAATAGGGAATCCTTTCCCCATTGCTTGTTTTTCTCAGGTTTGTCAAAGATCAGATAGTTGTAGATATGTGGCATTATTTCTGAGGGCTCTGTTCTGTTCCATTGATCTATATCTCTGTTTTGGTACCAGTACCATGCTGTTTTGGTTACTGTAGCCTTGTAGTATAGTTTGAAGTCAGGTAGTGTGATGCCTCCAGCTTTGTTCTTTTGGCTTAGGATTGACTTGGCAATGCGGGCTCTTTTTTGGTTCCATATGAACTTTAAAGTAGTTTTTTCCAATTCTGTGAAGAAAGTCATCTATGACAAACCCACAGCCAATATCATACTGAATGGGCAAAAACTGGAAGCATTCCCTTTGAAAACTGGCACAAGACAGGGATGCCCTCTCTCACCGCTCCTATTCAACATAGTGTTGGAAGTTCTGGCCAGGGCAATTAGGCAGGAGAAGGAAATAAAGGGTATTCAATTAGGAAAAGAGGAAGTCAAATTGTCCCTGTTTGCAGACGACATGATTGTTTATCTAGAAAACCCCATCGTCTCAGCCCAAAATCTCCTTAAGCTGATAAGCAACTTCAGCAAAGTCTCAGGATACAAAATCAATGTACAAAAATCACAAGCATTCTTATACACCAACAACAGACAAACAGAGAGCCAAATCATGGGTGAACTCCCATTCACAATTGCTTCAAAGAGAATAAAATACCTAGGAATCCAACTTACAAGGGATGTGAAGGACCTCTTCAAGGAGAACTACAAACCACTGCTCAAGGAAATAAAAGAGGAGACAAACAAATGGAAGAACATTCCATGCTCATGGGTAGGAAGAATCAATATCGTGAAAATGGCCATACTGCCCAAGGTAATTTACAGATTCAATGCCATCCCCATCAAGCTACCAATGACTTTCTTCACAGAATTGGAACCTGTTATTCTTATACAAATGGATTCCTAGCCCTGGTAAGGAGAAGGACAGGGGAGTTGCCATTTATCATTCCATCCCACGTGTGCCTGCAGCCTTTGGGGTGGGGTGGGGTGCAGTTTCCTCTGCCCTCAGAAGAAGTCTGGGGACAAAAAGGCTTAGAAGGAAAAGGAAAAAATATTTTTTGGTTTTCATGTTACCCTTTCTCAAACCCCATGTCTGGGCGCCAAAATGCTGAGGAATTTTGTTCCTTAGTTCAGCTAAAACAGGGCTCTTATCATATGACCAGGACAATTTAGGCACACAGACAAATTGAAGGGTGAGTAGAGCAGGATTTTATTGGGCCAAAAGGGCAAAAAAAGTAAAAAAAAACTCATCAAAGTGAGATGGAGTCCTGCTAACAAGCCTCTCACCTCACAGACAGAATCCCAGGCCACCACACAGGAACTGAAGAGGCCAGGTTCCTTTCCCATGCAAATGGCACAAACTTCCCCTGGCTCTACCCTGTTCTCCCAATGTGCACCGTATGCAGGCCAGTCACAGGTTCCCTGGGGACCCTCCCGCTTATCTTCCTCTTCCATCTATCAATTTGATCATATTTCAATGGTGTGATACAGAAAGTGATGGAGAAGCAACAAAATAGATCAGAGCATGCCAAGTAAATTAGTTCATTCCTGAATCAGTCTGTACCTTAAATTAATTTATACTTAAGTGCAGTTACTAAACGATAGAAATTATTAATGTAAAGAAGATCTGGCGGGGGGGGTTCTCTTTATAATTAACTTCAAAGAAGAGGGTATTTGCACCAAATAAAACATCCCAATTGCATATATCCCAGTATGAAATCTGTAACTGGGAGACTACCCTAGGAAAATAAACTTTTTAAGTACATTCAAGTTTTGTTCTTTTTGTATCTTGTTAGAGATTTTCTTGTGTAACTAACTTCAGAGGGCTTTTCAAATATATGTTGCTTTGTTCAGAAAGCATCTAAAAGTGTTACTCAAGCAAGAACTAATTCAAAGCAAATTTATTTAAAGTCTGTTTTGTTGTTTTTCCTCTATTCTGAAAGTTATGGGAAATGGAAGGAAAATCTATTATAGGTTACTTCAGCATTTAAGTGAGGTTCAAAAGCATCCTTAACACTATCTTCCAATTATATGCATGTGTAGAAGGGATAGTGTAACTTCCAAGCTTTGATCCAAGAGGCTTGAATTTTCCTCTCAGAATGTTTTAAGATTCTCTACAGAGTCAGGGTTAGTAAGAGGATTGATACAATGACTTCTAGAAAACTAGGGCACTAGAAGAGTAACACAAACAACACAAATTATTAGGATTCCTAGGACAAGTAAGACTAATAGGATAACAAGGGCCCCAGTTATAATTTGCTAGTAGATGAGGCCTCCCAAAGAGCCTGAATATCAGGATGTATCATGGAGTTTTCATAGTACAGATTATTCTCATTATCTGTGGATTTCATATTTGCAAATTTGCCTACTAGCTAAAATGTACTTGAAGCCCTCAATATTGCAGAAGCTTTAAAGGTCCTTTGTGGACATGCACAGATCAGTGAAAAAATTGGGGTACCAAGTATTCATGGCCCTAGCTGAGATCCAATGAGACCATCTTCTGCTTTCTTGTATTAGCTCTCAAAATGCAAACAAGTGTCCTTTTCCTGCTATGTTTAGTGCCATTTTGGGAGGCATTTTTGTGCTTTTGCTGGTGATTTTGCCTTTTAAATGCTCTCCAGCATAGTGCTGCAGTACTACCCAATGTTTCTAAGTACAATAAGACTATTATGTAACTTACAGAAAAAATTCATGTTCGATAAGCTCTGTTGAGACATGAGTGATAGTGCTGTCCTCCATGAATTCAATGTTAATGAATCGACGATATATATTAAAGTGCCTTTACACAAAAACACACATAAAACAAGGATATGTATTTGTTGATTGAGAAAAACCTTGTGACCAGAGGCCTGAAGAAATCTAACTCTGTATTTACCAAATGAAGCAATGTCTCAGTATTCATTAACTTGGTGTTGCAAAGACTGTATAGAACACAGCTACCGTGAATGAGAATCAACTATAGATGTACTCGTTAAAATAAAAATAATAAGAAGGGAGTCTAAGAATTCTTCTCTTTTCTAGAAGGCTTAACTGTTGATAGAAACTAAAATTATTTTTAGATTTTATCATATTATATTATGTCCATAGTAACAATATTTAAAATGGAGATAAACAAAAAATAGATGGAAAATTCTTTATAATGCTAACAGCCATAGAAAACCACTGCTAATATTTTGATGTTCCAATTTATAGAAGACTATATATATATACACACACACACACACACATATGTGTGTGTACATATATAAATATATACACACATAATACAGTTATTTAAGCTGATATTTTTGTTAGTGGTGGAAGGTATCTGAGTTACTGGTGGTAAATCCACATGGGTCTGCAGCAACTTCAATTCTTGCCTCTTCAGAAGAAAAAATTCGACTGAGGGGAATAAAGAGAAAAAGAGACTGAGGCAAGTTTCAGAGAAAGAGTGGAAGTTTATTAAAAAGCTTTAGGGCAGGAAAGAAAGGAAAGTACACTTGGAAGAGACCCAAGTGGACACCATGGAAGGTCAAGTGTGGCATTTGACCTTGATCCTAGGGATTTATAGGCTGCCCCACTTCCAGCATCTTGTGCCCCCTTACCTATGGAACTTCTCTTAGGATGGGCTGCCTGCATGCCCAGTGCCCTCCTTGAGCTTAGGAAGTGAGCACAAGGAGTGTAGTGTATTTACGAAGTTGTATGCATGTCCATCTGACATGTATTTAGAAAGTTGTGTGCATGTCCATCTGAGGCTGTCTTCCCTTTTCTGGCAGAGTGCCTCTGGAAGGTCATACTCTTATTTTGTCTCTTAATGTGCATACCTAAGCTCACTCGTCCAATACCTGAGATTTTACTGGAAGCTTATTTTGCTTCTCCCCGGTGCCTGCATTCAATTTACACTTTAATATAACAGCTGTGGACCTTCAGAAGATTATCTCTCCCTGGTGCCAGCTACTTAATTATCATTTTTAAAGAGGCGATGTGATAATTGTTGAACCATCACCTGATGATCACCTGACACTCCTCATGAGTGGGGGAGAGCCGTCTCCTGCCCTGCTCATGCCTAACTGCTTATACCATTTTCACTAAATGTGTTGTGTATATCTTTCCATCAATAAGCCATTTAATGATTATCTAGTATATTATTTTATTGTGATAGTATATTTATTTTACTAATCCTCATACTGTATATAGTTAAGTGGTTTACACACACACTTTTTTGTTTTGTTTGCTGTAAATGATGCTGTAATAAACATACTTGTTTTTACTACTTTGTAAACTTGTAAAATGGTTTACTTGGGTGAAAAATATTAGGAGTTGACTTGTCAGTCTGTTTTAGTTTTCGATACTTGCCAAAATGTACCTAAATTTTGGGCCAAATTATATTCGACCTGAGTGTGTGAAAATGGTTTTCCTACGCAGTCTTACTATTGTTGTGCCTTGAAATTTTGGAAAATGTTTTCTGATATAACTCAATGGATTAAAAAATGGTTTACTATAGTGGCTCTAATGTAAATGTTAATTCTAGTAATTTGAACATATTTCATGGTTTTTGGACAGTTGTATCTCCCATTTGTGAAATGTGTTTTCACAAATTTGCCTTTTCAAGAATGCTATTAAGGTTTTGTTTTTCATTAATTTATGAGAAATCATTCATTTTAGTAGAATATATCTACCATATAGGTTACAAGCATTTTTTTCCAGTGCAGTGTTTTTCTTTTACTTTGTTAGTACAGATATTTTGTTTTTTTGTATTTGGTGATGAGGAATTTTTTAACCATCATGTAGTCCAATAATTCAAACTAGTCTCTCAAGGATTATAAGTACTCACCAGTCAGACCACCTGGACCAGCCCCTTTTGGGGAAGCTATTTTTGACAACATGTTCTATTTCAGCTACATTTATTATCTGATTTAGATTTTCTTTTTCTCCTTAATTTAATTTGGTAGGCAATATTTTTCTAAAAATCAATCATTTCAATTAAGTTTTTCTACTATTATGATTTCTCTACTATGTAAATCTCATTAGTATTTATTATGCCTCAATACTTATTCCAAATATTATTTGTATTGATGGCTTTTCTCATTTTCAGGACACTTGTTACTTTTATAAAAGAAATATTTTCTGGATTTATTTTTCTATTTGTTTCTTTTTTCTAGATTAATTCTGTCAGTTATTTTCCTTTTTTAAAACCATTTATTTACTTTTAAAATTTGTTTTTATTCCATTAATTTCTTGATTTATATCTTCATACACCCCTAAATTCCTGAAATGTTTTTTTGGTTGCCATGTTAGCCCATCCCAAAGCAGCACAGGGAATCACATGGTAAGGATGTTAAGCATGCTAGGTCAAGTCTCTTTTCCTCTTCTTATAAAACCATTATACTCCCATGATAACCCATTCATCCATTATTCCATGAATTTATTAGTCTACTTATAAAGCAGAGTCCTCATGACTCAATTACCTCCTAAAGGCCCCACCTCTCAGTACTACTACATTGGGGATTAAATTTCAACATGAATTTAGGAGGGGACAAATATTCAAACCCTGACAGATGCTACAATCAATCTTGGAGAAGATTCTGTGTTCTTTGTTTTATTCCACTATACTTTTTATATTATTCACATTATTTTCTTTTTACTTGTCTTTAAACAAGACAAAATCTGGCAAGGCTGATGTTTGTCTGTACGAAGCCTATTGAATTGCCCTTTTCTCTTTCCTCTGTTCACCATGATGGTGGTCATTTTTTTTTTTTTTTTAAGTAATTAGTTAGATTTACTAGTTAAAGTGCTCAGCTCCTAGGTGTTTTTCTGACTTTTATCAGTTTTAAACCAACGGGGCAAAATATCACAAGAGAACTTTCCTCTCTAATGTGGTAGCTTTTCTGCATTGTTTATTGCCTACTGTTTGGATAGTCCTAAACAAATTATAATAAATTAAAAAATGTAATCACAGTTTGTACCAGAGCAGCATCTCCTTTATAACACTTTTCTAACGCAAAATAAAGTTTTCAGATGCATGTATCACAGTCTTAGTCTGTTCAATCAGCTATAACAAAATACCAGAGGCTGGATAGGTTATAAACAACAGAAATTTATTTGTCATAATTCTAGAAGCTAGGAAATCCAGTATCAAAGTGCTGGCAGATTTAGTGCCAGATGAGGGCCCACTCTCTGATTCACAGATAATACCTTCTAGCTGTGTCCTCACATGGTAGAAGACAAAAGGCAGCTCCATGGGTCCTCCTTTAAGGGCACTAATCCCACATTGGTGATTCGGTTTTAACATATGAATTTTGGGGAGGACACAGAGAACACAAACATTTGGACAATAGCAACCACCATCAGTTTCCATCACTTCTGAGTAGTCTCTAGGATTTAAAGTTGTGTGCCTAGTTGTTAATGGGAAGCAAGGGAAAGAGACTATGGCAAAGTGAAGACAGGGGTAGGAGCTGATGGCAAAGAAAAGGGTGCTCAGGTCCTAATTTATAAGGCAGAGAACAAGTGGTTAGAAAGCATGAAAGTATCTTTTATATTTTCTACTGTTAACACTGCTTTGAAAAGCAAAAGAGACAATATGAAAACAGAACTTGGGCTCTGGTTAATTTCTTGTACAGCCTGGCACAAGAAAAAACATAAGTCTGGAGGATTCTGTGGTGCCAGAAAGTAAGAAAGTGCTGAAAACAGAAAACAAAAGGATGAGAGCAAGTATAAAGGACACACAAGTCAGCCTAAAAGAGTCTCCAATGGCCAAAGTTGGAACAAGTTGAGCAACAAAATAAGTAACAATAGTACTGAGTTATAAACCTTCTAAAAATACATGAGATCATACTGACATAAATAAATAAATGGAGGAATGAAAACTTTTCTTTATAGAAGAATGATAATTAATAAATGTATATTAAATTAGAGAATTTGAAAATCACCAGTAGAGCATCACAATAATCATTGCTGTGGGCAAGATCCATTAATGGATGCTTAAATTAATGAACAGAACTTTAAGCAGAAAGGAGATATGTGCACAATTTGAAGGTAACTTTCCCCAAATATTGAGTAATTACAAAGAAAAAAAAGGAGTAGCTTTACAATCGAGAATTTTGGCAATTAACACCTTAGCCAAGTGATCAAGGGTTACAATCCTGGGCATATACATTGACACCATGTGCCTCTTCATAGGTGAGTTACAAGGATACATCATACCCAATGCCAAATAACCTTAATTTAACCTTGAGAAAACATCAGACAGGCCTAAACTTAGAGATACTCTGTAATATAAGTGATCAGTTCTCTTTAAAAGAGTGAAGGTCATGAAATACAAGGAAGACTGAGAAACTCTCATGGATTAGAGATTAAGAAAATTAAATACAGTATGTCAGCAAGATAATGAAGTAGGAAGTGTCAGGTTCCACACCCATTCCCTCCTCCAGGAAGTTCAACTAGCTACTATCCACAGACCAGAACAACTTTTTGAAAATCCAAATACTTGGAAACAAGCTTCAGATATCTATGTGGTCTGAAGAACTTAATGAAAGTCTGACTACAGTAATACCACCACTTCCCATCCCCCAAGTAAGTATAGTGTTATATGAAGATTTATCTAGGCCCAGAATCAACAAGGAAAAAGGAAACTGGAGGCAGTCATCCAGCTTCCTTGGCATCCTGAGATGCTTCCCAGGATTCCCACTCTGGTCTCACCTCATATGCAATACTGGAGGGTAATGGCACAGTTAGACCACTCAAGGCCAGTTAGAAACAAAGAAAGGAGGCAGAGGTCATAATGGCCAGCATGGAAATCTTGACAACTCTGTCTTCATGCCAGCTGTGACATCCAATCAAAGATAGCAGGCACTTTATAGTTCACCCACAAAGCTGAGTCAGCCACCTTCAGAAGCATAATGAAAAGTTCAACACAGCTTGAATCCCTAGAGAGCTGGTCTCTATGTCCCATCCTCAGAACCGACACCAGTGATTCCACCCAAGCAGGAGTACTCTTGCTTTCATCCATTTAAGAGAAACAAAAAAGCTAGACCTGCTTCGCCCAGAAGGTCAAACAGCTGCTCAACTCAGCCAAAAGCTCACCCCATGGCTCTACTCTGGCAGAAAGGCAATCCTTAATCATTTGTTTCTAAGAAGCATAGCTTCTGATCCCCCCTTTTATTAGCAGTAACTCAGCTTAATATGAGTGATCCTGGAGCCCAGTGAGCAACCCTACCCAACGGAAAACCCCAAATAGCAGAATTGTTCAGCCAAGGAACACATCCTGTGACCAGTCTTACCAGAAGCAATCACAATACCCAGCCAATAGTTCTGCCTAATAGCAGAACTCAACCACTGGTCTCTCTAGATAGTGGAGCACAGTCAGCAGCCCCACTCAACATTGGAACAAAGGCAGTGATCCAGCCAACTAGAGAACCTACAACAAGCTCTGCCTCCAAGGGGATGTCACTGGCTAGCTCTTCCAGAATCACAGGCTAGACTAAATAATGAAGGTCTACCCTGCCAAAGAATACCTGTAAAGACAAGAAGACAGGGCTGTCTTCTCAAATGCACAGGCAAAGCTGTAATAACACAAGAATTGTTAATAACCAAGGAATAATGACACTTCTAAAAGACACTAATGAAGTTCCAGTAATAAACCTTAAAAATCAAGATTTATAAAATGACTGACAAAGAATTTAGAATACTTCTCTTAAAGAAGTTCAGTGAACTACTAGACTATATAGATAGAAAATCAAATGAAATTTGGGAATTAATACATGAACAAAGTGAGAAATCTGACAATAATAATATGAAGAAGAACAAAATAGATACCCTAGGGATGAAAAATATAATGACTGAGCTTAAAAATATGATAGAAAGCTTCAATAGCAGACTCAATCAAGCAGAAGAAATGATTAGTAAACTGGAAGACAGACATTTAAAATTATCCAATCAGAGGAATGAAAAGACAAAAGAATGAAAAGGAATGAAGAAAGCCTGCAAGAATTTTGGGACACCATCAAGGGACCACCTTTGCACATTAAGACCTATAGAAGAAGATGAAGAAAGAGAAAAAGGGCCAGAAAGCATATTTAAAGAAACAATGTCTGAAAAGGTTTTCCTATCTGGGGATAGAGGATAAAATACAGGTAAAGGAAGTGTAGAATACTCTAATTAAATTCAACTCACAGAGGAGTTCACGATAACACATAATAATAAAACTACCAAAAATCAAAGACAAAAAATTCTCAGATCAGCAAGATATAAGAAACACATCACATACAAAGGAGTGTCAATTTGACTATCAACGAATGTCTCAGCAGAAACCTTACAGACAAAAAGAGATGATATATTTAAAGTGCTGAAGGTAAAATACTGCCATCCAATAATATTTAACCCAACAAATATATCTTTCAAAAGTGAGAAATAAAAATTTTCCAGACAAACAAAAGCTAAGAAAGTTTATTATCAGGAGACCCACCTTTTTGATCAGGAGACCCTTTTTGATAAAAGGGTTCTTTAAGCTGAAACAAAAGACCACATATGAAAGTACAAAGCTCAATGGAATAAGTAAAACAGAGCCATATTCAGAATACTTTAGGTTTGTAATGTTTATGACAAGCAATTTTATATCTAGTATGAGGGTCAAAAGCCAAAACTATTAAAAACAACTATAGCTAAATTAAATTGTCAAGAAATACACTTTACAAAATAATGTAAATTATGATATCAAAACTATAAAATGTTGGAATAGAGTAAAAAAGTGGAGTTGCTCAATGCAACTAATATTAAGTTATTAGCTTAAAATATGCTGTTATAATTATGTTTTATGTAAATCTCATGGTAACCAAACTACCTACACAAAAAGCACCTTCATAAGAACAAAAAATCAAGTAAGTGATTAGAGTACCTGATTCTAACATCATATTTAAAAAAGAGGCACTGAAGAGGGTAGGAAAGACAGTCTCGAATCACCAACACCACTCTTCCTCCCACTCCCCAGCAGTGGAATTGTCTTATCACAGTGGTCAGAATCTGAGTTCTAGCAAGCCCCACCACAGCTGGCTAAAGTGCTCTGGGGTTCTAAATAAACTTGAAAAGCAGTCTAGGCCATGAGGACAGCCATTTCTGGCAAGTCCTTATGTTGTGCAGGGCTCAGAGCCAGTGGACTTGGGGTGTATGTGACCTAATGAGACACCAGCCAGGGAGGCCAAGGGAGTGCTTGCATCACCCCTCCCCCAACCCCAGACAGCACAGCTCACAGCTCTGGGAGAGTCTCCTTCCTTCCACTTGAGAAGAGTAAAGGGGAGAGTAAAGAGGATTTCGTCTGGCTATTTGAATACCAGTTCAACCACAATAGAATAGGGCAACAGGCAGACCAGACCCCAGATCCAGAATGACGTACCTAGACATACTCTGGGCCATGCTTTGAAATGAAGGACCTGGTTCTGGCAGGATTCATCATCTGCTGACTAAAGAGCACTTGGTCCGGCACTAGTAGCTGGGCAATACTTACCGTGGGCCTTGGGTGAGACTCAGAGCTGTGCTGGTTTCAGACGTGACCCAGAACATTCCCAGTTGTACTAGCTATAAGGCACCAGTTGCCAATACTGGAGAGAAAGAGATATGTGACCTTTCAGACAGAAAATTCAAAATAGCTGTTTTGAGGAAAGCCAAAGATATTCAAGATATTGCAGAGAATGAATTAAAAACACTATCAGATAAATTTGACAAAGAGATTGAAATAATTAAAAGGATCAAGCAGAAATTCTGGAACTCAAAAATGCAACTGACATACTGAAGAATACATAAGAGTCTCATGACAACAGAATTGATGAGGAAGAAGAAAGAATTAGTGAGCTCGAAGATAGGTTATTTTAAAATACACAGTCAGAGGAGACAAAAAAAGAACAAAAAAGAGTAAAGCACACCTACAATATCTAGAAATAGCTCACGAATTCTTTCTTCTTCCTCATCAATTCTGCTGTCATGAGACTCTTATGTATTTTTCAGTATGTCAATTGCATTTTTGAGTTCCAGAATTTCTGCTTGATCTTTTAAATTATTTCAAAAGGGCAAATCTAAGAGTTATTGGCCTTAAAGAGGAGGTACAGAGAGAGAGAGAGAGATTAGGTAGAAAGTTTATTCAAATGGACAATAACAGAGAACTTCCCAAACCTAGAGAAAGATATAAATATTCAAGTACAAGAAGGTTATAGAACATCAAGAAGCCTTCATCCAAAGAAGACTGCCTAAAGACATTTAATAATCAAATTCCCAAATGTCAAGGATAAGGAATTATAAAAGTAGCAAGAAACAGGAAGCAAGTAGCATGTAAAGAAGCTCAAATACATCTGTAAACTAGCGTCTTAATGGAAACTCTACAGACTGAGAGAGTGTCATGACATTCACAGTTTTTTGTTTTTTTGTTTGTTTGTTTTTGATACAGAGTTTTGCTCTGTCACCCAGGCTGGAGTGTGGCGGTGCAATCTCGGCTCACTGCAAACCCGAGAATGGGTTCACGCCATTCTCTTGCCTCAGCCTCCAGAGTAGCTGGGACCACAAGCACCCGCCACCAAGCCTGACTAATTTTTTATATTGCTTTTTGTAGAGACGGGGTTTCACCTTGTTAGCCAGGATGGTCTCGATCTTCTGACCTTGTGATCCACCTTCCTCGGCCTCCCAAAGTGCTGGGATTACAGGCGTGAGCCACCACGCCTGACCAACATTTGAAGTTTTTAAGAAACAAAAAGTTTCATCCTAGAAGAGGATATTCACTGAAAATATCCTTCTAACATGAAGGAGAAATAAAGACTTTCCCAGACAACTAAAGTTGAGGGATTTCATCAACACCAGACCTGACCTAAAAGAAATGCTAGAAGGGAGTTCTTCAATCAGACAGAAAAGGAGGTTAATGGTTAATGAGCAATAAGAAATCTTCTAAAGACACAAATCTTCTAAGGTACAAAAATTATGAGTAATAGTAGTGCATAGAAAAAAACACAAAATAATATAAAACTATAATTTTGTGTAGAATATTCATATCTTGAGTAGAAAGACTAAAAGATAAACCGATCAGAAATAATAACTGTAATTTTTTGAAACATTGACAATATAATAAGATAAATAGAAACAATGAAAAGTTAAAATGTAGGGAGCATGAGGGTAAGGTGTAGAGTTTTCTCTTTGCCTTTTTCTTTGTTTATGGAATCAGCGTTCAGTTGTCATCAGTTTAAAAATAATGAGTTATAAGATACTATTTGCAAGCCTCATGGTAACTTCAAAACGAAACCTTTAGCTAATCTAAGAAAAAGGAGAAAAGATCCAAATAAATAAAATCAGAGATAAAAGAGGAGACATTAAAACTAATACCATGGAAATTCAAAGGATTATTACAAGCTACTATGAGCAACTACATTTCAATGAATTGGAAAACCTAGAAGAAATGGATAAATTCCTAGGAAAATGAAATCTGCCAAGATTGAACCCTGAAGAAATTGAAAGCCTATACCGACCAAAAACGAGTAGTGAGATCAAAGACATAATATAAAGTCTTTCATCATAAAAAATCCAGGACCTGATGGCTTCACTGCTAAATTTTACAAAACATTTAAAGAAAAAGGAATACCAATTCTACTCAAAGTATTCCAAAAAATAAAGGAGAAGAGAATACTTGCAAACTCATCCTACAAAGCCATTATTATCCTGATACCAAAACCACACCAGGATACATAAAAACAGAAAACTACAGGCCAATATTCTTGATGAATATTGATGCAAAAATGTTCAACAAAATACGAGCAAACCAAATTCAACAATACATTAAAAAGATCATTCATCATGAAGAGGGATTTATCCCAGGGATGTAAGGATGGTTCAACATACACAAATCAATCAATGTTATACAATATATCAACTAAATGAAGTTAGAAAACCATAATCATTTCAATTGACACTGAAGAAGCATTTGATGAAAATCAACATCCCTTCATGACAGAAGAAAAAAATAACTCAAAAGGGCAGAGAAGAACATATACTTCAGATGCACAGCTAGTGTCATACTAAATGGGTAAAAAATGAGACCATTTCCCATAAGATCTGGAACAAGACAAAGACACACACTTTCAATACTGTTATTTAGTAGAGTACTAGAAGTCCTATCTAGAGCAATCAGATAAGAGAAAGAAATAAAGGCCATCGAAATTGGAAAGAAGTCAAATTATCATTCTTTGCAAATGATATTATCTTATATTTGGAAAAAACACAAAGACTCCATCAAAAAACTGTTAAAACTGATAAATTCAGTAAATTTTCAGGATACAAAGTCAACATACAAAAATTAGCAGTGTTTCTGTATGTCAAAAATAAACAATCTGAAATATAAATCAAGAAAGTAATCTAGTTTACGGTAGCTACAAATAAAATATACTACCTAAAAATAAACTTAAATGAAGAAGTGAGAGATCTCTACAATGAAAATTATAAAACACTGATGCAATAAATTAAAAAGGAAACAAAAAAATGGAAAAAAATTCCATGTTTATGGGTTGAAAGAATCACTATTGCTGGAATATCTAGCAAGCAATGGTAGAATACTATCAAAGCAATCTACAGATTCAATGAAAAACTACCAAAATGCCATTGAAATTCTTCACAGAAATATAAACAATAATCCTAAAATTTATTTGAAACTACAAAAGAACCAGAATAGCCAAAGTCATCTGGACCAAAAGAACAAAACAGGAGGAATCACATTACCTGATTTCAAATTATACTACAGTGCTATAGTAACCAAAACAGCACAGTACTGGTATAAAAACAGACAGGCAAATAGAACAGAGTATAGAACCCAGAAATAAACCCATTTATCTACAGTGAACTCATTTTGGACAAAGATGCCAAGAACACATTTTGGGGTAAGGACAGTCTATTCAACAAATGGTACCGGGAAACCTGGATATACATATGCAGAAGAATGAAACTAGGCCCCTATCTCTTATCATATACAAAAATCAAAATAGATTAAAGGCTTCAATCTGAGACCTCAACCTGTGAAACTACTACAAGAAAACATTCTGGAAACTTTCTGGAACATTGTTCGTGGAAAAGATTTCTTGAGTAATACCCCACAAGCACAGGCAATGATAGCAAAAATAAATAAAATGGGATGACATCAAGTTAAAAGGTTCTGCATAGCAAAGAAAACAATTAACAAAGTTACGACACAACCCACAGAATGGAAGAAAATATTTGCAAACTACCCATTTGACAAAGGATTAATAATCAGAATATGCAAGCAGCTTAAACAACTCAATAGAAAAAAAATCTAATAATCTTTTAAAATGGGCAAAAGATCTTTTTTTTTTTAGTTTAAGTTTTTTGTTTTTGTCTTTTTTTTTTCCTTTTTTAATTTTTTATTTATTATTATTATACTTTAAGTTTTAGGGTACATGTGCACAATGTGCATGTTAGTTACATATGTATACATGTGCCATGCTGGTGCTTTGTACCCACTAACTCGTCATCTAGCATTAGGTATATCTCCCAATGCTATCCCTCCCCCTCCCCCCAACACACAACAGTCCCCAGAGTGTGATGTTCCCCTTCCTGTGTCCATGTGTTCTCATTGTTCAATTCCCACCTACGAGTGAGAACATGCGGTGTTTGGTTTTTTGTTCTTGCGATAGTTTACTGAGAATGATGATTTCCAATTTCATCCATGTCCCTACAAAGGACAGGAACGCATCCTTTTTTATGGCTGCATAGTATTCCATGGTGTATATGTGCCACATTTTCTTAATCCAGTCTATCATTGTTGGACATTTGGGTTGGTTCCAAGTCTTTGCTATTGTGAATAATGCCGCAATGAACATACGTGTGCATGTGTCTTTACAGCAGCATGATTTATAGTCCTTTGGGTATATACCCAGTAATGGGATGGCTGGGTCAAATGGTATTTCTAGTTCTAGATCCATTCCCTTTGAAAACTGGCACATGACAGGGATGCCCTCTCTCACCACTCCTATTCAACTTAGTATTGGAAGTTCTGGCCAGGGCAATTAGGCAGGAGAAGGAAATAAAGGGTATTCAATTAGGAAAAGAGGAAGTCAAATTGTCCCTGTTTGCAGATGACATGATTGTGTATCTAGAAAACCCCATTGTCTCAGCCCAAAATCTCCTTAAGCTGATAAGCAACTTCAGCAAAGTCTCAGGATACAAAATCAATGTGCAAAAATCACAAGCATTCTTATACACCAACAACAGACAGAGAGCCAAATCATGAGTGAACTCCCATTCACAATTGCTTCAAAGAGAATAAAATACCTAGGAATCCAACTTACAAGGGATGTGAAGGACCTCTTCAAGGAGAACTACAAACCACTGCTCAAGGAAATAAAAGAGGATACAAACAAATGGAAGAACATTCCATGCTCACGGGTAGGAAGAATCAATATCGTGAAAATGGCCATACTGCCCAAGGTAATTTACAGATTCAATGCCATCCATCAAGCTACCAATGCCTTTCTTCACAGAATTGGAAAAAACTATTTTAAAGTTCATATGGAACCAAAAAAGAGCCAGCATCGCCAAGTCAATCCTGAGCCAAAAGAACAAAGCTGGAGGCATCACACTACCTGACTTTAAACTATACTACAAGGCTACAGTAACCAAAACAGCATGGTATTGGTACCAAAATAGAGATATAGATCAATGGAACAGAACAGAGCCCTCAGAAATAATGCCGCATATCTACAAATATCTGATCTTTGACAAACCTGAGAAAAACAAGCAATGGGGAAAGGATTCCCTATTTAATAAATGGTGCTGGGAAAACTGGCTAGCCATACGTAGAAAGCTGAAAGTGGATCCCTTCCTTACACCTTATACAAAAATCAATTCAAGATGGATTAAAGACTTAAACGTTTAACCTAAAACCATAAAAACCCTAGAAGAAAACCTAGGCATTACCATTCAAGACATAGGCATGGGCAAGGACTTCATGTCTAAAACACCAAAAGCAATGGCAACAAAAGACAAAATTGACAAATGGGATCTAATTAAACTAAAGAGCTTCTGCACAGCAAAAGAAACTACCATCAGAGTGAACAGGCAACCTACAAAATGGGAGAAAATTTTCGCAACCTACTCATCTGACAAAGGGCTAATATCTAGAATCTAAAATGAACTCAAACAAATTTACAAGAAAAAAACAAACAACCCCATCAAAAAGTGGGTGAAGGACATGAACAGACACTTCTCAAAAGAAGACATTTATGCAGCCAAAAAACACATGAAAAAATGCTCACCATCACTGGCCATCAGAGAAATGCAAAAAAGATATAAATAGACATTTCTCAAAAGAAGACGTATGAATGGCAAACAGGTGTATGAAAAGTTGCTCAATACTACTGATCATCAGATAATGCTAATCAAAACTAAAATGAGATACCACCTCACCCCAGTTAAAATGGCTTTTATCCAAAAGTCAGGCAATAATAAATGATGGGGAGGATGTGGAGAAAAGGGAACCCTCAGACACTGTTGATGGGAATGAAAATTAGTAAAGTCACTGTGAAGAACAGTTTGGAGGTTCCTCAAAAAAACTAAAAATACACTGCTAGTAAGAATGTAAACTAGTACAACCACAATGAAAAACAGTGTGGAGAATCCTTAAAGAACTAAAGCAGAACTACCATTAGATCCAGCAATCTCATTACTGGGTGTCTACCCAGAGGACAAGAAGTCATTATACAAAAAAGATACTTGCACATACATGTTTATAGCAGCAGAATTCACATTGGCAAAAATGTGGAACTCGTCCAAATGCCCATCAATCAACAAATGTGTTCATGTCCTTTGTAGGGACGTGGATGAAGCTGGAAATCATCATTCTCAGCAAACTATCACAAGGACAAAAAAACAAACACCGCATGTTCTCACTCATAGGTGGGAATTGATCAATGAGAACACATGGACACAGGAAGGGGAACATGACACACCGGGGCCTGTTGTGGGGTGGAGGAGGGGGGAGGGGGAAGGGATAGCATTAGGAGATATACCTAATGTTAAATGATGAGTTAATGGGTGCAGCACACCAACATGGCACATGTATGCATATGTAACTAACCTGCACGTTGTGCACATGTACCCTAAAACTTAAAGTATAATTAAAAAAAAAGAATGGCCATAATTTAAAAATCAAACAATAATAGATGTTAGCATGGATATGGTGAAAAGGGAATACTTTTACACTGTTGGTGGGAATATAAAGTAATACAATCAGTATGAAAAACAGTATGGAGATTAAACTAAAAAGAACTACCATTTGATCCAACAATCCCACTACTGGGTATCTACCCAGAGGAAAAAAAAGTCATTATATGAAAAAGGCACTTACACACATATGTTTATAGCAGCACAATTTGCAATGTAAAAATATGGAATGAGCATAAATGCCCACCAGCCAATGAGGAAATAAAGAAAACGTGATGTTAAAAAAAAAAAAAAAGAAATTGTGGTATATATACTTTTTCAATTGTGGTATATATATTTTTTCTTTATCCATTCATCTGTTGGAAATATATATGTGATGGAATGCCACTCAGCCATAAAAAGGAACAAATTAATGGCATTTGCAGCAACATGGATGGAGACCATTATTCTAAGTGAAGTAACTAGGAACATAAAACTAAACATCATTTGTTCTCACTCATAAGTGGGAGCTAAGCTATGAAGAAGCAAAGGCATAAGAATGATACAATGGACTTTGGGATCTCTGGGGAAAGAGTGGGAAGGGGGTGAGGGATAAAAGACAGACTACAAATTGGGTTCAGTGTATACTACTTGGATTATGGATGCATCAGACTCTCACAAATTACCACTAAAGAACTTATTCATGTAACCACATACCAGTTGTTCTCCAAAAACCCTATGGAAATAAATTTTTTTAAACAAACAAAAAACTACCATGTGATTAAGCGATTCCACTGCTAGATATGTACTCAAAAGAAAGGAAATCAGTATATAGGTAACAGACATATGCACTCCCATGTTTATTGCAGCACTATGCACAATAGCCAAGATTTGGAAGCAATCTAAGTGTTCATCAAGAGATGAATGGATAAAGAAAATGTGGTACATATACACATTGGAGTACTATTAGTCATAAAAAAGAATGAGATACAGTCATTTGCAATGACATAAATAAAACGATAAGACATTGCATTAAGTGAAATATTTCAGGTACAGAAAGGCAAACTGCACAGGTTCTCACTTATTTGTAGAACCTAAAAATTAAAACAATTGAACTCATAAAGATAGAGAGCAGAATGATGGTTACCAGAGGCTGGGAAAGGTAGTAGAGGAAAGTGGGAATGGCTAATAGGTATAAAAAAATAGAATAAATAAGATTTAATATTTGATAGCACATCAGGGTGACTACAGTCAACAATAATTTATTGTACATTTTTAAATAACTAAAAGAGTATAATTGGATTATTTGTTACACAAGGAGAGGATAAATTCTTGAGGTGATGAATACCATTGTATTTATTACGCATTTTGTGTTTGTATCAAAATAGCTCATGTACCCCATAAAAATATACACCTATTATGTATCCACAAGAATTAGAAGTAAAGAAAAACATTTCCAACAATATGCTTCCTACAAGAAACTCAGCTCATTTTATGGATACACGTAGACTGAAACTGAAAGATTGAAAAGAAAAATTCCATGGAAATGGAAACCAAAAGACAACAGAGGTAGCTACACTTATTTCGGACAAAATAAACTTTGCTTTTAAAATTGTTTGATACAAATTAGACATTATTTAACAATAAAGAGGTCAATTTATCAAGAGAATGTAACAATTTTAAATATTTATTCCACCAACATAGGAGCACCTATATATATATAAAACATATTTAAAATGATCTGGGGGAGAGATTGACTGCAACACTATAATAGTAGGCAACTTCACTACTCTATTTTGAACAATGGACAGATTATCCAGACAAAACTTTAATAAGAAAACATTAGACTGGAACAGTACTTTAGACCAAATGGATCTAATAGACACAGGCAGAACATTGCAACCAATAGCAACAACATACAAATTATTCTCAAACATACACAGAACTTTCTCTGGGATAGACCCCATGTTCAGGGAACAAAAAAGCCTTGGCAAATTTCAGAAGATTGAAATTATAACATGTATCTTTTCTGATTATGATGGTATGAAACTATAAATAAAAAATAGAAGAAATTTCAGAATATTCAAAAGTACATGGAAATTAAACAACATGCTCCTGAACAACTAATGGGTCAATAAACAAATTAAATGAAAAATTAAAATGTTGTTGAGACTACTAATAAAATAAAAACACAACATATCAAAGCTTATGGGATATAGAAGAAGTAGTTTTAAGAGGAAAGTTTATAGCAATAAATGTCCACATCAAAAAAATAAAGCTTTCAAGTAAACAACTGAATGTTATTCTTTAAACATCTAGAAAAGGAACAAATTAAAGTCAAAGTTAGCAGAAGAAATGAAATAATAAATATCAGAATAAAAAGAAATGAACTAGAAACTAGAAAAACAATACAAATAATCAGTGAAACTGAATCAGCTTTTTCAAACATAAAGAAACAACAAACCTTTAGCTAATCTAAAAAAAAAGACGAATAAATAAAATCAGAAGTGAAAGAGGAGACATTACAACTGATACCACAAAAATACAAAGGATCACAAAAATTAGTATGATCACTTATACTCCAACAAATTAAACAACCAAGAATATATATGAATAAATTACTAAAACATACAGCCTACCAAGCCTGAATCATGAAGAAATAGAAAATCTAAACAGACCAATTGTGAGTAAAAAAAATCAGATCTGTAATAAAAAATCTCCCATCAAAGAGAAGCTCAGGATCTGATGGCTTCATTTCGGAATTCTACCAAACTTTTAACGAACTAATAACAATACTTCTCAAACTCTCTTAAAAAATTAAATAGTAGAGAATACTTCCAAACTTTTTTTGGCCAGCATTACCATCTGACCAAAGCCAGACAAGGACATTAGAAGAAAAGAAAATGACAGGCCAATATATTCAATGAACATAGATGCAAAAATTAACAAAAAAAACTAGTAAACCAAATTCAACAACACATTATATTTTTTAACACAAGTGTATTTTTTAAATGCTCAACATTGCTAATCATTACAGAAATGCAAAGGAAAATAACAGTGAGAGATATCATCTCACGCCTCTCAAAAAGCTCTTGTTAAAATATAGAAGATAACAAGTGTTGGAAAAACGTGAAGGAAAAGGAAACCTTTAACACTGTTGGTGGGAATGTGAATTAGTAACATTTGCATGTGATATTGAATGCATACACTTTAAAGTATCAATCACATATGCAAATGATACTAGAAAGTATCAATATTTACATCTCTTCCTCCCCATTCTTGCTATGATCACTTTATAGTTTGAGGCTAAAATAAATATTTTAAGTGATACCTGAAGGAAATGTCAGGTCTTGTGCTAGAACATAGCAGTAGCTATAAATATATTTCTCTCAGTTTGCTGATTTGGCATCTCTCATTTTAAATTTTTAAAATAGAGAGCATCATCATCAAATTTTTTTTCCACAAAATTACAAAGCCCAAGCCTAAGGTTTGAGGGTATTTTTTCTAAAATATTCTGCTGTAGAATCTAAAACTATTTCTCTCAAAAATAACAACTTTTAAAAGCAGTTAAGATGAGAAATAAATATAACTTAATATCTGCATAGTAACTTAAAAATCTAAGGAAGACCACAAATTTGCATCACAATTATAAATGATTTTGCATTTTTTCTTTAAATTTTTACGTATATTTACTTCCGACTTCTGGCATCATTTGAGACACAGAATGCTTAATTCATCAAAATAAGGTTATCATTTTCTTCAAGTTAATAATGTATGAATCTCAGATCACACAAAGTGTATGTGCCTTACAAGGGAAAAACTAATATTCTTTTATATCTTGGACTTGGCTAACACAACCAAAGATGTTGCAACAGTGAGCCTAACTTCTGAAAATACTTTAAAAGAACAGTAGTATTTCAGTCCTACTGCATGTCTACCTTATGGCTTTGAAAAAAGAATAGAAGGAGGAGAAAGAGGAAGATAAGTAGGAGGAACAGAAACAGAGCATGACAGTTGAATAAACATATTGTCCTCAACTGTCACTGGACCAAGAGTCAGACAACTTGAACTTAATCAAGAGTAAGCTCAAAGATTTCAGTAGACATAACACACAATATTTGAAATAGATAATTCCCAAGGACTTTTCTATTAGGAGAAGATTCTCCATGGGTCTAATTGAGTGTCCAAGGACTTTCCACTGGGAGACAATTCTCCAGGGATGTCTCGTGTTTATGCACATTGATATGGTTTGGATGTCTCGCTGGAATCATATGTTGAAATGTAATCCCCAAAGTTAGTGGTAGGGCCTAGTGGGAGGTGATTTGATCATGGGGACAGATTTTTCATGAATGGTTTAGCACCATCCCCTTTGTACTGTCATCATGATAGTGAGTGAGTTCTCATTAGATTTGGTCACTTAAAAGTGTGTAGCACCTCCCTGCCCTCTCTTGTTCCTGCTTTCATCGTGTGAAGTGCTTGCTCCCACTTTGCCTTCTGCCATGAGTAACAGCTTGCTGAGGCCTCCTCAGAAGCTGATCAGATGCTAGCATCATGCTTCCTGTACAGCCTGCAGAACCATGAGCCAATTACATCTTTTTTTAAATCAATTACCCAGTCTCAGGTATTTATTTATAGCAATGTAAGGAAGGCCTAGTACATATATCTTGCAAGAATAGGCACTGTATTAGTCTATATTCATGCTGCTAATAAAGACATACCGGAGACTGGATAATTTATAAAGGAAAGAGGTTTAATTGACTCACAGTTCGGCATGGCTGGGGAGGCCTCAGGAAACATACAATCATGGTAGGAGGGGAAGCAGACATTTCCTTCTTCACATTAAGAAGTGGAAGCAACAAGGAGAAGGGCAGAGTGAATGGGTGGGGAAAGACCCTTGTAAAACCTTCCGCTCTCATGAGAACTCACTCACTATCACAAGAACAGCATGGAGGTAACAGCCCCCATTATTCAATTACCTCCTACCGGGTCTCTCCCACAACATGCGGGGATTATGGGAACTACAATTCAAATTGAGATTTGGGTGGGAAGACAGCCAAACCATATCAGGCATCAACAGACTTTGTTCCAGATTTTTTTTTGTCAAGAATGTTTGTACAATGAACAGTCTTAAAGGATTATGATAGTATCTATCCCCAGAATAAAAAGGCAGTTTTGCTTATAGTCTGGAAATAAGAGACAATGCCTCCTTTTGGAGCAATAGACAGAGAGATTTACTGCCCATTATTAAAGATTCAGGTTTTTTAAACTCAGGGTTCCTCCCTGTAACACAATCCATACATGTATAGATATCACTGACCTTCCACACATCACCAGGTAGGAATTTGGTTACAGGAATCTGGTACCAAAAAAATGTTGATACTCTGGCTACTACTATTAATAATGTTCTTTGTCTCTGACTCAGGAGCCTGGTGTCTTCTGCCAGTGTGCATAAAACTGTGGCAAGTCTAACTTGCTATCATACAAGTACATATCTCAGGCTTTTCAGAGTTCTTGACATATTCAGTTCTCCTTTCTTTCACAAAAAGTAAAGACCAAACAAGAGTAATACAGATGTGTCAATTGTCTAAAGGTGCTTGGCAAGTAATAGAAATAAATGAAGAAGGTCAGGTGGAGATAGTTACAATATAGAGAGTTCACTCCCTGTTTAAATTGTGGCCCAGTTGCCACAATAATCAATTGGAATGCCAATAACACCATTTAAACCAATATTGTCAGAGTTGTCTAATTTTTTTTTTTGAGAAATTAAATTCTTGTTTTTATGAGTAGCACCTAAAATTTAAATGTTGGTTAACTCATCAAAAAATTCTAAAGACTGTTGTGGGATCAATAAAATATGTCTATGGAATCAGTACTGTCATGGATATTGCTACCGTAGTCTAGATGTTACATGTCAAAAGTCAAAGGTCTAGATTCTTCTACTCATAGACTGCATAAAGTAATTCATTTATAAACTTTCTATAGTTTCCCTCATTTTAAAATAAGTTTCTCATTTGTAGAATACATAGAGTGGTACTTTCACAATTTGTTCTTTAGAATCAACCAGACTTTTTGAGCAACTTTTGGGAGAGAACATGACAGGAACCTACAGAACAATAGAGAAATTCAGGAAAAAGAAACCAAACACTACAATTCTTAGAAACAGATATAATTTTGCCTCCATGATCTGCCTTTGCCGAAATGAGGCCTGCAGTTTCAGGGGAAATTAAATACTGTATCTTGTTTATTGGATATTCAATCAGATATGCACCACTGAGTCTTTAACACTGTGTTTTAACTGCTCTGTATTTGCTGGCTAAAGATAAAGAAAAAGTATATTAAAATAAGATGTTAGTAAGAACATCAAAAGTTGAATGAAAATTTGGGCTGCTATGTTTTGCAGTATAAAAATGCCTAACTCTAGAATTTTCTCACAATTTGAATGTCCTATTTCGTATTGATGCTTTTTGTATAATAATCTCCCATATAACACATGGAAATATTTGAGAATTTCATGAAAACCTATTCAGACTCTCAATCTATAGAATTTAACAGAAGTATGCTATCACTCTCCATGATTACTTATTTTATTCCCAAAGCCCTAAAGTCAAAAAGTGATATTTATTAAAAAATAACAAGCAGGAAGAATGGCATGGGAAATATATAGTTTACAATAAATGCTACCTTAGGCAGAAAATTCAAATCCAGTGAAACTAAAGGTTTTGTTTCTAATATAATCTTGTGATCTGGGTTGTCATGTATATGAATGAACCAGCAAAATGGGCTTTTGAAAATACTTTCAAGTATACTTTTTTCCTTCCAGCTGCACAGCTGCTGTTGTACTCCTCCTTGAAATTTTCTTCTTTCCCCTCCCTACGTGTGCCTGCTCTTCCTTCAGATCTCAATTCAGTTGAGATCCCTGTCACCGGAAAGCCTTCTCTGACTTCCCTTATCTGCCCAATGCCTTTAATTCTTACTACTCCCTGTCTTCTTTGTAGAACTTATCACAGTTGTGGTTATTGGAGTAATGCCTCTATTCTCTCTAGACTGTAAGACCCAAGAAGACAGGATTTATTTGTTTTGTTTCTCATTGAATCCTCAATTTTGAGAATTATTATTGACATATGGTAGGTACTCAATTCAAAGTTGTAAAATACAGAATATGAATAAGCAGAGCCAAGAGTCTAAGGTTCCCATCCTAAATCTTCCACTAACAAGTGACCATGGCCAATCGCTAAGTGTCTTCAACTGAAAAATAAAGAGTAAAACAATAGTGATGTTTTGATGTACATCAGCATTTTAAACAAGATAACAGTTAATGTCTCTTTAGTCTCAGGCTGATAATTATATTTTTATTTTGTTCCAGTTGAATGTTTTTGATATAATAGTAGTTTTATTATTTGCAACTAGTAAAAAGATTTTGCACTTATATTAAAATTCTAGGATACAGTTCTATCAAACTAATCCAGAAATTTGAAAGAAGAGTACTAGAAATTTTATACTATAAAATTAAATCACCCAACTATACTTTAAAACTGAATGTGTTTCTCAATTGGTTAATGTTCAATTTAGAAGTTCCGATTGAAAAGGCCTTTCTGTTTAGATTGACAACATTTGGCAAAAAATACATTTTATAATACTATGAAATGTTCAATAAGGACATTTACTTCAGATATTCACTCAATATCATTATGTTTAGCATGGATTTGCATTTTCCACATCATCAGTGATGCTCAGGTTGTAAGCATAAATGCAGGAATTGGTAACCTTATATTGTCAAATTAAACTCATTCATTTAAATTTTCAGCAAAGTTGTGTAACCATATTATATTTTAAAGATATTTAATTTTAATCAGGAAAAAAGGTGTTTTTTTAGTATTATTTGAAGGGTTTGTACCAGCACCTTGCCTCAAGATAAGCTAATTAACTTAAATAACAACAACAACAAAAATTACTCACTGCTCATATCATTAAATAATAACTGAAAGACTCCAATTTAAAGTCATACTTTAGTAAAATTGTCAGTTCATTAAACAAAAGTGAGCTGAAGGATTTGAGAACAAGAGTAGCCTCCGAACTTCTGCACAAGTAGAATTGTGTGTAGAGGAATGGGGAGGTAGAATATCATTGGAAAAAGGTAACCAGGGATTTTTTTCCTTGAATTTGCTTTCATATATCAAGTGTATTTTTATTTGCATTATGTATTTACTTGAGAAAAAAATAATGGAGATGGGACTATTTCATCTTTCAAAAGCAACTCCATAGCTCTGGCATTGTACTAGTATCTTAATATGCCTATATTGATGAGATCTACTCTAGTGACTTGAACACATTGCAGTGAACTTTTAAAATAGCTTAAAGATATAATTAGCAAATCATATAATTCATCCACTTATAAAGTGCACAATTCAGTGGTTTTTAGTATACTCAGAGTTGTGTAACCATCACCATAATTTTAGAATTTTTTATAACTCTGTTTTTATTTTTTTGTTGTTTGTTCTCTTTTCTTTTTCTTTTTCTTTTTTCATTTCCATAGGTTTTTGGGGAACAGGTGGTGTTTGGTTACATGAGTAAGTTCTTTAGTGGTGATTTCTGAGATTTTGGTGCACCTATTACCTGAGCAGTATACACTGTACCCAGTGTGTAGTCTTGTATCCTACCCCCATCCCACCCTTTCCACCAAGTTCCCAAAGTCCATGGTATTATTCTTATGCCTTTTCATCCTCATAGCTTAGCTCCCACTTATGAGTGAGAACACACGATGTTTGGTTTTCCATTCCTGAGTTACTTCACTTGAAATAATGGTCTCCAATTCTATCCAGGCTGCTGCAAATGTTATTTTACTTCTTTTTATGGCTGAATAGTATTCCATTATATATATATATATATGTATATATATATAAAATCTCACGATTTCTTTATCCACTCATTGATTAATGGTCATTTGGGCTGGTTCCATATTTTTTCAATTGTGAGTTGTTGATGCTATAAACAGGTTGTGCAAGCATCTTTTTTTGTATAATGACTTCTTGTCCTCTGGGTAGATACCCGGTACTGGGATTCCTGGATCAAATGGTAGTTCTACTTTTAGTTCTTTATGGAATCTCCATACTGTTTTCCATAGTGGCTGTACTAGTTTACATTCCCACCAGCAGTGTAAAAGTGTTCCCCTTTCACTTCATCCCTGTCAATATCTATTATTTTTTGATTTTTTTGATTATGGCCATTCTTGCAGGAATAAGGTGGTATTGCATTGTGGTTCTGATTTGCATTTTCCTGATCATTAGTGATGTTGAGCATTTTTTCATATGTTTGTTGGCCATTTGTATATCTTCTTTTGAGAATTGTCTATTCATATCTTTAGCACAATTTTTGATGGGATTGTTTCTTTCCTGCTAAAGTGCTTGAGTTCCCTGTAGATTCTTGGATATTAGTCCTTTATTAGATATATAGATTGTGGATATTTTCTCACACTCTGTGAGTTGTCTGTTTACTCTACTGATTGTTTCTTTTGCTGTGGAGAAACTTTTTAGTTTAATTAAGTCCCACCAACTTATCATTGTTTTTGTTGCTTTTGCTTTTGGATTGTTGGTCATGACATCTTTGCCTAAGAAGGGTTTTTCCAATGTTATTGTCAAGAATTTTCATGGTTTTAGGTATGTCATTTAAGTCCTTGACCCATCTTGAGTTGATTTTTGTATAAGATGAGAAATGAGAATCCAATTTCACTCTTCTACAGGTGGCTTGTCAATTATCCCAGCACCATTTGTTGAATAGGATGTCCTTTCCACACTTTATGTTTTTGCTTGTTTTGTCAAAGATCAGTTAGTTGTAAGTATTTGGCTTCATTGCTGGGTTCTCTATTCTCCATTGGTCTATGTGCCTATTTTTATCCCAGTACCATGCTGTTTTGATGACTGTGGCCTTATAGTATAGTTTGAAATCAAGTAACATAATGCCTCCAGATTTGTTCTTTTTGCTTAGTCCTGCTTTGGCTATGCAGGCTCCTTTTTGGTTCCGTGTTAATTTTGGGATTGTTGTTTCCAGTTCTGTGGAGAAGGATGATGGTAGTTTGATGGGAATTACATTGAATTTGTAGATTTTTTTGGCAGTATGGTCATTTTCACAACATTGATTCTACCCATTCATGAGCATGGGGTATATTTCCATTTGTTTGTGTCATCTATGATTTCTTTCAGGAGTGTTTTATAGTTTTCCTTGTAGAGGTGTTTCATCTCCTTGGTTATGTATATTCCTAAGTATTTCGTTTTTTTTGCAGCTATTGCAAATGGGGTTGAATTCTTGATTTCATTCTCTGCTTGGTCACTGTTGATGTATAGAAGAGCTACGGATTTGTGTACATTAATTTTGTATCCAGAAACTTAGATGAATTCTTTTATCAGTTCTAGAAGCTTTCTGGAGGAGTCTTTAGTGTTTTCTATGTAAACAATAATATCATCAGCAAGCAGTGACAGTTTGACTTCCTCTTTATCAATTTGGATGTCCTTTATTACTTTCTCTTGTCTGATTGCTCTGGCTAGGACTTTCAGTACTATGTTGAATAGAAGTAATGAGAGTGAGCATCCTTGTCTTGTTCCAGTTATCAGAGGAAATGTTTTCAACTTCTGCCTGTTCAGTATTACGTTGGCTGTGGGTTTGTCATAGATGGTTTTTATTACCTTAAGGTATTTCCCTTCTAGTCTGATTTTGCTGAAGGTTTCAATCATAAAGCAATGCTGGATTTTGTCAAGTGCTTTTTTCTGTGTCTCTTGAGATGATCATGTAGTTTTTGTTTTTAATTCTATTTAGGTGGTGTATCACACTTATTGACTTGCATATGTTCAACTATCCCTGCACCACTAGTATGAAACCCACTTGGTCATGGTGTATTATCTTTTTTATATGCTATTGGATTCAGTTAGCTAGTATTTTGTTAAGTATTTTTGCATTTATATTCATGAGGGATATTCTTCTGTACTCTTCTTTTTTTATTATGTTCTTTCCTGATTTTGTTATTAAGGTAATGCTAGCTTCATAAAACGATTTAAAAAGGATACTTTTTTATCTTGTGGAAAGCTATCAATAGGATTGGTACCAATTCTTTAAATGTCTGATAGAATTCAGCTGTGAATCTTTCTAGGGTTCTGGACTCTTTTTCTTGGCAATTTTTAAATTACAATTTCAATCTCACTGCTACTTATTGGTCTGTTCCAGGTTTCTAATTCTTCCTGGTTTAAGCTAGGAGGGTTGTATATTTCCTAGAATTTATCTGTCTCCTCTAGGTTTTCTAGTTTATGTGCATAAAGGTGTTCATAGTAGCCTTGAATGATCTTTTGCATTTCTGTGGTGTTGGTTGTATATCTCCCATTTTGTTTCTAATTGAGCTTATTTGGATCTTCTCTCTTCTTTTCTCAGTTAATCTCAAGAATAATCATCAATTTTATTTATCTTTTCAAAGAACTGGCTTTTTGTTTGATTTATCTTTTGTATTTTGTTGTTCTTTTTGTTGTTTCCATTTCATTTAATTCTGCTCTGATCTTGGTTATTTCTTTTCTTCTTCTGGGTTTTAGTTGGGTTTGTTCTTGTTTCTCTAGTTACTTGAGGTGTGACCTACAGTTTGGCTCTCAGGTAGCCACACCCCTAGGAAAAAAGGGAGAGTACTACATCAAGGGAGCCCCCCATGGGACTAAAGAATCTGAACAGCAGCACTTGAGCCCCAGATCTTCCCTCTAACATAGCCTACTCAAATGAGAAGGAACCAGAAAAACAATTATGGTAATATGACAAAATAAGATCCTTTAACACCCTTAAAAAATCACGCTAGCTCACCAGCAATGAATCCAAACCAAGAAGAAAGGCCTGATCCAACAGAAAATGAATTCAGAAGGTTGATTATTAAGCTAATAAAGACAGCATCTGAGAAAAGTGAAGTCCAAATGAGGGGAGAAATATTTAGTGAAATAGTATAAATAAAAAGCAATTACAACTTGGGGAAATCAATAATACACTTATAGAAATGCAAAATGCACTGGAAAGTCTCAGCAATAGAATTGAACAAGCTGAAGAAAGAACTTCAGAGCTTGAAGACAAGGCTTTTGAAATAACCCAATCCGACAAAGACAAAGAAAAAAGAATATAGGCCAGGCGCGGTGGCTCATGCCTATAATCCCAGCACTTTGGGAGGCTGAAGCGGGCGGATCACGAGGTCAGGAGATCAAGACCATCTTGGCTAACATGGTGAAACCCCATCTCTACTAAAAATACAAAAAATTAGTTGGGCGCAGTGGCAGATGCCTGTTGTCCCAGCTACTTGGGAGACTGAGGCAGGAGAATGGCCTGAACCTGGCAGGTGGAGCTTGCAGGGAGCCGAGATAGCACCGCTGCAGTCTGGCCTGGGTGAAAGAGCAAGACTCCATCTCAAAAAAAAAAAAAAAAAAAAAAAAATATATATATATATATATATATATATATATATATATAAAAATCTACAAAGCCTCCAAGATATTTGGAGTATGGTAAATGGCCAAACCTAAGAATAATTGGCATTCCTGAGGAAAATGAGAAATCTAAAAGTTTGGAATACATATTTCGGGGAATAATTTTTAAAAACTTCCCTCCTCTTGCTAGAGATCTAGACATCCAAATACAAGAAGCTCAAAGAACTCCTAAGTAATTTGTTGCAAAAAGATCATCATCTAGGCACATAGTCATCAGATTACTTAAACTGAAGAAGGAAAGAATATTAAGAACTGTGAAGCAAAAGCATGAGGTAACCTATAATGGAAAACCTGAGATTAATAGCAGATTTCTCAGCAGAAATCCTATAAGCTAGGAGGGATTGGGACCCTATCTTCAACCTTGTTAAACAAAACAATTATCAGCCAATAATTTTGTATCCAGCAAAACTAAGCTTCATAAATGAAGGAAAGATACAGTCTTTTTCAGACAAACATATGCTGAGACAATGTGCCACTACCAAGCCAGCACTGTAAGAACTGTTAAATGGAGCTCTAAATCTTGAAGCAAATCCTCAAAATACATTGAAATGGAAGCCCTTTAAAGCATAAATCTCATAAGACCTATAAAACAAACAACACAATAAATTTTTTAAAAAATGCAAGGTATTCAGACAACAAATAGCATGATGAGTAGTGCAGTACCTCACATCTCAGTACTAATGTTGAATGTAAATGGCCTAAATACTCCACTTAAAAGATACAGAATAGCAGAATAAATAAGACTTCACTAACCAAGTATCTGCTGCCTTCAAAAGACTCACCTAATTCATAAGGGCTCATATAAACTTAAGGTAAAGAGGTGAAAAAAAGATATTCCATGCAAATGGACACCAAAAGCAAGCAGGAGCTGTTATTCTTATATCAGACAACACAAACTTTAAAGTAATGGCAGTTTAAAAAAAGACAAAGAGAGACATTGTATAGTGATAAAAGGCCTTGACCAACAGGAAAGTATCACAATCCTAAATATGTATATACCTAACACTGGAGCTCCCAAATTTATACAACATTTATTACTAGACCTAAGAAATGAGATAGACAGCAACCCAATAATAGTAGGGGACTTCACTACTCCACTGACAGCACTCGACAGGTCATCAAGACAGAAAGTCAACAAAGAAACAATAGATTTAAACTGTACCCTAGAACAAATGGACTTAACAGATATTTACAGAACATTCTACCCAACAACCACAGAATATAAATTCTATTCACCAGCGCATGTAACATTCTCCAAGATAGACCATATCATAGGTCACAAAACAAGTCTCAATAAATTTAAGAAAATTGAAATTATATCAAGTATTTTCTCTGATCACAGTGGAATAAATCTGAAAATCAACCATGCAAATACATGGAAAATTAAATAACCTGCTCCTGAATGATCATTAGGTCAACAATGAAATCAAGATGGAAATTAGAAAACTCTTTGAACTGAATGATAATAGTGACACAACCTATCAGAACCTCTGGGATACAGTAAAGACAGTGCTAAGAGGAAAGTTCATAGCCTTAAATAATTATATTAAAAAGTCTGAAAAAACACAAATAGACAAGCTAAGGTCAACCCTATTTTTCAACATTAGAGTAGCCACTCCAACTTTTTATCATTGCAGTTTGCATGATAAATCTGTTTCCATACTTTTACTTTCAATTTATTTGTATTTTTGAATCTAAAGTGTGTCTCCTATGGATAACATATTGTTGGATCTTGATCCAGTTAATTTTGGCCTCCTTTACAAGGATTGTTTTTGAGGTCAGTGTTTGAGGTTTCTTATAATTTAAAGAAGGCTTTTTCTAGCTGCATAATGCCCTGGTTTTCTTTGGTAAACTTTCTGGTCCATGGTTTAGCTCATATCTCTGATGAACTAACAGTCTCATCTTAATGCTTTTTCCCACAAAATCCACTGTTTTTGAGAGCATCCTTAGGCTTGAATTTTCTCACACTCTGTTGCAAATAATGTCCGTTCCTTTGGAACAGCTGGAGCTCTTTGTCTGCCTTCCCCCTATGTGAAAGTGTCTGGCTCACAAATCTGGAGCTGGGAGCAAGGAAAATGGCACATTGCTCTGAGTGACAACCCTACTTTAGGAAGTGGGCACTAAATATTGGAGAGTAGTTGTGTCCTCTGTTTTTTCAGCTTACTTCTCCCAGCATGAAACCTCCACCATAAAAACAAGCTGAGGAGAGACAAATCAGGTCTCATTATTCTTCACACATGTGCCCAAATTACAGCCTGCATTATATGAATGACGGCTGGGAAAAAAAGAAAGCCTACATCTTTTAGTGGCACTATCCAGGAACTAACCTCTACAGTAAGTAGCTTGGGATTGGGAAGAGAAATACTGATGCTCTGTCCTTTCTTTAGGAATAGGCTGTAACCCTCCACAGGGCCTTATGTTCTTGGCTGCATCCACCTGGAGGGGAGTTTCTCTCCCATTGCTCTTAAAGAGGTGAAGGAAGGAGTGGGTTGTGATTCAAATGCCACAGGCTTGCTATTTCTCAGTTTTAGTTGATATTTTTGAATAAATATTACTTCATTTGCTATATTCCCATAAGACCATTCCAGAGACCTTAATTGATTGTATTTTTCATAGTTTTAGTCAGTTTCTCTTGTGAGTGAGTCTGTGATTTCCTTGTACTGCCAGTTACAGAGGTGGAGCTTACGGTCAAGTTTCTTTTATTTCCTTTTTTTTTTTTTTTTTTTTGAGACAGAGTCCTTAGTTGCCCAGGCTGGAGTGCAGTGGCATGATCTTGGCTCACTGCCACCACTGCCTCCCAGGTCCAAGCAATTTTTGTGCCTCAGCCACCTGAGTAGTAGTGTCTGGGATTATAGATGTGAGCCACCATGCCCGACTAATTTTTTGTATTTTTAGTAGAGATGGGATTTCACCATGTTGCCCAGGCTGGTCTCAAACTCCTGGACTCAAGTGATCCAATTGCCTCAGCCTCACAAAGTGCTGGGGTTACAGACATGAGCCACCACACCTGGCCCACAGTCAAGTTTTCCATGACTCAAAATATTTGTTGTTCTCCTCGTCATCATTTATCGTACCATCAGTACAGATGATTGCCAACTTATTTAAATACTAAGAATTTTACCTTTCATTTGTATGTGTTTCAAATGTTACATAAAGAATTATTTTTCTTCACAGTTGTTTTCATGAAAATTCTATACCATGAAAATTTTAAAGCATACAGCTTCCAAACATTAAAATTTCAAATAATCTTATTCTTCAATGCATAAAATACATGGATGTGTATTTGTTCTTGCATTCGACTGTGTTATCCTATGTATTTGCAATGGTACTAATTACAATTTCATAGTAGTTTATGAGATGGGAGGGTTCCCTGTTCCCCTATGGAATTTGCAACTGGTGGGTGTCAGTCCTGCAAGCCCAAACCTGCACGTATACATCCAGATGACCTGAAGCAACTGAAGAATCACAAAAGAAGTGAAAACGGCTGGTTCCTGCCTTAACTGATGGCATTATCTTGTGAAATTTCTTCTTCTGGACAATGTGTCTCAGAAGCTTCCCACTGAGCACCTTGTGACCCCTGCCCCTGCCTGCCAGAGAACAACCCCTTTGACTGTAATTTTCCATTACCTACACAAATCCTATAAAACTGCGCCACCCCATCTCCCTTTGCTGACACTCTTTTTGGACTCAGCCCACCTGCACCCAGGTTATTAAAAAGCTTTATTGCTCACACAAAGCCTGTTGGTGGTCTCTTCACAGGGACGTACCTGACATTTGGTGCCATGACTCAGATCGGGGGACCTGCCTTGGGAGATCAATCCCCTGTCCTCCCGCTCTTTGCTCCATGAGAAAGATCCACCTACGACCTCGGGTCCTCAGACAAACCAGCCCAACGAACATCTCACCAATTTTAAATCAGGTAAGCGGCCTCTTTTTACTCTCTTCTCCAACCTCTCTCACTGTCCCTCAACCTCTTTCTCCTTTCTCTTTTGGCACCACCATCCAGTCTCTCCCTTCCCTTAATTTCAGTTCCTTTCCTTTTCTGGTAGAGACAGAGGAGATGCATTTTATCCGTGAAACCAAAATTCTGGCGCTGGTGATGGACTTGGGAAGACAGTCTTCCCTTGAAGTTTAATCACTACAGGGATGCCTGCCTGATTATTCACCCACATTTCAGAGGTGTCTGATCACCGCAGGGGTGCCTGCCTTGATGCTTCACCTTGGTGGCAAGCACCACCTCCCCGGTGGCAAGTACCAACCTCCCCTCTTTCCCGTGCCTCTACCCTCTCTTTTCTTTGGGCTTGCCTCCTTCACTATGGGCAAACTTCCACCCTCCATTCCTCCTTCTTCTCCCTTAGCCTGTGTTAAAACCTCTTCAACTTGCACCTGACCTAAAACCTAAATGCCTTATTTTCTTCTGCAATCCCGCTTGACCCCAATAAAAACTCGACAATGGTTCCAAATAGCCAGAGAATGGCACTTTTGATTTCTCCATGCTATAAGATATAGATCATTCTTGTCATAAAATGGGCAAATGGTTTGAGGTGGCTGACATCTAGGCATTCTTTTTTACATCAGTCCCTCCCTAGTCTCTGCTCCCAATGCAACTCATCTCCAATTTTTCTTCTTTCTCTCCTGTTGGTTCCTTCAGTCTCCACCCCAAGCTCTGAGTCCTTTGAATCCTCCTTTTATGGACCCTTCTGACCTCTCCCCTCTTCCCCAGGCTGCTCCTCACCAGGCTGAGCCAGGTCCCAATTCTTTCTCAGCTTCTGTTCCCTCACCGTATAATCCTTTTATCACCTCCCCTCCTCACACCCAGTTCGGCTTACAGTTTCGTTCCGCTACTAGCCCTCCCCAACCTGCCCAACAATTTCCTCTTAAAGAGGTGGCTGGAGCTGAAGGCATAGTCAAGGTTAATGCTCCTTTTTTTTTTATCTGACCCCTCCCAAATCATTTAGGCTCTTCTTCTTCATCAAATATAAAAACCAAGCCCAGTTCATGGCCCATTTGGCAACAACCCTTTACCACCCTAGACCCAGAGGGACCAGAAGGCTGGTCTTATTCTCAATATACATTTTATTGCCCAATCTGCTCCCGACATTACAAAAAGCTCCAAAAATTAGATTCCAGTCCTCAAACCCCACAACAGGACTTAATTAACCTCACCTTCAAGGTGTACAATAATAGAGAAGAGTTGCAATTACTTGCCTCCACTGTGAGAGAAACCCCAGCCACATCTCCAGCACACAAGAACTTCAAAACACTTGAACCAGAGTAGCCAGGCATTCCTCCAGGAACTCCTCCCCCAGGATCTTGCTTCAAGTGCTGGAAATCTGGCCACTGGGCCAAGGAATGCCTGCAGCCTAGGATTCCTCCTAAGCCATGTCCCAGCTGTGCAGGACCCCACTGGAAATCAGACTGTCCAACTCGCCTGGCAGCCACTCCCAAAACCCCAGGAACTCTGGCTCAAGGCCCTCTGACTGACTCCTTCCCAGATCTTCTCGGCTTAGCAGCTGAAGACTGACACTGCCCGATCACCTCAAAAGCCTCCTGGACCATCATAGATACTTTGGGTAACTCTTAAAGTGGAAGGTAACTCTTAAAGGGGAAGGTAAGTCTGTCCCCTTCTTAATCAATACAGAGGCTGCCCACTCCACATTACCTTCTTTCAAGGGCCTGTTTCCCTTGCCTCCATAACTGTTGTGAGTATTGATGTCCAGGCTTCTAAATCTCTTAAAACTTCCCAACTCTGGTATGAACTTGGACAACATTCTTTTATGCACTCCTTTTTAGTTATCCCAACCTGCCTAGCATCCTTATTAGGTCGAGACATTTTAACTAAATTATCTGCTTCCCTGAATATTCCTGAGCTACAACCACACCTCATTGACACACTTTTCCCCAGTTCAAAGCCTCCTTCACATTCTCCCCTTGTGTCTCGTACATTAATCCACAAGTATAAGCTACCTTTACTCCTACCTTGGCGACTGATCATGCATCCCTTATCATCCCATTAAAACCTGATCACTCTTACCCCACTCAATGCCAATATCCCATCCCACAGCAGGCTTTAAAAAGGTTAAAGCCTGTTATCACTCACCTGCTACAGCATGGGCTTCTAAAGCCTATAAACTCTCCTTACAATTCCCCCATTTTACCTGTCCAAAAACTGGACAAGTCCTACAGGTTAGTTCAGGATCTGCACCTTATCAACAAAATTGTCTTGCCTATCCACTCTGTGGTGCCAAACCCATATACTCTCCTATCCTCAATTCCTCCCTCCACAAGCCATTATTCTGTTCTGGATCTCAAAGACGCTTTCTTTACTATTCCTTTACACCTTCATCCCAGCCTCTCTTCACTTTCACTTGGACTGACCCTGACACCCATCAGTCTCAGCAACTTACCTGGGCTGTACTGCCACAAGGCTTCAGGGACAGCCCCCATTACTTCAGTCAAGTACTTTCTCATGATTTACTCTCTTTACATCCAACTACTTCTCACTTTATTAAATATTTTGACGACCTTCTACTTTATAGCCCCTCCTACAAATCTTCCCAACAGGACACCCTCCTACTCCTCCAACATCTATTCTTAAAAGGATATCTTGTATCCTCCTCCAAAGCCCAAATTTCTTCCTCATTGATTATGTATCTTGGCATAATTCTTCATAAAAACACACGTGTTCTCCCAGCTGATCATGTCCGGATAATCTCCCAAGCCCCAACTCCTTCTACAAAGCAACAACTCCTTTACTTCCTAGGCATGGTTGGGTACTTTTGCCTTTAAATACCTGTTTTTGCCATCCTGACTAAACCATTATATAAACTCACAAAAGGAAACCTAGCTGACCCCATAAATCCTAAATCCTTTCTCCACTCCCCTTTCCATTCCTTAAAAAAACAGCCCTAAATGCTGCTCTCCCTAACTCATCCCAACCCTTTTCATTATACACAGCCAGAGTACAGGGCTGTGTGGTTAGAATTCTTACACAACAGCCAAGACTGCACCCTGTCGCCTTTCTGTCCAAATAACTTGACCTTACTGTTTTAGCCTAGCCCTCATGTCTGCATGCGGTGGCTGCTGCTGTTTTAATACTTTTAGAGGCCCTCAAAATCACAAACTACATTCAACTCACTCTACAGTTCTCATAACTTCCAAAATCTATTTTCTTCCTCACACCTGACACATATACTTTCTGCCCCCTGGCTCCTTTGACAATACTCACTCTTCGTTGGGTCTCCCACAATTATCATTGTTCCTGGCCCAGACTTCAGTCTGGCCTCCCACATTATTCCTGATACCACACCTGGCCCCCATGACTGTATCTCTTTGATCCACCTGACATTCACTCCATTTTCCCATATTTCCTTCTTTCCTGTTCCTCACCCTCATCACACTTGGTTTGTTGATGGCAGTTCCAACAGGCCTAATTGTCACTCACCAGCAAAGGCAGGCTATGCTATAGTATCTTCCACATCTATCCTTGAGGCTACTGCTCTGTCCCCCTCCACTACCTCTCGGCAAGCCAAACTCATTGCCTTAACTCAGGCCCTCACTCTTGCAAAGGGACTATGCGTCAATATTTATACTAACTCTAAATATGCCTTACATATCCTGCACCACCATGCTGTTATACAGGCGGAAGAAAATTTCCTCACTACACAAGGGTCCTCCATCATTAATGCCTCTTAATAAAAACTCTTCTTAAAGCTGCTCTACTTCCAAGGAAGCTAGGGTCATTCACTGCAAGGGCCATCAGAAGGTATCAGATCACATCACTCAAGGCTATGCTTATGCTAATAAGGTAACTAAAGAAGCAGCTAGCCTTCCAATTTCTGTCCCTCATGGCCAGATTTTCTCCTTCTCATCTTTTCACTTTACATTTCCAGCTTTGCCTTACAAAAGGTCTCTTCTTCCTCTGTGGCTCCTCCACCTACCTGTGTTTACCTGCTAATTGGACAGGCACATGCACATTAGTTTTCCTTCTCCAAAAATTCAGTTGGCAAATAGGACCGAACAGCTGTTTGCTTCCTGTTCCCCTCATGACACCACTTCACCACTATTTTGTTTTATTTTTCTTATTAACATAAAAAGACAGGAATAGGCCTTGACTTACTCACTGCTGAAAAAGGAGGACTCTGTATATTTTTAAATGAAGAGTGCTGTTTTTACCTAAATCAATCTGGCCTGGTATATGACAACATAAAAAAAAAACACACACACACAAAAAACTCAAGGATAGAGCCCAAAAACTCACCAACCAAGCAAGTAATTATGCTGAACCCCCTTAGGCACTCTCTAATTGAATGTCCTGGGTCCTCCCAATTCTTAGTCCTTTAATACCTGCTTTTCTCCATCTCTTATTCAGACCTTGTGTCTTCTGTTTAGTTCCTCAATTCATACAAAACTACATCCAGCACATCGCCAATCATTTTGTTACTGGGGGATCCTTGCTCCCAGAGCTCCCAAGATGGTGGTGGGCCGCTACCAAAATGGCAGTGGGCCACTTCCCAAATGGTGGCAAGCCTCACGTTCTCTGACCTGGGGTTCTTGGCCTCACAGATACCAAGGAATGGAATCTTGGGCCATGCGGTGAGTGTTATAGCTCTATTAGAAGCCGTGGGTCATGGAAGAGAACCATGGAACCCAGTGACCAGTGTTCAGTTCTATTAGGACAAACCCAGGCACTTAGCCATGCAGGAACAATGGCAAGCCTTTAGCCTGATCGGGAGTGGCAATGGGTACCTCGCTGGATCAGGAGCACAGTGGACACTCTGCTGGATCCAAAGGGATGGAAGTCAGCAGCGGGTCTGTGACGGTGGCAAACAGCAGTGGTGGATGGCGAACAAAAGCTCAGCTTGAGCCATAAAAAACACGGACCAGAAGAGTGCAGTTGCAAGATTTAATAGAGTGAAATAGAGTGAAAACAGAGCTCCCATACAATGGGAGGGGACCCAAAGGGGGTTGCTGTTGCTGGCTTGAATGCCTGGGTTTATATCCCAATCCTTGTCCTTCCCGCTGTGCTCTCAGGCAATAGATGATTGGCTATTGCTTTACCTCCTGTTTTTGCCTGATTAGCATTTTAGTGAGCTCTCTGATTGGTCGGGTGTGAGCTAAGTTGCAAGCCCCATGTTTAAAGATGGATGCGGTCACCTTCCCAGCTAGGCTTAGGGATTCTTAGTCAGCCTAGGAAATCCAGCTAGTCCTGTCTCTCAGTCCACCCTCTCAACAGGAAAACCCAAGTACTGTTGGGGAGGTTGGCTGACAACTGCTCTAACTGCTTCCTACTGAATTGGAGTGTAGTAGGGGTTGTGCAGTTGAGATTTCCTCGGGAGGGGTGACTTCAATGTCATTAACATCAGAGCATAGTCTAGCAGGCCGGTCCAGGGGTCCACGGTAGATTTTAGTCATGGACTGCATCTGGGGTTCCATTTGAAGAACTATTTGTAGCTTTACAGCTTCAATTCTGGAAGAGACAAACTTAACAAGGAAGTTAAAGATACAGGGTCCAAAGAGGAGTAAAAATATTATAGCTGCTAGAGGTCCTAAGAAGGGGAGAGTCCAGGGCATCCATTGGCTGAGGAGGCCCCAGGGTGCAGTGTTTTGAAGGTCCTCTGCTCTACATTATATTCGATCTCAAATTTCTTTAACTTTCTCAGTAATGATTCCAGATTGATTAACATACTAACAGCATTCTTCCCCTAAAAATAAACAGGTTCCCCCTCTTTTGGCGGTTAGCAAGTCTAAAGCTCTTCAATTTTAAAGGACTACTGCTGCTAGGGAGTTAAGTTGATCTTCCTAGGTGACCAGGGAGTTGGTGACCTGCTCCATGTCACCATTTAGTTCTTGAAATAGTTTGTAGTAGAACTGAGTAGAGGTTGTGATACCGCCAATGCCAGTACCTAGTCTACCTAGCACTCCTGCTCCAATAACAAGAGGAAGAATGGGTACTCTTTTGTTGCAGGGCTTAGGTATGACATAATTGTATAAATCTTGTTCAGTGTAGATGGTCGTAGGGGGCACTAAGAATGAGAGGAAGCACATACTTTCTGAAGAGTCATTCAAACAATGATAGGCTGAGGTACCACAGACAAAAAATATTCCTGAAGGTAGGCAGACTATTTGTGTGGGAGCAGTTACCCACCTGATGCCTTGGGAGTTTGTTTTGTCTATAGTATTGCTAAATTTTACACAGGTGAGGTTTGAGATATGGGTTATTTCCAGATTGGAAACAAGAGGTCCTACTAAAATGGAAGTGGTGTTCATTTCTGGGCTGAAGTTGTTCCATTGTTCAGGTACAGGGATTGAAACACATGGCCTAAAGTTCAGGTGGAAGCACATCCATGCACAGCATGTAATCTGCTGGGTTAAGGTAATTATCAGTGGTTGGAGTTACATCACCCTTTTCTAACAGAATAGCCCCATACTTTAAGATTTTTGAGTTAGTAAGCTACGTTTTTGCTTTTTTGACTTAGAATAATTCTGAACTGGTGAGGTGTGCTCACAATGAGGTTTCCTCTAAAAGTTACTTTTCTACATTTAGCAAAGCAGTTGCCACTACTGACTGAATGCATTTGGCCCATCTATGGGTTACTGGGTGAAGGATTTTTGATAGGAAAACTACGGGTTGTCAGTGGCCTCAGACACTTTCAGGCTATGCCCTTATTTACACTGACAACAAAGTGGTATTGTAGTGTTATAGGGTCACGGACAAGACCTTCAATTATCAATTACAGGTTTTAAATTTACTCTGGCTTTTAGAGGAATAGGGCACACTTCTTTTTTTACTATTTCTATCTTTTTCTTTCTTTTTCTCTTTGACTCCTTCTTTGTCTCCCTCTCCATCTCTCTCTCCATCTCTCTCTGTCTCTCTCTCTCCATCTCTCTCTCTCTCTCTCTCTCTCTCTCCATTTCTTTCTCTCTCTCTCCATCTCTCTCTCTTAGCCATTACAAACTTGGGGCCCTGGCAAGGGTGGTGGGGAACAGGTCGCACATAACTGCCCATGTCGAGAGCTGTATACCTAAATCGGGAGGGACACCAGGGATAAGACTCCCTGGGTTATAGCCTAGGTGCCTAAGGATGCAGCGTAGAGCTTCCTTCAATCCTTTTGGAGACACAACTTGCTAGAGGAAATGAAAGTCTGAACCATTAGTACCTCGGAGGAAGGGATCAGAGGAAGTACATTCAGAGGTAAGGAGAATTTGGGGGCTACACTTTCAAGAAAGTCGTGGTCAAGACCCCAGGAGGTATGGGTCAGAAGGAAAGGTAGGGGTGCACACATGGGTGACTGTTGAGTAGAGACTTCTGGCTGCACCATGATCTCAACCAGCTACTGCAGGGAGTTTGGGATGACAGCTTTCTGCCTCTAGTCAGCCCTCAGCTTCCCCAAGAAAATTGAAAGTGGAAGCTGGCTCCAGGCAGACCAACGTCCCCAACCCAGAAGTGTTGAGGGTTGCTAGAAAGCCCTTCCCCAGATAGCCTCACACCTGAGTCTTAAGTCCAGCAGCCACACTAATCATTTTTAACTGGTCAAAAGGTGACTGCTATTTTCCTCCAACTCTAAGGAAGCATAGGACAGAATAGCAAGCAAAAGTGGTCCAATATTACTCATTGCTTTGGAGGTCCCTTCATGGTCACCAAAATGTTACTGGGGGGTCCTTGCTCCCAGAGCTCCCAAGATGGTGATGGGCCACTTCCAAAATGGCAGTGGGCCACTTCCAAGATGGTGGCAAGCCTCACGTTCTCTGACCTGGGGTTCTTGGCCTCACAGATTCCAAGGAATGGAATCTTGGGCCATGTGATGAGTGTTATAGCTCTATTAGAAGCTGTGGGTCATGGAAGAGAACCGTGAAACCCAGTTACTAGTGTTCAGCTCTATTAGGATGAACCCAAGCACTTAGCTGTGCAGCAACAATAGCAAGCCTTTAGCCCAATTGGGAGTGGCAATGGGTGCCTCGGTGGATCAGGAGCACAGTGGACACTCTGCTGGATCTGGAGGGATGGAAGTCAGCAGTGGGTCTCCGATGGTGGCAAACAGCAGTGGTGGACAGCAAGCAAAAGCTCAGCTTGAGCCTTAACAAACACGGACCAGGAGAGTGCAGTTGCAAGATTTAATAGAGTGAAATAGAGTGAAAACAGAGCTCCCATACAAAGGGAGGGGACCCAAAGGGGGTTGCCATTGCCAGCTCAAATGCCTGGGTTTATATCCCGATCCTTGTCCCTCCCGCTGTGCTCTCAGGCAATAGATGATTGGCTATTTCTTTGCCTCCTGTTTTTGCCTGATTAGCATTTTAGTGAGCTCTCTGATTGGTCAGGTGTGAGCTAAGTTGCAAGCCCCATGTTTAAAGGTGGATGAGGTCACCTTCCCAGCTAGGCTTAGGGATTCTTAGTCAGCCTAGGAAATCCAGCTAGTCCTGTGTCTCAATTGTATATGACAAATGCTCCTTCTAACAACCCCACAATATCACCCCTTACCCCAAAATCTTTCTTCAGTTTAATCTCTCCCACTCTAGGTTCCCACACTGACCCTAATCCTGCTTAAAGCAGCCCTGAGAAACATCACCCATTATCTCTCCATACCACCCCCAAGAATTATCACTGCCCCAACTCTTCACTATTTTATTTTTCTTATTAATATAAGAAGACAGGAATGTCAGGCCTCTGAGCCCAATCCTGCACGTATACATCCAGATGGCCTGAAGCAACTGAAGAATCACAAAAGAAGTGAAAATGGTCAGTTCCTGCCTTAACTAATGACATTATCTTGTGAAATTCCTTCTCCTAGACAATGAGTCTCAGAAGCTCCCCACGGAGCACCTTGTGACCCCCGCCTCTGCCCACCAGAGAACAACCCCTTTGACTGTAATTTTCCACTACCTACACAAATCCTATAAAACTGCCCCACCCCTATATCCCTTCACTGACTCTCTTTTCAGACTCAGCCCACCTGCACCCAGGTGATTAAAAAGCTTTATTGCTCACACGAAGCCTTTTGGTGGTCTCTTCACATGGACACATGTGACAGTGGGGGTGGGGGGTGGTGGCTCCTTTCGCTCTGCCAGAGCTCAAACCTTTTGCAGGATGATGAGCATGCAGGTGAGTGGGTACCGGAGCCTAGGCAAGTGCCTTTAGCTGCCAGCAGGAACAAACCGCATATGGCCCACAGCATCATCTAGCACTTGCTCTTGACTTCTGAAGCCCCACAGGGCATGTGTTACAAACAATGGTCTTTTAGCAGTTACCATCCATAGATGGCTAAAGGTTAACCAGTTCAGTGGAGAGTCAAGGTGACAGCCTTTTACACCCTGCACTCTTGGTACCCAGTTCTTGTTCAGTGTCCAAGAAGAACCACATTGCATGAACGGTTTGAAAGGTGGTGAATGTGGAGGATTTTATTAATCAGTGGAAGTGGCTATCACCTGAAGGGGAGCTGGAAAGGGGATGGTGTGGGAAGAAAGTGATCTTTCCCTGAAGCTCAGCTGTCTCCTCCCAGGCACCTCTCCAAAGTTGTGCTGTCTGAAGTTAAGTCATGTGTGTCTATAGTCTCTGATGTTCAATTGCTTATTCTCCACTCAATGTTCAGCTGCTTGTCTCTCTGCCAACTGAGGTCTGGGGTTTATATGGGCACAGGATGCGGGGAGGGTCAGGCTAAAAATGTAACACTTGGGCAGGAAAACAGGGATAAATGTTCTCATTTAGAACCATGGTTTCCAGGCTTGTGGGTGGGGCTTTTGCCAGGGAACCACCCTCTTCACCCAGTGTTTCCCTGCCTCCTGTCTGTATCACTTACATGTTTAAGATATTTGTAGCAAAGTGATCAGTTTAAGATAACTGCCTTTGTTATATCTGTGACTTACTTTGAATTTTTTAAAAAATTTCATTGCCCTATTTAAATCTTTCACAGAAATTCTTGATGATAGTAAGCTCTTCAGTTTACAAAGAAAGAAGCTGTGAAATCTGTTATTATGCATTCTGTTTTGTTTCTAATTGAAATTGTAGTTTTGGAGCAAATGACCTCAGAATTATTTTGCAAAATTTTGCTGCGTGAAATACATGAAATAATTGGCTATTTGATTATATAATAATTGACCTACAAAAATGAACCCCATACACAAAGTGAAAATTATCTTTGACTTTTGCATGATACATTTTTTTTAATGGAATGTGGATTGGTTGGTTGATTTTATTCCATTTTCTTGTTGCTGTTGTTTTGTTTTGTTTTGTTTTGTCTTGACACAGAGACATTATTTCTTACATGGCTGTCATTCTGGTCCACACTAATTGAAGAATCAGTTATCTTGAGCTGATTAGTCTTATCACATCGACTTTCTAATTTTTTTTTCGAAGTTCCTCTTCTTAATCAGTTTTCCATTTATAAATTTAAAGGTATTTTATCTCACTTGAAATAAACATGCATAAACAAAAAGAGACAAAAATAAAAAATGTGTAACCAAAAAAGATTAAAAGACAAACAATCAAATAAAGAATGAGCAAGGGTGGCTGGCAAGATGGCCAAATAGAAACAGCTCCGGTCTGCAGCTCCCAACGAGATCAACACAGAAGGTGCTTGATTTCTGCATTTCCAACTGCGGTACCTGGCTCATCTCACTGGGACTGGTTAGACAGTGGGTGCAGCCTACAGAAGGTGACCAGAAGCAGGGTGGGTTGTTGCCTCACCCAGGAAGCACAAGGGGTTGGGGAACTCCCTACCCTAGCCAAGGGAAGCCACGAGGGACTGTGCCATGAGGAACAGTGCTATCCAGCCCACATACTATGCTTTTCCCATGGTCTTCACAACCTGCAGACCAGGAGATTCCCTCAGGTGCCTACACCACCAGGGTCCAGGTTTCTAAGCACAAAACTCGGTGGCCATTTGGGCAGATGCTGAGCTAACTACAGGAGTTTTTTTTTTTTTTTTTTTTTTTTTTCATATCCCAGTGGTGCCTGGAATGCCAGGAAGACAGAACCCTTCACTCCCCTGGAAAGGGGCTGAAGCCAGGGAGCCAAGTCATCTAGCTCAACGGATCCCACCCCGATGGAGCCCAGCAAGCTAAGATCCACTGGCTTGAAATTCTTGCTGCCAGCACGCAGCAGTCTGAAGTCAACCTGAAATGCTCGAGCTTGGTGGGGGGAGGGGCGTCTGCCATTACTGAGGCTTGAGTAGGCAGTTTTCCCCTCACAGTGTAAACAAAGCCACCAGGAAGTTCAAACTGGGTGGAGCCCACCCCAGCACCTCAAAGCCAGTGTAGCCAGACTCCCTCTAGATTCCTCCTCTCTGGGCAGGGCATCTCAGAAAGAAAGGCAGCAGCCCCAGTCAGGGGCTTATAGATAAAACCCCCATCGCCCTGGGACAGAGCACCTGAGGGAAGGGGCAGGTGTGAGTGCAGCTTCAGCACAATTAAACCTTCCTGCCTGCCAGCTCCGAAAAGAGCAATGGATCTGCCAGCACAGTGCTTGAGCCCTGCTAAGGGACAGACTGCCTCCTCAAGTTGGTCCCTGACCCCCCTGCCTCCTAACTGGGAGACACCTCCCAGCAGGGGTTGACAGACACATCATACAGGAGATCTCCAACTGGCATCTGGTGGGTGCCCCTCTGGGAAGCTTCCAGATGAAAAAGCAGGCAGCAATTTTTGGTGTTCTGCAGCCTCTGCTGGTGATACCCAGGAAAACAGGGTCTGGAGCAGACCTCCAGCAAACTCCAGCAGACCTGCAGCAGAGGTGCCTGACTGTTGGAAGGAAAACTGACAAACAGAAAGCAATAGCATCAACATCAACATCAACAAAAAGGACGTCCATGCAAAAACCCCATCTGAAGGTCACCAACATCAAAGACCAAAAATAGATAAATTCACGAAGATGAGGAAAAACCAGCACAAAAAGCCTGAAAATTTTAAAAACCACAATGCCTCTTCTTCTCCAAAGGATCACAACTCCTCACCAGCAAGGCAACAAAACTGGATGGAGAATGAGTTTGACAAATTGATAGAAGTAGGCTTCAGAGGGTGGGTAATAACCAACTCCTTTGAGCTAAAGGAGCATGTTCTAACCCAATGGAAGGCAGCTAAGAACCTTGATAAAAGGTTACAGGAACTGCTAACTAGAATAACCAGTTTAGAGAACATAAATGACCTGATGGAGCTAAAAAACACACCGTGAGAACTTCATGAAGCATACACAAGTATCAACAGCCAAATTGATCAAGTGGAAGAAAGGATATCAGGATTGAAGATCAACTTAATGAAATAAAGCATGAAGATAACTTTAGAGAAAAAAGGATGAAAAAGAATGAACAAAGCCTCCAAGAAATATGGGACTATGTGAAAAGACCAAACTTACATTTGATTGTTGTATCTGAAAGTGACAGGGAAAATGGAACCAAATTGGAAAACACACTTCAGGATATTACCCAGCAGAACTTCCCCAACCTAGCAAGACAGGCCAACATTTAAATTCAGGAAATACAGAGAACACCACAAAGATACCCCTCAAGAGCAACCCCAAGACATAATTGTCAGATTTATCAAGGTTGAGATGAGGAAAAAATGTTAAGGGCACCCAGAGAGAAAGGTCAGGTTACCCACAAAAAGAAGGCCATCAGACTAACAGCAGATCTCTCTGCAGAAACCCTTCAAGCCAGAAGAGAGTGGGGGCCAATATTCAACATTCTTAAAGAATTTTCAGTGCAGAATTTCATATCCAGCCAAACTAAGCTTCATAAGCGAAGGAGAAATAAAATCCTTTACAGACAAGCAAATGCTGAGAGATGTTTGTCACCACCAGGCCTGCCTTACAAGAGCTCCTGAAGGAAGCAGTAAATATGGAAAGGAAAAACCAGTACCATTCACTGCCAAAACATACCAAAATGTAAAGAACATCAACACTATGAAGAAACTGCATCAACTAATGAGAAAAATAAACAGCTAGAATCATAATGACAGGATCAAATTCACACATAACAATATTAACCTTACATGTAAATGGGCTAAATGCCCCAATTAAAAGACACAGACTGACAAATTGAATAAAGAGTCAAGACCCATCAGTGTGCTGTATTCAGGAGACCCATCTCATGTGCAAAGACACACATAGGCTCAAAATAGAGGGATGGAGGAATATTTACCAAGCAAATGGAAAGCAAAAAAAAAAGCATGGGTTACAATCCTAGTCTCTGAAAAAACAGATTTTATACCAACAAAGATCAAAAAAGGCAAAGAAGGCCATTATATAATGATAAAGGGATCAATGCAACAAGAAGGGCTAACTATCCTAAATATATATGCATCCAATACAGAAGCACCCAGATTCATAAAGCAAGTTCTTAGAGACCTACAAAGGGACTTAGACTCCCACACAATAATAGTGGGAGACTTTAACACCCACTGTCAATATTAGACAGATCAATGAGACAGAAAATTACAAGGATATTCAGGACTTGAATTCAGCTCTGGACCAAGGGGACCTAATAGACATCTACAGAACTGTCCACCCGAAATCAACAAAATATACATTTTTCTCAGCACCACATCATAGTTATTCTAAAATTGACCACATAATTAAAAGTAAAACATTCCGCAGCTAATGCAAAAGAACAGAAATCATAACAAACAGTTTCTCAGACCACAGTGCAATCAAATTAGAACTCAGGATTAGGAAACTCACTCAAAGCTGCACAACTATATGGAAACTGAACAACCAGCTCCTGAATGACTACTGGGTAAATAATGAAATTAAGGCAAATGTAAATAAGTTATTTGAAACCAATGAGGACAAAGACACAATGTACCAGAATCTCTGGGACACAGCTAAAGCAGTGTGTAGAGGGAAATTTATAGCACTAAATACCCACATGAGAAACCTGGAAAGATCTAAAATCAACACCCTAACATCACAATTAAAGGAACTAGAGAAGCAAGAGCAAACAAATTCAAAAGCTAGCAGAAGAGAAGAAATAACTAACATCAGAGCAGAAGGAGATAGAGGAATAAAAAACCATTCAAAAAAAAAATCAATGAATCCAGGAGCTGGTTTTTGAAAGATTAACAAAACAAATAGACTGCTAGCCAGACTAATAAAGAAGAAAGGAGAGAAGAATCAAATAGATATAATAAAAAATTAAAAAGGGGTTATCACCGCCAATTCCACAGAAATACAAACTACCATCAGAGAATACTATAAACTTCTCTATGCAAATAAACTAGAAAATCTAGAAATGGATAAATTCCTGGACACATATACCTTCCCAACATTAAACCGGAAGAAGTCAAATCCCTGAATAGAGCAATATCAAGTTCTGAAATTGAGGCAATAATTAATAGCCTAGCAACCAAAAAAAGTCCAGGACCAGACGGATTCATGGCCTAATTCTACCAGAGGTACAAAGAGGAGCTGGTACAATTCCTTCTGAAAGTATTCCAAGCAATAGAAAAAGAGGGACCCCTCCCTAACTCATTTTATGAGGCCAGCGTCATCCTGATACCAAAACTTGGCAGAGAGACTACAAAAAAAAGAAAATTTCAGGCCAATATCCCTGATGAACATTGATGCGAAAATCCTCAATAAAATACTGGCAAGCAGAATCTAGCAGCACATCAAAAATGTAATCAATAAATGTAATCCATCACAAAAACAGAACCAATGACAAAAAGCACATGATTATCTCAATAGATGCGGAAAAGACCTTCAATAAAATTCAACACCCCTTCATGCTAAAAACACCCAATGAACTAGGTATTGATGGAACGTATCTCAAAATAATAACAGCTATTTATGAAAAACCCACAGCCAATATCATACTGAATAAGCAAACCCTGAAAGCATCCCCTTTGAAAACCAGCACAAGACAAGGATGCACTCTCTCACCACTCCTATTCAACATAGTATTGGAAGTTCTGGCCAGGACAATCAGGCAAGAGAAAGAAATAAAGTGTATTCAAATAGGAAGAGAGGAAGTTGAATGTCTCTGTTTGCAGATGACATGATTGTATATTTAGAAAACCCCATCATCTCAGTCCCAAAACTCCTTAAGCTGATAAGCAACTTCAGCAAAGTCTCAGGATACAAAAGCAATGTGAAAAATCACAAGCATTCCTATACACCAATAATAGACATACAGAGAGCCAAATCATGAGTGAGCTCCCATTCACAATTGCTACAAACAGAATAAAATACCTAGGAATACAACTTACGACGGATGTGAAGTCAGGAAACAACAGATTCTGGTGAGGCTGTGGAGGAATAGTAATGCTTTTACACTGTTGTTGAGAGTGTAAGTTAGTTCAACCATTCTTGAAGACAATATGGTGATTGCTGAAGAATGTTGAACCAGAAATACCATTTGACCCAGCAATCCCATTACTGAGTATATATCCAAAGGATTATAAAGCATTCTACTATAAAGACACATGCACACGTATGTTTATTGCAGCACTATTCACAATAGCAAAGACTTGGAGCCAACCTAAATGCCCATCAATGATAGACTGGATAAAGAAAATGTGGCACATTTATACCATAGAATACTATGCAGCCATAAAAAGGGATGAGTTCATGTCCTTTGCAGGGACATGGATTAAGCTGGAAACCATCATTCTCAGCAAACTAACATGGGAACAGAATACTAAACACCACATGCTCTCACACATTAGTGGGAGTTGAACAATGAGAACCCACGGACACAGGAAGGGGAACATCACACACTGGGGCCTGTTAGGGGGTGGGGGGAAAGGGGAGGGATAGCATTAGGAGAAATATCTAATGTAGATAACTGGTTGATGGGTGCAGCAAACCACCATGGCACATGTATATCTATGTAACAAACCTGCACATTCAGCACATGTATCCTAGAACTTAAAGTATAATTTTAAAAAAATGAGCAAAAGCCTTAATAGGTGCCTTACAAAAAAAGGTATACAAAATGTCATATGCTCACATGCAAATGCTCAACATTATCAGTCAGAGAAAAAATGCAAGTTAGAACCACGGGATACCAACACATGCTCAAAAATGGCTAAAATCAAAACATTTATTTGACATCATAAAATGCTGGCTAGTTTGTGGAACCACCAAAACCCGTGTATATTTCTAGTGGGAGTATAAACATTTCTTAACACATGTTCACTTAAAACAAATTAACAAACATTTATTTAGCAAAACTTATATGCCAGACACCATCCTGGTCATTGCGAATACAAAGTTAAAAGGTTGACTTCAGGGTAACAAATGAGATAGAAATAAAAACATGTGGTAATAGTATAGATTGATAAGTTCTGTGATGTGGTGAGTACAGGAGATTGTGGAAGCTATTTTGTGGGGAAAAATGCATAAGATTCATGCTAACTATCCCTTAAATGTTTGATAGAATACCCAAGTAAAGCCATCTTGGGTTTGAAATTTTTTGGGGGGGAAGATCTTTAATTACAAAGTTAATTTCTTTTAAAACTAAAGGAACTAAAGAGCTATTTGGATATTTCTACATTCTATTATATAAGTTTTGGTAATTTGTATCTTTTAAGAAATTTGTTTACTTTAAGTTATCAAATTTATTATAAAATTTTTCGTAATGTTCCTTATTACCCTCTATGTCATTAGCTCTAAAGTGATATCTCTTCCTTTATTCCTGCATTACTAATTTATATTTCCTTACTTTTTATTTATATCTGTCTAGCTAGGAGTTCTCTAGTACTTTCTTCTTTGATAAATGGCTTATTTAGAAGTGTGTTGTTTGATTTTCAATTATTTGGGGATTTTTCACATGTCTTTTACTATTAATTTCTAACTTAATATCATCGTAGTAAGAGATTTCAATCTTATAGAGCATGTTCAATTCACTAATGTTGTTAGTGAATGTTTCACTTGAAAAAAAAACATATTCTGCAGTTGTGTGGCTGCAGTGGTTTATGGCAATTTGGTTAAGTAGGTTGATTATGTTGTCCAAGTCTTCTATATATTACTAATTTTTTGTCTACTTCTTCTATTAATTACTAAGAGAAGAATGTTAAAATTTTCAACTGTAATTTTGGATTGTTTTATTTTTCCCTTCAATGCCCTCAGTTCTCCCTTTGTGGATTATACATTTAGAATTATTATATCTTCTGGATGAATTAGTATAGTCAGTCTCATTTTTTTAACATTAGTGTTTGTATGGTATATGTATATTTTTACTTTTTACTTTTAATCTGGTTTTTTTTTCTGTTTAGTGGGTTTATCTTATAAACCACAAATAATATGGCATTTTTTCAAATTAAAATGTCTTTCTTTTAGTAGGAATGGCTACATCATTTACACATAATGCAATTATTGGCATTTATTTAAGTAACACCATGTTGAAATTTGACTGTAATTGTCCCAGCTATTCTTTATTCCTTTTTTCTCATTTTCTGACTTTTTTAAATTAATTGAATTTTTTGTGTATTCCATTTTATGTTCCCTATTTATTTTTAAACTGTACCTTTTTGTGTCTTTGTTTGTTTTGGTTATGCTGTTTCACAATATGCATCTTAAATGTGTCATAATTTAGCTTCAAATAATATTATATAATTCTGCATGTAAGAACTTTATAATGATACACTTTCATTTATCCCCTCCCCATTCATTTTGGTAATGTTTTTATAATTTTTTTTACACATGAGATAAATCTCATACTACATTGTTACACTAATTATCTATTAAAGAAATTAACAACTCATAAAAATATTTTATTGCCTGCATATTGACTATGTCTGGAATTATTTATTCCTTCACATAGTACAAGTTTCCATCTGGTATCATTTTTCTTCTGCCAGAAAAACATTCTTATTTTTGTTTCTGTTTGTTTGTTTTGTTTTGTTTGAGACAAGGCCTTGCTCTGTCACCTAGGCTGGAGTCTAATGGCATATACCACCACACCAGGCTAATTAAAAAAATTTTTTTTTGTAGAAACGGGGTCTTCTTATGTTGCCCAGGCTAGTCTTAAACTCATGGGTTCAATTAATCCTCCCACCTTGGCCTCTCAAAATGCTGGGATTACAGGCATGAGCCCTTACTCCAGACCAGAACTTCTCCTTTAACGTATCTTTTAGTGTAGCCCAATAAGAAAAAAATCTTCACAGGTCTTGTGCATTTAACTATATTTCAGTCTCATTTTTGAAAATCATTTTTGCAGAAAACAGACTTCCATGTTGACACATTTTTTTTCCTTAGGACTTTAAAAACATATTGTTGTCTTCTGGCTTGCATAGTTCTTGATGAGATGTCAGTGGCTATTTTTACTGTTATTCTATTCTGCATAATATATCTTATTTCTCTGGCTGTTTTTAGGATTTTTATCTTTGTCACTGATTTTTAGTAGTTTAATTATAACGTACATTTTTTTAGCTTGCTTTGTGTTTATGCAGCTTGGAGTTTGTTGAGATTCTTGAATTAGTGAGGTTAGTTTACAGTTTTCATCCAATCTGGAAAATTTTAGCCCTTATTTCTTCAAAAGAATATTCTGCCACAATCTCTGTCCTCATTTTCTCATTGCAATTACAAATACAATATATGGCTTGACATTGCCTTATGGGTCATTAAGACTGTTAAGTTTTTTTCAGCCTCTTTTCTGTCTGTCATTAAATTTGGATCATTTCTGTTGCCGATCTGGAAGTTCAACATTCTTTTCTTCTGCAGTGTTTAATCTAGTGAAAATTTCAGTTCAGATATTGTTTTACAGTTCTAGAATTCCCATTTAGTTTTTTTATTATATATAAATTCCAGTTCTGTTCTGAGATTTCCTATGTGCTCTCTTATTATTTTCATGTTTTCCCCTAAACCCATGGGCAAATTTAAAGTCTTATCTTCTTACTCTATCATTTCTTTCATTATTTCTGAATCCATCTTTATTGATTGATTTAATCCTGACTAAGACTCATACTTTTCTGCATCTGCCTTGTAATTTTTTAGTAGTTATTGGATGTTATGGGTGCTACATTGTTGAGTGTCTGGATTTTTGTGTTTCTTAATGGAGTATTCTATTTTGTTCCATCAGGCTAACAATTTACTTACCCATCAGCTCGATCCTTTCAAGACTTGTTTTTAACTTTGTTAATGTAAAATTAGTATAGGTTTCACTCTAGGGCTATATTAGCTCTACTACCTTGGTTTTGTCTCTCTGGGACTCTACTAAACACCAAGCATTTTTAATGATGATTCTTCACTCATTCAGCCTTGTTTGAGCTCTATAAATTGTTCTTTCATCACTCCTCAGTGGATGTTTTTTACTTAATAGTAGGCTCTTTCCCTGGCCTCATGCTGTCTTACCCTGTGTATGCACAGCTTAATATTCAGCCAAAGACTCAGTGGGTTCTCCTATGTAGATTTATAAAGCTTCTTCTTATCAGAGCTCCTTTATCCTCACTACCTTGCCCTGCAAATTCTAGCTGCCGCTGTGGCCTGGAAGTCAGATATCTGGCTTCATCTTGGTGAGATTACTATATTCCGTTTGATGCCCACTCCCAGAAATTTTCTGTAGGTAAAAAGCCAGATGATCATGTTGCTTAGCTCATCTGTTTTTCTCCTCTCAGAAATTCCAGTCCCTCACTGCCTATTGCCCAACATCTTAAAACATAATTTGTTGTCAAGTTTTCTAGTTACTTAAGGGAAGGGCATAGTTGGGTAGTAGTTACGTCCTCAGGCCCAAAGCCAAAGTCCCTTGAATTGTGTTGTAAGAAAACTAAAGAGTCTGGTAAACTGGGTGAAAAGTCTGGATTTCCTCTATGAAAACAGGGAAGCCCCAACCAGCGCTCCAGGCAGGGAAGAGACATGAAATTACTATATTTTAAAAGTATCAGTCTGTTACAATAAGAATGGATTACAGATGAGAAATCATGGAAGAAAATAGATCAGTTAGAAGGCCACTTCAGTATTCCAGACAACATATTGTAGTCTTAGACTTTTTTTAATTTTTTATTATTTTTTTGAGACAGAGTCTCACTCTGCCACCCAGGCTGGGGTGCAGTGGTGCGATCTGGGCTCGCTGCAACCTCTGCCTCCCGGGTTTAAGCGATTCTTCTGCCTCAGCCTCCTGAGTAGCTGGGATTACTGTTACTATACCTGGCTAATTTTTGTATTTTTAGTAGAGAAGGGGTTTCACCATGTTAACCAGGCTGGTCTCAAACTCCTGACCTGAGGTGTTCTTCCTGCCTCAGCCTCCCAAAGTGCCAGAATTACAGGCATGAGCCACCGCGCTTGGCAGGCTTAGACTTTCTAATAGTAGTGGTAATGAAGAAAAATGATGATAGTTGAGAAATAATTTGCTGATAGTTTCTATGTGGAAAATAAGGGAAAGGAAAAACTCAAGAATGATTCTCAGGTTGTTGTTAGCCAACTAAATGGAAGGTGGTGCCATCTACTGAAATACTGTTGGACATATTTCTATATAAAATAAGAACTGTGTTTTATGAACATACTTAGTTTACCAGGACAGCAATAAAGTATCACAGACCAGGTGGCTTAAACAACAGAAATATATTGTCTCACAATTCTGAAGACATTCTTTCTGAGAGTTGTGAGACAAGAATCTGTTCCTGGCCTCTCTGCTTGGCCATTTTCTCCCTATGCCTTTCCATGTTGTCATCCCTCTATGCATGTCTCTGTGTCCAAATTTCCCCTTCTGTTAAGGACACCAGTTCTATTGTATTAGGGCCCATTCTAATGACTTCATTGTAACTTGATTACCTCTAGAATGAACCTATCTTTGAATAAGGCCATATTCTTAATACTAGTAGGACAGTCTTCAATATATGAATTTGGAGGAGCACAATTCAATTCATAACGATAGATAAGTCTGAAAAAAAGACCCAAAGCTAAAATGTTTCTAATTAATGACACTTTATAAAATGTTCAAACATATGGACACTGATGGCAATAAAAGCTTTTTTCCAAGGTCTGCAGAATACAAAATGTAATATATACATTAATGTTCACTACAATGTTAAAATTTTGTGTATGATTTTATATATGACTGTGTGATATTTCTAAATTACAATGTGTGGTGTATATGTGTGTATATTAATAATTGACTCAAATGTCTCTTGGTAATATTCTTGGTGATTCATGCTAACACCAGATTTCCAAAAGCATATTTAAAAAATCATCTCAGCAAGGAATTTGTATGGGGATGCATAATGAACTAAGATTGCATAATTCAGGTGAAGAGAAGAAAAAGAAGGTCTTGAATACAAAAGGAAAAAATAACTAAAAATTCTACATGATAACAAACAAGGAATTGGTTTCATGAGCAGAGTCTTTACATAATGAAAAAAGTTATACAAATGGGAGAAAAAATATTTCATGCTTGGTAGTAATAAATACATGGGAATGAAGAACACTCAGAAAAAGAGACCACACAAGGAAAAATGTCACTAAATGAAAATGTGTCTCCCAATCTTCAATGAGGGGGTGGTAGCTTTCTGCACTAATACAAAGAAGTGATGATTAGCCCTATAAATTTTTCTTATACACTGAAGCTGTAATATAAATAAATATCTTGAGAGCAGACAATACCCTAATATGTTTTACATATGTTCTAAGTTTGTTATTACAGATAATAAATTTATATACCTAAAACTCCTCATAACCATTAGTTTGTTATTCATTGAGCCAAAAATCTTCTGAGATTTCCCAATTTAGAGAAGAGAGAAGCAAGACAGGAAAGCATGAATTCATTACTAAATCAAATACGGAATCAAATCTCTACAATGTCAATACAGAGCTTTATGTTTAAGATTCTCATTCCAGGATTTAGCTCACCCAGACATTTTTTCCCATTATATGCTTTCAAGCACTTTATATTAAGCGTGCTTTTAAAAACATATTACTGTGGAACTATATAGTAAATTCTAATCCTTCCAAGCCTATTTTTTTATTCCAAGAACTTTGAGGTATTCACGTTTCCTCAATCAAAGACCCAGCTCTTTGGAAATAAGAAAGAAGATCTTGTGTTATACTTATTCCATGAGCTTAAATTAAATATTCCAAAATTCTTTAGCTTCACATGTGTTATTTCATTTGATTCTCACAACAACCTTTGAACAAAGGTATCTTTTTTTATAGTTCAGAAAGAAATTCAGAAGATTGAGTAATTTGCACAAAAGAAGCCAGTTCTAACTAAGTAGAACTTAAATTAAACCAATATATTAGGAAAAAGGCAATGTCACAAAGGCAAGGAGGCTTACTTTTCCTTTTATCCTTTTCCCTGCCCCAAACAAAATCAGTGACTTAAAGAAGATCAAATCTACTTTTCTCATATAACAATCCAGAGGTGAATGGTTCATGAATAGCAGGATTGCTTACGTCCTTAAAGTCTATTTTCTACTCTTAGTTCAAGATTTCAATTGTCTCCTTTTCTCAGTCATAAGGAAGCGGAAAAGAGGAGATACTAACAATTGCTTTATTTGTAAGTGTTTTATTTTTAACACAGCTATACTCCAGCTCATAGTCCAAGAACCAGAACATGATCATACCTAATTGCAACAGAAAAAATTCTAGTTGTAGGCCATGTATTCGGGAATGAAATATAATCAGAGTTTATTAGTACACGCAGAATATGTTAAGTACAATAATTTAGAGAAACCCATGGGGATCAGCCAGATGATGTGCAAAAAAAAAAAAAATGGCAATGAGGAGGGGACTAAATAGTATCTACTTCTTTGCAAAATGAGAGTTTCATGAACCAAGAACTTGATTGAGAGTGTATCAAGTAAAAATGGGGTAAATGCTGTCCTTCACATGCACCATTCCCAGTTACCTAGCAAATATGTTCCCTTCTTGTGGTAAAGATATTATAATGATATTATCCTCAGAATATAGATATTATACTCAGCATATAGATTACAGCAAGCAGAAGATGATTAACAAGTGAACTCCTTGTTGGAAAAAGATCTAGGGAGGGTTTTGAGAGAGGCTTTAGCATCTGGCAAATGATATGACAGCTAACAAGGGACTTAATTGTAGATAAAAGAGACCTTCTTGCATTCTGCAGAGTTGTTAAAATGCCCTCTGACTAGTTCACGGTCCAAACAAATGTAGATTTTGCATTGCCTTCAAGAGTGTTATTGCTGCATGGCAGAAAGTCCTACAGTGAGCACATTTAGGAGAGTTGCATAAGCCGATTTGTTCCAAAAACAATGAAAAAAAAATGTTCTGCCAGGTAGATCATTATAGAACACATAGGTACTTAAGGTTCTCAAATGAAATTTAATATTAATTTGACATTAAACACAGACTTAACTAATCATCAATTTGGATTTGATTTACAAAGACTTGCTGGAACCAATTGCTTTCATTAAGATCTAAAAGTATGTGCCTGAAATATATGGTATAAGGAAAATAAAGCTACAACATGCATCCTAAGAGGGAATTTCAGAAACAAAGAACCTATGCACTAGAAGTAACAACGTACGCTCAAGGATATTATCTCAATTCTAGTCAAGGAATATATTCAGAAGCAATAAGGATATAGTTGAAAAGGAGGAGAGCTGTTTGGTGAAAGAACTTAGATTAAGTATAGATGAGATTAATTAGGTAATAGGTAATCTCAACAGGTTTTGATGAAAGCATTGCTTGAAGCAGATGTGCTATGGACTTAAATATAAGTAAATGTGTCATTTATAACTAGAATTCAAGTAGCAAAAGTCCCTTTTACCTCATCTCATTTATGCTACTGAAAAACTCACCATTTTTATATTTATTGTCAGTAGTATTCACAGAAGTGCTTTCCTTGTCTTCACATATCACCCATTCTGCCATTCTCATGGCAGAGCTACTTATTACCCACTTTGTTTTTCTTTCTGATGTACATCCCATTTATCCAGCTAAGTGACACTTTCCACCTGAAAGATTTCAGATTCTCAAGCTCCTTTATTTCCAAGAGCTTTTGGATACACTTTCTATCATAAGAACAGGTGAGCATTGTCCATTGAGTGGCAGGAATCAGGAAGAGAATGTGCAGCAAAGAAGTAAGTAAGAAGTAGGTATTAAAAATTGTGTTAGCATGGTCCATGTAATCTGTCAAGTGAACAAATACTTATAGAATGTGTATCATGTGTTGGAACCAAAAAGTTATTCCCTTAAGGGGTTTAAAACAGATGTATTAGGCAGAGATAGCTAGTTGCCTATCTAATATCCCTTCTTCACTTTTTCAATGGTAGCAGAAACCATGTATATCCAAAGTGGTAATATTCCTAGCCTCATTTGCAACTAAGAATGGCTTTAAGATTAAGTTCTTGCCAAAAAGACGTAATTAAAAGTTTTACCTTGGTGCTCTAAGATAGCTCCTTTAAAGAACAACAGATGATTATTGCATGCCCGTTTTTGCTATGCTCCCCTTCCTGCCAATTAACTGGATAGCTGATGTAATGGACGGACCTCTAGCAGCCACATTAAACCATTAGGCAACTGTAGGAATGGAAACCACATGTTAAGGTTGAGAAAGGCAGAATGGAAAGAGAGACAAATTTAGACCCTGATGAGCTGTCATACCAGTTCTGAACTATCTTCACACCTATCTTACTTGAGAGATTATTGCTCAAGTCACTTTTCCAAGTTACTGTTAAATGTGTGGAATTTAATCCTAAAACAATATAAACTCTTTTCATTAGATTATTATACAGGAGATCAGAGGGAAGGGAATCCAATAAATTAAAGATTCCACAAAGCCAATGGTAATTATTTAAAAGTTTACCAAGGCCCATATTATTGTAACTTGTTATATTTTCCAGATTTTACTTGTGTGATATACTGTCGAGCTTACTCAAGCACTAATTTATCTTCTTAAGTTTTCTTCTTTGAAAGATAATTCTCACTCTTCAGAGGCATTATAATTATATCTACTTTTCACCACTATTACACAAATAAAAGATAAAAATGGGCAAGGAAAATGTTTATAAAAATTGTTTTATATTAAGGCCAGGCATGGTGGCTCACCGCCTGTAACTCCAGCACTTTGGGAGGCCGAGGTGGGCAGATCACTTGAGGTCAGGAGTTCGAGACCAACCTGGCCAATATGGCAAAACCCTGTCTCTACCAAAAGTAACAAAAATTAGCCAGATGTGGTGGCACACACCTGTGGTCCAGTTACTCGGGAGGCAGAGACACGATAATCACTTGAACCAGGATGTGGAGGTTGCAGTGAGCCAAGATCACACCACTACACTCCAGCCTAGGTGACAGAGCAAGACTGTCTCAAAAAAAAAAAAAAAAGAAAAGATTTTTTTTAATTAAGAAGAAAGTGTTTTATTTATTTTGTTTTGTGTTTATTGTTGTAGGTGATTACTTGCTGTTTAGTTTCAGAAATAATTGAGCAATCAACCTTATCAAATTTTATAAAACATAAAATTACAATGTCTTAAAAGAATTATTTTACTCAGAAAGCATAATTCTGAAGGAACTGTAATATTTGTGAACAAAGAACTCAATTGGATTCTCATTGTCCAAATATGACACACACTTCTCAAACATCTTTTAGTCCTCAAATTAAACACTGAAATAATGTGACATTATTATGTCCACAAACTGCAAATACCTGAAAATTTTATAAGAGAGGGAGATTAAAGCATTTGATCACCAGTGGCATATGTTTTGAATTGTACTACATGAATTAAATGTTTGCAAACAACTTTGAATAAGTAAAGAGACTGGGGAATGAAACAATATAATCTACACTGTAAAAAGATACATATCCTAAGGCCGAAGAAAAAGTTTTCCTTTTTTTGGACCATAGCAGAAATATTTGATGTAGGAGGTGAGTTTTTTGCCATTGGGGTTTTTTTTCCCTTGCTCCATTCTCACAAGTGGTTTATTTTCTATAATGTACATCCTCCTCCTCACCACAAAAGACACAATCAGTGCATTTCAACAGCTTGAAGAAATTACCTTCTCTCCTGCATTAAATTCAAAATTTTTCTCTTTCTTCTTTCTTCCTCTTTCCTATTTAGAGTCATGTGTTACGAAATTGGCAACTGCTAATGAGGGATAAGCATCTTGACCATCTTATTAGGTCTAAAAACTGGTCAAAGTCACTTGAGTTTGAGTTGTTTCCCACATTGTCATCAGGAGATGCCCCAACCAGAAGCACATCCAGTAGTGAGCTCCCCAACTGGCTACTTATGAATTCTCTCCTGCACTTTCCTTTTGCTATGTGTCCTGTCCTTAAAATATTTTCTCAAAGTTCCACTTCAGAAACATTTTGAAAAACTACTTTATCCAATATAAAAGTCAGGAAGTACAAAAGTTAAGGTTCTCACAACATCCATAACTCACACATATTGCACAGATTGTATAGATTAAGCTTGAATTTTTGTCACCTAACCTGTTATCAAAAATATTATATGCATTCAATGTTGAAGAGCTAATGTTTCTCTGACATTCTGTAACACCCAATGTTTCTATTAAAATTTAGTCTTTATGTTCTTTCAACATTCAAATTAAAAACAACATTTTAAGATTAGCAGAATTAGTTCATCTATATCTATGACCCCTTTTTCCAACACAAAAATGGTAGTGAAAAAAAATTGTTTTCCAAAGTACTATTCCAGTGTTGTTCCTGAATATTTGCTTGACTAAGAGTAGGTATTTTTATAAGCTGTGGTTTGTTTTTGTTTTTTAAATAAAGATCATAGGAGTTTTGAGTCTCATACCAAAAAAAGAAAAACTTTTCTCCTACCCTTACCTTGAAAACAAATTTTCAAAAATGCAGATTTTATGTTACTGTAATGTCCAGCACCTAATTTCAATGTCTGTTTTTTTTCCAATATGCTTTATTTGACCTGTCCTCAAGGAGCATAAAACATTTTCAGAGTTCTGAGAACTGCTCTAAGTATTATAGGATGAAAACACTGAAGTTAAATATGTGGTATCATGTAAATAAAGTCATTTTTCAAGCTTCTTCCGTCCCTTATATACTTCTTCTATCATATATTTTATGAATATATAAATTTATTTTTATTTTAATGAAATACATTTTCCTAAAAAGATAACTAATGGTTTACAACAATTAAAAATGTTGTCTTATAAAAAAGGTAATGCTTGAGACTTAATAAAAATTTGTAAATTTGAAAATATAGTTTTCTGCTTATCAAATTGACAAAGATTTTCAAAATGTATGCTAAGCTGCATTGCTGACATTGTAGAAAATTTGATATTCTCAAATATTGCTGCTAAAAAATAATTGCTCTAGTTTTTCCAGGGGGGGAATTTTCTAATTTCTATTAGAAAAGTGGATAAACAAATTGTGGTATAACCAGGTATTTCAATATTATATAACAAAGATCATACTTCTAAAGAATATTTAATAGGTAAGTTCTCATACTATAATTTTATAAGTGAAAAATGCAGGATACAGGCTGGGCATGGTGGCTCACACCTGTAATCCCAGCATTTTGGGAGGCCAAGGCAGGTGGATTGCCTAAGGTCTGGGGTCCAAGACCAGCCTGGCTAACATGGTGAAACCCCATGTCTACTAAAAATACAAAAAAATAAATTAGCTGGGTGTGGTAGCGCACGCCTGTAGTGTCAGCTGCTCAGGAGGCTGAGGCAGGAGACTCACTTCAACCCAGGAGGTGGAGGTTGCAGTGAGCTGAGATCGCACAACTGCACTCCAGCCTGGGTGACAGAATGAGACTCTGTCTCAAAAAAAAAAAAAAAAAAAAAAAAAAAAAAAATGCAGGATACAAAGCTGTATATAGATTATTGCCAAGTTTATTTTTTTGTAGTGTTTGCAAAAATGGCCACAATAAGTGCCTTTCACATTGATGACCTTTGAATCATATCTTCCCATCTGACTCTGAACTTGGCCATAAGACTTGCTGTGGCCAACTAGGCATTAGCTCATGAGAAGAAAGCAAAGGCTTAATAAGGGCTGGCATATGTAAATTCACCCTCATACTGCTCTTTGGAACTTTGAGACCACCATGTAAAGAAGCCTGAGATCATGTTCAGGAAAGTGGGAGGCTCTATGAAACAGAGACAAGCCATCCCAGCTGCTGCTCCTAGAACAACCAGAAGCCAGTGCCTAGCATAGGAATGAGGCCACCCAAGGGCGGCCAGTCACTGCCAACTTGCCAGTAGATTGAAAGAGTTGTGAGCTAAATGACTATTTTTTTTTGTTGTTGTTGTTTGTTTTTGTTGTTGTTGTTTTCTAAGCCACTAGGTTTTGGGCTTGGTTTGTAACAAAGCAAAAACTAGATAGTAAGATGACTACAGACATTGATCTTTTCCTTTCAAGCCTTCAAAGTTTTCGAAATAGAATATAATTAGTGTGACCTTTGTTTATAATCAGAAGATTATGTTAATTTATACTGAGCAAAAAAATAGATCCAAACAGATCAACTAAAAATGGTTGAAGAAAAATTAGAAAAAATGAGTTATATTTCTAATGAGTCCTCCTCGGTTATCAGCTTTCCCATAGAGCAGTGTGGTCAGCTCTGGGAATGCGTTTTTATTAAACTGTTATTTATATATTTTCTTTTTGGTTTCATTCCAACGACTGGTTTTATCATAGCTCCTCTCTGTGGTATTGGTGTCAGTAACAGACAAGTTTAAAGTCACCATTAAAAGTCTCATTACAAAAATCATTAGGCAGAAAATGACTAACCTATTATCTTCCTTTGTTAAAAAAATTCTCTTACTCACATTTAATTATAGAATATTTTCAAGAAAAAACCATTAGAAAATCAACTATTGTGTAACTTTTATCGTTTAGTATATGCTTAATGTAGATTTTGTAGAAAATGAGATTAACTTATGATTACAACCAAATATTCACAAATATCAACACAGGTTCTGTGTAATATGTATGTTAAAAAAAGACACACTGTCTTTTTATAAAAGTAACTAGATGAAAAACAAGTTTTACTTAAAAAACTTTACCTTTTACAGAGTTAAATATTTATTTGGTAGAAGTAACAATAGCTAATCAATAAATTCAGTATTTATTTGGTAGATAGAATTCAGCAGATATTAGAAGATAGTTGGTAAACTGCTACACATGATACTAGATCACCGCATATGCTAAGTGACAAGGAAGAAGAAGAATAGTGGGGAGGGGGAGGAAAAAATCCAGTGCAGAGGGTGACATTCTGTGTATTGCCCTGTGAACCTTCCTATAATTGACCCTACATATTCACACTGCTTCCTCCACTGTCCACCCCACACTCCATCCCTCACATATAAAACATTAGTAAAATTCTCCTGAAACTATCCAGTGCTTGATATGGGAGAAACTTTTCAATAAAACTGGATTAAATAACTGCATGTTACACCAAGGTAAAGTGGCAGATCCAGATGCAGAAGCCAGATGGACAGTGACATCTGCAAGGAACATCCACCTGCAATAGCATGCCCAATGAGCTAACTGCAGGTGCAAACACAAAACTCACTAATCCCCAAACTAGCCCCTTCTTTGCTTCAACAACACAGTGGAATCAGCTCACTACAGCTTGTGCTCTCTGGCCTCATTTCTCCAAGCAGGGAAAAGGAAAAACAGCCAAGCTGAAAAAGAGTCTCTGGGGAGAAGAAGACCAAGGGAAAGTTAGGAAGCACAAAAAGTTTTCTTGGGCAGCTTCCCCTACTTGTGCTCGCTCAGTGGCATGCTCCTCCTCCCCCATGACCTATGTCCCTGCCACTCTGGCAGAGTGATTTTTTTGCCCAATTTTTGCCTCATTTCCCCACTCACATCAACTGGAAGTCTTGACCCTTCAGTTCTCAGTGCCTGCAAAATGATTTATGTTAGATTTTTGTGCTTTTCTGGGAAATCATTTTTCCTCCTGTTGTTCCTAATTACCCTTACTGTTTTCCCTTTCCCTATAGGCATGCTCCAGCTGCTTCCTGATGAAGGAAAGCTTCCAGATAGATGCTTGCTTGCTGAAAGCTGAATCCAAAGAAGCTGACACCAGTGTCCTTAGACTAATAGCAAGCCAAAAATTGAACTTTCTCTTCCCTGAACTATGGCCAAGGCCCTCTCACAGTTTGGAAATTCTTAAAACCTCCAGATCCAGACCCTGTGTGTTGGAAATTGCACCATTTAGTCACTGGGTCCCCAGTAGAAACCTAACTTAGGTCAGTGGGATAAGGTTTATCTTCCTCCTAGCCCTCTGAAGATGGACCTGCTTGACACCCTGAGTAGGAAGGCTGCTAGTAAAACTTTATACTCCACCCATACACACCAATCCCTTTACAACCCAAATGGCTACCCCAGCTGGCCTCAGAAATATTTATAGAAATGTATGAATTTACTGTGAGCTAACTTTATGGCAGTCACTTGTTCTAAGAAATTCACATGTATTAGCATCCTTACAATAGCCTCTTGAAGTAAGTATGATTTTGAAGACAGAAAAACAGAAAATTAGAGGAGTCAAATAATTTTTCCAAGACTCCCTCAAAGATTAAGTGGCAGTGATGTGATTTGAAACCCAGCTATTCTCCCCAAAGACAATACTAATTCAACTGCTTCATCTCACAGTTAAAAACTAAAGGTCCTAAATGTATAATAATGGGTTAAAAGAAACAAGGCCATTTTAAATATGTGTTGAGATATGTCTCAAATACTAGAAGCTATAATATATCTGCATTATTGAAATAAGATTTACACAAATATAAAAGCCAAGATTAAAATCAAAACCCACATTTTTTTCCTGAACCACGATGCTTTTTTTTTTTTTTGTCACCAATGCATATTTATTTTCCAGCTCATGGAACATGCTCAGGATAGATTTGTTGAATGATTAAATGAATTATGTTTGAATAATTTGATTTAATGTCATTCCACTCCTGCAGGAACTTTGAGTTGGTAAACTTGATTCCAAAGAGTCTCCGCTCTTTAAGGATGGTTGGGCTGCATAACTGCTGTTCAGACAGCATGGCCATTTGTTCAGAACTTTAAAATTTCTTGGGAATGTTCTACCAAAAAGTGCTAATGTGGACACTGATTGTGTGGCTATCTGGAATGGTGATAAATATGCTCCTTAGGTATCTGTTAGAATCAGCCCTGCCCAATGAGAAAACATTCCTGCTCTGTATGTCCTTTTCTCAACCATATAGCAACATTACATAACAGCTCTCTAAACAGTTTTAAGAGACTTAGTTCTGCTCTCCCAGACCACAGGGAAGAAAGCCATGTTCCTTGGGCAGAACAACCCTTCACATGTTCTTTACTCTGCAGCCTCACCATAAGTCACGCTGGGTTGTTCCTTCGTCACCCGCAGGAACATGTTGCTCACACGCAGCCCTTCCCTGCTAAAGTCTGCATTGCCTTGTAAAGTCCAATTTTCTCTTAACTGCATCATGCCATGCACTGTAAATCACATTTGCATCCCATTTAAAACATAAACCACAATAGACACTGAAGAACAAAAGGAACTACAAGCCCAGCTTTTTTTGACAAAACTCCCACACATTGATAATTGGAAGCACATAAATATGTACACAGATGAGGTCTGGAAGTGCTGCCATGCCTAGGTTACATGTTTCTCGGCCTCATCCACTTTCAATTCTGCCACCAAATCTCCTAGAAGAGTATGAAGGGCAAGAAAAGACTAGCAGAGTGAATACAGTCATTAATAACTTAACTGAACATTTTTAAATAACTTAAAGAGTGTAATTGAATTGTTTGCAACCCTGAAAAAATGCTTGAGGGGATGAAAACCCCATTCTTCATGATGTGCTTATTTCACACTGCATGCCTGTATCAAAAAATCTCATGTACCCCATAAATATATACACCTACTGTGTACCCACAAAAATTAAAAATGAAAACAAGACTAACAAAAAGCTTTCTAGAAGCAATAGAAATTAAAACAAATAACATGGATTGACAGACAAATTGTGCTCTTGGAGTCTTCACTTAACCATGATTGCACCCTTTCTGGTTGCTTGATGGCATACAACTCCCATTGTTAGAATTCAAACTTTAAGTTGGTTCTAAAACAACAGCTGGTTACTAACAGGTTAAGTATATCTTTGGGTAAATAAGGCTTATTCAAGAAGTCCAAATTATTTTAAGAACTATAAAAAAAATTTTGCCCCCCAGCTTATATAAACAGCTCCCATGAATAGTGTAGGATTTTCTGTGTGTGTTTAATTACCCACCAAAATTCCATGGTTCTAAACTAGACTGAATTCCTTTACAATATGGCCTCTAAATTTAATTACTATTTAAGGTGCAAATCTAATGGAAAGTGAAAGGCCTTTCACTATGATGTGAAGCAGCTGATTCTGATTTGCTGCTGGAAACAATTTTGTCTGTTATATACACATAGGTATATTACACAGCCAATGCACCCTCTACTTTAGGGTGATTTTAACTTCTTAATAACTAGAGATAACTAACATTATCTCCCATTAAAAATAAGTAAGAAGGCAAAACTAATTCTCACAGATGATCATCCTCCAGGGAACAATCTAAATATTACACAGGTCAACTTCTATGTCTGAATTGTCAGAAACTGCTTAAATTGATCATGATTTGCTACAAGAGGTTGAATGAGTGTCTGACTTGAAATAGTCTGGCAGCAAAAGTAGGATTTTAATTAGATTATCAAGAGTTATTTGTTAAATTTTGGAATGCTGATAAATTTTTTAAAGTCCTTCTAATCTGGAGATAATTACCTTTAATCATTAAACTTGTTCTTGATTAAGAATTTGAAAATAAGCCTGTTAAGCCTTCAGCGAAATAGTAAGCCCAATAAAACACTGAAAATAATGCTGCCAAGCTACCAGGAAACTCAAACCGCTACTAGTCCTAGAATGTGCACAACTGGTGGAAATTAATGCTCAAAAAGACACCAATGCATCTTGAATGAATTCTGACCTTGGGTAAGCTTTTGAGACCTGATTCTGAAAAATCAAAAGGAAGATATATACTTGTATAAATCTTTGAAAAGTGCCTAGAGAAAAGAACTTTCTTATACTTCAAAGTGACAGAGGTGATAAAGACAGGATAATGTTGATTTAACTCCTCAGCACAGATCCTAGATATTTGGGAAACTGGTTACAGCAAAAAAATAGAGTTAAATATAACATACGTGCAAGATTGATAACTATTAACATTATACCTGAATGGTAATTGCAAGACATTCTGCTTATAACATTTCCTCTGGAATCTCCAGCCTTGACTAGCTGGGAAGTCAATCAGTGGGACCACTAAAGGCCACGTGGATATGTTGCATTGTTTCAAAAGTAAAAGATGGCAATATTGAACATTGTTAAATAGTAATGACCATTTAAGGCTTTCTTTGTTACATACAAAATGTTTTTCTTTCTTGTATCTTGATAGGAATTATTACTGTTGGCCTAACAGTAACCATCACAGATTAAAGCCAAGTGTTACTAATTATCTTATTACCTAGTAAGAGAAACCAGGTATAAAAAGACTATCTAGGCTGAGTGTGGTGGCTCATGCCTGTCATCCCAGCACTTTGGGAGGCCGAGGCGGGCGGATCACCTGAGGTCAGGAGTTTGAGACCAGCCTGGCCAACATGGTAAAACCCCGTCTTTACTAAAAATACAAAAATTAGCTGGGTGTAGTGGCATGTGCCTGTAATCCCAGCTACTAGGGAGGCTGAGGCAGGAGAATCACTTGAACCCAGGAGGTGGGGTTTGCAGTGAGCCGAGATCATACCATTGCACTCTGGCCTGGGCAACAAGAGTGAAGCTCCGTCTCGAAAAAAAAAAAAAAAGAGTATCTGCCATTCCCAAAGTTTTATAGTAAGTTTAGAGGAAAAAGAAATTAATGAAAGCCACATTCTGCCAATATCTAAGCTAATCTGTGTTCAGAACTAGTAGATGCTCTTTAACTCAGACTATCTACAACCTATTTAGTAAGTTGTTGCCAAAATTTTGTGCTGCTTAAAATAGTTTACAAAGACCTATGAAATGGCTTTGGCACACATTTTTTCTATAAATTATTAAGCACCTACCATGTGCCAGGCATTGTCCTAAGTATTATACCATATACAATGAATGACACAGAAAAAAAAATCAGTACATGTACTGTTGAAGTTTTATCTTAGTGTGGGAGAAGAACAAATAAAGCAACCAATAAATAAAATAATCCTAAATTGTTTTTAGTATTATGAAAGGAACTGAGACTCAATTGGGGCAATAATACTTTCTTCTTAGGAGGCATCATGGGTTGTCAAATGACTTAAAAGACTAATGGCATTTACTGTCAGAGCCAAGGATGTTAAAAATGTTGCAATATGGAGAAAGGGAAGGTGGCAGAGAGATAAGTCCCAGAAGACAAATATCTGTCCAATCCAAAGTGATGATAGTGCCCCACTGAGAAATCATATGCCTGGTTGAATTATCTAATACAGTAAATTCCCCAGTTAAAGATTCCTGCTATGAGAGGATTATTGTACTGGAAAATATAAAGGAAATAGAAGAAAACAAAAGATAGATTTTTTTACCCCTAATAAGCCTGGAAATTAGGCTCAAACTACAAGCAAAATTATACAAATATGCAGTAGCTGGAAAAGCAGACAGGGCAACAAATGCAGAATGATGTAACATTAATAAAGCATTTGCTGGTATAGAACTTAATAGCTTGAGGATATTTTGAGAAAAGGAAAAAACTAAGCCAAATTGTAAGAGGGTATGAATTGGCAATATATGAGGAGAAAGGGGTTTTCTAACCAAAGAAAGAGACACGTAAAACCAGACATAAAGTCAAATCCTACGTAATTAACCTACCATAAGTGTGGTGGCCATCTGTGAACAATTCTTAGTTGTACATTCCTTAATTTTGTATGTAAATTTTCCAATCTATCAAGGTGAACTATGTTTCTAAAATCACCTGATTTTATTTCTGTTCTTCTCACTATTCCATTTTTCCTTATTTTTTAAAAGTTCTCTAGATTCTCTTGATTCTGCTCGTTTAAGGCCACAAGTAGACTTTATTAACTTTCATATAAATGGTCCCCAGGAAGGATTATACACATATCCTCCGCAATAAATTTAATTTACAAATGACCACAGGAGGCAAGTTCATTTACAGTCATTACAATTCTTGGGCAGTCTAAGAAACAAATGTCAAGTTTTTTTTTTTCTTTCCATCATCCGGCAGTAAAACAAAAAAAAAATCACTGATTCTGGAAGAACAATATTCAGACATAACAAAAACACATTTTTGTAAAATGTTACAAATATCTCTCCCTTTCTTTTATGGTAAAAGTCTCAGAGCTTTTACATTGAGTCCTTCCTGTGGTTACCCAATGAAAACCTCTACTGGATAGGATATTGCCACATTTCTATCCACAAAATGGAACATGAAGCACTATCCAAAAGAATGGGGTTTGGAAGTGCCCCATGATGTAGTCAATCAATGGTTTATGGAAAGAGAATTCAAAGGTATTTAAATTGTATGTAACACAGATGCTTTAAGCCATTAAGATTGCTTTGCAAGCCACACACATACAAAAAGATATGTTTGTTACAAACCAGTTTAGAAGTTGATATGAAAATAATGACACTATACTAAGATTCTTATGTCAACATTTATTTAAGTTTTATGAGGAACTAATCCAAAATGTTTGTGCTTATACACTTAAGGACGGTCAGGTTCTCTAGGATTTGCAGGGATTTGTTGTATCTTTTACTTATTTTTAAGGATTTTTTTTTGAGGCAAATCTTGTGTCTAGAGCAACAGAAAAGTGAATGGACTTTAAAGAATATATACAATATTTTCTCAGAGCCGAGCACTGATATGAAAAATTAGAAAACCTAAGGAAGTGGAGGCAAGATGGGCTTCTAAAATATAGCCATTCAGTAACTGGCTTGCTGCCAATTCAAAACCTGGAAAGACATCTTGAAACCTTTAAATACCATAATTTTCAGCTGTAAGGAATTCTCTCTATGTTATCAATGTACTAAAAAAACAGGTATTCTTTTATAGATTTCCAGATCCAAGGTTAAAATGCATTTTAGGAGATGTTTATTTGAAAGTATTTTCTGCTTTCCTAGAGAGTCCATTTCAAGTAAGATGAGGTCAAACGGAGTTCAGATGAGTTTGTACCAGTAAATGTATGAATGAAGCAAACCCAAAATTTCTACCTCGATGTGACAAAACATGGTTACACAAGAAGTATTTTTCATAAACAGTCTATAAATTTTATTTTAATCGTTACTGTTTAAATATCCCAATTATCACTAACCAAATTACAAAACAATAGAGTTTCAAAATGCTTTTAAAGAATTTTAACTAAACATATTTTCTATAGCTACATGGATTTTTTGGTCATATCAGAAAAAAATATGTCATAAAGATGGAAACCTTCATGAATATATTTATTCTGCTGGAACATTTTATTTAACTTAAAGTGGTGACAACATAGAGTCTTGTTTAGCTAGGGATTAATGAAATCAAAATTTCCTTACTTTTTAAAAAATCCTGAATAACTCCTAGCCCGTTCCCTTCATCATGGCTTCACTGATAAAATAATAATAATTGCAGCTCTAGTTCACACTTGTATCATAGCTGGCAGCTAGTAACAGATTCCAGGAAAAATCTCAGGCCCAAATGGCTGGAAGATAAACAGGTATTAGGGCAAATAATGAACATGATAGAGGGCTGAATAGATAGTAAGGGTTCAAATGTTGGAACAGGACACCTAAAACCAGTTGAGTGGTACACAGAGAAGCTGTACATCAGTACCAACCAGACGAGCATTAGTTTGAAACCTGGGATGACCAGAGACAAAGACTCAAACCAAAGAGGACACCAGGAGCCTCAACTCCAAGGATAGTTAGCAGCATGGAGTCCGAGGAACTGTCTAGCAACCAGGAAAGCCACTCCTGACACATCCTGTGTTACAAGCTGGCAAATCCCATCGGTAAAATCTTCAAAATATATTCAGAATCTGGTCACTATTTATCATATGCACCCTAGTTCAAGCCTCTACCATATCTTGCCTGGATTTTTAACCTAATCTTTTACAAGGTAATTTCAGCACAGAAACTAGAAGCAGTCTTTTAAAATTCAAGTCTGATCCACTTCTCAAATCTTTTTATGTAGCCAACAGACATACGAAAAAATGCTCATCATCACTAGTTACCAGAGAAATGCAAATCAAAATCACAATGAGATACCATCTCACACCAGTTAGAATGGCAATCATTAAAAAACCAGGAAACAACAGATGCTGGAGAGGATGTGGAGAAATAGGAATGCTCTTCCACTGTTGGTGGGAGTGTAAATTAATTCAACCATTGTGGAAGACACTGTGGTGATTCCTCAAGGATCTAGAACTAGAAATACCATTTCACTCAGCAATCCCATTACTGGGTATATACCCAAAAGATTATAAATTATGCTACTATAATGACACATGCTACACATATGTTTATTGCAGCACTATTCACAATAGCAAAGACTTGGAACCAACCCAAATGTCTGTCAATGATAGACTGGATTAAGAAAATGTGGCACATGTACACCATGGAATACTATGCAGCCATTAAAAAGGATGAGTTCATGTCCTTTGCAGGCACATGGATGAAGCTGGAAATCATCATTCTCGGCAAACTATCGCAAGGACAAAAAAAACAAACACCGCATGTTCTCACTCATAAGTGGGAGTTGAACAATGAGAACACATGGACACAGAGCAGGGAATTTCACACACTGGGGCCTGTCGGGAGGTGGGGGGCTGAGGGAGGGATAGCATTAGGAGAAATACCTAATGTAAATGATGAGTTGATGGGTGCGGCAAACCAACATGGCATATGTATACTTATGTAACAAACCTGCATGCTGTGCACGTGTACCCTAGAACTTAAAGTATAACTAAAAAAAAAATCAAGTCTGATCAAGTCGTTTGCTTAAAACTCTGCATTGGATTTCCATCTCACTCAGAATAAAATCTAAAATCATTACAACTAATAAGGTCCTATGGGGTTGCTCCCCATCCCCATTGGCTCTCTGAACCCATCTGCTTCTGCATCATCCCTGATTCCTCTAGGCACTGGCCTCCCACATGTTTCTAGCATGTCCGCAGGTTGTGCACTTGCTCTTGGTGTTACTTCTACTTGGAATATTTTTTTTTTCCCAGATAACCTCTTGACTAATCCTCTTATCTCTTTCATGTCTTCACTCAGAACTTACCTTCTCAACAAGGCCTTCCCTTATCTATCATCTTATTTAATACTGAGAATGTATTCTCTTCTCCCACACTGACTCCTAATTCCCCTTGCTGCTTCTAATGTTTCTTCTGTCCATAACACTTAGCTTTCCACAGTCATTAATATGGGCCTATTTATCAGGTTTATTGTTCATTTTGTATCTCTCCTTGATAGAATGCAAGCACAATGAGGGCAGGAATGTTTCTCTTTTCATTAACTGATCTATCCGAAGTTCCTAGAACAGTGTCTAACCCATAGAAAAGATCGATAATTATTATTTGTTCCGTGAATGAAGGCATCCACAAGCATTAAATAGTTTTGTTTTGCACCAAAAATTGTTTTAAGGTCATTTACTAGCTTAATTTTTTAACATTTTGTAATTATCATTAAAAACTCCCTTTTTTTTTTCAATTTGGGATGATACTCAAGCTCCTATATACAAAAGTATTATTCTCAAGAGAATTCCCCAGCTTCTGAATCTACTCCTCCCTGGGCTTGTGTTACTGAGTCATACTTATTGCCTCTTTGGAAATTCTTATTAAACATTTCATACACTTTAATGCACATAAACTTATTTGATTCACTAAAAAGGAATTACTAATACCAAAAGACTTTTTAGTTTCTTGGTTTAAATTTAAATATGTCTATTATATACACATATATATATATGCACACACACATATATACACTGATATAAACCATTTAAATATATATATTCCCATATAAACCATTTAAATACATATGTATATATAGGTTAAAATATATATACATACTTAGGTTAAAATATATATATTTAGGTTTATATATTATTTAAAATGTATATATATATTTAGGCTAAAATATATATATATATTTAGGTTTAAACCAAGAAACTGAAAAGACTTTTGGTAATAGTAATTTCTCTTTATTGAATCAAATAAATTTATGTGCATAGAAGTATATTACAAAGCCATAAATTGCTAAACAAATGTTAATTGTATGTATATATGTTATATACACACACACACACACACACACACAGTCAGTATTTGAATTATATTTCAGAGATCATAAATATATAAGATTTACTATTCATCCATTTATGGTTACTTAGAAAATGTGACGTTTCCAGTTGCCTACACTTCACATGTTTCTATTTATATTATTTTGTAAAATATTTGTAAGGTTAAATCACCAGGGTAAATAATAATATAACTGTAAGTAGTTTAATTTTCCTTGCTCAACTGAAAATAAGTAATGTTCAGTCTTAGCACTACGAGACTACTGTTTCTAAATTCTAATTCTACTTACTTTACACTTTTGATTAAACAACATGTACATGTCGTTACGCATATTCCTAAGTCACTTAAACATCTCATCACAAATGCTCACCCAATTAAATTTCCATTTCAAAAAACACACACTGGGTAAGAGCTATAACCGACAATCAATGTAGACCATAAAGGAAATATGAATTACCAAATAAACCTTCGATGAAAAGTACATTCCTCCCCCTCTAGAAAAATATAAGCCCTTAAACAACTGCTAAGAAATCATATGGGCAGTAGCAGGAGTTGACGAAGTTACAACTATGAAGCTACATTATGCACTCTTGTCTATCTTTGGTCAAATCTCTCTTTTAGATAGCTGGCTAGCCTCAGCCATCTCCCCTCAATAGAATTAGTAAGCTATGACTGTTGCAGACAACCATGAAAGACATCCCTATTAAGATACAGTTTTTTCATTTGTGCAAGTTAACACATATAAAAGACTCATGGTGGAAATCATAAACAATTTAATATATTTTCTAAAGTCTATTGTGCTCTGAAGACTACGTTTTTATTAAATAAAATGCCTGAAAAAGAAAACACAAGTGGCTGAAAAACATTTAAGCAAACTTCGTATCTTACTAGTCAAAGAAATGCAAATCAAAACAGGATTCCATTTTCCATCACTTAAGTGATAATAACTAAAGCTGATCAGACAGTCAAACTTTGGGATGCTGGTAGAAATCTAAATGGGTATAATCTTTCTAATGAGCTGATTTGCAATATATTATCAAGGCCTTTATAAATACCTGTATTTTTCCAGTATGGGAGACCAATCCTGAAGAAATACTCTGAAATATTATATATACATATATAAAATATATATAAACATATATAAAATATATGTTTATTAAAACAAATATAAAATATATAATGTATATTTATATATTATATATAATGTATATTAATATATATTATTAATGTATATAATATATATCATATATAATGTATATTATATACATTATATATAATACATATTAAAACATTAATTGGAATGGAAAAAATGATCAGCAAACTATTGTCCAGTAACAGGAGATGACCTAAGTATATTAAGACAATTAGAATGTTGTCTGGCTGTTTAGCTCAATGTTTACAGAGTTTTAAATAACTCGAGACAAGATAGGACTTCTGAGAAAGATAACAAACTAAGTGACTTATAACACCCTCTAACAGAAATTCACAATCCAAACCAAGGGAACCATGAGGAAAAGAAAAACAACTTTATCACAAGGGAAATGAAGAAATTATGTCAACCACATGCTTTAAAGTTTGAGTATTTTTTCTATATCTAGCACAAGTATAACCCAGTTGACATTCTCAGTACATTAATGTAGTATTACAGAAAATATGTAAAGGAAAATGTATCAAATCTTATTTATATGCCCCAATTTAGAGAAAGGATTACAGTACAGATAAATAATCGCAGAAACCACAAACATAGTAGGAAAGGAAGGCAAGGACTCTTAGTGCCTTGGATTTCTCAGACACATCTTCTGAATAGTTGTTTTGGCTATACCAACATGAAAGAAACTCAACCCTAATTTGAAAATGTGCTTTGTGGAGGCCAGGAAAAAGATGGAAGAGGCGTGAAACATTCCACTTAGATCTACTGACACATTTGATACAACAATATCAAAAGCAGATTCAAAAAGAAAGGCACCTGTGTCTCACCATTCTAAGGCAGGAGGGTTGGTGGGCTTCTCCCTAACTGGAGTTTGCCATGAGAAACTCATCTCAAAGAGGGGAAGAAACCACACATCCCTAACAAGGAAATCACTGTCTCCTTATTAAGCCACTGCTCAGTAAAATGCCTTAAACTTAATTGAGTTTGCTTACACCAGTTGTTTCAATGATTCGAAAGAATCAATTTTACAGAAAGAAAGATCCCTGGGGTTACCTATCTGATCCTCACAGTTGAGGCAGATGGATGACCATACTGATCAATGTAAACCTATGCCATCAGCCCTCTAGACTGGGTTCTGACGGGAGATATCTGAAGGGCATCACAAGCAGAGCCAGGTCCATGATTTATGGAGCCCAGTGCAAAATGAAAATGTGGGGCCATGTTCAAAAAGCAGAAAAAGGTGCATTTTAAGGTACTAAAATAGAAAATATTTTTCTGGTTTCTCTCTCAAACTGCATCATTTTTTTTCATTATACAATATCATGCTTGCTTGGGTATGAGAATGGTATCTAAATGAGTTCAGACCCTCACAATCACCCTGGGAGACCTAGTCCCATGACGCTTCACACACAATCCATTTACTGCTGAAGCTGAATTTCTCCAACTGTCAGTCACCCAGCCAACACACGTTGCCCAGCCCATGATGGGGAAGTAAACCTCTGCTTCCCACAGGCTACCATTCCTAACATGGTGCTGCTAGCTTGGGCAGATTTGGGCACTTCCATGCCCCATGCCCAGAGGCTACACAACACACATCACCTGAGCCTTAACTGACTTTGACCTTCCTCATGTCTATGTCCAAGCACCCACTAAAGGGGAAAGGAGGCAGTGGTTACAGAGCAGGATAGAAGATAAAGTGAGGGAGGAGAGAAATAAGTGCACAAAATGGCCAAGAGCAGAAGGCCAAGACTTGAAGGCAAGATTATGTGTGATCTCAGGTTTCATGTATTCTTCACTGTCTTATTTGATGCCACTTAACAAAATATAGATCCAAAGATAAAATTGCTAAAAATTTTAAGCTGCCAACTGCAGAGCATTAAACCCTAAACTTCTGAGTAGGAGGCTATGTACTGCTGCACTGGTCTCAAGGCCATGTAGTCAGCTCTACCCATAGACACAGTTCAGGGAGTCAATGAGAAGCACATACATGATTTGGGGGAGAAATAACAAGCCCAAAAAGGCTTTCCTTGATGACAAATCAGACACAGAAGAATAAAATAAAATAAAAAAGGACCTATTAAAAAGTCCAAAGTTAATTACTGTTAATATATTACAGTATATCCTAGTCTCATTTCTAAGCATTAACACACACATATGTACTTATTATACATATCTAGATTTTTCCCTGAATGGATCATTATAAGCACGAGTGATTAAAATATGAGAGTTTCTCATATTTTCTCAATTATGTTGAAATCTAGACGTCATCTATTTAGTAGGAATGCCCAGGGAGATAACAGACAGAATTGAAGGGAAGAAATAATCAAGCAAACAATTAAATAAAATGTGCAATAACTGAGACTTCCTGTTGACAACGTCTTTGAGAACCATGAAAAATAAATGTCATATATGTCTAGACAAATTTTTAAATGATTAACTTGTAAAACATCAAGAGATGAAAGAGTAATTTTCCAGTTATTATGATAACTGCTCACAAAGCAGTAAGTAGAGATAATAGCTGAAGTTGTATTCCCTTTAATGCCAGTTGCACAGAGATGGAGAATTCAATTTATTATAAGTCATGTTTATTTTGTTTCATATATTTGCACTTTTTAATGTCACAACTGAACTAGAGCAAGTTTAATATTTTAATTGCTTGAATATTTGGCTTTATTGTTTTCATTGGAGGATCAGAAAAAGAATGGAGCTTGTTTCATACAGAATGTAAGAAGCTGTCAATTACCTAAAGCATATATAGGGATCTACAAAAAAAGAAAAGAATGTATTATTTTTAATTTATCTGAAAATTAAGAAAATACAGCTAGCTGAAAAGCTTACCAGAAAAAAAAAGTTAAATTGGAGAAAACCGTATAATTCTAAGTCAACATAGGGTATAGAATGATCAACAAGGCTATTAAAGTTATCTAGCCAACCCATCTCCTTTAAGAATGAATTAGCAATTGAGACACAGCTGGAAGCCATAGGACCAACGCGGCTTAGGTAAAAAGGAACAGATGGATCTGTGTAGTGTGAAGTTTCTAAAGACAGAAGAGCTCATTTTATGATCATTGTTGACCACAATGCAAGACACATGAGTATGGAGAAATGAGCTAGCATCATTAGACAAAAAGCAAGCTGTTCCTGACCATGAATGAAGAACACTGCCTGAAAAACTTACCTTTTATTTCACAAATATTGCCCAAAATAATTACCTTTAAATAGAGAGGACAATGATATTCTTCAAAGAAGTCTTATAATGGTCTTTTGTCTAATGCTTCACTCCCAGTAAGTGAACATCTTATTGAGCACCGAGTGCCCTTTAAGAGTTCACAAAATAAATATTTTAAGTCTCTCAATATCTTGTTTCAGTTGCTACATAAGAATTATTAATGCACACTTAATCTCAGAGTTGGAGAGGACCATCAAGGTTATCTATTTAACCCTCAAGTTGATGTATGAATTTCCTCAGCACAGTCCAGCGAAGTTGTCAGCCAGCTTCCCAGCTTCTGTGTGGGAAATACTACTACTGCTATGTACTCATTTAGGAGAGTACTCTCAAGACAGCCTTTTCCATTTTTCACATTTCAAACCAATAGAAATAAACCGATTTTTTAATGTGTTCAAATTAAATTTTCTATAATTGTCACTTTTTTGTCCTAATCCTATCCTCTGAAGCGGTCCAAGGTTAAGCCTTAGGCCTCTCCTGCATAGGAACCATTCAAATAAATGAAAGTTTGCAGCAAGTCGCTTCTCTAGACTAATCAACCCTGTTTCCTCCACTGTTCTCAAGAGGGAAAATACCATGTTTCCTGCCTATCCTGGTCACTCTTCTGTGTGCCCACCCCAGTTTGCCTCACCACTCTTAAAGAAAACATAATTTTTCTATTTATTTATGTATTTATTTTTCATTTATTTAGTTATTTTTTAGGCGGGGTCTTTCTCTGTCACCCAGCTGGAGTGCAACGGCACGATCTCAGCTCACTGCAACCTCCACCTCCCAGGTTCAAGTGATTCTCCAGCCTCAGCCTCCTGAGTAGCTAGGACTACAGGTGCAGGCCACCATCCCTGGCTAATTTTTTTTTTTATTTTAGCAGAGATGGGGTTTCATTATGCTGGCCGGGCTGGTCTTTAACTCCTGACCTCAAGTGATCCACCCGCTTCAGCCTCCCAAAGTGCTGGGATTACAGGTGTGAGCCACTGCACGTGGCTAAGAAAACACAATTTTCTTGAAATTTTTTTGAGGCAACCAGCTAAGGATGATTACTTCTCTTGTTCTTGATTACATAAGACAAAATAAAGCAACAATAGTAATAACAAAAAGAGACCATGACGACGTTTCAGTATAAGTAAGTAGAATCCCTATCCCTTGGAAGATGATTTTATATTTCAGATTAAGAGTAGGCAAATTTGCCGGGCGTGGTGGTTCACGCCTGTAATCCCAGTACTTTGGGAGGCCGAGGCGGGCGGATCACGGGGTCAGCAGATCGAGACCATCCTGGCTAATACGGTGAAACCCCGTCTCTACTAAAGATACAAAAAATTAGCCGGGCGTGGTGACGGGTGCCTGTAGTCCCAGCTACGCGGGAGGCTGAGGCGGGAGAATGGCGTGAACCCTGGAGGAGGAGCTTGCAGTGAGCTGAGATCGTGCCACTGCACTCTAGCCTGGGCGACAGAGTGAGACTCCATCTCAAAAAAAAAAAAGAAAAAAAAAAAGAGTAGACAAATCAAGCAATGGCCATTGCATAAACTGTGGTTTTCAAGAGAGACGCTAGATTTATCTATTCCTCCTTCTTCCTTTTCCTCAGTATGTAGCAGGGAATAACTGCAAATGGATTTTAGGAAATTACATAAATCAGCGAAAACTAGCAGTTAAACTTCCGTAACAATATGCTTAAAAGTTGGGAATGAAAATCCCAACTGTACATAAAGCGTATTGAACTCTGTAATGTCAGGAAAAAGACCTAGGCACCAGGACATGATGTTCTCAGAGATACCTGGCCAGTGTATCCCTACAAGCAAAAAAAATAATAACAATGTTGATTATGTTCAATTTGGAAATGAAATCAAAAGAAAAAAACCACTTCCTTACCTTTGTATAAAATCATGATGCAGATCCACTAAAGATTATCATGTGTAGCTCTGGTCATCACAGAGTTCAAGCCTATAAGGGCTGTCACGAATGCTCTCCACACATGCTCCATTTTACATGCCTTTAATCATGCTTCCTCTCTTCATCTGTAATCAGAAATATAGCCCCAATACTCCATCCAGAAAGATATTAGCACAATTTTTCAGCAAAACTAAAGGTCAAGGAAGTATTCTTCTCCTCTATTTTCTGGGCATCTTATCTTCTTGCTACTCTGCACATTTGTGATATCAACAAATGTGGCAATTGACAACCAGTGGGGTAATGAAAGCAACCAATCTGGAATTTTTCCTACAGCCATCAATCTAGTCAATAACTAGCCTTATGATCCCTCCTTTGTTTACTAGCTCTTGGAGAAGTCATTGTATTCCAAACCTTACCAACCAATGAATACAAGGTCAGGAGTTATTTTGGATTAATGCCTTTTAGTTCTGCAAAAAACTATATTCTAATCTACAGGATTATTTTTTTGGTAGTTGGAGTCAGGAACTATAGATAAATATGTCAATTCAACATAAACTCAATGTCTGAATGCTCCTTTCTGGAAGTAATATAGGAATAAGGTGACAGACTAGATAGGAATAGATATCTATAGGACATCTATAGAAATAGATGATGATGATGGATAACAATGAGGTAAATGTCACAGTTTGGAAACTTAAGTAAGACAGAATATGGTTGAAATCATCACAATTTAGAAGCCATCTCTGGTTATCCATAAAATATATCGGCTATAATATGTATCCTTAGAGAATAATCAACTTGTTGTTTAAATGACAGGTATTTGGGATGGTTACATTACCTCTCTGAAAATGAACTCATATAGTTTAGAAAGAAGGTATTTTATCAAATTCCAAGATTTGGTTTGTGCTCCTTATCACTCATGCTACAAATGCAGACACCACATATTAAAAAGACATAAGGCCGGGCACGGTGGCTCACGCCTGTAATCCCAGCACTTTGGGAGGCCGAGGCGGGCGGATCACAAGGTCAAGAGATGGAGACCATCCTGGCCAACATGGTGAAACCCCATCTCTACCAAAAATACAAATATTAGCTGGGCGTGGTTGCACATGCCTGTAGTCCCAGCTACTGGGGTGGCTGAGGCAGGAGAATTGCTTGAACCTGGGAGGCGGAGGTTGCAGTGAGCCAAAATCACACCACTGCACTCCAGCCTGGCAACAGAGTGAGACTCTGTCTCAATAAATAATAATAATAATAATAATAATAATAATAATAATAATAATAATAAAGACATAATAGGACAGCAAAATGTCTTCACTATTGCCTAAGGAGAATAAGAATATAGGAACATCATGACACAAGGAAAAGCAAGGATTGAATCAGAAGGTAAATACTTGTTAAGAGTCATAGCATGTTTAATCATAAAAAGAACTTCACTTCTCTTTCCTTTTTAACAATGAAATCTAGGAGGGAAGAATCAAAATCTCCAAAATGTCAAGTGTATTGATGGATAGCATGTACATTTTTGCCAATCCCAATATTCTGGAACTAGATGTGGGGGCAGGGGAAAAAATGGAAGCCTTTGAAATTTAAAAATGGAAAGTTTAAGTCAATTTTAAATGTGTTATTGTTTGACACAGAGTAATTAAAGACTAAAATATATAAGTACACTAAATAAATGAGAACAAAGATGTTCTGTTTTTTTCACTGATGTTTTCCAGCACATAGAACAGTACCTGGATTACATTAGCCTCAATAAATATTTATAAAATTAATAATAAAATAACAACTGACTAAACAAGAAATGACATAGCCTTGCTGAATACAAAAAGGAAATTTGGATGTGGTTCAGCAGCTGACAGTCTACACAGTATTACATAGATCCTTGGAAGGGGAGAACATTGAAATGTTAATCATTTTCTACCTTGAAAATCACAGAAGGATTCACCCAGTAAAGAACATCATACAGTTCTTCCACTGGGTTGCAAGCATTTGATTTTGAATATCTGTCTCACAATGAGGGGTAATCACAGGCAAATTTATGACAATGGGTAATTTCTATCTTCTAGCTATATGTTGGAATATAGACTATACCTCCACTCACTCTTGTTATGTTCCCAACTTTAAAAACAAGATTCCTTATCAGAAAAGGCATTGAATATACAGTGGAAGAATCTAAATTAAAATTCCAGCCCTGCCATTTGCTATGTGATCTTGGGCAAATTTACCTCTCTTGAGCTGTCAACTGCTCTGAGTTTCAGTTTTCTCTTTTGCAAAATGGATTGTGAGACTTAAAAGAGTTTGTGCATGAATGCGAAAGCACCTTGTTTGGTCTGACTGCCTGTCTGCTCACCTTCCTCTAGGTCTCTCTGTCCTCCCTTCCTTCTTTCATTCACCCAAGTATATCATTCTATGCTTCCCTCTTTCCCTATATCTCATATCTTGTGATGCTTCTTGTCACCCCAGACTCCACCATTCAGCCTGTCTTTTCTTCTCATTACCCGGTAGTTGCTATGTAATAATTTAATGTATGGGTTAGTAAAAGAGGATTATGAATTAATTGACATTAAAGTGTTTATTATTAACAGCACAGCATGAGGATACTATAGCCTTTAAAATGCAAATCTATTCATGTCATTGCCAGTTGAAAGTTTTTCAATAGTTCTCCCTCTCCCTTAAGATAAATAGACTTCTTTACAAAGCTTATCAGACCTTGTGATCCTTGGTCCCTGCTTGTCTCTTCAGTCTCATCTAAAATGCATGACCCCTTGACTTTATGATTCTGCAATATTGGATTCCTTTGAGTTCATTTGTTAATATCTACTTATGTTTCAGGTTTCACTATGGATGTTTCTTCCCTGGGAAGCCTTCCTTGACCCCTTAAAGAGATGAGATCACTCTGCTATCCATTCCTATAGCATCCCATATGTTCTCTTTTGTTTTGCTTCTAGTTTTTGTTGACATTGTATAATATGACTTTCTAAGAATAAGGACGGAGTAACTTAATCCAAAATAACCTCTTTATATTCCCATAATCTTTAGGGAATTATCAGCAGGCTGCAGTTAAAATATGTTGGAAAAGTTGGTAGGCAGCCTGACGGTAGGGCATTCTTCACCCTACCTGAAAGTCTTTTCCATGGCACTGAATTATGGCACTATCCAACCTATCTGAATAGATTAAAATACCCACTTGAGTTAGGTGCAAAGGCAAGATGCATTATCTCCAGCATTAAACAGGAAATTTTATACAACAAGTATGTTTTGAACAACCACAACATACTTATACCTTGTTATCTCTCTATTGAAAGTATTTTTTTAAGTATTCTGGGGCCCATCCTCCTAAATGTGCCTGTAGCACATCAACAGAAGAGAAAATGACACCCTAGATGCCTACATGTTTTGAAAAAAGCACTAGGCCAGGAGTGGCACAACATTGGGAGAGCAGGACATCATGAAGCCAACAGAATTGGCCAAATGAATACTCTAAGACCTGTTTCATGCAAGAGTATTAGGTCAGGGAGATCAAGCCTATGTAATGAGCCTAGAAAACAAAAAGAAATACTTAGTGATAAAATAGTATGAATATTTCTGAGGGGATAAAATGAAGACTGGATAGAAAAACAATAACTTACTTTCTAATTTTGGCTAGGGTGAGACATAAACTAAGAAACATTCACAATCTTCATTAAACCACTACTGCTATTTCTGAGGAAGAGGTCAACACCCCCAGTAACTGCTATAAAACGAAAGTGTCAGTGCTCAAAAAATAAAATTTCCTGTATTCTGTTACATTTTTTATTCTTAAGCATAAGTTTTGAAATCTTACAAGAAATTGCTGAGAATTCCAAGGAAACTGAAAAATATAAAGGCAAATGATCTGGAAATTGTTTAAACCTAATTCTGTGTGACTAGTTGAAGGATGTGACTAGTTGAAGGAGCAAAGTCAGTTTTAAGTACTTGACACCTGATGATCAATAAAAACTCCAGTTTAGCTCCTGGAGCTCTGACTTTCTGAATTATTTTCAGCAAAGGAACTCTGAAGGTGAATATTAGAAAACTTCTAACAAATGTGCTACATTTGCCAGTTCATAGACGCATAATAAACTTACAAGAAACCATGTTGACAGTTTCATTACTTTTGGTAAGACCCTTCAAATACTTGGACATATTGTAGTAAACATTCCAGTTTTTTTTTTCCATTTTGATTCCAACATTCTTGAATGGGGGCAGGGAAGGTGTGGTGATGAAAATTAATAAAAAGCATTTTTCTCTCCTTTTAAATTAAATGACTCTTTAGGGGGATAATTCAAAAGAATTATTTGTGGATTTTACATAGCTTTAATGGGATCCACAAATTTTCTTCTTTGGGTGCTGTAATTTTTATTATGTTGCAAAGTTCTTTTCTCAAAAGTGTTAAAATTTTTTATCAAATGCATCTGCTGCCTCCAATTCTATATCAACAATAACAGACTTTGTTTATAAACCATTACACATAGTACACATTGGAAATTTTGGAAATGTTGGAAAGATCTAATAAGAATATAATCAAAAAATGGCTGTGTGTGGTGACTCACGCCTTTAATCCCAGCACTTTGGGAGGCTGAGGCAGGTGAATCACCTGAGGTCAGGAGTTCGAGACCAGCCTGGCAAACATGGTGAAACCCTGTCTCTACCAAAAAAATAAATTAAAAAAAAATAGCTGGGTGTGGTGGCACGCACCTGTAGTCCCAGCTGCTCGGGAGGCTGAGGCAGGAGAATCATTTGAACCCAGGAGGCAGAGGCTGCAGTGAGCTGAGATTGTGCCACTGCACTCCCGCCTGGGTGACAGAGTGAGACTCCATCTCAAAAAGAATATAATCAAAAGGCAAGGTGAGTTTTCATAATTTAACTTCATTATCAATCATCAATCATCTTCATAACCACAAGAAGAAAATAATTACATGAACCCAGAAGAGCCACTTGATTCCATCTTATTCGTACATGGCTCTCTTCCATAGTACTGTTTCAGCATTCCAATCTCAATTAGCCAAGGTAAGAACTTTTTTAAAAGTTTGCATAAAATTTCTGGCCTTATGAACTAGACTCTTTACCTCCTAAGGCTGCCAAGCTTTAGAAATAAGGTTGCAGAAATCTCTTTAAGTAGTGTAAAGCATCCCCCCGCCTTTTTTTTTGTTTTAAGATCCATGACTAATATATCCCAGGTCTGTTTAACCTTCACTGATTACACTGATGTCTCATTTTGCCTTCCATTATGAGGAACGCTACTCCACAAGCTTTGCGACTGTCAGGTTTCCTAGGCTCTGCCCTGAGTAGTCTTTGTTTTGACCACTTGGACACTGACTGACCTGTGTGGTTCTAAAGCTGCTGCTGGCAATTTAGGTGGTCCTGAATTTTAGCGTTCTCTCTACTTCTTAAAATTTATATGCCTACAACACTCCTATAGACCTTAAAAGGTTGACTTTGGCTATGAGACAGGAAACATTGCATCCATGTGGAATCAAATGAAAAGCAAACCTTCTAACAAAGTACTAAACATAAATCAAGGGGGAAAAAATCAAAATGCTGTAGATTAGGGTTTCAGCTGAATGCACTTTATATTTTATACCAAAACATTCAAGTCTGAGTTTGAAATGTTTAGTTATCACTTCACTCAAGTTAGCAAAACTCATGCCCATTGGGTTTGACGGTTGGATTAAGTGCCAGGTACAAGAAAACACAGTTTGCTCCTCTGCAATGTGGAGAGGTGTCACTCCTTTTGGAGTTCACTTATTCTGTTTGAAGTTAATAAAATTTCCTTTGAACAACAGATGTGCACCAAATCACCCCATACATATCTGTTTCCTCAAAATGATTTTAGTGCAACTGGCTTTTACTTCCCTGAGAAAACAGGGAAAATTGTGTTATATAACTTTCTACATTTTCTCATTTAACAAAGTCCTCTGAAGTTTACCTTAATTTTAATGAATGCATAAATGAACAAACTAAATCATATCTGCAAAAAACTTAAAAATAAAATTAAACTATTTTATAAAGAGGGAGATTACTGATGTTCATCTTGTGAGTTCTTTGGCTCCTAATGCATGAACTGAAAGGTCATCAGATCTCAAGAGTGAGGCCAAGGCAAAAGTTGGTAGTGGTCAGAACAAATTGGCCCAGGGAATATATCAACTATTCCCATTTTTGCCTATTCTGTATAAGAAGATATGAAAATATTTCCTATAGAGCAATGATTCTCCAAGTGTGGTCCTCAGGTTAATGGCATCAATATCACCTAGGAACTTATTAGAAATATAAATTTTTTCAGGTTAATGGCATCAATATCACCTAGGAACTTATTAGAAATATAAATATAATATAACTTATTAGAAATGTAAATTTTTTTGCCCCATCTCAGACTTACTGAATCAGAAATTTCAGGAGTAGGGCAAGAGGCCAGAAATCTGTGTTTCAACAACCCCTATATGATATTCTGATGCATGTTTCAGTTTGAGAACCACTGGTGTGGAGAGCCACTACCTAGAGTTCCAATTCTCAACCCTACCTCCATTAAGATGGATTTCTCTGCTTAACCAGAATTCAGACTCATGTGTAACAAGTTCAAATACAGCTCTCCTAAAAGTCCCATTTTTAAAAAACGATATCTAGTCTGGAAAAATCAATATATCTAAACATAAACTAGATCTTGCTGTCTAGCAGTTCATACCAAATACTCTTAAATCATACAATAGTGTAGCAAGAAACGTTTGTGATACATCACAAATCACTACCATGAATAAAGTTTTACTGTGTAACAAAATTTTCTTGCATTTATCTAGGATATTAATATATAAGAAGAGATCTTTCCTCCTTTCAAAGAATAATCACAGTATTTTAAAATTAATTTTAATTGTCATTTTTCTACCATTGAAAAACATATACTGATTATTTCTCTGTCCTTATAATTTAGCATAGTGTCTGCCATAAAGTAGGTAGTAAATAAATATTTGTGAGTAAATGAATAAATAAATTATATAGGGGAGCAGTAGCATGGTTTAGTATGAAAATCATAAAATTTTTCCATAAATAGAGCTAGGTTTCTTTTCTAGTTCATTCATTCTCTCAACTTGGATTTGAGAAAATATGTAACCTCTCTAGGTTAAGTTTTAATCTATAAAATGGGAAGACTAAAATGCGCTCATAGTCTTTAAATAAAGGCTAAAAGAGAAAATCTGTATAAAACACCTCACACAGCACTTATATCATTAAGTATTCCATGAATTACAGTGTCTTTTCTTCTCTTTCCCAGTATAAACATGGTACTCCCTTTTTAAATATATAGGGCTTTCCTCCTCAGTGATGAGGTAAAACTGATTATACAGAAAATCCATATATGTCATAAACAAGAATATACATGTTGTGCTTGCTTCAGCAGCACATATACTGAAATTGGAATGATACAGAAAAAGAGTTGCATGGTCTTTGCACAAGAATTACACACAAATTCAAGAAGCACCCCATATGTTTTTAAATTAATAAGATAATTTTGTTTTTTATGATACTCTTATTGTAACATAAATAAATGGACTTACAATAAAAGATTTATGTTATCTTGAAAAAAATATATACATTGCACCATTGACTGAGTTTTGTGTGATGAGTTCACATCTTCTTTGGTCAGATGTAGTGATGCCATAAACAAAGAGGAACAATGATAAAAGTTAGAATCATTGCCTTGTATACAATTTAGTGAAGCTATGTATAGTATTGAATACTTATTCAGATATTTTACAGTATCAAAATTTCTTTTATGTTATTTGGAAGGAGATTTTACCCAGCTATCATGAAGCTTGTTTTGTTGAGGAAAAAGAATGTAGGTAGTTATCGTCATGTGGCAATATAGAAGGGACCTTTCTCTGCAGACTGTCCCAGAAATATGCTGTGAAGTAGATGCTCAAAAACTACATCATTTGGTGGCCCACAAGAGCCAGGAAATTATTCTTGATTTTCTTCAGAATTCAAATAACTTGCACTTCCCAAGGAGAAGCCAAAAAACACGAGTTTGGAAGGATAGTTAGGAAAACAAGGGCCAGATGCTGTACACACATACTTGGGAAGGAGAAGCTATGCTGAAAAAGTAGGACAAAAATGTTCCAAGCTGCTCTGATACCTGCCCTGGGTATCTGAGTTCACATTTCCCCAACAAACAGGACACATATCCACACATGCAACTTGAAATATGACTTTGAGCTCCCTATTCTGGACTAAAAATCCATAGCTCGATGTTTTCAGCCAGTACAAGAAAAGGGCTCTAGGGATTATGGCCAGGAACTCTGGAAGGCTTCACTGGATCAAGAGAATCCAAACACTTACTGGTCCTTCAGAGAGCCTCAAGGTCAAGCAGAAGGGACAGTGAGTGGTTCTTACTGGGACTCTAATTGAAATCCTAATGTAGGATTCACTAGTTTTGTATCAACTCTTGCATTTTTCACTTTGATCAACTAGTGTTCCTTTTCTAACTGTCTGGACTTCCCTACCTTCAATCATACCACTTGCTTCTACAGAGAGGTGAAAAAGAATCCTGTGAGAAACCCGACCTTACCGTGCCTTGGTTTTATCATTTGTAGAATGGGGCACTCATCTTCACTGGGATATTGGAGCAATAAGATAAATTATATGGAAAGCAAATTGCCCAGTTCCTAGCGCATAGCCAACACCCAAAACATTTAGCGGAACCCACGGTCATTTCTATCTCTTTCTCTGACTAAATGATTTCCTTTAAACTATGAAAGTTTGACTAGACTGCCTCCTCAAGTGGGTCCCTGAACCCCAAGTAGCACAACTGGCAGGCACCCCCCAGTAGGGGCAGACTGGCACCTCACACAGCCGGGTACTCCTCTGAGACGAAGCTTCCAGAGGAATGATCAGGCAGCAACATTTGCTGTTCACCAATATTCGCGGTTCTGCAGCCTCCGCTGCTGATACGCAGGCAAACAGGGTCTGGAGTGGACCTCCAGCAAACTCCAACAGACCTGCAGCTGAGGGTCCTGACTGTTAGAAGTAAAACTAACGAACAGAAAGGTCATCCACACCAAAACCCCATCTGTACATCACCATCATCAAAGACCAAAGGTAGATAAAACCACAAACATGGGGAAAAAACAGAGCAGAAAAGCTGAAAATTCTAAAAATCAGAGAGCCTCTCTCCCTCCAAAGGAATGCAGCTCCTTACCAGCAATGGAACAAAGCTGGATGTAGAATGACTTTGACAAGTTGAGAGAAGAAGGCTTCAGATGATCCAACTTCTCCGAGCTAAAGGAGGAAGTTTGAACCCATGGCAAAGAAGCTAAAAACCTTGAAAAAAGATTAGACGAATGGCTAACTAGAATAACCAGTGTAAAGAAGTCCTTAAATAACCTGATGGAGCTGAAAACCATGACATGAGAACTACGTGACACATGCACAAGCTTCAGTAGCTGATTCGATCAACTGGAAGAAAGGGTATCAGTGATTAAAGATCAAATAATGAAATGAAGTGAGAAGAGAAGTTTAGAGAAAAAAGAGTAAAAACAAATGAACAAAGCCACAAAGAAATATGAGACTATGTGCAAAGACCAAATCTACGTCTCATTGGTGTACCTGAAAGTGACAGGGAGAATGGAACCCACTTGGAAAACACTCTGCAGGATATTATCTGGGAGAACTTCCCCAACCTAGCAAGGCAGGCCAACATTCAAATTCAGGAAATACCAAGAATGCCACAAAGATGCTCCACAAGAAGAGCAACTCCAAGACACATAATTGTCAGATTCACCAAAGTGGAAATGAAGGAAAAAATGTTAAGGGCAGCCAGAGAGAAAGGTCAGGTTACCCACAAAGGGAAGCCCATCAGACTAACAGCTGATCTCTCAGCAGAAACTCCACAAGCCAGAAGTGGGGGCCAATATTCAACATTCTTAAAGAAAAGAATTTTCAACCCAGAGTTTCATATCCAGCCAAACTAAGCTTCATAAGTGAAGGAGAAATAAAATCCTTTACAGACAAGCAAATGCTGAGAGATTTCATCACTACCAGGCCTGCCCTACAAGAGCTCCTGAAGGAAGCACTAAACATGGAAAGGAACAACTGGTACCTGCCACTGCAAAAACTTGCCAAATTGTAAAGACCATCGAGGCTAGGAAGCAACTGCATCAACTAATGAGCAAAATAACCAGCTAACATCATAATGACAGGATCACATTCACACATAACAATATTAATCTCAAATGTAAATGGGCTAAATGCTCCAATTAAAAGGCACAGACTGGCAAATTGGATAAAGAGTCAAGACCCATCAGTGTGCTGTATTCAGGAGACCCATCTCACGTGCAGAGACACAAATAGTCTCAAAATAAAGGGATGGAAGAAGATCTACCAAGCCAATGGAAAACAAAAAAAAGCAGGGGTTGCAATCCTAGTCTCTGATAAAACAGACTTTAAACCAACAAAGATCAAAAGGGACAAAGAAGGCCATCACATAATGGTAAAGGGATCAATTCAACAAGAAGAGCTAACTATCCTAAATATATATGCACCCAATACAGGAGCACACAGATTCATAAAGCAAGGCCTTAGAGACCTACAAAGAGACTTAGACTCCCACACAATAATAATGGGAGACTTTAACACCCCACTGTCAACATTAGACAGATCAACGAGACAGAAAGTTAACAAGGATACCCAGGAATTGAACTCAGTTCTGCACCAAGCAGACCTTATAGACATCCACAGAACTCTCCATCCTAAATCAACAGAATATACATTCTTTTCAGCACCACAACACACCTATTCCAAAATTGACCACATGGTTGGGAGTAAAACACTCCTCAGCAAATGTAAAATAACAGAAATTATAACAAACTGTCTCTTAGACCACAGTGCAATCAAACTAGAACTCAGGATTAAGAAATTCACTCAAAACCACTCAACTACATGGAAACTGAACAACCTGCTCCTGAATGACTACTGGGTACATAACAAAATGAAGGCAGAAATAAAAATGTTCTTTGAAACCAACGAGAACAAAGACACAACATGCCAGAATCTCTGGGACACATTCAAAGCAGTGTGTAGAGGGAAATTTATACCCTAAATACCCACAAGAGAAAGCAGGAAAGATCTAAAATTGACACCCTAACATCACAATTAAAAGAACTAGAGAAGCAAGACCAAACACATTCAAAAGCTAGCAGAAGGCAAGAAATGACTAAGATCAGAGTAGAACTGAAGGAAATAGAGACACAAAAAAACCCTTCAAAAAAATCAATGAATCCAGGAGCTGGTTTTTTGAAAAGATCAACAAAATTGATAGACTGCTAGCAAGACTAATAAAGAAGACATGAGAGAAGAATCAAAAAGATGCAATAAAAAATGATAAAGGGGATATTACCACCAATCCCACAGAAATACAAACTACCATCAGATAATACTATCAACACCTCTATGCAAATAAACTAGAAAATCTAGAAGAAATGGATAAATTCCTGGACACATACACCTTCCCAAGACTAAACCAGGAAGAAGTTGCATAGACCAATAACAGACTCTGAAGTTGAGGCAGTAATTAATAGCTTACCAACCAAAAAGAATCCAGGACCAGACAGATTCACAGCTGAATTCTACCAGAGGTACAAGGAGGAGCTGGTACCATTCCTTCTGAAACTATTCCAATCAATAGAAAAAGAGGGAATCCTCCCTAACTCATTTTATGAAGCCAGCATCAGCCTGATACCAAAGCCTGGCAGAGACACAACCAAAAAAGAGAATTTTAGACCAATATCCTTGATGAACATTGATGCAAAAATCTTCAATAAAATACTGGCAAACCGAATCCAGCAGCACATCAAAAAGCTTATCCACCATGATCAAGTGGGCTTCATCCCTGAGATGCAAGGCTGGTTCAACATATGCAAATCAATAAACCTAATCCAGCATATAAACAGAACCAAAGACAAAAACCACATGATTACCTCAATAGATGCAGAAAAGGCCTTTGACAAAATTCAACAGCCCTTCATGCTAAAAATTCTCAATAAATTAGGTATTGATGGGACGTATCTCAAAATAATAAGAGCTATTTATGACCTACCCACAACCAATATCATACTGAATAGGCAAAAACTGCAAGCATTCCCTTTGAAAACTGGCACAAGACAGGGATGCCCTCTCTCACCATTCCTATTCAACATAGTGTTGGAAGTTCTGGCCAGGGCAATCAGGCAGGAGAAGGAAATAAAGGGCATTCAATTAGGAAAAGAGGAAATCAAATTGTCCCTGTTTGCAGATGACACGATTGTATATTTAGAAACCCCATTGTCTCAGCCCAGTATCTCCTTAAGCTGATAAGGAACTTCAGCAAAGTCTCAGGATACAAAATCAATGTACAAAAATCACAAGCATTCTTAAACACCAATAACAGACAAACAGACAGCCAAATCATGAGTGAACTCCCATTCACAATTGCTTCAAAGAGAATAAAACACCTAGGAATCCAACTTCCAAGGGATGGGAAGGACCTCTTCAAGGAGAACTACAAACCACTGCTCAATGAAATAAAAGAGGATACAAACAAATGGAAGAACATTCCATGCTCATGGGTAGGAAGAATCAATATCATGAAAATGGCCATACTGCCCAAGGTAATTTATAGATTCAATGCCATCCCCATCAAGCTACCAATGACTTTCTTCACAGAATTGGAAAAAAATACTTTAAAGTTCATATGGAACCAAAAAAGAGCCTGCATTGCCAAGTCAATCCTAAGCCAAAAGAACAAAGCTGGAGGCATCATGCTACCTGACTTCAAACTATACTACAAGGCTACAGTAACCAAAACAGCATGGTACTGGTACCAAAACAGATATATAGACCAATGGAACAGAACAGAGCCCTCAGAAATAATGCCACATATCTACAACTATCTGATCTTTGACAAACCTGAGAAAAACAAGCAATGGGGAAAGGATTCCCTATTTAATAAATGGTGCTGGGAAAACTGGCTAGCCATATGTAGAAAGCTGAAACTGGATCCCTTCCTTACACCTTATACAAAAACTAATTCAAAATGGATTAAATACTTACATGTTAGACCTAAAACCATAAAAACCCTAGAAGAAAACTGAGGCAATACCATTCAGGACATAGGCATAGGCAAGGACTTCATGTCTAAAACACCAAAAGCAATGGCAACAAAAGCCAAAATTGACAAATGGGATCTAATTAAACTAAAGAGCTTCTGCACAGCAAAAGAAACTACCATCAGAGTGAATAGGCAACCTACAGAATGGGAGAAAATTTTTGCAATCTACTCATCTGACAAAGGGCTAATATCCAGAATCTACAAAGAACTCAAACAAATTTACAAGAAAAAAACAAACAGCCCCATCAAAAAGTGGGCAAAGGATATGAACAGACACTTCTCAAAAGAAGACATTTATGCAGCCAAAAGACACATGAAAAAATGCTCATCATCACTGGCCATCAGAGATATGCAAATCAAAACCACAATGAGATACCATCTCACACCAGTTAGAATGGTGATCATTAAAAAGTCAGGAAACAACAGGTGCTGGAGAGGATGTGGAGAAATAGGAACACTTTTACACTGTTGGTGGGACTGTAAACTAGTTCAACCATTGTGGAAGACAGTGTGGCGATTCCTCAAGGACCTAGAACTAGAAATACCATTTGACCCAGCCATCCCATTACTGGGTATATACCCAAAGGATTATAAATCATGCTGCTATAAAGACACATGCACACATATGTTTATTGTGGCACTATTCACGATAGCAAAGACTTGGAACCATCCCAAATGTCCATCAATGATAGACTGGATTAAGAAAATGTGGCACATATACACCATGGAATACTATGTGGCCATAAAAAAGGATGAGTTCATGTCCTTTGTAGGGACATGGATGAAGCTGGAAACCATCATTCTCAGCAAACTATCACAAGGACAAAAAAAAACAAACACCGCATGTTCTCACTCATAGGTGGGAATTGAACAATGAGAACACTTGGACACAGGAAGGGGAACATCACACACTGGGGCCTGTCATGGGGTGGGGGGAGTGGGGAGGCATAGCATCAGGAGATATACCTAATGTAAATGACGAGTTAATGAGTGCAGCCCAACAACATGGCACATGTATACATATGTAACAAACCTGCATGTTGTGCACATGTACCCTGGAACTTAAAGTATAATAAAAAAAGAAGTTTGACTAGAAATCTAGCAAAAAGAGAAAAATTTACAATCATATTAAACACTTTATTCTCATTATATTTCTCCCTGGCCTCTTAAATATAAACTTACGCTTGTATAAATAACAAAGCTTAGCCCTGCATGAATTTCTATCAAATATTTTTTATTATAAAGATAAATGAGACTGGGAATCAGGTTAATGTATAAATGATCAATTTTTTTCTCATTTAGATTTGAATCTGTGAATTTTACAGGACTTGAGGAAATATTTTTCATTTTTCTCTAAATTGTCTATCCATATTTATTAAAACTCAACCGCTGATGATATGGAATGCCCACCAGGGGAGATGAGTTGAATTCCTTAGGGAAGGGAAGGCTGGATCCTTTATGAGACTATAAATCGAAACAAACATCAAAAATAATGCTAAATGTAACATTCAAGAAGTAATAGCAATTACTTGAATTTAGGTCAGATAGACATGTCCAAGATTTAAAAAGTAAATTTACCCAACTTGGTATATTTGCTGACATTTTTACAAAAAGATCATTCTCAATCTCTTCTTTAAAAAATAACATAAAATACATAACATCAGTCTCAATGTGAGTGATTCAAGGGAATTTGTGGGGTAAATAATCAAGATTTGTTTTTCTTAGAACATTTGAATTACTATTAATCACATATTCTTCAACCAGAAATGTATTCTTTCTATTCAATTTTTTTCAAGTTTAAAAAAGGCAACAGAGTTCACAAAAGGAAAGGAACAAAGCAATTGCAAAATATAAAATAATTATCATAAAATTATATTTGGGAAAATTGTACCTCATCAAAAGAAATCAAAGGCACATTCAAAAACTTATCAAAATACACAATTACCTGGAGTCAGAAGTAAAATCCCAAAACAATAAATCAAGCTTTAGTTTGTCCAAGTTCAAAACTCTTTCCCAATATTTCTCCCCATAACTCAATTTGAAAACCTAGAACAACTTAGTTTGTCCAATAAAATATGACTGTGCAACAGCACTGAATCTGCCCAGCCATCCAATAGGAGGGACAAAGCAAGCAGATTGTTTATATTTATTAACTGTGATGTAACTGGAGACCACAGTCATAGTTGAGAATTTGTACCCACCCCTTACCACCACACAACACATGCAAAGCAGGTGCCTTTCTCTTCGTTAAAGTCAGATTGGGAGGGATCATTTTTATTTTATGTTATTATGTACCTAAGAAACCAGACATGATAGGAGAAAGATGTGCCAAACCGGAGAACGAACCATAGGCTACCAGAGAGTCAAAAGTTTTGGAACCATACAGTACCACATTTACAAATGGATTTTTTTTTTTTTTTGTACATGGGTTTCTCTACATAAAGGCAAGGTTTTCTTATATTTTCTACAAACTCCAAGGAGGAGTTAAGCCCCACACAGAAATAAAAATCCATAAATCCTGAGCTTTCTGCATTTCTGAGAACTCAAAAAGACACTTTATATGAAAGAAAAAAATTATTCTGACCCCATGGCACTGTTCTTGCACATGCCTCCATAACTCTTTTACATGTTTCATAGTCAAGAGTCACCTGGCCAAAATCTTATCAATAATGAGCCCATCACATGGCCCAAGGTTAAGTAATCACATGCAGTCTGCTTTTCTATAAGTTCTGCAATGCCAACCTGAGGTTGGCTATTTCAAAATAATAAATAAAAACAAGGAGATTAAGAGAATTATTAGCAACCAAAGCAAGTATAACCATCCTCAAAACACATAAGTGTAAGCCATCTACTGCTTTCAACCAATGAGAGTAGACATGAATGTGCGCCTTCGGTCTCGTGTCTAACAGTAATCATTCACTAACTTGGACTGGTCATGGGTTTGACATTTAGGAAAGCCAGTGGGAAAAGGATTTAAGCAGCATTGATAAGTGGCTGAATCCTGCCAGACAAATACAAAGCTTTACAAAAATTATGTAATGTAAGTATGACCTGATATATGCCTTCCTTTATTTGAGGCAATATAGAAATGAGAGCGGTGTTGCTAATCTTATTCAACAAATATATTTTACCCTGTCCTCATTAAGTAAAATACCCCTTCCAAGATCTTTCTCCTTCTCCTTTCCTTTCATCTTTTCTACCTTTGCTTCTCTTCTTACTGTTGTGAGCCAAAAAAGATTGGAAGATGTTGCAGAGGTCTTGGAGAAATGAGAGAAATGAATTCTAATTTCTTTTTCCTCACCTTAAATTTTACTGTTAGATATATTATTTATTAGTCAGCTTGGATGGTGTTCAAATGGTGTTTAAAAATGTAAAAAAAGATTATTCTATTTTATCATGTAAAAATTAAAAACTACCTTTGAAAACTATTGCTTATCACTATGGCTGTTTCTAATTTCAGAAAAGTATGTAAATCTGATGGCCTGATGATTATTATTGTTATTTGTATCTCTAGTAATTAGCACAGTGACTAAGCCATGGCAAACATCCACAATACATGAGTGAGTGAATGAATAAGTGAATAAAGAATGAATGAACATCCTAGAGACAGAATTATCAAAACAAATAAGACTTCCTAGAGCCCCTGGGTCCTTCTGGTTTAAAATGAATGCCAAACACCTGCATCCCACATATGGTACTCTGTATGTTCTTCCCACACTCATCCTCACCTTAATACTTAATTTTCCTGAAAGGAATGGCTTTAGATAAACACCAGTTGACATACAGTGCCTAAATAAAGTTCTGGAGGTGATTTTTTGAGGTGCTAAAAGTTTCTACACATTCAGGAACCTTCCACAAGCAATTTTTTAGGGGAAAAATTCCAACAAGGATTGGTAAAGTCTGCTTCCTGGAAGGCCATGTAGTCACCCGTCTTAATCTAGTGCTGGCTTAAGGAATTAGCTAGGGTGGCTTTATTTTTTCCCCCAGAAAAGTGGAAGAAAGAGGTGCATTGAGAACAGAATATCTCTTATGACCTGGATGAGGAAATAATGGAGCAGTCATAAGGTGCCCCCCTTCCCTGGTGGGAATACAGTGCAGCTGCACAGTTGCAAATAGTCACACCATGTTGATAGTGTCTTAAGTCATATAAAATTTAAGAGAAGAATAAAAATGATGAAAGAGAAAGATAAATTAATATGTGACTTTGTAGAAACAATATTAGGCTTGTTCTGACATGTTGAAATCTACCCATTTCAGAAAAAAAATATTGGGCTTTAGAGTTTTATAAATCACACTTTTTATTTGACATTTATCTATTCAAACACTGCATTTCCTAGGACTTGGTTAGCATGTAAAATTCTAATTAACTTTCTTAAAAACTTGCCATATTTGTCCAAGATGTGAAATCTGCTGTTTGGCAAACATGCAGTATAGAAATGTTAGTAGTCTAATGTTTACTTTGGAAATTAACTCCTCAAAGAAATGACTTTCTTATAGTAAAGTGATTGATTTGAAATAATAGAGTGGTAAGGCATTGTTTGGTCAAATGGCTAACACGGAGTGTTGTGATTAGTTGTTTAATTTGAAGGGCTTCTTTCTCTATCCTTCAACCCTCCCTTTCTGTCTTCTTTGTCTACTGTAAGAAAGGGGAAAACAGAAAGATACTGCAATATTCTAGATAACTTTTTAACAATAAAAATAATAAAGTTTGAAATAGTAGTTCTACATTTTGAAAATTTCTCTATTTTATGAGTTGCTGAAAGAGATAAAGACCCACCTTATGTTACAGAAGTCAAAAGTATCAAATACTCCCTTTTGTCTATATGCTCCTTACCCCCAGTTTGGCCTGGATTCAGTCAATTAAATATTTTCACCTAGGATTTGAATTTTGTTTTATGGATTTGGGATTTTATTTACTTTTTTTCCAAATTGATTTATGTTTTGAATTGACACATAAAATTGTATCTATTTATTGTGTACAGCATGATGTTTGGAAATACAAACATATGTAGCTTAACAACAAGGATACTTACTGAGACATGTCTCGTTGATGCTTTCATCATTGTGCAAACGTCATACAGTGTACTTACACAAACCTAGATGGTATAGCCTACTAGACACCTAGGCTACAAGCCTCTATATCACATTACTGTACTGAATACTGTAGACAATTATAACACAATGGTAATTATTTGTGTATCTAAACATCAAAGATGCCCAGTAAAAATATTGTATAAAAGACAAAACCGATACACCTGTATAAGGCACTTACCATGAATGGAGTCTTGCAGAACTGAAAACTGCTCTGGCTGAGTCAGTGAGTGGTACGTGAATGGGAAAGCCTAGGATATTACTGTACACGGCTGTTGATTTTATGAAAACTGTACATTTAGGCTACACTAAGTTAATTTTTAAAAATAAAGTAATAGTGCTATAATGTTACTACAGCTACAACATGACTGGACATGAACATTTTTCAACTCCATTATAATCTTATGGGACCCACCGTCATATATGCTGTCTGTCATTGACTGAAATGTAGTTATGAAACAAATGATTGTGTATATACATTGTGGAATGGTTAAATCTAGGCAATTAACATAGGCATTACCTCATATAGTCATCATTTTTATGGTGAAAACAACACCCACTCTGTTAGCATTTTTCAATAATACAATGCCATTAACTACAGTCATGCTGTACAATGGATCTCTTAAACTTACTCCTCCTAACCGTAAATATCCACTCTTTGACCAGTATCTGTCCAGCCCCCTGCCCCCTAACCACCCTAGTCTCAGATAGCCATCCTTCTACTCTCTACTTCCATGAGATTAACTTTTATAAATTCCATGAGTGACTCCATGCAGTGTTTGTCTTTCTATGCCTGGCTTATTTTATTTAATATGATGTTCTTCAGATTCATCCTTGTTATAAATAGCAGGATTTTCTTCTTTTTATGGCTGAAGTGTATTCCATTGTGTAAATATAGCCAGTTTTAAAAAATGTGTATGGATACATAATAGTTGTACATATTTATGAGGTACATGTGATATTTTGATATAAGCATACAACGTATAACGATCAAATCTGGGTAACTGAAATACCCACCACCTCAAACATTTATCATTTCTTTGTTTTGGAAACTTTCTAAATCTCTTCTAGCAAAATGTGACATATATACACCATGGAATACTACTCAGCCATAAAAAGGAACGAAATAATGGCATTTTCAGCAACCTGGATGGAGTTGGAGACCACTATTTTAAGTGAAGTAACACAGGAATGGAAAACCAAGTATCTTATGTCCTCACTTATACATAGGAGCTGAGGTAAGGGGAAGCAAAGGCATAAGAATGATATACTGGACTTTGGGGACTCAGGCGAAAGGATGGGAGGTGGGTGAGGAATAAAAGACTACACATTGGGTACAGTTTACACTACTAAGGTGATGGGTACACCAAGATCTTGGAAATCACCACTAAAGAACTTATCCACGTAACCCAAAACCACCTGTTCCCCCAAAACTATTGAAATAAAACATAACAATAAAAATAAATATCTTCTAGCTATGTTGAAGTGTACAATAAATTATTGTTAACCATAGTTGCCCTAATGTGCTATTGAACACTATATCCTATTCCTTATATCTAACTACACTTTTGTACCTATCAGTTAACCCCCCTCCATCTACCTTTTCCACTACCCTTCCCAGCCTCTGGTAACCACCATTCTATTCACCACCCCCTTGCGATCAATTTCCTTTAGCTATCACAAATGAGTGAAAACATGTAATATTTGTCCTTCTGTTACCGGCTTAAATCTCTTAACATAATTTCTTTAGTTCCATCCATGTTGCTGCAAATGACAGAATTTCATTCTTTTTATGGTTGAACAATACTCCACTCTGTATGCATACCACATTTTCTTTATCCAATTATCTGTTGATGGACACTTAGGTTTAGTCCAGATCTTGGCTATTATGAATATTGTTGCAATAAACAAGAGAGCATATATATCACTTCGATACACTGTTTTCCTTTCTTTTGGATATATATCCAGCAGTGGGGTTGCTGGATTATATGGTAGTTCCATCTTTTGAGAAACCTCCATACTGGTTTTCACAGTGACTAATTTACATTTCTACCAACAAAGTATGAGGGTTCCCCTTTTTCTGGATCCTTGACAGCATTTGTTATATTGTATCCTTTTGCTAATAGCCATCTTAACTGGGGTAAAATGATATCTCATTGTGATTTTGATTTGCATTTCTCCGATAATTAGTGGTGTTGAGTATTTTTTCATATAACAGTTTGCCATTTGTATTCCTTCTTTTGAGAAATATCCAATTTTTTTCTAATGTTTAATTGAATTATTTGGTTTACTTTGCTATTGAGTTGTTTGAAATCCTCATATATTCTGTTTACTAAAAATATGGTCAGATGAATATTCTACAAATATTCTCTAATGACCAAACCTTATTCTTCTGCCATGTCTTTGATTCTGTGAGTCATGCAATATCTTTCAAGTGAATTCATTTTCTGATTAGCCACTGCTAGTTTCTCTGGTTTGCAACAAAGGGCCGAGATGTTTTATATAATGGTGCTCACAGTGTGGTAAAGATAAAATGGTAAATACCACCCATGGCAAATTCTGACCCAAAGCAAAGCAATGCCTCTAAGGTTTTGAAGAGAAGTCACGCCATATTCAGAATGTAATTATTTCAGCAAGTAAATATAATTTTGAGAACTTCTTCTGGCTTACCATTGGGCCCTAACAGAATGAGGCACTAAGTGATCAGGAGATTAGAGCTTCCAAGAATAAATAGGATATATGCAATATAATACAGAACAAGTTGCTACAACAAAGAAATTCAAAATTTAGTAGCTCATTTTCTGTCACGTTTAATTATTCAGATGTCCAGAGGCATCTAGAAATGATCCACATCTAAAAGATAGCTCTGTTCTAGAAAGTTCTCTCTGTCTTGTTTATCTACCATCTCCTAGTGCAATCCTCATCTTTATGACCAAAGTTGCCTCAGCTCCATGTCTACGTGCCCACCAGTGAAAAGTGGCAAGGAGAGAAAGTCTAGGACAATTTACTTTGAGGAAATTGATATAAAATATTATTTCTACTCACATTCCATTAGCAAAAAGTTAGACACATTGGCCATATTAGCTACAAAGGAGTCTGAAAATATTATTTTCTAGATGAAGTTGTCATATACTCAAAAAAATGCTATTCATATGGAAAGAGGAAAGAATGGATTTCCCATGACAACTAGAAGTCTGCCACATAGTTTTCTGAAAAACCCAGCCCTGAATCAGGCAAGTGCTATAGCATTTCATTATCAAATCAACATACTACATCAGAGAGATGTACATTTTAGGAGCAGGGCATTCATACACTCCATGTGCTTACCCCCACAACACTGCCATCCACTATTCAATTCACATTCAGCCATTATGAGGTGAACCATATGACTAGTAGACTGAGTAGGACAGTCCTAAGCTTAATTTCTAGACATCTGTGACAGTAGCTAAAAGTGGCTTGCTATGAAGGCATAGCACAAGAAAAAAACTGACTCTGTTAAGAAGACAGAATTTAGAGCAGCACGATTTGAGAAACAGATCATGGATTCTGGCTGGTCGCTAAAGATTTTATTGAATAGCCAAGGATATGAAAGGAGCAATATTGGAGGACTATTGACAAAATGTCTCTGGATGTGTTATATGGCTGGGGTTTTTTTGAAATAAACATTAAAATGCTGTATGCTAGGTGAATATTTACCGAAAAGACCCTTGAAGAGCAAGTGCTTAATAATCAGGGGAACAAGATGACTACTTCATAGATTTCAATTTTCCTCCTTCCCAAATATCTATTCAATAAATAATATGCTCATAAAAACGTGTTGGCAAGGATAGAGGCTACACATGAGCTCAACGTGGATTTTCCTTGAAGAGATTCTTGTCATCATCAAGTAGCCTATTTTCCAGTATCAATAACCAACGCTAGGCTCCCAACACAGTTCTATACAGTGAGTGGGAATTTGAGTACCTCCTGAAAAATGAGTGGATCCTTTCCATCATGAAAAGGTTAGCATTTTGACATCTCTAAAACACATACCAATATCAGATTTATAGTTCTTTTTTTTTTTAACTCCGTGCTTATGCCAGCCCTAGTATCCATAGTCCTACTCTATACTTCATGTACTATTGTGGAATCCCTATAACATTGTTTCTACCAAAGAACTTAATATACATGAAGGTCAAGGGGCTACTACTGTCCATGGATATCACTATGTTTTTTATAAACCCCATCTTATAGAAGTACTTCTCTTAATGATGGAATTTCCTGTTGAAGGGAGATTTGGTTATGGTTGCAGCTCAGAAATAAGGCCTTGCATTGGGTGGATCACTTGAGGCCAGGAGTTTGAGACCAACCTGACCAACATGGCGAAACCCCGTCTCTACAAAAAATACAAACCTTAGCTGGGCAGGGTGGCAGGTGCTTGCAATCGCAGCTACTTGAGAGGTTGAAACACAAGAAGCACTTGAATCCACAGGAGGCAGGGGCTGCAGTTAGCAGAGATTGCACCACTGCACTTCAGCCTGGGCAAAAGAGCAAGGGTCTGTCTCAAAAAAAAAAGGCCTTGCAAGCCAAGAACATGGGCACAAAACATGAGATATATGTTCTATACCAATGACCAATATATTCCTCTTATAACAAGCATATTTGAGTCTGGAACAAAGGGAGAGATATTAGAGTGATGCGTCTCAACTTCAAATGACACATTTGAAATATTTTGGTTTTCCATCTTTGAGACTCTAGGGCTTACTAGTGAAAAAAAATGTTAATATTAGAAGAACAATACTTTCAACAGGGAGCACTACAAATTTCCACTGAATTTGAAGCTGAGAGTATCATCTAACCATCTCTGGTTCTTATTGCCCTGGGGGAAGTGGCACAAACTGAGATAGATTGTGGTTTGGGGAGACAGCCCCTGACTATCAAGAGGAAGTCATATAGCCACATACTCCTTTCTTGGGTACCACCTTTGCTAAGGCCACTCTAGACTACTCACAGTTACCCAAACTGGATGTTTACTTTCATGCCTCTGAGCTTTTGGAATTGCTAACCTTTCTGCTTCTAGTGCCCTCCACCATCTCTCATCATTCAAAGCCCAGATAATAAAATCATCCTCAGTGTAAAGTCTTCCCTGATACTCTCATAAGACAAAGCTATTTACCATACCCTCTGTATATTATATAATCTCACAGAGTAGTCTTAGCCTTTTTCACATCACATTGTAACTATGTGTTTGCATGTCTGCTGCCACTAACTGCATATGTACATTATTGTATGTCATTATACCACAAACCCCTGGCGATGGACATTAATTTTAAGAACCAAGAACCTGCAGACTTTAAAGAACTGCACACTTCTGACAAAGGAAGTTAATTTTAACAAGTTACATTTTGTGCCTCCTTTGGCCAAGAATTGTAACACCACCGTAACACGTGGCATAGGGAAAGCTCTGAATATATCTTGTTCAAATTAATTAATAAGCTTTTGCAAAATATATACAGATATTTAAAATGTGAGAAATTTTGAGCTCATGAGTGATGTCAGAGTTAAGATATGTATTGGGAAACAATAACAAAGAGACGATTTTCTTGACCATCTTGGTCAGGGTTTTTGGCTTACATAGTTTCCGATAGACTCCCTGTGTTGTGTCGAGACCACCTCTCTTTCATAGGTATTTAGCATCCCGAGAATCAGTTTTTTGTTGGAAACAAAATAGACATTCATAAATGTTTGTATAATTAATTACTTATATAGTAGTTTATATTATTTGTATCAATTATATAAACATTTGTACTAATTAATGAAGAAATGTACAAAACTCTGGATCCTATCAAAGCATAGTCTCTGTCCCTTTGGTATACATTTGATAGTGTTTATATAAGTGTATACTTCATACACACTTGGATAATGGAATTCTGCCTAAAATAATAGAAACACTAAACTCCTTTAGCAGAATGCAATTAACATTCACTCCTTTTAACTTTTTATAATAAAAAATGACTATCTTTACAATGGAGTACATAAGCATCATTAAAAGATTAAAACAACCATTGAACTGCATTTAATTAACATTCTATAACAGACTATACAAAAATACATTCATGTTCAAACCTAACTTTGTATACATTTACTTCATTGTACACACAAAAGTATGAGTAACTATTTTCCTAGGCAAGATTTTTCAAGGTGTACCTCTTCCTTGTGTTTCCATCCTAATTATTTTGGATTTTTTCATACTGGGAAAGCTCTTTTTCTTCATCCAAGAAATTACTTTCAATGTGGAAATCATTAGTGCACTAGAATATGGAATTTAGAAATGAGAAAAACGAAGTCATAAACTAAACAGACAATGAGATTAATAACTGAAGCCCAGAAACCACTTGATTTTGTTCTTTATAAAGTTTCATATACTAATGTGAGCAATATTTCTTAATTCTCATGGCTGTGTAATATTTGGGGGCTTATATGACTAGTCACTTTTCAGCCTTTTAGCAAGGAATTTTCAGAAGTTCTGGTAAGAAAGGAGTTAATGGAGTAAAATTTTATTAAAAGATTTATGCTGACCAGGTGTTTGAGTTGCTTGAAAAGTCGACCATTTAACATACAACCTTTCTGTTGTAAATACTGTACCACCAGAAGACAGATTAAATAGTTTCATATAAAACTATGGTTTAAAAAAAATAGGGATAATGAAAAAAACATTGTCCAACATTTTTTTAGTAAGTTGCCAAAAATGTGACCCTCAGAACACCACAATGTCTTTATACTAGCAACTCACTTAAACTGTCTCATGCAGAGACAAAGGCAGAATTGAGGCTTTTAAAACATAAATATAAATATCAAATATCCATATCAGAAACAGATTAATCACTACTCTGATTATATATGTGATTATATATGTCATATGCAAAAACTCATTCAAAAGACTCTCAGATTATCATGGCCTATAACATCATATTTAGAGGAGACTTTCTGCTTCTCTGAGTTATGAGGTTAAACTGTTAACCCTGTCACCTTCACATTACATCACTGGAAATACTGCCTATTTGGGAAAATTGTGGTTTTCAGGCTTACAGTTTTGAGCTTGCCTTATACAAACCAACCACTAAAAATTGTGATGGGGGGAGGCTTTTCATGAAATAAGCATTATAGAAACTAACCCCGGGGTTAAATACTACAATCATTCACAGGTGGGATTTCCTGGGGTTTTGCAACTTTCCATGAAGGGATTTACATACGCCCAAAAGAAGCCACTGTTGAAACAGGGCTTTTATTCTTTTGGGTGGGGGGTGGGGGGTGTAGTTTTAACTAAGCAGTAAAGTAACTCTGTCTGGTCATAGTTACCAAGCTGTTGTACTTTTTGTTTAGTAGGTCAACTGACTGTTGTCATCTTAATTTGTGTCTGGGCCTATCACGCAATGACCATTGCCTCACAGAAGGTTTTAATCAAAGCAGCCAAACCAACAAAATAGGACATCCTCGTCAGAATTATAAACAGCCTTCTGAAATGAGTGTTCCAATTAGGGCAATAATACAAGCATTTGAATTGGTCTATACACTCAAATAGATTCAGTGCAACCTGAAAGTGTGTGTGTGTGTTTCTGTGTATCCATGCATGTGTGTGTACATTTGTGAAGCAGTTTCCCCTTTTTCTCTCTCTTTCTTCCTCATTGAAATTGGTGTGCGTTTAGTGTTTCACTGAACAGTTAGAGTTTATTTCTCTCTCTAAAAGATTAAACTTAGTCAAAGTTTTTGGCAATTATAATTAGTCAAAAGACTTTGTGGAGTAAGATAATTTTAACCATGCCATATAACAGCCCATTTTTAAAATAATTCTATGGTAGTTCACATTTTATAACATTTTCTGTAACAGTTGTTACAACAACCCTGGCAAATTAATGTCTTCTAAAACCAAAGATGTTTCTTTCTTACTTAAAATATAATAAATCAGACAAAGAAGAAAATAACATGGTGGTAGAAAGAATTCTAATGGGGGGAAATTTTTAATTAGTAAGTTTTAAAAATTTATTTAACAACATAAATAAAAACACCTCCCTTCCTTCTCAATTTAATCTTAATTCAAAAGAGGCTACAAAAATAAAGATGTATAACCTCAAATTAAAGGTCTTTCTTTTTGTTTTCAATGTAAAATAAATTCCTACGCAATAGTGGGACATATGAAAGTGTAGCTCAACAGCATTATTATAATACAGAAGAAATTAAATATAGTAGAGATGCAGAAAAAAATAGTATCAATCCTTGTGACGGGATTATCTTTAAACACACACTTGCAAGTGTGTGTGTCCCAAATCAAATAAAGTAAGGAAAGATACTATTTTTAGTTAGTGTAAAAATTTAATATCATTACCATATTGCATTTCAGAAGGTAAGCTAATTCTGATTTTGCCCCCAAAAGGTATTTATCTCTGCAACTTTATCGAGGGTGTTCAATAAAGTGAAAGAAGTTATATCATGTAAAGACATGTAATTTTCAAGTAGGCAGAAGAATCACAATCTAAATACATAGCCAAATTTTGTTTTAATTGGTTATCTTCTATAAAACTAAAGAGGAAAGATACACAAAAACAAATGGTAAATGTCAAGTTGAAAATTGTTTTGGGGGTGGGCCAAGACGGCCAATTAGAAGCAGCTGCAGTCTGTGGCTGTCACAGAGAACAAAAACAGGGAGTAAATTCTACACCTTCAACTGTGATATCCAGGTTCTTGCACTGGGACTGATGAGGCAATCGGCATGACCCACGGAGAGCAAGGAAAAGCAGGATGGGGCAACACCCCACCTGGGAGAGACACAATGCCACTGGGGCTCCCACACCCAGCCAAGGAATGTGGTGAGCAATTGTGCGACCCCATCTGGGAAACCACGCTTTTGCCATGGATCTTTGCAGCCCAAGGATCAGGGGAAGGAGTGGCCACCATTTCTGTGGCTTAAGCCCACCTTTCTGGCTGCCAGCTTCAGGGAGTCTGGGCAGTCTATAAGGAATTCCTTTACAGCACAGCACAACTTCTGTGGCAGATCATGGACAGGCTGCTTCTTTAACAGGGATCCCGATCCATCCCTCCTCACTAGGCAAGGCCTCCCTGTGGGAATTTCAACAACTCCAGCCAGGGTTTTGTGGACAGAACTCTGATCTCCCTAAGAGGGAACCACTGGGGGAAGGGGAAGCCAGTCTCTGCAGTTCAGCCAACTTAGTCTTTCCTCCCAGCTGAATCTGGATAGTCCAGGTGGTCTGGACAAGAGGGGTTCCCCCACCCCAGTGCAGCACACCTACTCTGCCAAGGGGCAGCCAAAGTCTTCTTTACTTGGATCCCTAATCCCATTCCTCCTGACTGGGAGAGACCTCCCAACAGGGGTCTCCAGACTCCTACAGGAGCATTCAGGCCGGCATCAGGTTGGTGACCCTCTGGGACAGAGCTCCCAGAGGAAGAAGCAGGCTGCCACCTTTGCTGTTTTGCAGCCTTCACTGGTGATAACTCCAGGTGTGGGAGGGACCCAGATGATTATGGTCTGGAGTGAACCCCTAGCCTACCACAGCGCACTGTGGAAGAGGATCCTGACTGTTAAAACAAACAAAGCAACAAAAACAACATCAACAAAAAAGACCACACAAAAACCCTATTCAAAGATGAGCAACCTCAAAAATCAAAGGTAGATAGGCCCACAAAGATGAGAAAGAATCAAAGCAAAAACACTGAAAACTCAAAAAGCCAGGGTGCCTCTTCTCCTCCAAATGATTGTAACACATCTCCAGCAAGGGCACATAACTGGGCAGAGGCTCAGATTGCCAAATTGACAAAAGTGGGCTTCAGATGGTGGGTAATAACAAACTTTGTTGAGCTAAAGGAGCATGTCCTAACCCAATGCGAAGAAGCTAAGAATCATGATAAAACATTACAAGGGCTGATAACCAGAATAGCCAGTTTAGAGAGAAATATACATGACCTGATGGAGCTGAAAAACACAAGACGAGACCTTCACAATGCAATCACAAATATCAATAGCTAAACAGACCAAGTGGAGTAAAGAATCTCAGAGCTTGAAGGCTATCTTTCTAAAATAAGACAGGCAGGCAAGAACAGAGAAAAAAGAATGAAAAGGAATGAAAAAACCTCCAAGAAATATGGGATTATATAAAGAGACCAAACCTACAACTGACTGGAGTACCTGAAGGAGACAGGGAGAGTGGAACCAAGTTGGAAAAGATACTTCAGGATATCATCCAGAACTTGCTTAACCTAGCAAGACAGACCAGCATTCAAATTCAGGAAATGAAGAGAACTCCAGTAAGACACTCCATGAGAAGATCAACCCCAAGATACATAATCATCAGATTCTCCAAGGTCGAAATGAAAGAAAAAATGTTAAGTGCCGCCAGAGAGAAAGACCAGGTCACCTACAAAGGGAAGCCCATCAGGTTAACAGTGGACCCCTCAGCAAAAATACTTTAAGCCAGAAGAAATTGGAGGCCAATATTCAACATTCTTAAAGGTAAGAATTTCCAAACTAGAATTTCATATCCAGCCAAACTAAACTTCATAAGCAAAGGAGAAATAAGATCCTTTTCAGACAAGCAAATGCTGAGGGAATTCATTACCACCAGGCCTGCCTTGCAAGATCTGCTGAGGGAAGCAGTAATATGAAAAGGAAAAACTGTTACCAGCCACTATGAAAATACACTCAGTACACAGACTATGTGAAACAACCACATAGACAAGCCTGCAAAATAATCAGCTAGCATCATAATGACAGAATCAAATTCACACATAACAACATTAACCTTAAATGTCAATGGGCTAAATGCCCCAATTAAAAGACATGGAATGTCAGGCTGAATAAAGAGTCAAGAACCAGCAGTATGCTGTATTCAAGAGACACATCTCATGTGCAAAGACATACGTAGGCTCAAAATACAGGGATGGGGGCGTATTTACCAAGCAAATGGAAAAGAGGAAAAAGCAGAGATTGCAATGCTATTTTCTTTTTTTATATTATTTTTATTTTTATCTTATTATTTTATTTTATTGTATTACTATTATACTTTAAGTTTTAGGGTACATGTGCACAATGTGCAGGTTAGTTACATATGTATACATGTGCCTCATCATTTTTGATGGCTGCATAGTATTCCATGGTGTATATGTGACACATTTTCTTAATCCAGTTTATCATTGTTGGACATTTGGGTTGGTTCCAACTCTTTGCTATTGTGAATAGTGCCGCAATAAACATACGTGTGCATGTGTCTTTATAGCAGCATGTTTTATAGTCCTTTGGGTATATACCCGGTAATGGGATGGCTGGGTCAAATGGTATTTCTAGTTCTAGATCCCTGAGGAATCACCACACTGACTTCCACAATGGTTGAACTAGTTTACAGTCCCACCAGCAGTGTAAAAGTGTTCCTATTTCTCCACATCCTCTCCAGCACCTGTTGTTTCCTGACTTTTTAATGATTGCCATTCTAACTGGTGTGAGATGGTATCTCATTGTGGTTTTGATTTGCATTTCTCCGATGGCCAGTGACGATGAGCATTTTTTCATGTGTTTTTTGGTTACATAAATGTCTTCTTTTGAGATGTGTCTGTTCATGTCCTTTGCCACTTTTTGATGGGGTTGTTTGTTTTTTTCTTGTAAATGTGTTTGAATTCATTGTAGATTCTGGATATTAGCCCTTTGTCAGATGAGTAGGTTGCAAAAATTTTGTCCCATTTCGTAGGTTGCCTGTTCACCCTGATGGTAGCTCCTGGATTCATTAATTTTTTGAAGGGTTTTTTGTGTCTCTACTTCCTTCAGTTCTGCTCTGATTTTAGTTATTTCTTGCCTTCTGCTAGCTTTTGAATGTGTTTGCTCTTGCTTCTCTAGTTCTTTTAATTGTGATGTTACGGTGTCAATTTTAGATCTTTCCTGCTTTCTCTTGTGGGCATTTAGTGCTATAAATTTCCCTCTACACACTGCTTTGAATGTGTCCCAGAGATTCTGGTATGTTGTGTCTTTGTTCTCGTTGGTTTCAAAGAACATCTTTATGTCTGCCTTCATTTTGTTATGTACCCAGTAGTCATTCAGGAGCAGGTTGTTCAGTTTCCATGTAGTTGAGTGGTTTTGAGTGAGTTTCTTAATCCTGAGTTCTAGTTTGATTGCACTGTGGTCTGAGAGATAGTTTGTTATAATTTCTGTTATTTTACATTTGCTGAGGAGAGCTTTACTTCCAACTATGTGGTCAATTTTGGAATAGGTGTGGTGTGGTGCTGAAAAAACTGTATATTCTGTTGATTTGGGGTGGAGAGTTCTGTAGATGTCTATTAGGTCTGCTTGGTGCAGAGCTGAATTCAATTCCTGGGTATCCTTGTTAACTTTCTGTCTCGTTGATCTGTCTAATGTTGACAGTGGGGTGTTAAAGTCTCCCATTATTATTGTGTGGGAGTCTAAGTCTCTTTGTAGGTCACTCAGGACTTGCTTTATGAATCTGGGTGCTCCTGTATTGGGTGCATATATATTTGGGATAGTTAGCTCTTCTTGTTGAATTGATCCCTTTACCATTATGTAATGGCCTTCTTTGTCTCTTTTGATCTTTGTTGGTTTAAAGTCTGTTTTATCAGAGACTAGGATTGCAACAACTGCCTTTTTTTGTTTTCCATTGGCTTGGTAGATCATCCTCCATCCTTTTATTTTAAGCATATGTGTGTCTGTGCATGTGAGATGGGTTTCCTGAATACAGCACACTGATGGGTCTTGACTCTTTATCCAATTTGCCAGTCTGTATCTTTTAATTGGAGCATTTAGTCCATTTACATTTAACAATAATATTGTTATGTGTGAATTTGATCCTGTCATTATGATGTTAGCTGGTTATTTTGCTCGTTTGCTGATGCAGTTTCTTCCTAGCCTTGATGGTCTTTACAGTTTGGCATGATTTTGCAGTGGCTGGTACCGGTTGTTCCTTTCCATGTTTAGTGCTTTCTTCAGGAGCTCTTTTAGGGCAGGCCTGGTGGTGACAAAATCTCTCAGCATTTGCTTGTCTGTAAAGTATTTTATTTCTCCTTCACTTATGAAGCTTAGTTTGGCTGGATATGAAACTCTGGGTTGAAAATTCTTTTCTTTAAGAATGTTGAATATTGGTCCCCACTCTCTTCTGGCTTGTAGAGTTTCTGTCGAGAGATCCACTGTTAGTCTGATGGGCTTCCCTTTGTGGGTAACCCGACCTTTCTCTCTGGCTGCCCTTAACATTTTTTCCTTCATTTCCACTTTGGTGAATCTGACAATTATGTGTCTTGGAGTTGCCCTTCTCGAGGAGTATCTTTGTGGTGTTCTCTGTATTTCCTGAATCTGAATGTTGGCCTGCCTTGCTAGATTGGGGAAGTTCTCCTGGATAATATCCTGCAGAGTGTTTTCCAACTTGGTTCCATTCTCCCTGTCACTTTCAGGTACACCAATGAGATGTAGATTTGGTCTTTTCACATATTCCCATATTTCTTGGAGGCTTTGTTCATTTCTTTTTATTCTTTTTTTTCTAAACTTCCCTTCTCGCTTCATTTCATTCATTTCATCTTCCATCACTGATACCCTTTCTTCCAATTGATCACATCGGCTCCTGAGGCTTCTGCATTATTCACGTAGTTCTCGAGCCTTGGCTTTCAGCTCCATCAGCTCCTTTAAGCACTTCTCTGTATTGGTTATTCTAGTTACACATTCGTCTAAATTTTTTTCAAAGTTTTTAACTTCTTTGCCTGTTTTTAACTTCTTTGCCTTTGGTTTGAATTTCCTCCTGTAGCTTGGAGTAGTTTGATTGTCTGAAGCCTTCTTCTCTCAGCTCGTCAAAGTCATTCTCTGTCCAGCTTTGTTCCATTGCTGGTGAGGAACTGCATTCCTTTGGAGGAGGAGAGGTGCTCTGCTTTTTAGAGTTTCCAGTTTTTCTGCTCTGTTTTTTCCCCATCTTTGTGGTTTTATCTACTTTTTGTCTTTGATGATGGTGATGTACAGATGGGTTTTTGGTGTGGATGTCCTTTCTGTTTGTTAATTTTCCTTCTAACAGACAGGACCCTCAGCTGTAGGTCTGTTGGAGTTTGTTAGAGGTCCACTCCAGACCCTGTTTGCCTGGCTATCAGCAGCAGTGGCTGCAGAACAGCGGATTTTTGTGAACTGCAAATGCTGCTGTCTGATCGTTCCTCTGGAAGTTTTGTCTCAGAGGAGTACCTGGCCATGTGAGGTGTCAGTCTGTCCCTACCGGGCGGTACCTCCCAGTTAAGCTGCTTGGGGTTCAGGGGTCAGGGACCCACTTGAGGAGGCAGTCTGCCCGTTCTCAGATCTCCAGCTGCATGCTGGGAGAACCACTGCTCTCTTCAAAGCTGTCAGACAGGGACGTTTAAGTCTGCAGAGGTTACTGCTGTCTTTTTGTTTGTCTGTGCCCTGCCCCCAGAGGTGGAGCCTACAGAGGCAGGCAGGCCTCCTTGAGCTGTGGTGGGCTCCACCCAGTTTGAGCTTTCTGGCTACTTTGTTTACCTAAGCAAGCCTGAGCAATGGTGGGCGCCCCACCCCCAGCCTCACTGCTGCCTTGCAGTTTGACCTCAGACTGCTGTGCTAGCAATCAGCGAGACTCCATGGGCATAGGACCCTCCAAGCCAGGTGCTGGATATAATCTCCTGGTGTGCTGTTTTTTAAGCCTGTCAGAAAAGCACAGTGTTAGGGTGGGAGTGACCCAACTTTCCAGGTGCCATCTGTCACCCCTTTCTTTGAGTAGGAAAGGGAACTTCCTGACCCCTTGCACTTCCCAAGTGAGGCAACGCATCACCCTGTTTCGGCTCATGCATGGTGCACTGCACCCACTGTCCTTCACCCACTGTCTGGCACTCCCTAGTGAGATGAACCCAGTACCTCAGATGGAAATGCAGAAATCATCCATCTTATGCATCGCTCATGCTGGGAGCTGTAGACCAGAGCTGTCCCTATTCGGCCATCTTGGCTGCCCTGCAATGCTAGTTTCTGACAAAACAGACTTTACACCAACCAAGATCAAGAAGGACAAATAAGGGCATTACATAAGGGCATTACATAAAGGTTGAATTCAACAAGAAGAGTGAACTATCTTCAATATGTATGCACCCAATACAGGAGTACTCAGATTTATAAAACCAGTTCTTAGAAACCTACGAAGAGACTTAGACTCCCACACAATAATAGTGGGAGGCTTTAACACCCCCATTGACTATATTAGACAGATCATTTAGGCAGAAAATTAACAAAGATAATCAGAACCTAAACTCAGCTTTGATCAAGTGGACCTGATAGATCTACAGAACTCTCCACCCAAAAACAATAGAATACAAATTATTGTCATCACCCCATACTTACTCTAAATTTGATCACAATTAGAAGTAAAACACCCCTCAGCAAATGCAAAATAACTGAAATGATAATAGTCTCTCTCATCAGCCTGCAATCAAATTAGAACTCAAGATTTTAAAACTTATTCAAAACCACACAACTACATGGAAATTGAACAACCTGCTCCTGAATGGCTACTGGGTGAATAATAAAAATAAAAAAGAAATCAAGAAGTTATTTGAAACTAATAGGAATAAAGGGACAATGTACCAGAATCTCTAGGACAAAGCTAAAGCAGTGTTAAGAGAGAAATTTATAGCACTAAATACCCACATCAAAAAGCTAGAAAGATTTCAAATCAACAACCTAACATCACAACTAAAAGAAGTAGAGAATCGAGAGAAAACAAACCCCAAACCTAGCAGAAAACAAGAAATAACCAAGATCAGAGCAGAACTGAAGGAGATAGACACACACACACACACACACACACACACACACACACACACACACACACAAACCTTCAAAAAATCCATGAATCCAGGAGCTGGCTTTTTGAAAAAATTAATAAAATAGACCACTAGCTAGACTAATAAAGAAGAAAAGTGAGAAGAATCAAATAGACACAATCAGAAATGATAAAGGTGATATCACCACTGACCCCACAGAAATACAAATAACCATCAAAGATAATATAAACACCTCTATGCACATAAACTAGAAAATCTAGAAGAAATGAATAAATTCTTGGATTTATACAGCCTCCCAACACTGAACCAAAAAGAAATTGAATCCCTGAATAGACCAATAATGAGTTCTAAAATTGAGGCAGTAATAAACAACCTGACAACAAAAAAGAGCCCAGGATCAGATGGATTTACAGCTGAGTTCTTCCAAAGGTATAAAGAGGAGCTGGTACAATTTCTTCTGAAACTATTCCAAGCAAGTGAAAAGGAGGGACTTATCTGTAACTCATTTTATGAGGCTAACATCATCCTGATACCAAAACCTAGCAAAGATACAACAACAGCAAAAAAGAAAACGTCAAGCCAATATTCCTGATGAACATCGATGCAAAAAAACCTCAATAAAATATTGGCAACCTGAATCCAGCAGCACATCAAAAAGGTTATCCATTATGATAAAGTTGGCTTCATCCCTGGGATGCAAGGTTCATTCAACACTCAAATCAATTAGTGTGATTAATCATATAAATAGAACTAAAGACAAAAACCACATGATTATCTCAATAGACACAGAAAAGGCCTTCAATAAAATGCAACATCCCTTCATGTTAAATATTCTCAATAGGCTACGTATTGATAGAACATATCTCAAAATAATAAGATCCATATATGACAAATCCACAGCCAGTATCATACTGAATGTGCAAAAGTTGGAAGCATTCCTCTTGAAAACCATCACAAAACAAGGATGACCTCTCTCACCACTCCTATTCAGCATAATATTGGAAGTTCTGGCCAGGGCAATCTGGCAATAAAAAGAAATAAGGTATTCAAATAGGAAGAGAGGAAGTCAAACTGCCTTTGTTTGCAGATGACATAATCTTATACCTAGTAAATCCCATCGTCTCAGCTGAAAAGCTTCTTAAGCTGATAAGCAACTTCAGCAAAGTCTCAGAATACAAAAATCTATGGGCAAAAATTGCTAGCATTTCTATACACCAACAAAAGGCAAGCAGAGAGCCAAATCACAAATGAGCTCCCATTCACGATTGCTACAAAGAGACTAAAATATCTAGGAATACAGCTAACAAGGGATGTGAAGAAACTCTTCAAGGAGAACTATAAACCACTGCTCAGGGAAATCGGAGAGGACACAAACAAATAAAAAAACACTCCATGCTCATGGATGGGAAGAATCAATATCATGAAAATGGCCATACTGCCTAAAGTAATTTATAGAGTCAATGTTATTCCCATTACACTACCATTGAACTTTTTCACATAATTAGACAAAAAAAAATTTTAAATTTATATGGAACCAAAAGGAGCCCAAAAGCCAAGACAATCCTCAGCAAAAAGAACAAAGCTGAAGGCATATGCTACCCAATTTCAAACTATACTACAAGACTACAGTAACCAAAACAGCATGGTACTGGTACAAAAACTGACACGTAGCCCAAAGGAACAGAATAGATAACTTAGAAATAAGACCACACACCTGTTAGCACAACCATCTGATCTTTGACAAACCTGAGAAAAATAAGAAATGAGAAAATAATTGCCTATTTAATAAATGATGCTGGGAGAACTGGCTAGCCATATGCAGAAAATTGAAACCGGACTCCTTTTTTACACCTTATACACACATTAACTCAATATGTACTAAAGACTTGAATGTAAAATACAAAACTATAAAAACCATAGAACAAAATCTAGGCATTACCATTCAGGACATAGGCACAGGCAAAGATTTCATGAAAAAAACACCAAAAGCAATTGCAACAAAAGCAAAAATTGACAAATGGGATCTAATTAAACTAAAGAGCTTCTGCAAAGCAAGGAAACTATCATCACAGTAAACAGACAACCTAAAGAATGGGATAAATTTTTTCCAATCTATCCATCTGACAAAGGTCTAATATACAGAGTCTATAAGGAACATAAATAAATTTATAAGAAAAAAACCCCATTAAAAAGTGGGCAAAGGACATGAACAGACACCTCTCAAAAGAAGACATTCATGTGGCCAACCAACATATGAAAAAAAGCTCAACATCACTAATCATTAGAGAAATGCAAATCAAAACCGCAATGAGTTACCATCTCATGGCAGTCAGAATGGTGATCATTAAAAAGTCAAGAAACAACAGATGTTGGCTAGGTTGCAGAGAAAAAGGAATGCTTTTACACTGTTAGTGGGAATATAAATTAGTTTAACCATTGTGGAAGACACTGTAGCAATTCCTCAAAGAGCTAGGAGCAGAAATATCATTTGACCCAGCAATCTCATTACTTGGTATATACCCATAGGAATATAAATCATTCTATTATAAAGATACATGCAGATGTATGTTCATTGCAGCACTATTCAAAATAGCAAAGACATGGAATCAACACAGATGCCCATCAACAATAGACTGGATAAAGAAAACTTGGTACATATACACCATAGAATATTATGCAGTCATAAAAAGGTGACATCATGTCCTTTCCAGGGACGTGGATGGAGCTGGAAACAGTTATCCTCAGCAAACCAATGCAGGAACAGAAAACCAAACACCGCATGTTGTCACTTAGATGTGGGAGCTGAACAATGAGAACACATGAACACATTGGCGGGAACAACACACACTGGGGCCTGTCGGAGGGGGTGGGGTGAGAGAGAACATCAGGAAGAATAGCTAATGGATGCTGAGTTTAATATCCAGGTGATGGTTTGATCTGTGCAGCAAACCACCATGGCACACATTTACCTATGTAACAAACCTGCACAACCTGCACATGTACCCTGAAATGTAAAATATAAGTTGAAGAAAAAAGAAAAGAAAATTATTTTGAGTCAATAAAATCTTCCAAGATTAATATCCCCGATCCATCATTCTTAAATGTCTACTCTGTCCCCAAGACCTTGTCAATTCTTTGTATTTAGAAATTTTCCCATATTTTTAATATTGTATGTATTTATTATAATTTAATGCAACAGGAAAATTGAATAGACACAGGCTTTATGACTCAGTCTTGAGAGTAATCTATCATTTGAGATAGTTGTAGCTGATTTAGCATGTCTCCTGTTGGTTTTATTTTTCCAGCCTAAGTAAAGATGGGTAATCTTGCTGGACACAGCAGGTGGGCATAATCTCCCTTCATTTATCTTCTTAATCAGACAAAAAAGGAAACCAGCTCTTATTTACTCACAGATTCACTTAAATATTAGCAATTACATAACATTAGGCAGTCTAGATGGTTTTTCAATACTCACCCACACAATTTCTAATGTAAATATAGAAATTGTGTGGATGAGTCCATCCACACAATATGATATGTCCATTATCAAGGCAAAAAAGGATATTCATTAAATGTCATTATAAAATATTTATACCAATAAGAGTGTAATTTGTAATATGAATTCCTACCTAATATTTATTTTCTTTTCACATCAGAGCAGGGGTCACCACAGGACATGATACAAGAAGTGGGAGCCCAAGATGAGGTCATTACTGAATGAGACTCAGTGTTTAATGCAAAAAGGTCTGGCATCTAAGAAATCAAGTAGTAACCAGGAACTCAGCCATAGCCATTAGAAGCCAATAGATTTAAAAGGAGTGATAGTAGGAAATGGAAGTCAAAACTGGCTATGGTCAAAAGTCTAGAACACAAGTTCTATTCTAAGGCAACTGTTTTATACTTCTTACATCCAAATAGTATAGCCTCAGGAGCCAAACCTATAGATGTAAAAAAAGCACTTGCATCTGGTTATAGAATGTTAATAGAAAAAAAACTGATTAGCAATGGTAGAAAAAAATGTATTCTGAAGCAATAGATGGTACAAAGAGAAATAAAAGTAGTTAACATGGGCATGTTCCAGTTTCATCCATGATGGAACAGCTATTATTGGACTTCACTTGTTGCTATAAACAAGTATAAAATCTAGACAAAACATATATAGCAACTGTTTGCAGGCATTGGACCATAGCCAGTGCAGGGCTATGGTCCTTGAGAAAAAAGAGGCAAACAAGATAAACATCACATAAACCAAGGATTTCTCCCTTGGGGCATTTTCCAAATTATAGCTCAGGAAAATAGAGCCTAAGTAAAGACAGGTAGTCTTGCTGGACAGCAGAAACCAAAATCAGAGTGCTGGGTAACCAAAAGAGCTAGGATTCGAATGGCTGAGTCTCAGAGAGGAAAAAGCTACAGAAAAGGTACCCTAATAATTTGCATAACCTTTTCCCTTAGGTTGTTAGTCAACTTCTAAAGTGTATATATGCAGGGCAAAGCTTGGCAACCTATTTGAGAGCAGCCACTGAGATGCTAGAGAGCAGAGGAGAGATTTCCAAGGCCATGGAAATCCCTTAGGTCAGCCAGGGATTAGAGACCTAAAGCATTCATTTTACACCACAGAAATGTCTCAAATGTCACAATCCTAGGATATGGATGTGACATTTCCCTAGGTATAAGGGCTGTGCCCAAAAAGAAAGAGCAAAACTAAAATAGACTTGCTCTCACAAAACTTCAAACTACCTAGGCAAAATAAAAGTGATCTACAAGTAATTTTAGTCTCTGACCAAACAAAATTTAGCACTATTTAGAAGATAACATAAATCAAAGTATCTATGACATATATACAATGTCAGTCTTCCGATCAAAAATTACTAAATTACTAAATATAGCAGTGGCTCACGTCTGTAATCCCAGCACTTTGGGAGGCCGAGGTGGGTGGATCACCTGAGGTCAGGAGTTTGAGACCAGCCTGGCCAACATGGTGAAACCCTGTCTCTACTAAAAATACAAAAGTTAGCTGGGCGAGGTGGTGGGCACCTGTAATCTCAGTTACTTGGGAGGCTGAGGCAGGAGAACTGCTGTAACGCAGGAGGCAGAGGTTGCAGTGAACCGAGATCATGCCATTGCACTCCAGCCCAGGCAACAACAGCAGATTCTGTCTAAAAAAAAAAAAAAAGAAAGAAAGAAAGAAAAAGAAAAAGAAAAAAGAAAAGAAAAAAAATGCTAAGAATTAGTTTTAAAATATTCAATAATTGAGAGATAAAACAATAAATAGAATCAGAAACAGAAATGATTCAAGTAATACAGCTAACAGATAAGGAATTCAAAATAATTAAGATGAATATATTTAAGAAAAGAGAAAAAAGATAGTCAAAATGAATAAAAAATACAGAATTTCAATCACAGATTAAAATCTATAAAAAGAAATAGACATTCTAGAAAAAAAATTATCTAAACTTAAGAATGCATTCTAAAGACTTCAGTGCTGTATTCGTCTGTTCTAACACTGCTAATAAAGACATACCTGAGACTGGGTAACTTGTTAAAGAAAAAGGAGGATTAATGGACTTACAGCTCCACATAGCTGGGGAGGCCTCACAACATGGCAGAAGTCAAAGGAGGAGCAAAGCCATATCTTACATGGCAGCAGGCAAGAGAGCCTGTGCAGGGGAACTGCCCTTTTATAAATCCATCAGATTTCATGAGACTTATTCACTATCACGAGAACAGCACAGGAAAAACCTGCCCCCATGATCCAATTACCTCCCACCCAGTCCCTCCCACAACTCATGGGGAGACACAGCCAAACCGTATCAAGTGCAGACTCGAAGCAACAGAACACTGGATTAGTGCATTTGAAGACAAGTCAACATAAAAATATCTTAATAAAAGTGCTGAAAGGAAAAGAAATTACACAAAGAGCAATTCTGTGTCAGAATGGGGCCAAAGTAACCCTCAACTAAAGGCTTCTAGACATGCCCTACCATATATAAAAAGTCTTGAAAAGATCTTTAAAAGATCAGTCTTGAAAAGATCAAAGCGATTCTGAGTAATTCAATGATATCCCAAAACAAAACCCAAAAATATTTAGAGAAATACAAAGAATTTATGGGTATGTATTGTTCTTAGCTTCTCATGCTGTACATAAAGTGTTATATTATTTACAGGTAAGCTATAATAAGTTAAAGTTGCCTACTATAAATCTTTGAGTAAGCACTCAAAGCACAGTAGCTAAAATGAAGCTAAAATAAAATCATTAAGAAACAATACAAAAGCAAATTGGAAAATAAGAACAAAAGTGCATGCACACACACATACACAAGGGACAGATGGAAAGTGAATAGCAAGACAGTACATTTATGCTATCATAACAGTGATAGCCAGAATTCTGAAATGACCCCCAAAAATCTATACCCGAATCTCTGGAATCTATGAATATGTTTAGATAGTAAATATGGTTTTGCAGGCCATATTGTCTCCATTGTGACTACTCAATTCTCCCATTGTAGCCAGAATATTCTAGATATGTAAATGAATGGGAATGACTATGTCCAGTAAAACTTCACTTACAAAAACAGGTGGTGAGCTGGATTTGGCCCACAGACCATAGTTTGCTGACCCCTGACAAAGAACCTCCTAAGAAACCTACAAAAAAAGATATTAAAACCAATAAGTTAATTTAGCAAAGTCACAGGATATAAGGTCAATGTACTAAAATCAGTTGCATTTCTGTATACTAGCAATAAACAATTGAATTTTGATATCTTTGTTAAATTTATATGACAGAATTCTGAACTCATTTGCTGTGTTATCTTGAAGACTTTGAGTTTCCTCAACACAGCTATTTTGAATTCTCTGTCTGAAAGGTCACATATCTCTGTTTTTCCAGGATTGGTCTCTGGTGCCTTATTTAGTTCATTTGGTGATGTCATATTTTCCTGGATGATGTTGATGCTAGTAGACATTGTCAGTGTCTGGCCATTGAAGAGTTAGGTATTTATTGTACTCTTCACTGTCTGAGCTTATTTGTAGCTTTTCTTCTTGGGAAGGATTTACAAATATTTGAAAGAAGTTGGGTGTTGTGATCTAAGCTGTATCTGCTTTAGGGAGCACCCCAAGCCCAGTAACACTGTGGTTGTTGCAGATTCTTAGAGATACCGCCTTGATGGTCTTGGACAAAATCTGGGAGAATTCCCTGGATTATCAAGCACAGACTCTTGTCTTTTCTCACTTTCTCCTAAACAAACAGGGCCTCTCTCTTTGTTCTAATACTGGGGGTGAAGAAGCTGGGGGTAAAAAGACATAAGCACCCCTATGGCCACCACCACTCTAACTGCTCTGGGTCTCACCCAAGGCCTGCTGTAACAATTCCCTGTGTACTGCCTCTGTTCAGCCAAAGCCCAGGGGCTCCACAATCAGCCAGTGGCAAAGCCAGCAAAGCCTGTGTCCTTCCCTTCTGGGTGGAAAGGTCTTCTGTTCCCGAGGTGGGTCCAGAGGTACCATCCAGTAATCAGAGACTAGAATCAGAAAACTTAGAAGTCTACCTGTTGTTCTACTGTAGTGTAGCTGAGCTGGCACTCAAACCACTAGTTCCCATCTTTTTTTCACCTTTCTAAAGGCAGAGGAACCTCACTCTATGGCCACCCCCACCCCAGGCCACAAGAAGTAACCCCAGACTACCACCAATGTCCCTTAAGGGCCAAGGTCTCTTAAGTCAGTTTGTAGTGACTTGCCTGGGACTCACTCGTCATGGCAGTGAGCTCTCCCCTGGCTCAGGATGGATTCAATAATGCCATCCAAAAGTAAAGTCAAGTCAAGTCCTAGAGTCAGGGACCCCAAGAGCCCACTTGGTGCTCTACCCCGCTGTGACTGTGCTGGTACCTAATGTGTAAGACAAAGCCCCCTTTACTTTTCCCTCTGCTTTTCTCAATACTTTCCCTCTGCTTTGCCCTATAGCCAGCCACCACAACTGGTAATGTGCTCAGTCTCACCTGAAGCCAGCAAGTCTCAGAGGCTCACTCAAGGCTCTTGACATAGTACCTGGGTATTGGGGCTGGTTATTCATGGCTCTTCAGATAGCAGGTGATTAATGCTGCCAGGACTGGGTCTTTTCCTTCAAGGCAGTGGGTTCCCTTCTGGTACAGGGTGTGTCCTTAAATGTTGTCCAGGTGCTAGATCCTGGAACGGGGGCCTCATGACTCTTACTGAAGCTCTGTCCTGCTGTGGCTAAGCTGGTATTGAAGATGCAAGACAAAGTCTTACCCACTCTCTCCCCTCCTCTCATCAAGCAGATAGAAGGAGTCTCTTTTGGAGCCATGAGGTATGCAACCTGGATTTAGGGGAGGGCTAATGCCACCAACTCCCTTAGCAACCCTGACTGGTGTCTCAATAGGTCATGTGCCCCTGGAGTCCACTGTCTCTGGGCCTACTTCAGCACTTGAACTTGTCTAAAAGTTGCCATCCTTATGGCCTAGACTGCCTTTCAACTTCATTTAGAGACACAGAGCACTGTAGTCCATGGTGGCAAAGTTTGCTAGAACTCAAGTTTGGCACTCTGGGATTGGTGATTCCGCTCTCACTAGGGCTGGTTTAAATGCTCCCCCTGTGGGAGGGCATCAGCTGAGTTTGGTCCAGCTTTCCTTTATGCTCTAACAGGACAGCACTGAGCTCAATCCCTCCCAGTTGTTGTGTTCTCCTTCCCCCAGTGCCTAGAGATGTTCTCTGCACCACATACTGCTGCCAGGGGCTGTGGAGGGGTGGTGTTGGTGATTCAGGACTGTCTTTTCTATCTCTTCAGTGCTTCTTCCAGCTATATGAAGATAAAACCGGGTACTATGAGGGCTCACCTGATTTTAGGTTCTTATGAAGGTGTTTCTTCTACATAGATAGTTGTTAAATTGGTGTCCTTGCTAGGGAGACAATGAGTGGAGCCTTCTATTGTACCATCTTCCTCCACTTGTGATATGATTTGGCTATGTCCTCACCCAAATCTCATCTTGAATTCCCACATGTCATGGGAGAAACCTAATGGAAGTAACTGAATCATGGGGGCAGGTCTTTCCCATTCTGCTCTTATGACAGTGAATAAGTCTCACAAGATCTGATGGTTTTAGAAAGGGGAGTTTCCCTGCATAAGCTCTCTTATCTTGATTGCTGCCATGTGAGCCATGTCTTTCACTCTCTGCCATGATTGTGAGGCCTCTCCTTCTGCCATGTGAGTCCACACGGACCTGTAAGTCCATTAAGCCTCTTTCTTTTGTAAATTGCCCAGTTTTGGGTATGATTTTATCAGCAGCATGAAAAAGGACTAATACAACCTGTCTCCCCAAATTATGATATATTTATACAGTGGAATAACATGCAGCCATAAGAAATAATAAGGAGTTACTATACAGGAGGATCTCTAATATCTTCTAAGGTTAAAAGAAAAGTATAGAGTCCTGTCAATAAATAAAAAATGAAAAAAGTCAGTGTGTATATAGGTATGTAATACAAATATTTCTGAAAAGAAATATATAGGTTGTCTGTGAGAAGAGGAGTGGCTGAGGTTCAGGAATAGGAGAGACGTTTCTCTGAATTCTCTATTCTATGAATTCTGAACCATCTAAATACATTACATATTGGAAAAATTTAGTAAAATAATTGGGTTAGAGAGAAAAAAATACAAAAACAAACAGTAAAAGGCCACTTGAAATTCTAAACTCTAATCTAGTCAATATAATCTAGAGGTATTTGGCAGAGCACTCTAAAGAAGAATAACCACAATTTGAAAACTTGATTATTTTTTTAAATTTCTCAATTTCTAATTATTACCCAACAACATGTATTGAGTATTTTAGTTAAATAAAATCATCCATAGACAAAAGCTTTCTAGTGAATTAAATTAAGTTGAATCTAAAATTAAAACTCTATTGTGGTTCTGTCCAATGGCAATTTCTCAAATCAAAGAGGGAGATGGCATCTTTTCTAGCTTTTCAAAACAGTTTGACATTTAGTTTTACCTAGTACTGATTTAACTTACCAAAAATCAGCAAACACAGTTTTTAGCCATGCTTTTCTACACAGTTAGAAAAATGTCTTCTATAATCTCAACCATATCACCACTACCCTATTACACCATCTCTGAATCCTTTTCATCTCTTCCCTGATGCCCTCCACAAGTCATTTTAAAGAGCAATTAGGCTTTGTGAGCTGATTGGCATTGAGCAGAGAAAAAGTTTTTTACAAGTCTGCTTCCAAATATAATAGAACAGAAGAATTTGTTTCTAAACTTGCTCACCATTTTATGTTTCATCATATCCCAAGAATTTAGTTGGTATGAATTTAATTATTTTTTAAATTAAAAAAAAATTCATAAAAAAGGATGAGTTCATGTCCTTTGTAGGGACAGGGATGAAGCTGGAAACCATCATTCTCAGCAAACTACCGCAAGGACAAAAAACCAAACACTGCATGTTCTCACTCAAATGTGGGAATTGATCAATGAGAACACTTGGACCCAGGAAGGGGAACACCACACACCGAGGCCTGTCGTGGGGTGGGGGAAGGGGGGCGGGATAGCATTAGGACATATACCTAATGTAAATGACGAGTTACTGGGTGCAGCACACCAACATGGAACATGTATACATATGTAACAAACCTGCTCATTGTGCACATGTACCCTAGAACTTAAAGTATAATAAAAAAAAAGAATGACTACTTAACTGTTTCTCCTGTATTTTTCCTTAAAGTGAATAATTTTTAATATAAAGTCATTCTCTCTTCTCTAGTGCCTAGCTTATCTCAGAGTACTAAAGGGGTGAAGTGCTGATCAATATCTTTTCCAAAACCAAAGAATACAGGGATTGCACCAGATATAGCACACCAGTAGGAAAATAGTTACCCGCCATGGGTAACTAAATAAAGAGAGAGAAAAAATGCAACCTTCCTACAGAAAACCCCATGTATTTTGAGTTGTGAATACAATTTGTCTCTAGTAGGATAGGATTTATGAGTACTTGAATATCCCTCTGTTCAATCATCTCTAAAGTTTTTACTCAAGGGAAGTAAAAAGCATAAAAATAAATAAAGACACCTGCATTCTTCCTAATCCTACATCATCTGCAACACCTACAGACACATATATTTAGTAATATTTTTCTAATAAGTCTGCAAGTCTAAGTTTGGATAACCATACAGAGATTAATTTGGCTTAGAAGAGCTAATAAAAAAATCTGAAGCCATTTTTTATAGATCTTGCTTACTTAGAACTGATTTTGTCTACCTAACATAGATCTGGCAAGAGCAGAATTCAACAGGGCAGGGGGACAAAACTGGGAAAGTTCTGGGGAGTAATGCTCAACTAGAAATGAAAACAATCACTTCAGAGAAAAAAACTGAGGGAAAAAGGGAGGATGGGAGTATATGGGAATGATTACTTAACTGCTTTTCCTGTATTTTTTTCTTAAAAAGTGATTAATTTTTAATAGAAAGTTATTCTCTCTTCTCTAATGCCTACCTTATCTTAGAGTGCTAAAGGGGTGAAGTGCTGATGGATATCTTTTCTAAAGCCAAATAATGCAGGGATTACAGTAGATATAGCACACCATTAGGGAAAACATTGCTACTTTCTCCAACACTGATAAACAAGGGATGTTTGGCATGTGTCCATATCCCAGCTTTGGGGCCCCAGAGAATAAATCTGATTGTGGTATCCTGAAGCTCAACAGTCTACTTTGAAAGGAGAGAAAGAGATACGTGAATCAGGAGGGCAGCATGAAACCACTAGCTGGGTGTTAGTGAGAAGACAGAAATTAGAATCACAAAGTCTATAAAGCCCAATCCAGATTGTTTGTGGAGCTAGAGGTACCATCATTCCTAGACATTAAGCCACAGCAACCTGGTAGAAAAGCCAAAAAGCAATCACAACCTACAAAGGAGAGAAAAATGATATTGCCAAATAAAACCCTCTAAGGAGAAAACTGGCCCTACCTCTCAAATACCAGAGGAGTAGGGCAGGGAATGGGGTTGGGAACACATTTTGTAAAAAGAAGCACATGCTCTCCAGGCCACTAGTCTAGCCTTGGGTGGAAGGGGTGCATGTGGAGGAGAGTGAGAGAAGGAAGTTTTCAGGCCAATGAGATAGCAAGAAGAGACTCCACAATTCTGCAGGCCCTGAAAGTAAGAAAGACATTATGAATCAAACTGGATGTCATTAAAAGGGCTCATTACATAACAGAAAATGCGTGGAGATTTCAGAGACTACAGAAGTAGTGCAAAAAAAACACATAGTCCACATCTGTATCCTAGTGGATCAAGACTGCTAAACATTGTTACAGTAGTATTTATTTTTTATATATTATTATCAATAGATAAAAATATGACAAACCTCCAAAAGAATGCTTCTAGCCTCTACCCTTGTATACTCTCAAAAAGAGTTTCAGAAAGGTGAGTGTCCCATCTATTCTAAAATGTCATTTAAAGGTAATCTTCTTCCTAAAGTTATTCTAATGTTTAATAACTCTATTTGCAGGGCACTTTCTTCACAAAGTTGAAGATCTTTTATAAACATTAAATGCACACCAGTCAGAATGGCTATTATCAAAAAGTCAAAAAAAAAAAACAGATGCTAGCGAGGTTGTGAACAAAAAGGAACACTTACACACTATTGGTGGGAGTGTAAATTAGTTCGGCCATTGTGGAAGACAGTGTGGCAATTCCTCAAAGACCTAAATACAGAAATACCACTCAACCCAGCAATTCCATTACTGGGTATATGCCCAAAGGAATATAAATCATTGTATTATAAAGACACATGCACATGTATGTTCATTGCAGCACTCTTCACAATAGAAAAAACATGGAATCAACTTAAATGCTCATTAATAATAGATGGATAAAGAAAATGTGGTACATATACACCACAGAATACTATACATCCATAAAAAAGAATGAGATTATGTCCTTTGCAAGGACATGGATGGAGCTGGAGGCCATTATCCTTAGCAAGCTAATGCAGGGACAGAAAAGTAAATACCACATGCTGTCACTTATAAGTGGAAGATAAATGATGAGAACACATGGACACATAGAGGGGAACAAAACACACTGGGGCCTATTGGAAGGTGGGAGGAGGAAGAAGTCAGAAAATAACTAATGGGTACTAGGCTTCATACCTGGGTGATGAAACTTGTGTACAACAAACCCCGATGACACAAGTTTACCTATATAACAAACCTGCACTTGTACCCCTGAGCTTAAAATAGAAGTTAATAATAAAAATAAAATGCCTGTATACTACTCCTAAGAAAACATAAAAATATTTGCTTTCCAATTCTAAAAGTGTAGGTCTTATTCCAGTTAACAATATGACTTTGGCTTCCAGTCTTTCATTCTAATCTACATAAGTGCAATGTAAAAATCAAAACATTTCATGTGGTCTTTCCTTCTGAGTAAATCCTTGAACATGCACTTTGTGACTACACCTTCAAAAGGCAAAAATAATGAAACAGGTCAATAAAAATTCAAGTAATTTCTAAATTGGTGCAATACAAAGCTAACACATCAGTTCAGCAGAAATATTGATTAAATTGATTTTTCAAAAAGGTAACAGCATATTATAGCATCATGTATAAAAACACACTGGGGATATCAATTAAGACAGAATTAGGAGCTTGGAAGGTTGATAGGGTAAGTGGATTGTGGTTAAGAATTTGTCTGTCTTCTAACATTCATGGAATAAACTTATATTATAAGAGATTGATATTTAACACTCTCAGGAACCATAATGATTTATAGTATGATAATGGAACAAAGTTAAAAGCATATGGGAAATTTGAAAGATAGTACCAAAGAAAACTGCCACAGGAGACTAAATTTACAGCCTGGAAAATAATTTGCTATCACAACTGTCACTGCTTACGTAAAATTGTTTTTGTCAGTAGTTGGTCAACATAAAGATGTGCTGTCATCACTGCATAAAAATAAACATAGAGATCAGACCAACACCCAGTATTACACTGGAAAAAGGAAGAGAGAAACCCTTGCCTGAGAAGAAAAAAAATGTCACAATTTTCAATAGTGTCCTAAGCCAAATATTCATAAAAAGATCACTTGCCAAGGAAAAAATACTTTCCTAATTTGTTTCTTTTGTTGTGTTTTGCTTTGAATCTGAAAAGTTCTTTTTTGTTTTGTTTAAAGGGCAAATTCATAAATATTTACAGAGAGATCTTACTAAGCAGAAAAAGGGATTAGAAAATGTTTTTCAATGAATGCAACATTTCATGTAAATTGAATTATATAATCAATTTTATATTAAAGAGAAAAATTATAAATCACAAAATATAATCTATTTTGTGAGACAATATTTTAGATGATATGAGATGTGAAGACAATCCAGTGTTTTGTTTTTGTTATGGTTCAAATTAAATTTAAGGAACATATTGGCACCTAACACAGTAAGCAATAATGTGTGTATTAAACGTTACCAAGTAAAAACAGTACCTAATAGTTAATGTCTTCATTTTGAATTTTGAATTTAAACATATATTAAACATACTGATCACTATATACAATTCTTTATTAAATAGTCTTATAAAATCTTTGATTTTCTATTTTCTTGTACATCTGAGATTACAGTAAAAGTTTTTCAATTACAACCTCACAAACACAAAGATGAATTACATTTTTGTTTTATTCAGATAGTGATACTATGGAATTAAATTCAAAATGTAATTCAGTAAAGGCACATTTTTGTTTTATTGAAAAACAATGTGGTTTCTTAAGAAAAATACATTCACTATAGTCACTAAAAACCTCCTAGTAAGAGCATCATCACAGAGACATTTAAATTTGTTGTTTCTAGTAGTCTTTTTCATTATTAAATACTAAATATGAGAGATGGGCTTTTAAAAAATTATTTGTAGATAGTTTACACTTAAATAGGCTTCATTCTCAAATTATAGAACTATTTAAACAAATACAGATAAAACATTATATGTTCCATTCTCTTAAACATTGTGTTCATTTCTCCTAGAAACTTCATAGTCCTGGATATAAGTACCTACATGAAATTAACAAGGCCTTGATGCATCAAGAGTGAAAAGCTATGAATCATGTGATCCATCAAAGTGCAGATATAAATTGGGCGTCAGATTTACTCTCTCACTCACATAAAACTTTAGACATAACATCTTCTAAGAAGGTGTGCATCTTTTTGGACTTTGGCTTAATGATAAAATGACATCTCATGAAGTGCTTCACAAACCCAGTCAAGGAAAACAAAATAGGAAAAATACTTAAGAAAACAAGTCTCCTTTACCTTGCCTAAAGTCCTAAATTTACTTTCTGTAAAATAAGAAAATTAACACATCATCTTATGCCTATAGGCAAAAGGTGTTTGAAAAAATAGTTATCTATATTTTGTTTTTAAATTCTGAAAAAAAGTAAGTGGGAGAGAAAAACTGGCTACCAGTAATTGATTCATTCATCAAGTACTAATTGAGGCCTCTTTAGAAAATAAAAGTTATCATAGTATGTTATCTGTGTGTAAAGGGAGATGCAATAATGAAAAATGCTTACTCAGTGTACTTGATATCCAAGGAGATTATGTGTTCCCCCAAAAGCTGTAAAAACAACAATATCCATAGTTGCTTTAAGAAATTCAGCATTAAGGTAATTATTACAATAGTACAATTGGCATAAGAGTTTTCCCTGATATTTAGAAAACTCTGATAGCAATAAAAGCTATGAATTCCTCAAAATATCTCATAGTTTTTCTCCTTTCTCTAAAGTCCAGTAGGTAGTTAGAATTCTTTCATCTATCTACTAGATCACTCTCTTTAATTGTGAGAAAGGTAAACCATGTGTTATGTGTCTAAATGTCAGTATTTATGGGAGAGAATAAGTAATTAAAATATATATACAATAACATCACCTTAAGGATTATATTATGATTAGAGTTAAGGTAATAAGATTAGAATTTATACACCTTTATTTGTAATTTTTATATAAATCCCAAACAACGTCTTTTAACAGAAGTTAAATATATATTTTTCTAGCTAGCCATCACTAGATAATAACTTCCATCTTGTGCTTAAAATTGTATTGAGTAATTGAAAAGCATATCTGTAATAGAACAAAGAATTTTTTTAATTAATGAAAATATGAGAGTTCTAAAAGACAGCATGATAATTTGAAAAAATAGAAACCTGGTGTCTTGGTCCATTTTGTGCTGCAATAACCAAATACCTGAGACTGGGTAATTTATACAAAAAAAAGAAGAAGAAATCTTTGCTCCTTATAGTTCTGGAGTCTCAGATGTCCAAGATCAATGCACTGGCACCTGGTGAGGACCTTCTTCATGCATTATAACATGGTGGAAGACATCATATGGGGAGAGAGTGAGGGAAGAAACCTAGATTTATCCTTTCATAAGAAACTCACTCTTTCAATAATGAACTTGCTCTGACAATAAGGACATTAGAGCTAATCACCTCTTAATAGTCCCACCTCTCAATGCTATTCACTGGGGATTAAGTTTCCAACACATAAATTTGGGGGATGCATTCAAACCACAGCATTTCACCCCTGACCCCAAAATTCAGGCCCTCCTCACATGCAAAATACATTCATTCCATCCCAATGACCCCAAAAGTTTTAACTTGTTCCAGCATCAGCTCAAAAGTCCAAAGTCCAGAGTTTCATCTGAATCAGATATGGGTGAGACTCAAGATATGATTCATCCTGTACATACATACAAGATATATATATGCTTCCAAATACAATGGTGGAACAAGCATAGGATAGACATTCCCATTCCAGGCCCCAAGTAAATTTAAAAGCTAACAGGGAAAACATTAAACCTTAAAGCTTCAGAATAATCTTTCACTCCATGTGAAAGATAATCATTCACCTCTCTGACACACTCAGGCAGGGGTTAAGCAGCCCCACTCCTATCCACCCCTATGGCTTTGCTGACCTCAGCTCACTTAGCACTCTTATGGTTGCCATCTCATGCCTACAGCTCTCCCATGTGGAAGTTTCATGCTGGTAGCTCTATAGTTCTTGGGTTTCAGGGGTGGCCCCACTTCCATGGCTCAACTAGTCATTATCCTACTGGGGATCCTCTCTGCAGTGGCTCCAACCCTGCAACAGATTTCTGCCTGGGCCCTCAGACTGTCCAGTACATTTTTTTGATACCTAGGTAGAGGCTGCTATGGCCCCACCACTTGGACAGTCTGTCCATATGCAGAGCCAGCACTCTATGGGCATCACCAAGGCTTACTGCTTGCACTAGCAACACCTGGGTCTACTTGAGCTGTGGATGGGCCAGCTGAGGAACACTGCACTGGAATGTGGGGGAGTGAAGTGCCAAGGCAGCTCTTGTAGTAAGCCCATGGAACATGCCCTGATCTCATCCTCTAAAATCAGTCTGCCCTCCTAGAGCTCTGGGCCTGTGATGGGCATGGCAGCCTTGAAGAACTTCAAAATGCCTTCAGGGTCATTCTCTTATTGTTTGATGAATAGCACCTAGCTCCCTTCTATCTACACTAATCTCTTTTGCAAACAGCTGCTTAGACCTACCCTTGGTTTGCTCTCTTAAAAATGCCTTTTCACTCTTTACATGACCAGGCTATTAATTTTCCAAATATTTTCACTCTGCTTAACTCTTAATTTCAATTCTATCTTTAAATCATTCCTTTCCTTTCATGTCTTTAAAAGACATGCCATTACTTTCAATGGCAAAAATCACAATTATTTTGCACCAACCTAATATGAGTGGTTAAAAGTACTCATACAGCTCCTTCAATATTTTGCTTAGGAATTTCCTCCACCAAATATTCTAGTTCATCACTATTATATTCTGCTTTCTGTAAAGCCCTTGGGCATGGACACAATGCAGCCAAGTTATTTACAACCTTTTAACAAAGATGACATTTACTCCAGTTTCCAATAAGATAGTCTTCATTTCCCTCTGAGACCTCATCAGAATGACCTTTCCTTTCCATATTTCTACCAAGATTCTGATCACAACCACTTAAACAATCTCTAAAAAGATTCAGAGTTTCCCTACAGCTATACTCTTCTGAGTCCTCCCCAGAATTGTCCTTAAAGCTTCATTCATAGCCATCCAGGCTTTTTCTAGCCTGCTCCTCCAAATTTTTCTAGCCTCTGCCCATTATCCAAGTCCAAAACTGTTTTCTGCTTCCACATTTTCAGGTATTTGTTATAGCAACACCTCACTCATGACTAATTTTCACACTCAAACCATGGCACTTGGGAATTATTATTATTAACTCTAATTCTCTTACAAATTACTTTGTACAGTATTTTAATTTTTTTCTTAGATGTAAGGCAGATGTGTGTGTGTATATATATATATATATACACACACACACATCAGCTTGATTAGTATGATCGTGTGAAAAATAATGAACTTTGTTCCCAATTATTTTAAAAGCAATTTAAAAGTGAGATGATCATTGCTTTGACTTGGATGATATTGATTGAAAACAAACATAAAGATAGAGAAGTTTCCATGTCCTAATACAATCCTGTAACATATACCCTCTAATGAGAAGTTCTAAAATACAAGTTTAAAGGCAGAAGTTGACAATGTACACACATACACATGTATACACACTGAATTTCTGTACCTAATTCCAGTAATATTTTCAATTGCCATTTCAAAATTCCTATCCATATTTATGATTTGCATCTTAGTATCAAACTCTGCCCCTGGCTATAAAGCCATTATTTTTATTATCTTGGAAAGTATCCATGTGCAAGGAGAAAAACAAAATGTTATAATTTGTATTTATTTCCATTCTTTCTAACCACTGCTTAAATTCAGAATTGTTCTCTATTTCCTTTTGCAGCCCTTTTCTTTTCTGGTCACAAGGATGTCATTAATTCAAAGAAATCCAAGAATCAAAGTGCTAATTAAATTTCCTTTCAGTGCTTTTAATTTCCAGAAAAAACGTCATAATTTCTTTGAAAGTAACTCTCTATATAAAGAAATGAAAGTTGCAAACTTCAAATAGTATTAAAGAAATTATATATTAAATATAAATGAGCATTAAATAAGTTCCTCATTAAAAGGGGGGAAGGTGGCAAGGCAAAATGTTCAGGAATATCTGCTAAAAGAATTAAGAGTCAGGAGGAAATCCCACTACAGTCTCCTAGTTGGAGTGGGAAGGAATTCCCATCTTCCTACACTCTCCTAGAAAGGGTCCCTGGTGAGACACCATGAAAAATTATAAAACCCCCAGATATAATTACCTAGCAGTAATAATCTCTCTCTACAAAGACAGAGAAAAGAGAAAAAGAGAAAGTTCTCTATAAAAAGTAGAGAATTACTCCAGTACATCAGTGGGGAAAAGAAAGCTGAATAAAAACTGCCACTCTTAAAACACATCCACTTGAAAGAATCTTTTATTTTTCCATTTTTTCCTAATGCATATATCCCTACATAGTTTTTTTCTTCTATACTGCCAATGCTAGCAATTTTTATAGCCTGGTAGATCATTTTGCAGATAATTTCTATGTAATCTGATTTTCTTGTTTAGCAATATATTACGAGCTTTTTCCTGGTAGACTAAAATAGTCGTTTTCACTATTGTTAATAACACTATTTGAATATTTGGGGACATACAATCAGGGCTTTGAGGTAATATTCTTCTGAAAGTGACATAACAGGATCTGTTTCAGGACTTATGAACCATACTGACAAAATGATCTTACAAAACATTTTCCAATTTATATTTCTACATTTTAACTTCAAATTCTCCCATCTCAACATATCTTGAGATGGGAGTAAATCTTGAGATCAACAAAATGAAAATACAAGCAAAAGGAAAAATAAAACCCTGAGGAGTTAGCACTGTTGAAATCAATAATGGTATTTCCCATTCCTGCCTATAGTTGCAGAAATACAACAATGCTGGAGTAGTACTTAACAGCAATAAATCTATTTCCACATGAAGGGGAAAAATTGTTTTATAATTGATAAAGATGTGAAATTTCTCCACTTTTCTTTTTTTTTTTACTTAACACTTATATTTTAAAATAAATAACTGAATTATTTCAGTTAACAGAATAATTGATATCTTCTTATAGATTTCTGAGAGCAGTTTTGAAAGTCAGTGATTTTTATGTGAGGTGTATTTCAAGAACTCATTTTTTTCTTTGACTGCCTTTCTCTGATCTTTTATTATTATTATTATTATTACTATACTTTAAGTTTTAGGGTACGTGTGCACAACGTGCAGGTTTGTTACATACGTATACATGTGCCATGTTGGTGTGCTGCACCCATTAACTCGTCATTTAGCATTAGGTATATCTCCTAATGATATCCCTCCCCTCTATCCCCACCCCACAACAGTCCCCAGTGTGTGATATTCCACTTCCTGTGTCCATGTGTTCTCATTGTTCAGTTCCCAACTATGAGTGACAACATGCGGTGTTTGGTTTTTTGTCCTTGCCATAGATTGCTAAGAATGATGGTTTCCACCTTCATCCATGTCCCTACAAAGGACATGAACTTATCATTTTTTATGGCTGCATAGCATTCCATGGTGTATATGTGCCACATTTTCTTAATCCAGTCTATCATTGTTGGACATTTGGCTTGGTTCCAAGTCTTTGCTATTGTGAATAGTGCTGCAATAAACATATGTGTGCATGTGTCTTTAGAGCAGCATGATTTATAATCCTTTGGGTATATACCCAGTAATGGGATGGCTGGGTCAAATGGTATTTCTAGTTCTAGATCCCTGAGGAATCGTCACACTGACTTCCACAATGGTTGAACTAGTTTACAGTCCCACCAACAGTGAAAAAGTGTTCCTATTTCTCCACATCCTCTCCAGCACCTGTTGTTTCCTGACTTTTTAATGATGGCCATTCTAACTAGTGTGAGATGGTATCTCATTGTGGTTTTGATTTGCATTTCTCTGATGGCCAGTGATGATGAGCATTTTTTTCATGTGTCTTTTGGCTGCATAAATGTCTTTTTTTGAGAAGTGTCTGTTCATATCCTTCAGCTACTGGTTGATGGGGTTGTTTTTTTTTTTCTTGTAAATTTGTTTTTGAGTTCATTGTAGATTCTGGATATTAGCCCTTTGTCAGATGAGTAGGTTGCAAAAATTTTCTCCCATTCTGTAGGTTGCCTGTTCACTCTGATGGTAGTTTCTTTTGCTGTGCAGAAGCTCTTTAGTTTAATTAGATCCCATTTGTCAATTTTGGCTTTTGTTGCCATTGCTTTTGGTGTTTTAGACATGAAGTCCTTGCCCATGCCTATGGCTGAATGGTATTGCCTAGGTTTTCTTCTAGTGTTTTTATGGTTTTAGGTCTAATATGTAAGTCTTTAATCCATCTTGAATTAATTTTTGTATAAGATGTAAGGAAGGGATCCAGTTTCAGCTTTCTACATATGGCTAGCCAGTTTTCCCAGCACCATTTATTAAATATGGAACCCTTTCCCCATTTCTTGTTTTTCTCAGGTTTGTCAAAGATTGGATAGTTGTAGATATGTGGCATTATTTCTGAGGGCTCTGTTCTGTTCCATTGGTCTATATCTCTGTTTTGGTACCAGTACCATGCTGTTTTGGTTACTGTAGCCTTGTAGCGTAGTTTGAAGTCGGGTAGCGTGATGCCAGCATCTTTGTTCTTTTGGCTTAGGATTGACTTGGCAATGCGGGCTCTTTTTTGGTTCCATATGTACTTTAAAGTAATTTTTTCCAATTCTGTGAAGAAAGTCATTGGTAGCTTGATGGGGATAGCATTGAATCTATAAATTATCTTGGGCAGTATGGCCATTTTCATGATATTGATTCTTCCTACCCATGAGCATGGAATGTTCTTCCATTTGTTTGTATCCTCTTTTATTTCATTGAGCAGTGGTTTGTAGTTCTTGAAGAGGTCCTTCACATCCCTTGTAAGTTGGATTCCTAGGTATTTTATTCTCTTAGAAGCAATTGTGAATGGGAGTTTGCTCATGATTTGGCTCTCTGTTTGTCTGTTATTGGTGTATAAGAATGCTTGTGATTTTTGCACATTGATTTTGTATCCTGAGACTTTGCTGAAGTTGCTTATCAGCTTAAGGAGATTTTGGGCTGAGACGATGGTGTTTTCCAGATATACAATCATGTCATCTGCAAACAGGGACAATTTGACTTCCTCTTTTCCTAATTGAATGCCCTTTATTTCCTTCTCCTGCCTGATTGCCCTGGCCAGAAATTCCAACACTATGTTGAATAGGAGTGGTGTGAGAGGGCATCCCTCTTTTGTGCCAGTTTTCAAAGGGAATGCTTACAGTATTTGTCCATTCAGTATGATATTGGCTGTGGGTTTGTCATAGATAGCTCTTATTATTTTGAGATACGTTCCATCAATATCTAATTTATTGAGAGTTTTTAGCATGAAAGGTTGTTGAATTTTGTCAAAGGCCTTTTCTGCATCTATTGAGATAATCATGTGGTTTTTGTCTTTGGTTGTGTTTATATGCTGTATTATGTTTATTGATTTGCGTATGTTGAACCAGCCTTGCATCCCAGGGATGAAGCCCACTTGATCATGGTGCATAAGCTTTTTGATATGCTGCTGGATTCAGTTTGCCAGTATTTTATTGAGGATTTTTGCATCAGTGTTCATCAAGGAAATTGGTCTAAAATTCTCTTTTTTGGTTGTGTCTCTGCCAGGCTTTGGTATCAGGATGATGCTGGCCTCATGAAATGAGTTAGGGAGGATTCCCTCTCTTTCTATTGACTGGAATAGTTTCAGAAAGAATGGTACCAGCTCCTCCTTGTACCTCTGGTAGAATTCGGCTGTGAATCCATCTGGTCCTGGACATTTTTTGGTTGGTAAGCTATTAATTATTGCCTCAATTTCAGAGCCTGTTATTGGTCTATTCAGAGATTCAACTTCTTCCTGGTTTAGTCTTGGGAGAGTGTATGTGTCAAGGAATTTATCCATTTCTTCTAGATTTTCTAGTTTATTTGCATAGAGGTGTTTATAGTATTCTCTGATGGTAGTTTGTATTTCTGTGGGATTGATGATGATATCCTCTTTGTCATTTTTTATTGCTTCTATTTGATTCTTCTCTCTTTTCTTCTTTATTAGTCTTGCTAGTGGTCTATCAATTTTGTTGATCTTTTCAAAAAAAATCAGTTTCTGGATTCATCGATTTTTTGAAGGGTTTTTTGTGTCTCTATTTCCTTCAGTTCTGCTCTGATCTTAGTTATTTCTTGCCTTCTGCTAGCTTTTGAATGTGTTTGCTCTTGCTTCTCTAGTCCTTTTAATTGTGATGTCAGGGTGTCAATTTTAGATCTTTCCTGATTTCTCTTGTGGGCATTTAGTGCTATAAATTTCCCTCTACACACTGCTTTGAATGCGTCCCAGAGATTCTGGTATGCTGTGTCTTTGTTCTCGTTGGTTTCAAAAACATTTTTATTTCTGCCTTCATTTCTTTATGTACCCAGTAGTCATTCAGGAGCAGGTTGTTCAGTTTCCATGTACTTGAGCAGTTTTGAGTGAGTTTCTTAATCCTGAGTTCTAGTTTGATTGCACTGTGGTCTGAGAGACAGTTTGTTATAATTTCTGTTATTTTACATTTGCTGAGGAGTGCTTTACTTCCAACTATGTGGTCAATTTTGGAGTAGGTGTTGTGTGGTGCTGAAAAGAATGTATATTCTGTTGATTTGGGGTGGAGAGTTCTGTAGATGTCTATTAGGTCCGCTTGGTGCAGAGCCGAGTTCAATTCCTGGATACCCTTGCTAACTTTCTGTCTCATTGATCTGTCTGATGTTGACAGTGGGGTGTTAAAGTCTCCCATTTTTATTGTGTGGGAGTCTAAGTCTCTTTGTACGTCACTAAGGACTTGCTTTATGAATCTGGGTGCTCCTGTATTGGGTGCATCTATATTTGGGATAGTTAGTTCTTCTTGTTTATTGATCCCTTTACAGTTATGTAATGGCCTTCTTTGTCTCTTTTGATCTTTGTTGGTTTAAAGTCTGTTTTATCCGAGACTAGGATTGCAACCCCTGTCTTTTCTTGTTTTCCATTTGCTTGATAGATCTTCCTCCATTCCTTTATTTTGAGCCTATGTGTGTCTCTGCACATGAGATGGGTTTCCTGAATACAGAACACTGATGGGTCTTGGGTCTTTATCCAATTTGCCAGTCTGTGCATTTGACCCTGTCATTATGATGTTAGCTGGTGATTTTGCTTGTTGTTTTATGCAGTTTCTTCCTAGCCTTGATGGTCTTTACAATTTGGCATGTTTTTGCAGTGGATGGTACCGGTTGTTCCTTTCCATGTTTAGTGCTTCCTTCAGGAGCTCTTTTAGGGCAGGCCTGGTGGTGACAAAATCTCTCAGCATTTGCTTGTCTGTAAAGGATTTTATTTCTCCTTCACTTATGAAGCTTAGTTTGGCTGGATATGAAATTCTGGGTTGAAAATTCTTTTCTTTAAGAATGTTGAATATTGGCCCCCACTCTCTTCTGGCTTGTAGAGTTTCTGCCGAGAGATCAGCTGTTAGTCTGATGGGCTTCCCTTTGTGGGTAACTGCACCTTTCTCTCTGGCTGCCCTTAACATTTTTTCCTTCATTTCCACTTTGGTGAATCTGACAATTATGTGTCTTGGAGTTGCTCTTCTTGAGGAGTATCTTTGTGACGTTCTGTGTGTTTCCTGAATCTGAATGTTGGCCTGCCTTGCTAGATTGGGGAAGTTCTCCTGGATAATATCCTGCAGAGTGTTTTCCAAGTTGGTTCCATTCTCCCTGTCACTTTCAGGTACACCAATGAGATGTAGATTTTGTCTTTTCACATAGTCCCATATTTCTTGGAGGCTTTGTTCATTTCTTTTTATTCTTTTTTCTCTAAACTTCTCTTCACACTTCATTTCATTCATTTCATCTTCCTTTGCTGATACCCTTTCTTCCAGTTGATCGCATCAGTTTCTGAGCCTTGTGCATTCATCACGTAGTTCTTGTGCTGTGGTTTTCAGCTTCATCAGGTCCTTTAAGGACTTCTCTGCATTGGTTATTCTAGTTATCCATTTGTCTAATTTTTTTTCAAGGTTTTTAACTTCTTTGCCATTGGTTCGAACTTCCTTCTTTAGCTTGGAGTAGTTTGATCTTCTGAAGACTTCCTCTCTCCACTTGTCAAAGTCATTCTCTGTACAGCTTTGTTCCATTGCTGGTGAGGAGCTGCATTCCTGTGGAGGAGGAGAGGTGCTCTGATTTTTAGTTTCCAGTTTTTCTGCTCTGTTTTTTTCCCATCTGTGTGGTTTTATCTACCTTTGGTCTTTGATGATGGTGACGTACAGATGGGTTTTTGGTGTGGATGTCCTTTCTGTTTGTTAGTTTTCCTTCTAACAGACAGGACCCTCAGCTGCAGGTCTGTTGAGATTTACTGGAGGTCCACTCCAGACCCTGTTTGCCTGGGTATCAGCAGTGGTGGCTGCAGAACAGCGGATATTGGTGAACCACAAATGTTGCTGTCTGATCGTTCCTCTGGAAGTTTTGTCTCAGAGGAGTACCCAGCTGCATGCGGTGTCAGTCTGCCCCTACTGGGGTGGTGCCTACCAGTTAGGCTGCTCGGGGGTCAGGGACCCACTTGAGGAGGCAGTCTGTCCATTCTCAGATCTCAAGCTGCATGCTGGGAGAACCGCTACTCTCTTCAAAGCTGTCAGACAGGGACATTTAAGTCTGCAGAGGTTATTGCTGTCTTTTGTTTGTCTGTGCCCTGCCCTCCGAGGTGGAGCCTACAGAGGCAGGCAGGCCTCCTTGAGCTGTGGTGGGTTCCACCCAGTTTGAGCTTCCCGGCTGCTTTGTTTACCTACCCAAGCCTGAGCAATGGCTTGCGCCCTTCCCCCAGCCTCGCTGCCACCTTGCAGTTCGATCTCAGACTGCTGTGCTAGCAATGAGCGAGGCTCTGTGGGTGTAGGACCCTCTGAGCCAGGTGCAGGATATAATCTCCTGGTGTGCCATTTGTTAAGCCCATTGGAAAAGTGCAATATTCGGATGGGAGTGGCCTGATTTTCCAGGTGCTGTCTGTCACCCCTTTCTTTGACTGGGAAAGGGAATTCGTGACTTCTTGCACTTCCCGGGTGAGGCGATGCCTCGCCCTGCTTCGGCTCATGCATGGTGCACTGCACCCACTGTTCAGCACTCGCCAGTGAGATGAACCTGGTACCTCGGTTGGAAATGCAGAAATCACCCATCTTCTGCGTCGCTCAAGCTGGGAGCTGTAGACTGGAGCTGTTCCTATTTGTCCATCTTGGCTCCACCTCCAAAAGAATCTTTAAAAGTAATGAATAAAACTAGGGATCATGATTCTTTTTTTTTTTTTTTTTTTTTTTGGAGACAGAGTTTCACTCTTATTGCCCAGGCTGGAGTGCAATGGCACAAGTTCAGCTCACTGCAGCCTCCACCTCCCGGGCTCAAGGAATTCTCCTGCCTCATTCTCCTGAGTAGCTGGGATTACAGGTGCCCATCACCACACCCAGCTAATTTTTTTATATTTTTAGTAGAGATGGGGTTTCACCATGTTGGCCAACCTTGTCTCGAACTCATGGCCTCAGGTGTTCTGCCTGCCTCGGCCTCCCAAAGTGCTGGGATTATAGGCGTGAGTCACCGCGCCCAGCCCTCATGATTCTTTAAATTCCAAAGCTGAGAGAGAAAGTTAAAATTTTTATTTAAAATAAAAATTTTAAATAGGAAGCAGAGGTTTAGTAGGTATAAAGCATCCAGTTGTACCCAAATTTGTGCAAGTATTTAAATATTGCCAAGTTATACTAATAGTAACAATAATTATGCTTATCTACTACTAAACTGTTTCATTATCATTAGCAGAATTAATAGAACAGGATGCAAATGTGTTCCATAGAACACTAGACCAGCAAGATATCTCATATGATAAAAATGGAAATATGCCGCTCGGATCCTCTTTCAAGAAGGGACGTTTACCCAGCCCCAAAAGGTCCAGTTAGCTGTCAGCCTGTGGTTATTAATTTCTTCATATCTGCTCCAGGTTTCATCCCAAGGTCGTGCTCTTCTCAAGGTGGCATCAATCGATGGCTGAGCAAGAATGTAGTAAAAGGACCCAGCCACTTACTACTCAACATGAGACACCTCTGAAACAAGCAATTTTCACTTCAGATTCTTCAGTGTGTTAGGAGACTGTCAGATCTACATTGCAATCCTATTTCCCTACTGTCAATATTATTTCTTCCCTTTTCCTGTCTTAGGTGTTAATCTCCAATAAATCTTTCCAATCCTAACTCTGTCTTAGCATCTGCTTCCCAGAAAATCTAATATAGTGGAACAATCAAAAGTCTTAGAAACCAGGTGGCAAAATAGAGTTTAGCAACGGTATCACTAACTCCCTGACTGACAATAAGGACCCATCCGAGGTGATATCATGCCACAGGTAGTCCCTGCCTCAAGACATTGGCCCAATGGCTAAACCTTGAAGAAATGTACCTGTGGAGAGGAGCACCCTGGCCATTGTGCTGTAATTCAGGTATTTGAAAATGTAATAGAAACGATGCATAGAAAGTCAATGAAATTCACTGATTGTTATTAACTTACACTTACCCCTAAAAGGAATTATGAAAAACTGAGGGCAGTTAACAATTGAAAACTAAATGTGAAGGCTATAGGGTCCTTTGGCAGATTATTAAAAAGCCCTTATTCCTCATTTTTCCTACTCTGGAAAGCAAGAAAAGCTAAAGACCAAATTCAGGATTTAGTAGGAAGAGTCTCCCAGTTTCAAAGAAAAATGAATGTTCACCTGATGCAGGTCTGAATGTTCAACTGATGCAAGATTAGGACCCTGCTTAGAAACACCTGGGACCCTAATGCATGAAATGATAACATGTGGGTGGATTCCTCCTAGGATTTTTTTTCCCAAAACTACTCTTTTTTTTTTTTCCTTTTTTTGAGACAGAGTCTTGCTCTGTTGCCCAGGCTGGAGTGCAGTGACATGATCTCAGCTCACTGCAACTTCCACCTCCCAGATTCAAGTGATTCTTCTGCCTCAGCCTCCTGAGTAGGTGGGAATACAGGTGCATGCCACCATGCCCAGCTAATTTTTGTATTTTTAGTAGAGACGGAGTTTCGTCATATTGGCCAGGCTGGCCTCGAACTTCTGACCTCGTGATCTGCCCACCTCAGCCTCCCAAAGTGCTGGGATTACAGGCTTGAGCCACCACGCCCAGCCCAGACTACTCTTAAGTTCAGAACATGCAAAGATGTCCTAGCCCTCCCTGTTAAGACTTAGCACTTCCCCAATCCAAGAATAGCCTGCAGAAGCCCCTAACCTGCAAAGCAACAGGAACCTCCACTCAGCACCCCCCCTTACCTCCTTTATGCTAAATCATCAAAAAAATAGGATTAAGTTGCAGCAATAATCCAGTCGGAAGTGCTGGACCTGATAAAAGAGGAATAGGAACTATATCCACAAAGACATGAAAGAACCAACCAGTATGTATTAGCAGAAACCAGAATAGTACCTATTGCCTGGGTTTAATGAGTGTTTGATAAAGGGGGCTGGATTACAGGACTAGATACATTGAATGCTAATTGGCTTAGAACACTGTCTCACAATATATATTTAACACCCTGGAAAATACTCTGAAAGATGGTGTCAGTTTGCAGCTAGGGTGGCTCCAATAAGCCTGGAGGAAGTAATAATTCACACTGAGAAAAACTGAAATGCTTGAATTGCCATAGCAGATGGTCGAGAAAGGAATTGGTGACAGAGCAAGACTCCATCTCAAAAAAAAAAAAAAAAAAAAAGCTTAAGAAATCATGCATACTGAGGTGTCTATGATATGTAAGACCTGGGGAGATTATACATAACCCCATCAGAAGATTCTATTCTATGTCACAAAAGATGCCCAGAGGGTACACAATTGACCAAAGCCATCAAGAATATGAGAGGGACACTATCATTATTTAAAAGTTCATAATGGCTCTCCTCTGCAGATCAAAACTGATATAGAAAACACCATAACAGAATTTGTCTCATTGATAACAATGAAGATAATGGGGCACTAAAGCAATAGAGGCCAGAAAAGGGTACTTAACCACCAGAAACCAGGGTTGCAATCAACATAAATGACAAAGTTAAAATGAATGGAGGATGAATGGGTAGAGAGAGGGAGATGGATACAGAGACACAGATATTAATTTTGCAACAAATGATCTTGAAAAAAATCAATATTCACATTCAGTTCCATTCAATGGAATATTACTCAACAAAGGAGGAAGGAACTACTGATACATACTACAATGTAGATAAGCATCAAAAGCATTAGGCTAAGTAAAAATATTCATATGCATAAAAGTAAAAATAATAAAAGAAAATCAGCTCTTACCTCACACCATAAACAAAGGCTAACTCCAAATGGATCATACACTAAATGTAAAAGCAAAGTTATAAAACTTCTAGAAGAAGCTATAGAAGAAAATTGTTCTGCCCTTCAGCCTGACAGATACCTCATAGGACACAACAGGTATGAACCATAAAATGACAAATTGATAAATTGTTCTGTATGAACCATAAAATAACAAATTGGTAAATTCTTCTTTATCAAAATTAAGATCTTTTGCTCCTCAAAATTTACCAAGAAAATGAAACAGCAATCCCAATAGGCTTGGATAAGGTATTTTTTAAATGTATCTGATTTTAAAAACACCTATCCAGAATATGCTTAAAAACTTTTACAGTTCAATAATAAGAACAGAAACTGTCTTATTAAAATATGGGCCAGTTGAGTAGCCACTGCACCAAAGAGGATATACAAATGGCTTGGAAGCACTTAGAAAGATTCTTAGCTTCCCTAGTTGATAGAGAAATCCAAATTAAAATGACAATGAGATACCGCTACACATCCACAAGAACAGTTAAATTTTAAAAACTAACTATACTAACTGTTAGAAAAGATGTAGAGCAACTGGACTTTTCATATTTCACTGGTATGTTCAGTCACTTGGAAAAGAAGTTGGGTCATTTCTTACAAAGTTTGGCATATACTTGCTATACGACCCAGGAATTCTATTTCTAAGTATTTTCCCAGGGGTAGTAAAAGTGTAACTTTACACAAAGATTTTACTTGAAAATTTATATCATCTTGATTAATAATTATAATTGTGGGCTATCTATTCAATGGAATAGTATTCAACAAAAGGAGAAGGAACTACTGACACATGCTACAATATAGATAAGCATCAAAAGCATTATGCTAAATAAAAAGAAAGTAGGTCCCCAAAGACTATGTACTGTCTAATAAAAATTTTCAAGGCAAAACTGTAGCAACAGAATGCAAAACAGTGGTTAACAGAGGCTGGGGATGGGGGTGAATAATTACTGTAAAGGACCATGAGAGAAATTTGGGGGTGTTAGTAATGTTTTGACATGATGATTGTGTAAAAGGTACATGACTATACTTCAAAACTCATCAAATTTAACACTTAAAATATAATTTTATTTAACATCAATTCTACCACAAGAAAACTGATTTTAAAAGAAATATACATGTCCTTTGCCCATTTTTAATGGGGTTGTTTGTTTTTTGCTTGTTGAATTGTTTAAGCTCCTTATAGATTCTGGACATTGGATATTTGTTGAATGCATAGCTTCTGAGTATTTTCTCTCATTCTATAGGTTATCTGTTTACTCTATTGATAGTTTCTGTTGCTGTGTGGAAGCATGTTCTCACTGATAAGCAGGAGCTAAATACTGGGTAAACATGGAAATAAAGATGGCAAAAATACACACTGGGGACTACTCAGGGGAAGTAGGGGAGAGGGGTATGGTACTATTTGGTACTATGATCACTACCTGGGTGATGGGATCATTCGTACACCAACCTCAGAAACATGCAATTTATCCATGTAACAAACTGGCACATTTTCCCCCTCAACCTAAAATAAAAGTCAAGGAATAAATATAAATAAGCATATAAGAATGAACAAGCAGAAATCAGACAGCTATTGCCCCCATTAAAGTGCCATGATCTGGCCAGGCACAGTGGCGCATGCCTGTAATCCCAGCATCTTGGAAGGCAAAGGTGGGATCGATTGAGCCCAGAAGTTTGAGACCAGCCTGGGCAACATGGTGAAACACCTTCTCTACAAAAAATATAAAAATTAGCCAGGTATGGTGGCATACACCTGTATTCCCAGCTACTTGAGAGGCTGAGATGGGAGGATGGCTTGACTACAGGAGGCAGAGATTGCAGTGAGCCAAAATCACACCATTGCACTCCAGCCTGGGTGAGTGAGTGAGACCCTGTCTCAATCAATCAATCAACCAATAAAATGTCATGATCTCTTGATCAGTTCCCAAAACTGAGCCAGTTTTCAAATCTGGAAACTGTTGATTTAAGTGGTGGCCAGGTCTCCAGGAAAAAGGGCAAGACTGGCCATAATTGAGTTTACAAGGGGCCCACTGAGTTTGTCGACCCAACTGCTGGTCATTTCCCTGGCTGCCGAATAAATGATTAGGAATGACATATTTGGCACTTGGAGTAACCCTCCATTGGGTCTTTGACTTGTGGGGTAAAAGCTGTCTTAGTTGAGAAGCCCAATTGAAACTTCCAAAACTGTCCTTACTCTACCCATAGAAAGTGAAAAATCAAAAAAATAAAAATTGTATCCCAGGAATGGTAAAGAGATTAATGCCACTTTTAAAGATCAAATTAATGCAGGTATAGTGGTTTATACATTTTTCTAGTCTAGTCCCTGCAATCACTAGTTGGATCCTGGAGAATGGCCATGACTACCACAAGATCAAACAAGCTGCATTATGAGATGTGATATCACTACCAGAGCAGATTAACACAGCCCTAGATATGTGATGTGTGGCTACTGATTCCGCAAGTGTGCCATTTTCTATTCCAGTCAAGAAAGAATATAATAAACAGTTTACATTCACATGGAACTGACAATGATATATATTCATGATTTCGTCCAAGGACTTTGTTAATTCTCCTACCCTCTGTCATAATATAAACTGAAGAAATCTGAGCTATTTGTATACCTCACTGAATATCACATTGCTCCAGTATTATATCAATGACACCAAGTTAGTAGAGTAGGGTGAGCAAAAAGCAGTTGCAGACCTTGTTAAAAAATGTGTACTTCAAAGGGTGGGAGATACACCCTACAAATCTTCAGGGACCTGCCACTCCAGTAAAGTTATGGGAGGTCCAGTGATCAAGTACATATCAGGATATCCTCTGTAAAGTAAAACTCAAATTGTTGCATCTTATATCCTCTACTACAAAGAAGGACGCATAATGTCTTGCAGGCCTTTTCAGGTACACTGCATGCATTCAAGCTATGGTGCAAGTAACCAGGCTACCTGAGCCATGAAATCCACAAGAACCAACAGTGTTAAAAGTCAGTGGTGGGAAAAGGTATAGTGTGGAGTATGTTTCAAGCCTTAGTAGGAGAATCTTAATACAGATTCTTTGAGTCCTGAAGTATAGCCTTCCATCCACAACATAGAACTACATGCTTTTGAGAAACAGCTCTTGGAGTGCTATTGGGGTTAGGCAGTGTATTATGCTTGGCCATGGAATCTCAGGCAATTTTGCATCCAGAACTTCCTATCATGGTCTAGGTCCTGTCAGACATGCCAAGTCACAGAGTTGAGTGGGTCTAGCAGCAATCATAATGAAAGGTGAAGCCAGCTGAGCTTCTGGGTTGGGTGGGGACTTAGAGAACTTTTCTGTCTAGCTAAAGGATTGTAAACACACCAATCAGTGCTCTGTGTCTAGCTAAAGATTTGTAAATGCACAAATCAGCACTCTGTAAAAACACACCAACCAGCACTCTGTGTCTAGCTAAAGGTTTGTAAATGCACCAATCAGCACTCTGTAAAAATGCACCAATCAGCACTCTGTAAAATGGACCAGTCAGCAGGATGTGGGTGGGGCCAAATAAGGGAATCAAAGCTGGCCACCCCAGCCAGCAGCGGCAACCTGCTCAGGTCCCCTTCCAAGCTATGGAAGCTTTGTTCTTTTGCTCTTCACAATAAATCTTGCTGCTGCTCACTCTTTGGGTCCACACTACCCTTATGAGCTGTAACACTCACTGCAAAGGTCTGCGGCTTCACTCCTGAAGTCAGTGAGACCACGAACCCACCAGGAGGAGCAAACAACTCTGGACATGCCACCTTTAAGAGCTGTAACACTCACTGTGAAGGTCTGTGGCTTCACTCCTGAAGTCAGCAAGACCACGAACCCCCAGAATGAAGAAACTCTGGACACATCTGAACATCTGAAGGAACAAACTCTGGACACACCATCATTAAGAACTATAAGACTCACCGCGAGGGTCCGCGACTTCATTCTTGAAGTCAGCGAGACCAAAAACCCACTGGAAGGAACCAATTGTGGACACAATAAGATGAAAACGGCACTTACAGGATCAGAAGACACAAGCAAGCTGCATGAGGAGGTAGCTTGTGCTTCACGTTGCCCAGAATGGTTGCACCAGCACCCTTCTCCTTCAAGCTCATATTCAGGCCATATGGGAAATTTAACACTAGCAGCTTGCTAAAGGAGGAAGAAAAGGCTGAGCTTAATTTATGGATGGTTTTGCTCAGTATGCAGGTGAAGTCAAAAATACAACACAGTTTCATCACTTACTCACTCAGAGGTGGTCTTGAAAGTCAAATGGAGAAGAAAAATCTTTACAATGAACAGAGCTTTGGGTGGTGCACATAGTCATCCACTTTCTGTAGAGAGATGTGGCCTGATATTAGAAAATATATGGATTTATGGGCAGTGGCAAATGGCCTGGCCAGTTGGTCAGGAGCCTGAGAGAAGGAGGTCTGGGATAGAAGCACACAGAAAGACATAAAAGATGAGGTACTTATATTATACTTCAATACCCATCAAAAGCACCCACCACATAAGATGTACTAAACAAATAAGTAGACCAAATGAATCACCAGTTGATAATAGCTAGACATTGTCAGTGGCCACTTCAATGCTGGCACAATAAGCAACTGGAAAAAAATGACCATGGTGGCAGAGATGCTATGCATGGACCCAACAACATGAACTCCCACTGACCGAGGCCAATCTAGTTACTGCTGCCTCTGAATACCCAGACTACCAGCAAAAGAGACTACAGTTGAAACCCCAATATGCCAATATTCCCTAAGGAGATTGACCAACCATATGGTGGTAGGTTGACCACACTGGATTCTGTTATCATTAAAGGCCAGTGATTTGGTTACACAGTAATAAACACTAATTCCAGTTATGGGTTTGCCTTTCCTAACCACAGATCCTCAGCCAGTACCATATCTGGGGCTTACGAAGTATCTGTTCCACAAACATAGCATCTGACCAGGAAACCTACTTCACAGTGAAGGAGGTGCAGGAATGGATCTATCACCAAAGTAGCCACTAGTGTATTACATTCTACACCATCCTGTAGCAGCAGGCCTCATAGAACACTGGAAAGACCTGTTTAAATCACAGCTGAAGACCAGCTTGAAAACAATACTCTGCAAGGATGTGGTGCCATCCCCCAGGAAGCAGAGTGTGCTGAATGAGAGAGACTGTGTCCCAGTAGGAAAGCTATATGGATATGAGAAGATGGGATGGAAGAAATAATGGCCTATTTACCATCATTCCAAATGACTAAGGGGGAAATTTTGTGGCGCTGCAACTCTGAGCTCTGTAAGGTTAGAACTCCTTGTCCCCAAAGAGGACACTCTCTGCTGCAAGACACAGCAGAGTACCAGAGACCGAAAAGCTATAGCTGTGTCCAGGGATCGATAGGCGAAAACAAGTTGCATTTTGGCAAGGCAAATTGATCTTGATCCTCAAGAAGAAGTAAGAGGCCAGGCGCAGTGGCTCACACCTGTAATCCCAGCACTTTGGGAGGCCAAGGCGGGTGGATCACCTGAGGTCAGGAGTTCAAGACCAGCCCAGCCAACATGGCAAAATCCTGTCTCCACTAAAAAATACAAAAATTAGCCGGGCATGGTGGTAGATGCCGGTAATCCCAGCTACTCAGGAGGCTGAGGCAGGGAGAATTGCTTGAACCCAGGAGGTGGATATTGCAGTGAGCCGAGATCACGCCACTGCACTCCAGCCTGGGTGACAGAGTGAGACTCCATCTCAAAAAAAAAAAAAAAAAAAAGGTAAGATTGCTGTTATACAAATAGCCACAGTGAGGAATACATGTGGAACTTAGATGACCCACTTCAGTACTTGTTGGTATTCCCTTCTCAGTCATGATCATGAATGGACAAATGCAACAGCATTGGACTGAGAACAGATGGTCTTGAACCATTAGGATATCTACCTGTGTTAGGAGAGGTGAAGGCGGAAGGCAAAGGGAATTTAGGACAGGTAGTGGTAGAGGGAGAGGATGAACAGAGTTACAGTTTCAAGATGAACTGTAGTGCCAGTTTGTCCTTCTAACCTTCCTCTTCCACGTTTCCCCTCAGAAAGAGAGACCAACTGTGACCCTGGAGGAGCTGTTTCTCAAATGTGTGTGAGGTAGTGAAAGAAGTGGACTTCTTGGGCCCCCTTGCAAGAAAGGACATGTTGCCTAACTGCAAGGAATTTGCTTGAACAACTTCCAACTCTTAACTCCTTCATGTCTTCCTCTAGCTTTTGAATCAAAGTCATAATCTTTTCAGGGTGGCACCAGCCAATGACTGAGCAGACTCTGAAACAAAGGCCTCACCTTGACAGCCCAACTGAGGGCTCCTCTAATGGCAATCTTTGCTCCAGAGCTCTCTGTGGAGCTAACAAAGACTTTTTCAGATAAGCCCAAGAGCTCCCATGGCTCCATCTTGTTTTCTTCCCTTTCCTTTCATAGGTTACTCCCCAATAAATCTATGTACTCTAACTTCATCTCAGTACTGTTTCTTATTTTTTATCTTTTAAAACAAGTTTCTATCTTTCAAAAAGTGCCAGAAGCTCTGCATCTTGTGTCCCATTCTTACAATTACAAGATAAATTAACATAATAAAGTTGCTGAACATTCTAGCAAAAAGGAAATCTGTTCAACTTTGCTTACTCTGGAGCTTCCTAAAATAATTTGACCATGAAACCCTTTTCCTCCTAACACCCATAACATCCCACAGAAGTCATATCCGTGAACACACTTTGGGAAATACTAACAAAGCAGCAGCTTACCATATTTCAGATATATCCCCTAAGAAAAAATAAACATTTCTAAAAACTTGTCCTGCAAATAGAAATCTATAAAAGCATCATAATAAAATGAATTAGAAACTTATACAAGTTAACTTATTCTAATTCAGTGTATCCTTGAAAATTTGGGGGAAAATGTTGATATCAAAATTATAAATTTTTATAATTATTTGCATCAGGATTTTCCCAAAACAGAACAGTTAACTACTTTATATTTCTTCGTGGTTTGTTGTTGTTGTTGTTGTTGTTTTACTAAATTTACTTCTGGGTTACTAAAGTGATGAATAAACACTTCTCAGAATAATCTCTTTTCTCTCCATTTCTGCTGTCCTCAAGTTACACCTCCTAAGTCAAACAAGGTTTGACTTATCAATCTAATCTCCACCTACTTTGCCAAAGATGTTTTCTTTTAGTTCCTGGACACCAAACATTCTGAATCTACCCACCAAGATCTTACACCACATTTTCTCTATATATTGTACACATAGTCTATTTATCCTTTTTACATGTATGTCTCTTTTTTAGAAGCAAATTTAGCCCCTGAAAGGCAGCAATAAAGTCTTATAAATCTTTGTAACTTCAACAACTAACATGGTACGTATCATGAAGACTTTCCTTTTCCTGCCTCAGTCATCAATCTCAATTTGTCTATTCTTCTATTCATATCAGAATTCTTGAGATCATTGCTATATATCGCCTCAGAAGCCAGATGATGCACAACTTCATTATTCTTTTTTGAACCATCTCTTATCTTGGTTATATATGATCAACCAATACTCTTTACGCTCTATGGACAATATACTGTCTTCCAGACCACAGATAGGCACAGTCACATGTTTTCTTCAGATATATCCAACCAGAGCACCATATCCCTATGACAAATCCAGTAGACACTGTCTTTACATTAAAAGAAATAAATAAGATTCAAAATACTAGATAACTGCAGGGACTATATAATTAAATCACCTGAACCAGGATGCTGCTGAAAGCAGAGGAGACTACTAGTAATAATTAAACTGAAACAGCAGACACTAACTATTAGTGTCCCAGCAAACCCACTTTCTATTTACTCAAGAACATGTTTGCCACAGGGTTGCATGCCAAAGCCCTAAAGGAGGACAAGGCCACCTAATGACTCATTCTTTGATTCATTCATTCAACAAATATTTATTCAGTACTTCTGTGTGCCAGGTCCTTTGCTAAGCACTGAGATGAAAAGTCATAAACAAGGCAAATATAATCCTTGCCTTTGTGGAAGAAATAGAAAACAAGGAAACAAACACATCACTAAAATAATTGCCAATTGTGATTTTAAATGCTATAAAGAAAACAAAAAGCTTTGCAAGAGAGGGGAACATATGTGTTCAAAAAAACTATCTGGAGTGGTAACATTTGAACTGTGACTTGAAAGCTTAATATGATTAGTGATGGTGTGGCTGGGAGGTGGGAAGTAGGGAAGTGTTCCAAGCTCAGGAAACAGCATGTGCAAAGGCCCTGGACAGAGGGTGGGGGAGCAGGGAATGTTTAGTTTAGGTGGAAAAATGATGAAGACTTGCTTGCTCATAGTTTAGAGAAAAAAAGAAAAAGTATCCAAAGTAGGCTGGAGAGATCAGAAGTCTTACATTCCTTAGCTAGAACTCTCTGGTGAAAGGACAGTAGGACCTTAACTGCCAGTGCACACAGTACAGCTAATTCAGTAAGCATTTACTCTTTTGTCCCCTCTTAGCGTATGCCTACCCAAAGAGGTAAATTAAGAGGATGGAAAAAGATTACTGGAACTTAGTAAAAACCAACTGTGCTCATTTCCTCCTCTATTGCCATGGCATAATGAGGAGGGTAGAGAAGGAATGGACATGTTTATAGCAGCAGAATGAGTGCAGTACCACACAACACACTTTCTCCCTGGGTGTCTCTGCAGGAACTGGTGTCTCTTTGGAGCTGGAACTGATGTCTCTTTGTTCAGCATCTTCAAAAGTTGTTCTGGTCTATGCCTTTTACAAGTGACCACAGCATGGCAAAAAAATTCCAGACAATTTGTACAGTGCTTTTACCATTTGAACAAAATGCAAAATTAAGGTTGCACAATTATTGACAGAGAAGCAGAATACATTCCTTCTACCAAACGTTTGGTAACATGTGAATATAAAGCTGGAAGTAAAGCTGAGTGTCAAAGGTTTTATCAATAACTGAAAAAAAGCACTAATCCAAGGAAGTAATTACAGCTCAGAATAAAGTCATTTTCAAATTTAAAAAAATAAACTGTATTAAGTCTAAACATGAATTAATTTTAAAAGAAAAGAGGCTCCAGCATAATTTGGGGGTCCAGGAAAACACTGAGTTTTATTCTAGTATTTTGGGTTCAGCAAAATACATTTTGCCAAACATTTTCCCCCTTAATTAGGAAAAGGCATGCATATTTGAAAGGAAATTTAATCCATATGTTTCTGATTCATTTACACTTAATTCATCAAAATGTTGTTTTGTAAGAGTTATTTGGTGTCCAAGAAGTCTTATAAGACTCTTCTCTTTGAACCAGAAAGCTTTGCATTGCCAGGACTAAATGGAACTTTATTTGCAAAGAGAGGACCTAGTGTTCCTCTAGGAAGTTTGGCTCATAAACTAGACTCTACTCCTGGAGCAGTGAAGTCAAGAGTAACAGGTAACACTGAGAATTAGCAGGGAGAGATAAAGAGAAAACTGTCACTCTCCAGTGAAACAAACTCAGCATTCGGTTGTTGAGATGCAGTTTTTGCTTTCATTTGTTATTACGGAAAATGATGTCAATATTTTTTCAAAAAGAAAATGGACTTTGGTCCTTAGCATGGAATGTTATACTTAGTTATCAACCAAGAATAAATATGTTATTTTATAATACAACAGCGAAAGTGTATTTCCTCTGGTATTTCAAGCATTTTGTTATGCCGATTGTGAGCTTCCTCATTGCCTTCATGCACTTCACTACTTGTTTCGAACTTTGAGAATGCTATTCTTTATTTAATTGATGTTAAATTTTTCCACTAACCAGTGGGCTTTTTCTCTTTGGGTATGTGCTTGCTTAACTCCCAAGACTACTAATATTGGTTCTTCTGCTTCTTTATTTTTAATAAGCATGCAAGATCTCTACATTTAAAACTATATTATACTGTGATGTATTTACAGTGCTTAACTTGATTGTGCATATAATATGGCAACAGTTCAAAATGTCTTTTCCAATCATCCAAACAATATGATGCAGTTATAGTACTATCCCTTGATGGATGTAGAAAGCCTAAAATTTCTTGAATGACAATGAGGTACAGGATTTAAAAATACAGACCTCATCAAGATTCAAGATAACTGAAGATTTCCTATGATTGAAATCATGAAATAATTCAATGACAATAACTTGAGTAAAATATTAAACAGTAACAAAAATGGTTGCTGTTGATATGTTCTCAATAATTTAAACTACAAAAACAGACATTTTTAAAGTGCTCACTATAGATTAATATTATTTAATAACTGATTACGAACCCTCAAATATATCATCTATGTGTAATAGATATGTACACCTACTGAATAATTCCTTTTAACTCTTCTTTAAATCTAAAATATTTGAGATTGTCAAACTTTATCTCTATTTTCTTTGAAAAACTTACCAATTATTGACACATAGAATTTCATTGAGTGCAACCCTCAAATTGAAATCAAAGGTTAGTGAATACAGGAATTTATTGAGAGCCTAGGATGCAAACATGTTTTCAATCCTAAAGGATTTATCTGCATAGTGCAAAGTATGTGATTTGGAAATTATAAGAGCATTGTCTTATCTCTTATCTAATAACTATAACAAGAGAAAAAGGCCTCCAGAAAGAGAACTTGAATCAAGACCCAACTCTACCATTTAGAAACTGTTTTCCACTTAGATTTTTTTTTAAATTCCTATGAGCCAGTTTCATCATCTGTAAAGTGAGTAAAATATTATTCCTATCTCAAAGAGCAAAGAATTAAGCAATATATGTATGCTGAAGTAATGCTAGATGTTGTCATAAATAAATGCTCAAATGATACAAAACATGACAAAAATTCATTTCTCACACACATACAGTCCTAATTGGGTATTCTTGATTGTCAGGAGGTTTTGTTCTTAGCAGAAATGTTGGAAATAAGAGTATGCTTCTGATAACCCCACTCTTTCAACATATCATTTCTAAGATTGCTAATATTTGTCTGCATCAAGGCAGCAGAAAATGAAAAAGTACAGAGCATAACATATGAGATTTTACAGACTAGACCTAGAAATAGTACATGTCACTATTTTCTTGCCATTGAAAAGAACAAACTCATCTGGCCACATGCAGTCACAGCTGAGGATGGAAATGCCACTAATTGGGTTGCCAGGAAGAGAAAGAAACAGAATGGGAGAAAACTAACAACTCTTTGTCACAACATGTAAAGTTCCTAGTACTCTTCCAGTCATAGGACTAAGTACTCAATAAATGTTAGCTATCACCATTATTAATAATTTCTCTTAATTGAAGACATTTACCTTGGGAAACTCTGACCTCATTGGCAGGGCACCTGAATACATATTTTTCTACATATTTACTACATTATGTGGCTAAGAGAAAATTATGTCAAAAAAACACATCTGCAAAATGTCTTACAAGAAAAAAACAATATATTTAGTGGCTATATATATCAAATAGACTAAACAAAAGACTATTTATGTATATTCTTGAATAATGCCAAGCTAAAAAGAACCAAACAGGCCTGTCTCAGACATCAAATGTTCAATGATTCAAGCTCAGTAGATTAGAACAAAATCCCTAATTAGACAGATGCATTTCCAATCCTATTATAGCAAACCCCAAGCTACTGTTCAAATTCCTTTGCTGCATTATCATCCTGTTGCAAAGCATACAGCTTCCATGGCATGAGGGTTGAAAATAGTTTTTGTTGTATGTATCAATTTCCCGTCATAACATTGTTTGCTATCATGAAGTAAGGCCTATGCGGTCCACCAATGTCACATAATTTTCTTCAAGTAAAGATCAAAAACTACACCTATCACTCAAGAGCAAAGCAGAAAACTTTGTAAAGAAATCTTTCCCTTCTTGTTAAATAAATTCCTTTTTTAAAAATCTAAAGTGAAAGAATAGTTCAAGATTCTTCAGAGTCTGGTTCTAATGGTAAAGCATTGCCAATCCAAGGGGCAGATTTCAGCAGCTTTAAAAAGAGTTAATTAAAATCACCCTTCTCCTAACTTGCCTCTTTTCCTGTCTCTTTAGTTGGCCCAACTTGTCCATTAGTATAATATTAAACAAATGAAAGCCAAAAGGAAAAACGAAGCAAGGTTCTTTCTATGCATATTTCTAAGACCAGGCGGTGTATGCTCCAAAACCGTGTCTACAAGAGCCAAAGTTGTGAAAATAAAGCAACTTTTTTAGCTGACTAAAAACTACTTGAATTCAATGCTGGTTTTACATACCACAAACGATTTATATCCTTGGAGATTTAAAAGTAATTGCAAAGCAGACACTACTAAAAAGAGCACTCTTTTTTAAATATAATGTTTTGAGGGGCCTCTGAAATATGCTCAAGAAAGCAAGTTACCTCTTACACATTATTTTCACCTTATTTTTCCCCAGTAACTGTTAACCTTGGAAAATAAAGCTGTCCTGAATGTTTGCAACAACCTTGGCTATCTGGTCATGTGATCAGAGAAAGCAATACACTCTGGCTTTCATTAGTATGAGAACATCTGTGAGTAGAACTTACAGTGCAAAACAATCTCAGTTGCTGATCTTGTTCTCTCATCTGGACCGAACAGTGTTAGTGTCAACAATTGCAGTAAACGGCATGGCTAGAGCTAACATAAACATTTCAGAAATCATAAGCTTAATATCATTGCTCAGGAGTTGGACCAAGCTATGACTAAACTTTTCTGCCCTCTAGACCACAGGCCAGAGACTGACTTTGATTTAATTCCAGAAAGAAAGTATATCCAAACCTGCACACTGGGAGAAAAGTAAACACTCCTGGTGTAGGAAGTAGATGTAGCAATAGGTGCCTTTGGTGGATGGACACATGCAGCTGTGGAATAAAGGGCAGTGATGCCCTGCCTGCAGCAGGCGGGAGGCTTTCTGCGGGTCCCATTGTTACGAAAGTCATCTTAAAAGTAGATACTGTTTACTTATGCAGTGGTGGTTCTTTGACCCTTGCTCCTCCTCTGGCTGAGTTTTTTAAAAATAGCTCCATGCCATTCCCATTATGAGTAGGGTTTCTTTCGACCCAGGGTAAGACAGTGGAAAACAAAATTAAACAAAAGCAAACAGAAACTAAATGCTTTGGGTTTACTTTATAAACATGTCAGCCACAAGGTAGGTAATTACCTCCAAATAAAGAAATAATTTGGTGGGTCACTGTGCCCAAGTGAGAATTTTGTTGTTACATATAAGATCATAGACTATTTTGTCATCCCTGTTTATATGCAGCCAAAGATACTTTTGAACTTCATGTTGATTCCCAATGTTAATCCCAAATAAAAGATACAACAAATTGAATGGCATCTTCTCTGTTGCATCTTCCATGGTATACTTGTCATCTCTGGATCAAATCTGAATGATCAGGCCCTTTGATATAGTTTGGATGTTTGTCTCCTCCAAATCTCATGTTGAAATGTAATCCCCAGTGTTAGAGGTGGGGCCTGGTGGGAGGTGCTTGGGTCATGGTGGCGGATCTCTCATGAAAGTCGTGGTTATCTCCCTGCAGTAATAAGTTCATGAGAGATCTGGTTGTTTAAAAGAGGCTGGCACCTCCACCTCTCTCTCTTGCCCCCTGTCTCTCCATGTGACACACTGGCTCCCCTTTGCCTTCCACCATGAATTTAAGCTTCTTGAGGCCCTCATCAGAAGCAAATGCTGGCATCACACTTCTTGTACAGTCTGCAGAACTGTGAGACAAATAAATCTCTTTTCTTTACAAATTACTGAGACTCAGGTATTCCTTTATAGCAATGCAAACAAGTGAACATACCCTTCTATTTCCAGATTTTTCTAAGTTAGAAAAATGGGAATGTCCTCTCTTTTTTTATATAATTACATTGAGCAGCTTTCTGCAATGGAAAAATTACTTTCTCATTGGCTCTGTAATTATTGCCCATAGCAACCTTGAAAGGTGGACCATAGGGAATTAGAGCCCATATTTGGCAGGTAAGGAAATAGTAAGTGTCAAAGCTGGGACTCAAACCTAGGGCATCAGATACCAATCTCCACACTCTTTCCTCTACACCGTGCTATCTCTACACAAAGGTGGGGAGCTGAATTACAATAACAGCTTTGCATTATATCTTTATAGACTTTTTTTGATTTATAATGACTCAGAGAGGGGAGGTCCCCAGTGCGTGCCCAGAAAATGCACAAAAGAGCCACTTACTTAGACCATCCTTCACAGACTTGTCTTTTCCAGAAATCTACGATAATGGCCAAATAACAATATTAGCCACCAATTATACATACTGCACATGAGCAACTCAAAATTGCTTCATAGTCCTATAAGGTCAATATGATTTATGCATGATAAAATGGAATCTGACAAAAACTAAAGTAATTTGTTTAAGGTCATCTTGCTAGTGAGTAGCAGAGGTAGGATTTGAGGGTGAGTATATCTGAGTCCAGAGCCCATATTTTTGGCATCATACTACACTGGCATAAAGTCTGCACTTAAAACTAAGTGAGAAATTGTCAGAACCTCTTAAAGATCTTCAGAAACTTGTTCACTTAATTATCTCATGCTAGATCTTCTCATCTCTGCATTTAGATCTACCATTAGGTTTCTGAAAAGTTTTTTAAATAAATTGTCTTCAGTCTTGTGAAGGCTGAATTCAACTAATATCCAATTAATATCCAACTAATATACATCCAACTAATAGTCAACTAATATCCAATTAATATCCAACTAATATACATCCAACTAATAGTCAACTAATATAAGATGAGCTATTTCTCCATCTTATATCAAGCAGCTATTTAATTATCCTTTTTCTTGGTTTAAAAAGTCATTTGAGAAGTATTTATTAAGTGCCCACTATGGGCCAAGCACTGTGTCACACATTGCAAAGAACAAGATCAAAAGACATTAAACCACCTTCAAGGAGCTCATAGTCCCACTAAAATGCATAATTTCAGATGATAGCAGAAGACATTCAAATGCTCAAATCAAAAACACTTAAAAAGTGTAAAATTCTCAAAAAAGAGAAAGATGCAGTGTCAGAAACCTCTGAAGGCCTGGTTAAGAAATAATAACATTGTAATAATTGCTGTATCTTTAGTACCTACCACTGTGCTACCACTATATTTTTTGTTTTTTGTTTTTTGTTTTTTTTGCAAATTAAAAAACTTACTTCACCATCTGCATGAAGATCCAGTTAAATTAGTGAATTACTTATCACTCAGTGTTCTCTTTTCTCTCTCTTAAGTGAATCTAAATTCTTCCAGCTTATGTAGTATCACTCATATGAAGGCTTCACTTGTTTCCAATCACCAATCTCATTTCCTCCGTGTCTTAAAAAAAAAAATGGTGTATTGCATATTTTGACAGAAATCTTTTAATTGCAAATGGCAGAAGAAACTCAAATTAGCTTAGGCAAAAAGTAGAACTTATTGGCTCATATTTACAAACATTTTCTGTAAATTCATTATAACTTGCAGTCCAGACCCAAAGAGCAAACTCTCTTAATAGAAATAGTTACTATGTCACTATACATTTTTTGTTTGTGAAGAATAAAACACAGGTTTGATTTTAATTTCATCAAAACTTTTCAAATTGTCAAATATGGGGTTGAAAATATAGTGAAAAAGAAATGACTTTTTGTTTTTGTTTTTGTTCTCTGGAAGGAGAATCTATTTTTGCCAATCAAAATGCCCTAATATAGGTAGTAGCGTCTACATCCTCTAGCTGCTATGGTTCTCAGTCTTGGCCCATTACAGTCATCTGGGATCTTTTAAAAAGAATCGACATTACTCTTCTCCCACCTCACTACCTCAACATCACTCTTCTCTCACCTCAATTCAGTCAGAAGGGGACTTGAAGTCTAGACAACAGTATTTCTTAAACGCTCACCATGTAATTCTAATATGCATTGAGGATTGAAAATCCCTCTTCTGTCTAATTACCTATGTCATACCATTTGCTTAGTCAAAGACTTAGCAGTATTTTCCAGATACTCTCAGAAAATATGAATTGGAGGTTTTAGACTACGGCCTCCAGCCAGAGAAAGACAGAATTGGACGTATAGTATTCTGCCTTCAGACACCACAGCCAGTTTGATAGTTGTCCCACATGCTGTTCTGAAGCAGAAGGCCAAACACTTGAGGTTACTAAAGAACAGTTATTTTAAGGGTCTTGTTAGTGAGCCACATGAAATGACAGAGCTGTAAAGTTGGCCAAAAATGTCACTTGTAGTTAAAGATACTGCATACATGGTGGTTCATTTAAGAAAACGGAATTACATTAGAAGAGGAACAGCTGCTCAACTACTGTTTTATTCATAGGTTATTGTAAAAAAAAAATTATTTTGTGGAAGAAGGGAGTCATTTACGTTGACTGCATTAGAGGAAAAAACCTTAAAATGTGGCAGTTGGTTGCTTAAGGGTTTTATTTTCTACCAACTGAAAGGGATCGGATGGCTGCTGCCCAGGCTTGGCTGCACATACCTTGACTCCACAGCCATTGCTGACACAAGAAGGAAATCTATGTCTTTAGAATCAACAACTCACTCTCAGTGGCCCAACTGGCAAAAAATAAAAATAAACAAACACAAAATCTTTTTATTTTGCAATATTAGCAAAGAAAACACTGACCTTCCACCTCCTACCTAATCTACCCCCAATTGCTTCTTTGACATCATGCCTAGTAAAATGAAAAGGGGTTTTCAAAAGAAGGAAAGAAACATCTGCTTGGACTTCAGATTCCCCTACAAAGCAGAAACCAAGCCTATAAAGGTTACATGTTTCAACGAGCCACGCAAAACAAAGGAGAAAGTTCAACTGCTTATCCCATTTGACCTTGGCTTTAACGCAGGATCACGTTGATCCTGATGGAGAGATTAAACCGCCAAGTCCAGAACCGCTCATGAAGCAAATTCACAGGGGGAGTTCTAAGAGTTCTTTGGCACTCTTACTTCATATGGAATTAGCAGGGACAATCCCAGGCCACAAATGTAGCAATATTTTAACTCAGTGTGCAAAATTTCAAAGATAAAGCCTGAGATTGGAGGCCGTACTGAACTTTTCAAACACTGCTTTCATGGTAGTTTTTGTCAAGAAAATGCAGGCATGTATGAGAGCTGTTGAAAGATCTCTTCGTGGAGGAGGAAAAAAATGGAGGTCACTACGATCATGACAGGTCAAGGACAAGGGTGAAGGGATGACAAAATTGAAACATTTTCTTTTACATAGCCTTATTTTAAATTGCAAATTCATCCTACTTACCATGAAAATTACTTTCACAGTACAGCAAAATGGCACATAAATGGTCATGCCTTTTCTTAGTAAACAGTAAATCAGTTTTGAACAGCAAAACAGAACTATAACTTCAAACCTAAAATTTGGAAAATCTGAGAGAAATTTTAGCAATAAAAGAGAGGTTAGCAACAAAGGTCTGTGCTGGTCCGTGAGTTCATCTCTTAAATTCCTCAAACAGAAAGCACCTTGGACCAATAGTCTGGGAAACTGAATTCCAGCCCCACTGCAGACCCTATCTGACTGCAATCTAAGCCAAATTTCTTATGTTCTTTGGGCCTCAATTTCTTCATCAGTAAAATTAGGTTAGAGTAGAGGATTTCTAGAACCAACGTATTCATAGATACTATGGAAGTTGTGCAAAGCTGCTCATGAATTCCATGCCTCCATTCTCAATTTGATGTTTTTCTTGAGTAGCCCAACTCATAGTGTTTCTCCCTCTTTCCCATTCAGGCTATTCATTAGGTCTCTCACCAATCTCTTAACTTAGCCTAACTTTCTTCAATTGATCTAATGTCTTCTTCTTTCTCTAGGAGATTGTAAATTCCCCTAAGACACAAAATAATTTATGTCTAATTGTATTCCTTACTGAAATTAAAAGAGTATTGTGTACATGGTAGATGTTTGGCACATGATTTTTTTGATAAACGCATGAATGAATTAATGTTTGGTACTTAATAAGTATTGGTTTAATTGACCAGTCACTAATGTTTGGGGTGGATCAGAAAAATAATCTGAGAAAGATCGATTTCTAGAAAGCAACATCTAGTCATTAGAAGACCAAAAATTTGCCCAGACTGTATTTGTTAATGTAACAAAAAATATTTATATCTCCACTTTAAAATCCCTATATTAGACTGTTTTGATAGAATCACTAAAGTTATATATCTCCTCTAAAAATCTTAATGATATATGATGAAATAAATCAATTGGCATAAAATGTATTTATTGCCAGAATATCATTTTTCATCAAAAAGTAAAAGATTCTACATCTTCCTAGTCCTTATTCATGCACTTAATTGCTAATGTTCCTTGGGGCTTTGCTCTATATTTATTAATTAATATAGAAATGGTTAGCTCTGTTATATGTGCTACCTTTTAAAATGATTTAAACTATCATACTTATTTTCCTATGAAAACAATTCATCACAAGAAGTATAAATTTTGGGGGCATTTTACTTAAAAATATTGTTTTCTTAAAAATACTGTTTTCATTCATCCCTACTAAGTATATACTAAAAAAAAAATTCAAGGGCATTGGTTGTAAGAATTGGTGCATTTGTAAATTTACTAACATTACTGGCTTCTGCAGCCAGCTATTTTTAGTGTTTATCATACCAAAAACGTGCTTATGTCATAAGATTGGACTGGAGAAATAATTAGTTAACTACCATAGGCAAAAGGAGAAAATAAGAGGTTCTAACATTTTAAGAGTCTTGCAGTATCACCAGCAATACGAATTCTCTTCTAATAGCATATGGAAAGCTTCCCTACTCGCTAATTAGATTTTACCATCCCTCTGCTTGCTTTTTACCACAAGAACATTAATCTTATTCTATGAATAATCTCAATTAGTTTTTCCTATGCTAACAGCTAAGGAGACAAGGCACATATTATTCTCTCCTGAATTTTGATTATAAGCTTATATTTGAGATAGAAGCACATTGAGAAAAATCATAGCTAGGTGTACAGAATTAATCCCTAAAAGAAAAATGTCACAAGACAATGAAGAACCTACACATTAGGTAAGCAACAAATATGACAACCTTGCTCTATATGCTAGATATTCAGCCAGTGGCTGAATTTGAAGAAATAAACATTTCCCTCATGTGTCATCTTCAACTTCCCCTTAAAGTTTACTACTGCAAATTTTCACTGTGGCCAAAATGGTTTTGTTTTTTGTTGTTGTTGTTTTGTTTGTTTTGTTTTTGAGACAGAGTCATACTCCATCGCCCAGGCTGGAGTGCAGTGGTGCAATCTCGGCTCATTGCAACCCCTGCCTCCAGGGTTCAAGCAATTATCCTGCCTCAGCCTCCCACATAGCTGGAATTACAGGTGTGCGCCACTATGCCCAGCTAATATTTTTTTGTATTTTTAGTAGAGGAGACATTTCACCATGTTAGCCAGACTCTTCTTGAACTCCTGACCTTAAGTGATCTGCCGGTCTCGGCCTCCCAAAGTGCTGGGATTACAAGCATGAGCTACCACACCCGGCCCCACAAAATATATATTTAAAAACAGTTTTTGCTCATAATATCTACTCACAACAAAATAATTAAGAACCCCCAAACAAGTTGAGTTTATTATAAGTTGGCCAACATGTGTAGGTTTAATTGGGTTAAAACCACACACACACGAACACACTATTTTTTTAAATTCCTCTTGTCACTAGGACTTTGTTTTGGAAATATTGTCCTTCTTCCTATATTCCTACCTTAAAAGAACAATTTCAATTCCAAGTGTCCCAGATAAATAGGAATATTGATAAAGGCAGTCAAATAGAAATCAAAGCCAACAAGGATAATACATGGCAAACACTTGCCCTTCACTCTTAAACACTGGTTTTGGGAGTATAAAATGGCACAGCTTTTCTGTAGAGCAATTTAGAAAAATTAACAAAAGCCTTAAACATGTTTAAAACTTTTATGGTAGTTCCACTTCTAGGGATTTTTCCTAATAAGTGAACTGAGATACAGAGAAAGAATTACATACAATAGTATTTATTGTGGGGTTACTACTGGAAATAACCTTGACGTCCCAATATAAGAAATTTGTTAAACAAATATGCCACATCCAATAGGATAGAACATGAGTTAGTACTTCAAAATGATGCCATAAAATATGTAAATCTTAGTGCTTTGGGAGGCTAAGATGGGAGGATCACTTGAGGCCAGGAGTTTGAGGCTACAGTAAGCTATGATCATGCCACAGCACTCCAGCCTGGGCAACAGTGAGACCCTGTCTCAAAAAAAAAAAAAAAAAAAAATTGAACAGCATTAGAGAATGTTCTTTACAGTATGTTAAATGAAAAAACAGGCTATAATACAGTAAGGATGATTTAGTCACAAATTTTGATTTATGTAAATGCATAGGAAAAAGGTTCAGCATATATCCTATATATCGGTGTTGTCCAGTAGAAATATGGTGCAAGCAGCCGGGCATGGTGGCTCACACCTGTAGTCCCAGCACTTTGGGAGGCCGAGGCAGGCGGATCACGAGGTCAGGAGATCAAGACCATCCTGCCCAACATGGTGAAACCCTGTCTCTACTAAAATTACAAAAATTAGCTGGGTGTGGTGGTGTGCGCCTGTAGTCCCAGCTACTCGGGAGGCTGAGGCAGAAGAATTGCTTGAACCCAGGAGGCAGAGGTTGCAGTGAGACGAGATCACACTGCTGCACTCCAGCCTGGTGACAGAGTGAGACTGCGTCTCAAAAAAAAAAAGAAATATGGTGTAAGCTACATATGTAATTTTTAATTTTCTAATATCCACATTAAAAAAGTAAAAAACAGGTAACATTATTTTAATAATATAATTTAACTCAGTATGTTTAAAATATCATTTTCACATGTAATTAATATAAAAATTACTAATAAGATTTTTTTCAAACTAAGTCTTTAAAATTTGGTGTGTATTTTATAATTACAGCATATCTCATCTCAGATTAGCCACTTTCTAAGTGCTCAATAGCCACTCATGGCTAGTGGCTAACATATTGGGCCTAAAGAATGTGGGAATGTTGGTGATTTCTGTTTTCATATTTATGTTTTTTAACACATTCTACTTTTATAATCAGAGAAAAATTAATATTTTAAAATAACTAAACAGAGGCAGCAGGACAAAAGGAAAAATTATGGGTGTTGGGGTCAAAGACCTAGATTCAGAGAGTTCTAATTCTATTACCTTGTCTAATTTATGTAGTGGTGCTCTCCTTTGAATAACTGCAGTCCAACAGGATACATGTAAACACTTCATATGGAGGATGATAGGCTTGCCCACCATGAAACATAATGGTGACATGATGGGAAATATTACCCTTGGCCAAAGTGGCGGTAATTGAACCAATTTAGGACTGTCCAGCTTATCCCTATTATATATATGCTAAATAAATGTAAAAAATGACTAAGTAAAATCCAATCCCAGAAAGAGTTGTTTTCTTTGTCACTTTTAAACAGTTTTAAAGCTGCCAACTATATCATACAGTGCAAAACAAGCCATACAAATTCTTGGCTAATATATAGGCAAATTCAAGCTCCATAAGTATATTAATGTTATGCTTTTCTGATTTCTAGAAATATAGAGAGCCCACCTTCATACCACCAAATTTATTTTAGACTTTGCTTTCATACATTTTATGCTTATTTACTTTTGTTTTTTTGGTGGTTGATTGGTTGGTTGGCTGGTTGGTGTTTTGGAACTTTGTTGCAAAGAGCTGAGTTAATCATCCTCTTGGGTTCATAGGATATTATCCTATCAGCCATGCAAAGCTATTCTCCTGTTTGTTTTATTTTTCCCCTTGTGCTCCATCCCCATTTTTGTTCCATTCATGGAACTCAACTCTAATATATTTGAAATGTGTCCTTAAATATTCATATATGCTTTTATTTAGTATTGTTTGTATAGATACAATTCTCTTTCAAACTTTTTTAGCAGTTTTTTTAATATCCAATCCATGGTGATTCTAACTATTGTACAGTATTCTATTGTTTGCCTCCACCATATTTTACTTATCCATTTCTCCAGTGATGGGTACCTATGTTGATAACTTTCAGCTGCTATAAACCACATCAAAATAAACATTCTCATAAATATCCTTTTTGTACAGTTATATACCCATGAGTGGAATTGCTGATTCAAAGAGCCTAAATAGATAAATAAGACTGACAGGTGTCTATAAAATTACTGTACCTGTTTATACTCTCTATAGCACTGTACAGTAAATACTTAATGTTGTTGATAGGTTCTTGGAAACTACAACTTTAAGCAAAACATTGTTCAGCAGGTCCTTGAATAATGTCATTTCATTCAACATCATTTTGTTGTAACATTGATGAGAAAAAAATGTTTTTCATTACATCATTTTGCTTACAGTTGCTGTTTCCAAGATCTTCTCAACGATGTTAAGTGAGGACTCACTGTATAAGAATTCTCGCCTCTCTATATCTTTATTTTATATTATCCATCTTTTAGAATTTTACCTTTGGTATGCTTTTGGTGAGAAGATTTGTGCTTTTAGCTCCAGTGTGTAAAGAGCTTAAAAGCTGTCACCTTCATCCTTACAACAAGGGAAAAGCTGAGCAAACTGAAAATCAATAACTTGTCTTAGAAGTCCTAGAGAACTGAGGTTGCAGAAACTGCCACCCTGAGATCTGGAGAGGCAGAAAAATCCAGAGTCACAATCTATGGCTTAACTGGGACAGAAGCCACTAGAGCCATAAACTGGTAGAAATATTTAAATGGTCATTTTGACATACTGCTGGAGGCTGAATGTGGACTAGCGTGAGAGTGAGAAGCTCCTGAAGGCCACAGTTTCAGGAAATCTCCCACAGTCATAGGTTTTAATTTTAGACTCCCACCCGGTTCTCACAGTGAAAAATCAAGAAAAGTCTCATGGTTCTGGCAGCAGGAGGAGACAAGTAACCTTTGTGAAATATCCTCAGAATGTTCTTTATAACAAAGAAGGCCTACTCTCCAGGGGGAAAGAATTTAAAAGCCTTTAACAGAGACTCACCCTACCTGGGGAGAAAATTTCCCATACTACAGCCCCCTCCAACCTTGCTATTTCACCTAAGGTGGGACAAAAGCTATGAAATATTTGTGAGGGTCACAGCCCAGGGATAGAGATGTACTAAAAAAGTTATATTTAATCATAATATTGTAGAACCCTTTCTTTTCTTCACACTTGACAGCCACACAAACAGGGCTTCAGTATAATAACAGTGGATTATAGCTGAAAGAACTGCAAAATGCAGGCTCTATTGAAGTAGGAGTTTTAAAAGGCACTAATAATTTATTTGGTTGGTTGACTGAAACATGGACCAAAAGGTAGCCCACAGTGAGTGAAGCGAAAATGCCAGGCATGCCTTGGTTTAATGTAGAGGAAGGAATAAAAAGGCTTAGGGGAACTGGAATGTAAGAGTGTTTTTGTCATTTAAGATCTACTCACCCATACTGGGTCCAGAAGACATATCTTTCACCAACATTATAGAAATAAATTTGCCCTGGCATCCTTGATGAGTACTGTGATTGCTCTTCTCTGTAGGCCAGACCACACAGTGGGAACTGTAGTCACTAAACTGGGAAACCTAACTGCAATGGTAGTAATTGAATTCTATAACAGTAGAGGCCAAGGAGCAGTACTCAACCTCAAAGGCAAGATGGCCATGGTTACCATGATGAACAGGAGAACCAAAGCATAGTCTCCAATCGGAACAGTCTGACTGGAGCATACCTATGTTGTTGGTTAGTTGATTATGTTTTTCAAGAAGTTATAGATAGGAAGCCTACTTAATTCTTACCTGATCTGTGTAAACAGAAAAGATCTAAGTCAAATGAATAAAACTCTAAGCCAAATCATAAGAACAGAGTTATGGGCCCTCAATCAATTCCCAGACTTGAGTCAGTTTACAGATCCTGAATCCCTTAAATGAAGGGAGGCCAGTTCCCCTTGAGTGAGGACCCCAATACACTACAGAAAATGTATACAGACAGTCCCTGACTTAGGATGGTTCAACTTACAATTTTTTGACATTATGATATGAAGCAAAACAATACACATCATAAATTGAAATATCGTAAGTTAAAAATGTCCTTTTCATTCATGGTGCTTTCAACTTACAATGGGTTTGTTGGTACACAGCCCCATCATAAGCTAAGAAGCACCTGTACTATTAATTCTTCTTTCAGTTTTCCTCAAAGAGACCTATAACCTTTTACCAAGGTAACTGTACATTGGGGGAAAGAAAATAACAGATATTTGGGACCACTGGAAACTGACACTAATTCCAGGAGACCCATAATGTCTCTGTGGTCCATGAGTAAGAGTAAACACTTATAGAGATCAGATTATCAATGGATTTGATATGGCTTGGATGTCCTGCCCAAATCTCATGTTGGATTTTAATCCCCAGTATTAGAGGTGGGGCCTGGCGGGAGGTTGGGGGATTCTAATGAGTGGTTTAGTACCATTGCTATCAGTGGGCTGGAGGAGGTCCTCAAACACCCATGAGACTTCACTCAACCCCAGCTGGTGTCCAGGCTCTTGACACTGTTATGAGAATGAATTCAAGGATGAGTCAGAAAATAGTGAAAGTACAGAGATTTATTGCAAGAGAAAAGTGTACACTCAAGGGAGTGCAGATGTACTGAAGATAGAGTCGGGCAATGGGATTTGGGGTTTCTATCTTTATGGATCCAAGGGGTGAAATATTCATGGAAATTCCTGGAAAAAGGTAGAGATTTCTCAGAACTGTGGTGCCACTCATTTTTATAACAAATTTGAGTGTTCTCAGAGCTGTTATGGCATTGATGGGATGTGTGATTTAAGATGTTCATAAGCATATAATGAGGTCCTCGGAGAAACCTAGGTCAAATCCAGCACCATGTTGTGTCCAGTCAGTCTTAGCCAGCCTGGTTTTTCACACACACTGGTTTTTCAGGAACTGATCAGGCCTTAGCTTCTGCAGTGATTTCAACAGTTTCCTTTTGCTAGTCATGTGGACTAATGCCTGGAGTTTCACATGACTAGCAAAAGTAAACTAAATTTTCTATTCTGCCACCACCCTGTATCCCTGTATTATTCCTGTCTTACCATCCCTGTAATTCTGTCCTCGTGATAGTGAGTTCTCTTGTGATGTGGTCATTTAAAAGTGTGTAGCACCTCCCCCCTCGCTCTGTGGCTCCTGTTCCCATCATATGAGACGCCTGCTCCTGCTTTGCCTACTGCTGTGAGTAAAAGTTCCCTCAATCCTCCCCAGAAGCAGAGGCCACCATGCTTTCTGTACAGACTACAGAACCATAAGCCAATTAAACCTCTTTTCTTATAAATTACCCAGTCTCAGGTATTTCTTTATAGTAATGCAAGAATGGATACAGGAGTTTTAGCTTAGGTCTGTCTCACAGTGGGCCCAGTGGGTCCCTGAATCCATCTTCTGGTTATTTCTCAGGTTTCAGAATGCAAAATTAGAATAGATATACTTAGCAGCTGGCAGAATCCCCACATCATGTCCACCCACTGATGTGGAGTGTAAGCTATTATGGTGGGAAAGGCCAGTGGAAGCCATTAGAACTGTCTCTATCTGGGAAAAGAGTAAATCAAAAACAATACTACTATTATGTACACACACAAAAAAAATTAAAATTTAAAATAAAATAAAAAATGGAAAAGCAATACTGCATTCCTGAAGGGATTGCAGAGATTAGTGCCACCATCAAAGATCTGAAGGATGCAGGCATGATAATTTCCACCACATCTCCATTCAACTTACCTATTTGGCCGGTGCAGAAACCGGATGGATCTTTAAGAATGACAGTGGATTATGGTAAGCTTAACCAGGGGATAACTCCAATTGCAGCTGCTGTACCAGATGTGGACACATTGCTTGGGCAAATTAACACTTCTGCTTGGTATTTGTATGTAGATATTGGTCTGGCAAATAAGTTTTTGTCAGTGCCTATTGGTGAAGAACTTTTCTTTCACTTGGCAAGGCCAGAAATACACCTTTACTGACATACCTCAAGGGTATATTAACTCTCCAGTCCTATGTCATAATTTCATTTGCAGGGATTGAACACCTTTCCCTTCCACAAGATATCACAGTGGTCCATTACACTGATGACATTATGCTGATGGGACCTACTGAGTAAGAAGTAGCAGCTGCTCCAGACTTATTGGTAAATCCTTCGTGTGTCAGAGGTGGGAAAAAATATGACTAAAATTTAGGAAACTTCTACCTCAGTAAAATTTCTAGGGATCCAGTGGTGTGGCACATGTTGAGATATTTCTTCTAAAGTGAAGGATAAGTTCTTGCATCTGGTCCCTCCTAAATTGGTACCACAGACAATGGGGTGCTGCTATAAATATACCCAAAAATGTGGCAGTGATTTTAGAACTGGGTAACAGGAAGAGGTTGCAACCATTTGGAGGGCTCAGAAGAAAACAGGAAGATGTAGGAAAGTTCCAAACTTCCTAGAGACTTGTTTAATGGTTTTGACCAAAATGCTGACAGTGACATGGGCAATAAAGTCCAGGCTAAGGTGGTCTCAGATAGAGATGAGGAACTTGTTGGGAAGTGGAATAAAGGTGATTCTTGCTATGCCTTACCAAAGAGACTAGTGGCATTTTGCCCCTGCCCTAGAGACGTGTGCAACTTTGAACTTGAGAGAGATGATTTAGGGTATCTGGCAAAAAAAATGTTTAAGCAGCAAAGCATTCAAAAAGTAATAGAACATAAAGGTTTGGAAAATTTGCAGCTTGACAATGCAGAAACCCATGTTCTGGGAAGAAATTCAAGCCGGCTGCAGAAATTTGCAGAATGATAACAGACGAATACAGTACAAGGCACAAAGCATAATGGGCCTCTTTGGATTTTGGAGGCACCACATACCTTATTAGGTATGTTACTTCAGCCCATTTACCAAGTGACCCAAAAAGCTCCAAGTTTTGAGGGGGTCCCAGAATTAGAGAAGTCTCTTCAACAGATCCAGGCTGCTGTGCAAGGTGCTCTGCCACTTGGGCAGATTCAGCAAGTCCTATGGTACCTGAAGTCTCAGTGACAAATATGAATTCAGTTTGGAGCCTTTGGTAGATTACTATATTTGAATCCCAGGGCAGTTCTTCTAGAATTTGGAAAAATCCCAGTCATATCCAGATAACTACTCTCTTTTGAGAAAGAGTTCTTGGCCCTCATACTGGGCCCTAGTAAAGACTGAACCCTTAACCATAGATCACCAAGTTACCATGTAACCTGAGCTGCCCTTCATAAACTAGGTGTTATCTGATGACCAAGCCATAAATTTGGACATGCACAGCAACAGTCCATCATCAAATGGAAATAGAATTGGTATATACATGATTAGGCCTAGTCAGGCATTAGTAAGTGACATGAAGAAGTGTCCCAAATACCCACAGTCCCTACTTCTTTTTTTCTCCCAGCCTGCACCTATGTCCTCATACAGTGTTTCCTAATATTAGTTGACAGAAGAAGAAAAGACTCAGGCCAGGTTTATAGATGGTTCTGTATGATACACAGGTACCACTGGAAAATGGAGCTGCAGCACTATGGCCCCTCTCTGAAATATCCCTGATGGACAGTGGGTAAAAGAAAATCTTGGCCAGACGTGGTGGCTCACACCTGTAATCCCAGAACTTTGGGAGGCTGAGGTGGGGTATCACCTGAAATTGGGAGTTTGAGACCAGCCTGACCAACATTGAGAAACCCCATCTCTACTAAAAAAAATACAAAATTAGCCAGGCATGGTGGTCCATGCCTGTAGTCCCAGCTACTCAGGAGGCTGAGGCAGGAGAATCGCTTGAACCCGGAAGGCAGAGGTTGCAGTGAGCCGAGATCGCACCATTGCACTCCAGCCTGGGCAACAAGAGGGAAACTCCATCTCAAAAAAAAAAAAAAAAAAAGCAGAGAAAGAAAATCTTCCCAGTCAGAACTTTGAGCAATGTATCTGGTTGTTTACTTTACTTGGAAGGAGAATTGGTCAGACGTGATTATATACCAATTCAATGGTTTGGCTGGATGATGAGGGACTTGGAAGGAAAATGACTTGAGGATTATGACAAATAAATTTTAGAAAGAAGTATGTGGATGGATCTCTCTGAATGGACAAAAAACATGGAAATATTTGTGTTTCATGTGAATGCTCACCAAATGATTACATCAGCAGTGGATGATTGTAATGATCAAATGGGTAGAATGACCCATTCTGTACATACCAGTCAGCCTCTTTCTCCAGCTATCCATGTTATTTCCCAGTGGGTTCATGAACAAAGTCACCATAGTGAAAGCAACACGAGCTTCTACTCACCAAGGCTGATCCTGGTAGATGAGATTCATTGAAGGTATATAAGCCATATAGAATTTCTAAGATGTACACTGTGTAATAAGATAGCTACTAGTCACAAATTACTGTTGAGTACTTGAAATGTGGCTAGTTCAACTGAGAAAGTAAATTTTTAATTTCATTTAGTTTTCATTAATTTAAATTAAATTTAAAAATTGATAGGGCCAACCAAAAGCAGCAGTGATCTGAGGCTCCCACCAAAAAGAACCAAAACAGCATGTGAATCCTGCACTGGCAACCGAGGTATCCAGGTTCTGTCATTAGGACTGACTAGGCAGCTGGTGTGACCCACAGAGAGGAAGGAAGAGCAGGGTGGTGCGGCAGCCCACCTGAGAGCCACACAGGGTAGGAGAGTCCCCCACTCCCAGCCAAGGGAGGCAATGAGTGAGCGTGCTACCCAGCCTGGGAAACTGTGCTTTTTCCATGGTACTGGGCAACCCACGGATTGGAAGATCTCACTCGTGAGTCCATGCCACCGGGGCCTTGGGTCCCAATCACAGAGCTGCATAGATTCTCGACAGCCACTCAGCTGGAATCTGCCTAAGCCTGCGGAGTTCCCTGGGGCAGGGTAAGGTGGGGGAGGGGGCGGCCATTACCACTGCTGCGGCTGCCTGCTGTCTAAGCTGTCTGAGTTCCCTGAGGAAGGGGCAGCAGCCAACATTGCAGCTGCTAGCTAAGCTCCTGGGAGGGAAGGGCAGCAGCCATCACTATAGCTCCAGGATTCACTTTTCCCTTACTGGAGCCAGGGAGGCTGGATGGCTTGGTTCCAAGAGGTATTCCCCACAGCGCAGCACACTGCCATGGCCAGATTGCCTCTTCAGGCTGGACCCAGACCCATTCCTCCTCACTGGGTGGGGCCTCTCTGCAGGAACCCCAATAACTTCCAGCCAGGGTCTCAGGGACAGAACTCTGATCACCATGGGCCTGAGCCCCTAGTGGGAGGAGTGACTATAGTCTCTGCAGACCAGCAGATTTAATCTTTCCTCCTGCTAGTTCTGAGGAATCCGGCCAGCCCAGACGTGTGGGTATCCACCTAGCACAGCACACCCTCTCCAACAAGGGACAGCCAAAGTGCTTCATTAAATGGGTCCTGGTTCCGTGCCCCCCAACTGGGTGAGACCCTCCAACAGGGGTGGCCAGACACGCTATACATGAATGTTCTTACTCGCATCAGGTCAGTGCCCCTTGAGATCAGAAATCCCCAAGGAAGGAGCAGGCACCCATCCTTGCTGTTCTCCAGCCTCCCCAGGTGACATCTCCAGGCATGGGAGCAAAGCAGATGAATAGGGCCTGAAGTGAAACCCCAGCAAACTGCAGCAGCCCTACAGAAGAGGGACCTGACTATTGAAAGAAAAACAGAAAGCAACAACAACAGCTTCAACAAAAAATGTCCCCACAAAACCTGATCCAAGGGGCCAGCAGCCTCAAAGATCAAGACTAGACAAACTAGATGAATTGACAGAAGTAGGCTTCAGAAGGTAGACAATAACAAACTTCACTGAGATAAAGGAGCATGTTCTAACCCAATGCAAAGAAGCTAAGAACCATGATAAAACATTACAAGAGCTGCTAACTAGAATAACCAGCTTAGAGAGGAACATAAATGACCTGATGGAGCTGAAAAACACAGCACAAGAACTTCGTGAAGCATACACAGATATCAATAGCTGAATTGATCAAGCAGAAGAAAGAATATCAGAGATTGAAGACTATCTGCTGAAATAAGGCAGGCAGACAAGATTAAAGAAAAAGAATGAAAAGGAAAAAACAAAACCTCCGAGAACTATGGGACTATGTAAAAAGACTGAACCTACAGCAGATTGGAGGACCTGAAAGAGACAGGGAGAATGGAAACAAGTTTGAAAACACACTCTAGGATATCATCCAGGAGAACCTCCCCAAGCTAGCAAGACAGGCTAACATTCAAATTCAGGAAATACAGAGAACCCCCACTAAGATACTCCACAAGAAGATCAATCCCAAGACAAATAATCATCAGATTCTCCAAGGTCAAAATGAAAGAAAAAAATGTAAGAACAACCAGAGAGAAAGACCACCTACAAAGGGAAGCCCATAAGACTAAAAGTGGATCTCTCAGCAGAAACCATACAAGCCAGAAGAGAGTAGGAGCCAATATTCAACATTCTTAAAAAAATTTTCAATCTGAATTTCATATCTGGCCAAACTAAACTTCATAAGTGAAGAAGAAATAAAAGTATTTTCTGATAAGCAAATGCTGAGGGAATTCATCATGACCAGGCCTGCCTTGCAAGAGCTCCTGAAGGAAACACTAAACATGGAAAGGAACAACTGGTACCAGCCACTGCAAAAATACACCAAAATACAAAAACCAATGACAGTATGAAAAAACTGCATCAACTCATGTGCAAAATAAAAAGCTAGCATCATGATGACAGGATCAAATTCACAAGTAACAATATTAACTTTAAATTTAAATGTGCCAAATGCCCCAGTTAAAACACACAGACTGGCAAATGAGGTAGAGTCAAGACCCATGAATGTGCTGTATTCAAGTGACCCATCTCACATGCAAAGACACACATAGGCTTAAAATAAAGGGATGAAGGAATATTTACCAATCAAATGGAAAGTACAAAAAAACAGGAGTTACAGTTCTAGTTTCTGACAAAACAGACTTTAAACCAAAAAAGATCAAAAAAGATTTTTTTAAAAATGGTATTATATAATGGTAAAGGGATCAATTCAACAAAAAGAGTTAACTGTCCTAAATATATATATACCCAATATAGGAGCACCGAGATTCATAAAACAGGTTGTTAGAGACCTACAAAGAGACTTAGACTCCCGTGCAATATTACTGGGAGACTTTAACACCCCAGTGTCAATATTAGACAGATCAACAAGACAGAAAATTAACAAGGACGTTCAGGACTTGAACTCAGCTCTGAATCAAGTGGATCTAATAGAGATCTACAGAACTCTTCACCCCAAAACAACAGAATATGCATTCTTCAGAATATACATGGCACTTACTCTAAAGTCGATCACTTAATTGGAGGTAAAACACTCCTCAGCAAATGCAAAAGAACTGATATTATTTTAAAAAAAAAAAGAAGTCTCTCAGACCACAGTGCAATCAAATTAGAACTCAAGATTAAGAAACTCACTCAAAACCACACAACTACGTGGAAATTGAACAACCTGATCCTGAATGACTCCTGGATAAATAATGAAATTAAGGCAGAAATCCAGAAGTTGTTTGAAACCAATGAGAACAAAGAGACAATATACCAGAATCTCTGGGATGCAGCTAAAGCGTTGTTAAGAGGGAAATTTGTAGCACTAAATGCACATATCAGAAAGCTAGAAAGATATCAAATCAACACCCTAACATCACAACTAAAAGAACCAGAGAAGCAAGAGCAAACAAATTCAAAAGCTAGCAGATGACAAGAAACAACTAAGATCAGAGTGGAACTGAAGGTGATAGAAACACTAAAAACCCTTCAAAAAATCAATGCATCCAGGAGCTGGTTTTTTGGAAAAAAAAAAAAATATATATATATATATATATAAATAGACCACTTGCAGGACTTATAAAGAAGAGAGAAGAATCAAATAAACACAATAAAAAATGATAAAGGGGATATCACCACTGATACCACAGAAATACAATCTATCATCAGAGAATACTATAAACACTTCTATGCAAATAAATTAGAAAATCTAGAAGAAATGGATAAATTCCTGGAAACAAACACCCTCCCAAGTCTAAAGCAGGAAAAAATTGAATCCTTGAATAGACGAATAAAAAATTCTGAAATTGAGGCAGTAATAAATAGGCTACCAACAAAAAAGGCCCAGGACCAGATGGATTCACAGCCAAATTCTACCAGAGGTGCAAAGAGGAGTTGGTACCATTCCTTCTGCAACTATGCCAAACAATTGAAAAGGAGGGACTCCTCCCTAACTCATTTTATGAGGCCAGCATCATCCTGATACAAAAACCGGGCAGGGACACAACAGAAAAAGAAAACTTCGGGCCAATATCCCTGATGAACATCAGTGCAAAAATCCTCAATAAAATACTTGCAAAGCAAACCCAGTGGCACATCAAAAAGCTTATCTGCCACAATCAAGTCAGCTTCATCCCTGGGATGCAAGGCTGGTTCAATATACACAAATAAATAAATTTAATCCATCACGTAAATAAAACCAATGATGAAAACCACATGATTATCTCAATAGATGCAGAAAAGACCTGCAATAAATTCAATATCCCATCATGTTAAAAACTCTCAATAAACTAGGTATTAATGGAACATATCTCAAAATAATAAAAGTTATTTATGACAAACCCACAGACAATATCACACTGAATGGTTCAACAGCTGGAAGCATTCCCTTTGAAAACTGGCACAGGAAAACGATGCCCTCTCTCTCACCACTCCTATTGAACAGAGTATTGGAAGTTCTGGCCAGGGCAATCAGGCAAGAGAAAGAAATAAAGCATATTCAAATAGGAAGAGAAGAAGTCATATTGTCTCTGTTTGCAGATGACATGATCCTATGTTTAGAAAACTCCATCTTCTCAACCCAAAAGCTCCTTAAGCTGATAAGCAACTTCAGCAAAGTCTTAGGATACAAAATCAATGTGCAAAGATCACAAGCATTCCTATACACCAACAACAGACAAGCAGAGAGCCAAATCATAAATGAGATTCCATTCACAATTGCTGCAAAGAGAATAATATACCTAGGAATACAGCTAACAAGGGACATGAAAGACCTCTTCAAGGAGAACTACAAACCACTGCTCAAGGAAATAAGAGAGGACACAAACAAATGGAAAAACATTCCATGTTCATGGCTGAGAAGAATCAATATTGTGAAAATGGCCACCCTGCCCAAAGTAATATGTAGATTCAATGCTATTCCCATCAAACTACTATCGACATTCTTCACATAATTAGAAAAAACTACTGTAAAATTCATATTGAACCAAAAAGAGCCCATATAGCCAAGACAATCCTAAGCAAAAAGAACAAAGCTGGAGGCATCACACTACCTGACTTCAAACTATGCTACAAAGCTAAAATAACCAAAGCAGCATGGTACTGGTATCAAAACAGACATAAGGACCAATGGAAAGAATAGAGACCTCAGAAATAAGACTATACATCTGAAACCATATGATATTCAACAAATCTGACAAAAACAAGCGATGGGGAAAGGATTCCCTATTTAATACATGGTGCTGGGAAAACTGACTAGCCATATGCAGAAAACTGAAACTGGACTCCTTTCTTACAATTTATACAAAAATTAACTCAAGATGGATTAAAGACTTAAACACAAAACCCAAAACCATAAAAACGCTAGAAGAAAATCTAGGCAATACTATTCAGGACATAGGAATGTGCAAAGATTTTATGATGAAATCACCAAAAGCATTTGCAACAAAAGCCAAAATTGACAAATGAGACCTAATTAAACTAAAGAGCTTCTGCACAACAAAAGAAACTATCATCAGAGTGAACAGGCAACATACAGAATGGGAGAAAAATTTTGCAATCTATCTATCTGACAAAGGTCTAGTATTTAGAATTTACAGGAAACTTAAACAAATTTACAAATAAAAAACAACCTCATCAAAAAGTAGTCAAAAGACATGAACAGATACTTCACAAAAGAAGATATTTATCAGCCAAAACACATGAAAAAAAGCTCATTATCACAATCATTAGAGAAATGCAAATCAAAACCGCAACAAGATACCATCTCATGCCAGTTGGAATGGCAATTATTTAAAAGTCAAGAAACAACAGATGCTGGTGAGGCTGTGGAGAAATAGGAATGCTTTTACATTGTTGGTGGGAATGTAAATTAGTTCAACCATTGTGGATGACAGTGTGGTGATTCTTCAAGGATGTAGAACAAGAAATACCATTTGACCCAGCAATCTTATTACTGGGCGTATACCCATAGGAATATAAGTTATTCTATTATAAAGATACATGCACACACATGTTTACTGCATTGCTATTCACAATAGCAAAGACATAGAACCAACCCAAATGCCCATCAATCATAGACTGGATAAAGAAAATGTGGTACGTATACACCATGAAATACTATGCAAGCATAAAAAGAAATGAGATCATATCCTTTGCAGGGACGTGGATGAAGCTGGAGGCCATCATCCTCAGCAAACTAATACAGGAAGAGAAAGCTAAACACCACATGTTCTCACTCACAAGTGTGAGCTGAACAATGAGAACACATGGACAAAGGGAAGGGAACAACACATACCAGGGCCTGTTGGGGGACACAAGGGGAGGGAGAGCATCAGGATGAGTAGTTAATGCATGTGGTGCTTAATACCTGGGTAACAGGTTGATAGGTGCAGCAAACCACCATGGCACTTGTTTACCTAAGTAACAAACCTGTATATTCTCAACATGTACACTGGAACTTAAAGTAAAATAAAAAATAAAATAAAATAAAATAAAACTGAGAGTCAATTCAATTATTTGAAAACTTTCAAAAGTATGTTTGAAACAACTTGGGCACATGAATCTATGTTTTCAACTATTAATTTTATAAAATCAAAATGTATATTAAGATTTTCTTTTTTTTTTTTTTTTTTTTTTGAGACGGAGTTTCACTCCTGTTTCCCAGGCTGGAGTGCAATGGTGCTGATCTTGGCTCACTGCAACCTCTGCCTCCTGGGTTCAAGCAACTCTCCTGCCTCGCCTCCCGAGTAGCTGGGATTACAGGTGCCCACCACCACACCTGGCTAATTTTTGTATTTTTAGCAGAGATGGGGTTTCACCATGTTAGCCAGGCTGGTCTCAAACTCCTGACCTCCAGCGATCTGCCTGTCTCAGCCACCCAAAGTGCTGGGATTGCAGGCATGAGCCACTGCGCCTGGCCTGTATTAAGTTTTTCTAATGAAATTTAGGCATCCAAGTTGTGATATGCTATGAATATAAAATATACACTAGGATTTGAAGACTTTGTACCAAAAAAGATTGTAAGATATCTCATTAGCAATTTTTAATGTTGATTATATCTTAAAATGATAATGAGTTTAAAGACATTATTCAAATTAATTTTATTTTTTTTTTATCTTTTTATGTGATTACTAGAAATGTTTTAATTATATATGTGGCTTGCATTATTATTGCGTAGCATGGATCTACAGCACAGTAACATCATTTCAGCCTAGATATTCCTCTTGGTATTTAGCATAGCATTGTGCACATAATTGACTCTCGCTAAATGCATGTTGTTCAAATAAAAAGGATCATGTATTAGGGCAAGTATTTATTACTATACTTTTTTAAAACAATTAATTTAAAAATGAATTCAGCCAGATGTGGTGGCACATGCTTATAATCCCACCTACTTGGGAGACTGAGGCGCAAGGATCATTTGAGTCCAGGGAGCTCTAGACTAGCCTATGCAAGATAATGAGACTCTATCTCTTAGAAAAACAAGCAAAAACAAAAAAAAAACCCACACACATAAAAATGAGTTCATTTTCTGCATAAAGATGGTTTGGTAAAGAGGTTAGGCAATGAGAAAAATGGGGAATTTTTCTCCTCTTTTTCAGAGACCGCACAATTAGTCAAGAGAGAAAGAAGCAAATGATTGCATTTTTATCAAGTCCCCACAACTTTCCCAAACATTTACTCGACTAATTGTCCTTTCTAGTTGGGGTTTTTCCCATCTATATTATTATGGCCACAACCAAAAATTATCAAAGTTTCAAAGAACTCTCCAGTAGCTCCAAGGAACTATAAGAAAGATGATAACTGGCATTAAAATTATAGATACTGACATCACACAAAATTAGATGAATTCAGTTTTGCCATACATAGATCATGAGAAAGTTATTTAATCTCTATAATCTTAATTTCTTCATCCATATATTGGGATTAATAATAGTAACTACCTGTTAGGATTGACTGATGAAGAAAAAAAACGAGTTGAACACTTAGCTTATTGCTTGAAACATACTAGGGATTTAGCACACGGAGGTTGGATGATACTAATGGTTAATTATCATCATTGTTACAATTCCAGGAAACTAAAATTTTCTTAAGTAATCTTCATTTTGATAGTTTCCACCTTTTCCAGGAATAAAAGTTTCTTTCAGGTTTAGTTTCTTACTTATCCTAGGTGAAATTACTAGAGCTGCTGGCACTACAGAACCATAAAAATAGAACTGAAAGAGGATTTCACAATCTAATGAGTTTCAGCAATACACACTAATATTTCACCTTTTTCTAAGAAATTAAAAGATTTAGATACCATATACTGACAAAAATTGTAGCCAAATAGAGTGGTACTATATACATCGGTTTCAATTATGATCAGAAGATCCAAAGTGGAACACTTGCTGTAACTAAAGATGTCACATGTGATTATTTTATATTTTAAAGCAAGTAAGTAGCTTATAAACCAGGGCTGATTTATAGATTAGTCACAGCAGGCATAATGCTTAGGGCCCACCATGCTTTTAAGGGACCAGAAAAATGTTTTAATTTTTTTAAAAATCAGAAGAAAAATAAGTGAACTTATAGGCTGAAGAAAATGTTTTCATATATCATATTAACATATTTGTCCTTAGACCAACACAGTCATAAAATATAATTTCAATATGTTATGGAAGAAGGGACCCACAAAGGCAAAGGTGCCTTGTCGCATAATACAGCCCTACATAAGCCAGATAACCAGAAGGAACAAACAAGATAAAGCAATTCTTGTGATGCAACACCATTCTGAATGTTAGGAAACACAAGTGAGCTGGTTGCAAAGGAACCTCATTGCCAGGGTGAGCAATGTGAAAGAACAATATGTTTACATAAGGACAAATAACTGCATCACTGTTCACAGAAGGCCTGCGGGTTGAATATTCCAAAGGTGATTTCAATAGTTCTATATCTGCTACACACTATCTGTAAACCTTTAAATTCACCCACAGGCCACACACATTAGCAGAGAGAAGCCAGACCCTAATATCTTGGGATCAGTTTCACCCTTAGTACTGTCCTGGTTTTCCCCTAGGAATATTGACCTTTTCCAACCCTTCTAGCTTTGGGCTATACATTTAGACTTCCTTTTTATGCCTTTGCCCCTGTCTTCATCCTGCTGAACTATGCATACCAGTTTGTCCTGGGTTATGACTTTTGCTTCCCTGCTTCACTAAGATTCTTCCTCTCACTATACTGTCTACAATCATTTAGGGACCATTCTGCCCTAACCCAATCTTCTCTTCAGATTCCTTGGCATAAGCTTTATATTTTCAAAAGTCACCAATAATATAAGAAAAATTGTTATCATGGTCTAGCAGCTAGAAGTGGGACAGGTGTGATTTTGGGTTTCTTGTTCAGCTAAATGACCTTCACCTTTAACTTCTCTGATACTCAAATTTATTTGGCTGTTATCATAATGGGTGGCAAATCCTAATTAATTCATTTTGTCCTTTGTAAGTGAGAAGCAAGCAGATTGTTTAATAAGTACTAATGTTACACTTCTACTTCATATATAAAGGTCTTGAATTAATTTTTTCAACAAATACACATTACGTATTATGTGCATATACTATTCTAGGCACTGGAGTGTGTATGGTACTTGAAAATATGAGGACTAATGAAAGTGAGGTTTGAACAGATTCCTAAAGAAAGTGTACAAGAAAGCCATATACATATCCTTTCAAAAAGTTGGAACGAGAAGTAGAAAAGCACTGAAGCAGGGACATGCTTGGAATGCTTCAGAACAACAAAACCTCAGTGTGACTAGAACAGAGGTGAGCCAAAAGAAAATAGTAAAAGATGGGGTCAGTGAGGCAGAATGACCAAATTATGTATGACTTTGTCAACCATTGTACTATGGCTTTTACTTTAAATTAGGTAAAAAGTCATTGGAAGATTTTGAGCAAAGACATGATCTGACATGTGAAAAAGATCTCTTTGGTTCTTGTGGCCTAGATACAGGGAGGCCTGAAGAGATGGAGCAATTGAGGCAATCTAACTCAACTATTTGGCTGAGTGTTACTGCATTATTTGACTATCAAGTAGTAGACTCCAAATCCTATTGTTTGGCCAAGATTTTTGGTCTAACATAACTGCTGCAAGACATTCGTTATTGTTTATTTTCAAATATAGTCTTCTGCTTATATTATAGTGTCATGTCAATTCTTGAAAATATTTTTATTCAATTAGCAAGTTTTCAAATCATAAGCATATGTTTATGGTTAAATATATCTGAAGTAAACAATCACTATAAAATTATTCCTTTAAGCTTTTTAATAATTACTTTCTCTGTTTTTACTAAATACTTTGTTTTTGCTCACTTGGTAGAAGCTGGAGGAGCGGCCCTTTTAGTACAAGTCTTTATCAACTAATCTAAGTGAGTATTTCAGACCGAATGCTGATTGTAAAGCTTATTGTACTTTCAGGCACAATTGTTCTATCCATGAGTGGTGACATAATTGATTCCCTACTTGGCATAGAAAACAGTAAAGGGAAAAGAAAGGATGCAAGATTGGAAAGCCACATGGTCAGGTCAGGCACTGCATTTTCAATTTCAATTTAACAAACACTTCTTGAATATATTCAAGTCTCTATACTAGCTGCTAAAATAAATAAATAAAGTTAGATAAGGTAACTGATACTAATGAGCTCATTTCATCTAATAAGTTATATATATTCAGAATTTTCTTAATACCACTTTAAATGTAGCTACAAAACCTCTTCAAAGGAAATTAAGATGTTTTTGGACTTTCCATCATTTTGGTTTATCTAACCTGTACTACTTTTCCCCCAGTTTGTGTAGGTAATTAAAAGTTAACTTTCTTTTCAAACCAGTTGGCCCACCAGCTGGGAAATGGAGCATTTTTAGATTGTAATTTTTTTTTTATATACTTTAAGTTTTAGGGTACATGTGCACAACGTGAATGTTTGTTACACAGGTATACATGCGCCATGTTGGTGTGCTGCACCCATTAACTCATCATTTAGCATTAGGTATATCTCCTAATGCTATCCCTCCCCCCATCCCCAACCCACAACAGTCCCCAGTGTGTGATGTTCCCCTTCCTGTGTCCATGTGTTCTCATTGTTCATTTCCCACCTATGAGTGAGAACATGCGTTTGGTTTTTTGTCCTTGCGATGGTTTGCTGAGAATGATGGTTTCCAGCTTCATTCATGTCCCTGCAAAGGACATGAACTCATCATGTTTTATGGCTGCATAGTATTCCATGGTGTATATGTGCCACATTTTCTTAATCCAGTCTATCATTGTTGGACATTTGGCTTGGTTCCAAGTCTTTGCTATTGTGAATAGTGCCACAATAAACATACGTGTGCATGTGTCTTTATAGCAGCATGATTTATAATCCTTTGGGTATATACCCAGTAATGGGATGGCTGGGTCAAGTGGTATTTCTAGTTCTAGAACCCTGAGGAATCACCACACTGAATTCCACAATGGTTGAACTAGTTTACAATCCCACCAACAGTATAAAAGTGTTCCTATTTCTCCACATCCTCTCCAGCATCTGTTGTTTCCTGACTTTTTACTGATTGCCAATCTAAGTGGTGTGAGATGGTATCTCATTGTGGTTTTGATTTGCATATCTCTGATGGCCAGTGATGATGAGCATTTTTTCATGTGTCTTTTGGATGCATAAATGTCTTCTTTTGAGAAGTGTCTGTTCATATCCTTCACCCACTTTTTGATGGGGTTGTTTGTTTTTTTCTTGTAAATTTGTTTGAGTTCATTGTAGATTCTGGATATTAGCCCTTTGTCAGATGAGTAGATTGCAAAAATTTTCTCCCATTCTGTAGGTTGCCTGTTCACTCTAATGGTAGTTTCTTTTGCTGTGCAGAAGCTCTTTAGTTTAATTAGATCCCATTTGTCAATTTTGGCTTTTGTTCCCATTGCTTTTTGTGTTTTAGACATGAAGTCCTTGCTCATGCCTATGTCCTGAATGGTATTGCCTCAGTTTTCTTCTAGGGTTTTTATGGTTTTAGGTCTAACATGTAAGTCCTTAATCCATCTCGAATTAATTTTTCTATAAGGTGTAAGGAAGGGATCCAGTTTCAGCTTTCTACATATGGCTAGCCAGTTTTCCCAGCACCATTTATTAAATAGGGAATCCTTTCCCCATTGCTTGTTTTTCTCAGGTTTGTCAAAGATCAGATAGTTGTAGATATGTGGCATTATTTCTGAGGGCTCTGTTCTCTTCCATTGATCTATATCTCTGTTTTGGTACCAGTACCATGCTGTTTTGGTTACTGTAGCCTTGTAGTATAGTTTGAAGTCAGGTAGCGTGATGTCTCCAGCTTTGTTCTTTTGGCTTAGGACTGACTTGGTAATGTGGGCTCTTTTTTGGTTCCATATGTACTTTAAAGTATTTTTTTCCAGTTCTGTGAAGAAAGTCATTGGTAGCTTGATGGGGATGGCATTGAATCTATAAATTACCTTGGGCAGTATGGCCATTTTCATGATATTGATTCTTCCTACCCATGAGCATGGAATGTTCTTCCATTTGTTTGTATCCTCTTTTATTTCATTGAGCAGTGGTTTGTAGTTCTCCTTAAAGAGGTCCTTCACATAAAATACTTTACAGACAAGCAAATGCTGAGAGATTTTGTCACCACCAGTCCTGCCCTAAAAGAGCCCCTGAAGGAAGCACTAAACATGGAAAGGAAAAACTGGTACCAGCCACTGCAAAAACATGCCAAATTGTAAAGACCATCAAGGCTAGGAAGAAACTGCATCAACAAACGAGCAAAATAATCGGCTAACATTATAATGACAGGATGAAATTCACACATAACAATATTAACCTTAAAAGTAAATGGGCTAAATGCTCCAATTAAAAGGCACAGACTGGCAAATTGGATAAAGAGACAAGACCCATCAGTGTGCTGTATTCAGGAAACCCATCTCACGTGCAGAGACACACATAGGCTCAAAATAAAGGAATGGAGGAAGATCTACCAAGCAAATGGAAAACAAAAAAAGGCAGGGGTTGCAATCCTAGTCTTGGATAAAACAGACTTTAAACCAACAAAGATCAAAAGAGACAAAGAAGGCCATTACATAATGGTAAAGGGATCAATGCAACAAGAAGAGCTAACTATCCTAAATATATATGCAACCAATACAGGAGCACCCAGATTCATAAAGCAAGTCCTTAGTGACCTACAAAGAGACTTAGACTCCCACCCAATAATACTGGGAGACCTTCACATCCCACTGTCAACATTAGACAGATCAATGAGACAGAAAGTTAACAAGGATATCCAGGAATTGAACTCAGCTCTGCACCAAGTGGACCTAATAGACATCTACAGCACTCTCCACCCCAAATCAACAGAATATACATTCTTTTCAGCACTACACCACACCTATTCCAAAACTGACCATGTAGTTGGAAGTAAAGCACTGCTCAGCAAATGTAAAAGAACAGAAATTATAACAAACTGTCTCAGATTGTAATCTTAACAGTCATTTTAAGACTAGAAGGGGGCTGGGTGCTGTGGCTCACATCTGTAATCTCAACACTTTGGGAGGCCAAGGTGGATGGATCACCTGAGGTCAGGATTTTGAGACCAGCCTGGCCAACATGGTGAAACCCCATCTCTACTAAAAAAAAAAAAAGCACAAAAATTAGCCGGGCATGGTGGTGCATGCGTATATTTCCAGATACTAGGGAGGATGAGGCAGGAGAATTGCTTGAACCCAGGAGGCAGAGGTTGCAGTTAGCTGAGATTGTGCCACTGCACTGCAGCCTGGGTGACAGAGCAATACTCCATCTCAAAAAAAAAAAAAAAAGACTAGAAGGGCCCCGAAATGTTATTTTCTCCATATCTCTGCTTGCAAGCAGTACATGTCTCAACTATGCCTAAATACACAGGCCTCAGTGTTTAGCCAAGTTCTATGCCAACTGTATTAGTCTATTTTCATGCTGCTGGTAAAGACATACCTGAGACCAGGCAATTTACAGAAGAAAGAGGTTTATTGGACTTACAGTTCTACATGGCTGGGGAGGCCTCACAATTATTGTGGAAGGCAAAGAGGGGCAAGTCACATCTTACATGGATGGCAGCAGGCAAAGAGAGAGATTGTGCAGAGAAACTCCCATTTATAAAACCATCAGATCTCGTGAGACCCATTCACTATCATGAGAACAGCATGGGAAAGACTCACCCCCATAATTCAGTCATCTCCCACTAGGTCCCTTCCACAACATTTGGGACTTATGGGAGCTACAAGGTGAGATTTGGGTGGGGACATAGAGCCAGAGCATATCACCAATCTATATTTTGTTCATCTCTTAGCAGGAAGATTACCTCATGTGATAATTTTACATGTCTGAACACATTTTGTCTCTACTCACTCAAAAAACATATAGTAATAAACTCCCAAAAACTCTTTCAAATGACAATATGAAACTAGAAATTTTTGGCTGGGAGCAGTGGCTCACAACTGTAATCCCAGCACTTTAGGAGGCCGAGGCAGGTGGATCACCAGGTCAGGAGATTGAGACCATCCTAGCTAACATGGTGAAACCCAGTCTCTACTAAAAATACAAAAAATTAGCTGGGTGTGGTGGTGGGTGCCTGTAATCCCAGCTAATCAGGAGGCTGAGACAGGAGAATGGCATGAATCCAGGAGGCAGAGCTTGCAGTGAGCTGAGATCACACCACTGGATTCCAGCCTGGGTGACACAGCGAGACTCCATCTCAAAAAAAAAAAAAAAAAAAAAATAGAAATTTTTAGGAATGAATGGCTGTCTTAGGCATTGTAGAACTGGCAATAAATTTTTATTTTTGGACGGAAAACTATAAGAAGGCAGCAAGACCCTTTCCTATTATTAAGGCTAAGCAAAACAAACATTATTTTAACCTTTGTTATGTTCTGGCTCACATTTACTTCACCATTTTACTGGACTTTCTCTTGCATTGCCCAATGCTGGGTGTCTGTACTTTTTTCCCCTACATCTGTTTTTCCTCAAACTCCATTAAGTTTCTGCACTTTCTGTGTAACTATTATTTTCCTTGTGTAACTTTTTCTCCTCTTTTGTTGTTTTTGTTATATATCATTAGACTGTATTTTTACATTTTTATTCTTACTGGCTTTTTAAAATATTCTTGTTCTCTTTTTTTCCCCCATTACTTTTTGAACCCCCTTTCTCTTCTGCCCTGGTAAGTACAAGTCTTATGCCCTTTTGAAATATCACTGTAGTGCTACCACTCTTCCAGGATGTGATCAAGCCTTGGCCTCTCTGTCAGTTTGTTAATAATCATGTGAATTAGCCAGAAAAGGTAGAAGAGACAACATCCAAGTCTGGCATCTCCAGTTTCTCACTGAATTACAAAGTGAAGAAATACTGAAATTTTACCACTGTACATTTTCATTCGACATTTTATCTACATCTAAGGAGAAAACAGACTTAGTGCTAATTTCAATAAAGGACTTGTCAGGGTAAGAGAAAATTCTACCTCCATTTTTTAAACTACTGTATGATTTTTAGGTGGCATTTTGTAACTATTGATTCAGGAAAAATATGGACTTTGATTAGTATGGCATTCAGGTCTGCAATATATTGGCCAGCATGAGTAGTGGCCCAATGGATCCAGCAGACCAGTTTAGCCACTTAGGAGCACCAAGCAGACCCAAAACCCAACTCATGTCTCCTACCTTCTTAGTGTTTCTTACTTAATATACCTCTAATCTTATAACTGACACAACTGTACAAAGATTTTCATCATATTGCGGACCATCTCGTCTCCTTCAGTAAAATTAATGGTTTGCATTAACAATAAAAGTTAAATTGATAACAATTATAGTAGCCAGAATAATGACCACCACTCCTACTCCCTGCAAAGATGTTCACATTATAATCCCTGTAACCTTTGAAAATGTTACCTGGCTGGCAAGATGGCCAAATAGGAATAGCTCCCGTCTGAAGCTCCCAGTGAGATTGATGCAGAAGGTGGTTGATTTCTGCATTTACAACTAGGACCCAGTTCATCTCATTGGGACTGGCTGGACAGTGGCTGTAGCCCATGGAGGGTGAGCCAAAGCAGGATGGGGCATTGCCTTACCCAGGAAGCACAAGGGGCCAGGGAACTCCCTCTCCCAGCCAAGGGAAGCCATTAGGGACTGTACCATGCACGCTGGCCCAGATAATGTGCTTTTCCCACAGTCTTCACAAACCACAGACCGGGAGATTCCTTCCGGTGCCTATACCACCAGGGCCCCTGGGTTTTCAGCACAAATCGGGGTGGCCATTTGGACAGACACCAAGCTAGCAGCAGGAGTTTTTTTCATACCCCAGTGGTGCCTGGAACACCAGCAAGACAGAACCCTTCACTCCTCTGGAAAGGGGTCTGAAGCCAGGGAGCCAGGTGGTCTGACTTGGCAGGTCCCACCCCCATGGAGCCCAGCAAGCTAAGATCCACTGGCTTGAAATTCTTGCACCAGCACAGCAGTCTGAGCTCTACCTGAGATGTTCAAGCTTGATAGGGGGGAGGGGTGTCCGCCATTGCTGAGGCTTGAGTAGGTGGTTTCACCCTCACAGTGTAAACAAAGTTGCAGGGAAGTTGGAACTAGGCAGAGCCCACCCCAGCTCAGCAATGCCACTGCGGCCAGACTGCCTCCTCTCTGGGCAGGGCATCTCTGAAAAAAATGGCAGCAGCCCCAGTCAGGCACTTATAGACAAAACCCCCAACTCGCTGGTACAGAGCACCTGGGGGAAGGGGCGGCTGTGGGTGCAGCTTCAGCAGACTTAAATGTACCTACCTGGCAGCTCTGAAGAGAACAGCGGATCTACCAGCACAGCATTCGAGCTCTGATAAGGGGCAGATTGCCTCCTCAAGTGGGTCCCTGACCCCCATATATCCTGACTAGAGACACCTCCCAGTAGGGGCTGACAGACACCTCATACAGGAGAGCTCTGGCTGGCATCTGGCAGGTGCCCCTCCGGGAAAAAGATTCCAGAGGAAGGAAAAGGTAGCAATCTTTGCTGGTCTGCAGCCTGCACCAGTGATACCCAGGCAAACAGGGTCTGGAGCGGACCTTCAACAAACTCCAGCAGACCTGCAGCACAGGTGCCTGACTGTTAGAAGGAAAACAAACAAACAGAAAGAAATAGTATCAACATCAACAAAAGGATGTCCACTCAGAGACCCCATCTGAAGGTCACCGACCTCAAAGACCAAAGGTAGATAAGTCCATGAATATGGGGAGAAACCAGTGCAAACAGTTTGAAAATTCCAAAAGCCAGAACCTCTTTTCTCCTCCAAAGGATCACAACTCCTTACCAACAAGGGAATAAAACTGGATGGAGAATGAGTTTGACAAATTGACAGAAGTAGGCTTTAGAAGGTGGGTAATAACAAACTCCTCCGAGCTAAAGAAGCATGTTCTAACCCAATGCAAGGAAGCTAAGAACCTTGAAAAAAGGTTAGACAAATTGCTAACTAGAATAACGAGTTTAAAGAAGAAAATAAATGACCTGATGGAGCTGAAAAACACAGCATGAGAACTCCGTGAGGCATACACATGTATCAATAGCAAAATCAATCAAGTGGAAGAAAGGATATCAGAGATTGAAGATAAATTCAATAAAATAAAGCAAGAAAACAAGATTAGAGAAAAAAGAGTAAAAAGAAATGAAAAAAGCTGCCAAGAATATGGGACTATGTGAAAAGACAAAATCTACATTTGATTGGTGTACCTGAAAGTGATGCAGAGAATGGAATCAAGTTGGAAAACACTCTTCAGGATACTATCTAGAGGAATTTCCCCAACTTAGCAAGACAGACCAGCATTCAAATTCCAGAAATACAGAGAACACCACAAAGATACTCCTCTAGAAGAGCAACTCCAAGACACACAATTGTCAGATTCACCAAGGTTGAAATGAAGGACAAAATATTAAGGGCAGCCAGAGAGAAAGGTCAGGTTACCCACAAAGGGAAGCCCATCAGATTAACAGTGGATCCCTCAGCAGAAACCCTACAAGCCAGAAGAGAGTGGGGGCCAATATTCAACATTCTTAAAGAAAAGAATTTTCAACACAGAATTTCTTGTCCAGCCAAACTAAGCTTCATAAGTGAAAGAGAAATAAAATCCTTTATAGCAAGGAAATGCTGAGAGATTTTGTCGTTACCAGGTCTGCTCTACAAGAGCTCCTGAAGGAGGCACTAAACATTGAAAGGAACAACTGGTACCAGCCACGACAAAATCATACCAAATGGTAAAGACCATTGAGGGTATGAAGAAACTATGTAAACTAACAGGCAAAATGACCAGCCAGCATCAAAATGGCAGGATCAAATTCACACATAACAATATTAACCTTAAATGTAAAAGAGCTAAATGCCCCAATTAAAAGACACAGATGGGCAATTGAATAAAGAGTCAAGACCCATCAGTGTGCTATATTCAGAAGATCCATCTCACGTGCAAAGACACACATAGGCTCAAAATAAAGGGATGGAGTAATATTTACCAAAAAAACAAAATGGAAAGCAAAAAAAAGCAGGAGTTGCAAGCCTAATCTCTGATAAAACAGACTTTAAACCAAAAAAGATCAAAAGAGACAAAGAAGGCCATTACATAATGGTAAAAGGATCAATGCAGCAAGAAAAGCTAACTATCCTAAATATATGCACCCAATACAGCAGCACCCAGATTCATAAAGCAAGTTCGTAGAGACCTACAAAGAGACTAAGACTCCCAAACAATAATAGTGGGAGACTTTAACACCCCACTGTCAATATTAGACAGATCAATGAGACAGAAAATTAGCAAGGATATTCAGGACTTGAACTCAGTTCTGGACCAAGCAGACCTAATAGACATCTACAGAACTCTCCACCCCAAATTAACAGAATATAAATTCTTCTCAACACCACATTGCACTTATTCTAAAATTGACCACATAATTCAAAGTAAAGCACTCCTAAGCAAATGCAAAAGAACGGAAATCACAACAAACAGTCTCTCAGAATACAGTGCAATCAAATTAGAACTCAGGATTAAGAAACTCACTCAAAACCGCTCAACTACATGGAAACTGAACAAAAGGCTCCTGAATGACTACTGAGTAGATAATGAAATGAAGGCAGAAATAAATAAGTTCTTTGAAACCAATGAGAACAAACACACAATGTACCAGAATCTCTGGGACACAGCTAAAGCAGTGTTTAAAGGGAAATTTATAGCACTAAATGCCCACAAGAGAAAGCAAGAAAGATGTAAAATCAACACCATAACATCATAATTAAAAGGACTAGAGAACCAAGAGCAAACAAATTCAAAAGCTAGCAGTAGAGAAGAAATAACTAAGATCAGAATGGAACTGAAGGAGATAGAGACAGAAAATACCATTCAAAAAAAATCAATGAATCCAAGAGCTGCTTTTTTGAAAAGATCAACAAAATAGATAGACCCCTAGCCAGACTAATAAAGAAGAAAAGAGAGAAGAATCAAATAGGTGCAATGAAAAGTGATAAAGGGGATATCACCATCAATCCCATGGAAATACAAACTACCATCAGAGAATACTATAAACACCTCTATGCAAATAAACTAGAAAATCTAGAAGAAATGGATAAATTCCTGGACACATACACCCTCCCAAGTCCAAACCAGGAAGAAGTTGAATCCCTAAATAGATCAATAACAAGTTCTGAAATTGAGGCAGCAATTAATAGCCTACCAACCAAAAAATGTCCAGGACAAGACAGACTCACAGCCAAATTCTACCAGAGGTACAAAGAGGAGCTGGTACCATTCCTTCTGAAACTATTCCAAACAATAGAAAAAGAGGGAATCCTCCCTAACTCATTTTTAGAGGCCAGCATCATCCTGATGCCAAAACCTGGCAGAGACACAACAAAAAGAAAATTTCAGGCCAATATCCCTGATGAACATCAATGCAAAAATCCTCAATAAAATACTGGCAAACCAAACCCAGCAGCACATCAAAAAGCGTATCCACCATGATCAAGTCGGCTTCATCCCCAAGATGCAAGGCTGGTACAATGTATGCAAATAAATAAACATAATCCATCACATAAACAGAACCAATGACAAAAACCACATGATTTTCTCAGTAGATGCAGAAAAGGCCTTTGACAGAATTCAACAGCCTTTCATGCTAAAAACTCTAAATAAACGAGGCATTGATGGAACATATCTCAAAATAATAAGAGCTATTTATGACAATCACACAGCCTATATCATACTGAATGGTAAAAACCCAGAAGCATTCCCTTTGGTAACCAGCACAAGACAAGGATGCTCTCTCTCACCACTCCTATTCAACATACTATTGGAAGTTCTGGCCAGGGCAATCAGGCAAAAAAAAGGAAGAAAGGGTATTCAATTAGGAAAAGAGGCAGTCAAAATATCTCTGTTTGCAGATGACATGATTGTATATATAGAAAACCCAACGTCTCAGCCCAAAATCTCCTTAAGCTGATAAGCAACTTCAGCAAAGTCTCAGGATACAAAATCAATGTGCAAAAACCACAAGCATTCCTATACAACAATAACAGACAATCAGAGAGCCAAATCTTGAGTGAACTCCCATTGACAATTGCTACAAAGAGAATAAAATACCTAGGGATCCAACTTACAAGGGATGTGAAGGACCTCTTCAAGGAGAACTACAAACCACTGCTCAAGGAAATAAGAGAGGACACAAACAAATGGAAAAACATTCCATGCTCATGAATAGGCAGAATCAATATCAATAAATAGCCATAATGCCCAAAGTAATTTATAGATTCAATGTTATACCCATCAAGCTACCATTGACTTTCTTCACAGAATTGGAAAAAACTACTTTAAAGTTCATATGGAACCAAAAAACAGCCTGCATAGCCAAGACAATGCTAAGCAAAAAGAACAAAGCTGGAGGCATCATGCTACCTGACTTCAAACTACGCTACAAGGTTACAGTAACAAAAACAGCATGATACTGATACCAAAACAGATATATAGACCAATGGAACAGAACAGAGACCTCAGAAATAATGCCACACTTCTACAACCATCTGATCTTTGACAAACCTGACAAAAACAAGAAATGGGGAAAGGATTCTTTATTTAATAAATGGTGTTGGGAAAACTGGCTAGCCATAGGCAGAAAGCTGAAACTGGATCTCTTCCTTACACCTTATAAAAAAATTAATTCAAGATGGATTAAAGACTTAAATGTAAGACCTAAAACCATAAAAACCCTAGAAGAAATCTTAGCCAATACCATTCAGTACATAAGCATGCGAAAAGACTTCATGACTAAAACACCAAAAGCAATGGAAACAAAAGCCAAAATAGACAAACGGGATCTGATCAAACTAAAGAGCTTCTGCGCAGCAAAAGAAACTACCATCAGAGTGAACAGGCCACCTACAGAATGGGAGAAAATTTTTGCAACCTATCCATCTGACAAAGGGCTAATATCCAGAATCTACAAAGAACTTAAATTCACAACAACAAAAAAAAAACCCATCAAAAAGTGGGCAAAGGATATGAACAGACACTCCTCAAAAGAAGACATTTATGCAGCCAACAAACATATGACAAAAAAGGTCATCATCACTGGTCATTATACAAATGCAAATCAAAACCACAATGAGATACAATCTCATGCCAGTTAGAATCACAATTATTAAAAAGTCAGGAAACAACAGATGCTGGAGAGGATGTGGAGAAATAGGAAAGCTTTTACACTGCTGGTGGGAGTTAAATTAGTTCAACCATTGTGGAAGACAGTGTGGCAATTCCTCAAGGATCTAGAACTACAAATACCATTTGACTCAGCCATCCCATTACAGGGTATATACCCAAAGGATTATAAATCATTCTACTATAAAGACACATGCACCCATATGTTTATTGTGGCATTGTTCACACTAGCAAAGACTTGGAACAAACCCAAATGTACATCAATGATAGACTGGATAAAAAAATGGGGCACATGTACACCATGGAATACTATGCAGCCAAAAAAAGGATGAGTTCATGTCCTTTGCAGGGACATGGATGAAGCTGGAAGCCATCATTCTCAGCAAACTATCACAGGACAGAAAACCAAACACCACATGTTCTCACTCATAGGTGGGAGTTGAACAATAAGAACACATGGACACAATGAGGGGTACATCACACACCGGGGCCTCAGGGGGTGGGGGGCTATGTGAGGGATAGCATTAAGATAAATACCTAATGTAGATGACAAGTTGATGGGTGTAGCAAACCACAAAGGCACATGTATACCTATGTAACAAACCTGCACATTCTGCACATGTACCCCAGAACTTAAAGTACAACTAAAAATAAAGAAAAAAAAAGTTACCTTACATGGCAAAGGAAAATTAAGGTTGCATATGGAACTAAGGTTGCTAATTAGTTGATTATAAAATAGAGAGCTGATCCTGGATTATTCAGGTGGATCCAATGTTATCACAGGGGTCCTGGAAAGAGAGTCAGAGTCTGACTGATTTAATGTGAGAAGGGTTCAGCCTCCCATTTATTGCCGAGGAGGGAGGAAGGGACCACAAGTCAAGGAATGTAGGCATTCCTTGCAGAAGAATTCATCCTCTAGAAGCTGGAGAAGGCAAAGAAAGGGATTCTCCCCTAGAGCCTTCAGAAGGAACACAGTCCTACTGACACCTTCATTTGAGCCAAATGAAACCTGTTTCAGACATCTGATCTCCAGAACTAAGAGAATAATAAATTAGTGCTGTTTTAAGCCATTAAATTTGTGGTAATTTACCACAGCAGCATTAGAAAATTTATTCAGTTTTTTTAAATGCCAGAGTTTCATCCTTATCTTTTTTAAATGTGTCAAAAATAAAATCAAGGCAATTTAGAGAACTGTTTTAAAGTTTATGGTACATGCAAAAGAAGAGTCTGAGAACTGGGAAACTGATGGTTGTAAAACGCCCCACTCAGCAGTTATGATGCCACTTATAAAGCATAAAGGGGAAAGTATTTTGACCTTTATTGTGATTGGTTGTTATACAGCACCACTCTTTTTAGTGCAAGTAGAAATGTTTAAGTCTATTTGTCTATAGCTCATTGGTTCAATTTCATTGAATCATGCTGACAAAGATGTAAGGTTTATCTTTTGTGTTTCATTTACTATTAGAAGTCGCATTTTGCATGAATCACAATAATTTAAGTTTTGGTTACATGGCTATGAGCAGTTAGCCATGTGGTATATCTAAATTATGGTCTCTATTTTTTTCTGTTTAACATGTATAATATAGATTTTTAAATGTAATTTAAATTCTTAGCTCTACAATCCAAAGCCAGCTCTTTGTCTCCAACAAATCTGCTTCTGAATTTTGATGTGATTATTTCTTCTTTTTCTTCTTTTTTTTTAATTACACTTTAACTTTTGGGGTACATGTGCACAACATGCAGGTAAGTTACATATGTATACATGTGCCATGTTGGTGTGCTGCACCCATTAACTCGTTAACATTAGTTATATCTCCTAATGCTTTCCCTCCCCTTCCCCCCACCCCACAACAGGTCCCAGTGTGTGAAGTTCCCCTTCCTGTGTCCATGTGTTCTCATTGTTCAATTCCCACCTATGAGTGAGAACATGCGGTGTTTGGTTTTTTATCCTTCCGATGGTTTGCTGAGAATGATGGTTTCCAGCTTCATTCATGTCCCTGCAAAGGACATGAACTCATCATTTTTAATGGCTGCATAGTATTCCATGGTGTATATGTGCCACATTTTCTTAATCCAGTCTATCATTGTTGGACATTTGGCTTGGTTCCAAGTCTTTGCTATTGTGAATAATGCCACAATAAACATACGTGTGCATGTGTCTTTATAGCAGCATGATTTATAATCCTTTGGGTATATACCCAGTAACGGGATGGCTGGGTCAAATGGTATTTCTAGTTCTAGATCCCTGAGGAATCAAAACACTGATTTCCACAATGGCTGAACTAGTTTACAGTCCCACCAACAGTGTAAAAGTGTTTCTATTTCTCCACATCCTCTCCAGCACCTGTTGTTTCCTGACTTTTTAATGATCACCATTCTAACTAGTGCGAGATTGTATCTCATTGTGGTTTTGATTTGCATTTCTCTGATGGCCAGTGATGATGAACATTTTTTCATGTGTCTTTTAGCTGCATAAATGTCTTCTTCTGAGAAGTCTCTTCATATCCTTTGCACACTTTCTGATGGGGTTGTTTGTTTTTTTCTGGTAGTTTCTTTTGCTGTGCGGAAGCTCTTTAGTTTAATTAGATCCCATTTGTCTATTTTGGCTTTTGTTCCCATTGCTTTTGGTGTTTTAGACATGAAGTCCTTGCCCATGCTTGTGTCTTGAATGGTATTGCCTAAGTTTTCTTCTAGGGTTTTTATGGTTTTAGGTCTAACATTTAAGTCTTTAATCCATCTTGAGTTAATTTTTGTATAAGGTGTAAGGAAGGGATCCAGTTTTAGATTTCTACATATGGCTAGCCAGTTTTCCCAGCATCATTTATTAAATAAGGAATCACTCCCCCATTTCTTGTTTTTGTCAAGTTTGTCAAAGATCAGATGGTTGTAGATATGCAGCATCATTTCTGAGGACTCTGCTCTGTTCCATTGGTCTATATATCTGTTATGGTACCAGTACCATGCTGTTTTGGATACTGTAGCATTGTAGTATAGTTTGAGGTCAGGTAGCATGATGCCTCCAGCTTTGTTCTTTTGGCGTAGGATTGACTTGGCAATGCGGGCTCTTTTTTGGTTCCACATGTACTTTAAAGTATTTTTTTCCAGTTCTGTGAAGAAAGTCATTGGTAGCTTGATGGGGATGGCATTGAATCTATAAATTGCCTTGGGCAGTATGGCCATTTTCACAATATTGATTCTTACTACCCGTGAGCATGTAATGTTGTTCCATTTGTTTGTATCCTCTTTTATTTCATTGAGCAGTGGTTTGTAGTTCTCCCTGAAGAGGTCCTTCACATCCCTTGTAAGTTGGATTCCTAGGTATTTCATTCTCTTTGAAGCAATTGTGAATTGGAGTTCACTCATGATTTGGCTCTCTGTTTGTCTGTTGTTGGTGTATAAGAATGCTTGTGATTTTTGCACATCATTGATTTTGTATCCTGAGACTTTGCTGAAGTTGCTTATCAGCTTAAGGAGATTTTAGACTGAGACGATGGGGTTTTCTAGATATACAATCATGTCATCTGCAAACAGGGACAATTTGACTTCCTCTTTTCCTAATTGAATGCTCTTTATTTCCTTCTCCTGCCTGATTGCCCTGGCCAGAACTTCCAACACTATGTTGAATAGGAGTGGTGAGAGAGGGCATCCCTGTCTTATGCCAGTTTTCAAAGGGAATGCTTCCAGTTTTTGCCCATTCAGTATGATATTGGCTGTGGGTTTGTTATAGATAGCTCTCATTATTTTGAGATATGTCCCATCAATACCTAATTTATTGAGAATTTTTAGCATGAAGGTTGTTGAATTTTGTCAAAGGCCTTTTCTGCATCTATTGAGATAATCATATGGTTTTTGTCGTTGGTTCTGATTATATGCTGGATTACGTTTATTGATTTTCATATGTTGAACCAGCCTTGCATCCCAGGGATGAAGCCCACTTGATCATGGTGGATAAGCTTTTTGAAGTGCTGCTGGATTCCGTTTGCCAGTATTTTATTGAGGATTTTTGCATTGATGTTCATCAGGGATATTGGTCTAAAATTATCTTTTTTTGTTTTGTCTCTGCCAGGCTTTGGTATCAGGATGATGCTGGCCTCATAAAAAGAGTAAGGAAGGATTCCCTCTTTTTCTATTGACTGTAATAGTTTCAGAAGGAATGGTACCAGCTCCTCCTTGTACCTCTGGTAGAATTCGGCTGTGAATCCATCTGGTTCTGGACTTTTTTTGGTTGGTAAGCTATTAATTATTGCCTCAATTTCAGTGCCTGCTATTGGTATATTCAGAGATTCAACTTCTTCCTGGTTTAGTCTTGGGAGAGTGTATGTGTCGAGGAATTTATCAATTTCTTCTAGATTTTCTAGTTTATTTGCATAGAGGTGTTGATAGTATTCTCTGATGGTAGTTTGTATTTCTGTGGGATTGGTGGTGATATCCCCTTTATCATTTTTTATTGCATCTATTTGATTCTTCTCTTTTCTTCTTTATTAGTCTTGCTAGCGGTCTATCAATTTTGTTAATCCTTTCAAAAAACCAACTCCTGGATTCATTGATGTTTTGAAGGGCTTTTTGCATCTCTATTTCCTTCATTTCTACTCTGATCTTAGTTATTTCTTGCCTTCTGCTAGCTTTTGAATGTGTTTGCTCTTGCTTCTTCAGTTTTTTTAATTGTGATGTTAGGGTGTCAATTTTAGATCTTTCCTGCTTTCTCTTGTGGGCATTTAGTGCTATAAATTTCCCTCTACACACTGCTTTGAATGTGTCCCAGAGATTCTGATATGTTGTGTCTTTGTTCTCGTTTGTTTCAGTGAACATCTTTATTTCTGCCTTCGTTTCTTTATGTACCCAGTAGTCATTCAGGAGCAGGTTGTTCAGTTTCCATGTAGTTGAGCACTTTTGAGTGAGTTTCTTAATCCTGAGTTCTAGTTTGATTGCACTGTGGTCTGAGAGACAGTTTGTTATAATTTCTGTTCTTTTACATTTGCTGAGGAGTGTTTTACTCCCAACTATGTGATCAATTTTGGAATAAGTGCAGTGTGGTGCTGAAAAGAATGTATATTCTGTTGATTTGGGGTGGAGAGTTCTGTAGATGTCTATTAGGTCTGCTTGGTGCAGAGCTGAGTTCAAGTCCTGGACATCCTTGTTAACTTTCTGTCTCATTGATCTGTCTAATGTTGTCAGTGGGGTGTTGAAGTCTCCCATTATTATTGTGTGGGAGTCTAAGTCTGTTTGTAGGTCTCCAAGGACTTGCTTTATGAATCTGGGTGCTCCTGTTTTGGGTGCATATATATTTAGGATAGTTAGTTCTTCTTGTTTATTGATCCCTTTACCATTATGTAATGGCCTTCTTTGTCTCTTTTGATCTTTGTTGGTTTAAAGTCTGTTTTATCAGAGACTAGGATTGCAACTCCTGCCTTTTTTCATTTTCCATTTGCTTGATAGATCTTCCCCCATCCCTTTATTTTGAGCCTATGTGTGTCTCTGCCTGTGAGATGGGTTTCCTGAATACAGGACACTGATTGGTCTTGACTCTTTATCCAATTTGCCAGTCTGTGTCTTTTAATTGGAGCATTTAGCCCATTTACATTTAAGGTTAGTATTGTTATGTGTGAATTTGATCCTGTCATTATGATGTTAGCTGGTTATTTTGCTCCCTAGTTGATGCAGTTTCTTCCTAGCCTTGATGGTCTTTACAGTTTGGCATGATTTTGCAGCGGCTGGTACCAGTTGTTCCTTTCCATGTTTAGTGCTTCCTTCAGGAGCTCTTTTAGGGCAGGCCTGGTGGTGACAAAATCTCTCAGCATTTGCTTGTCTGTAAAGGATTTTATTTCTCCTTCCCTTATGAAGCTTAGTTTGGCTGGATATGAAATTCTGGGTTGAAAATTCTTTTCTTTAAGAGTGTTGAATATTGGCCCCCACTCTCTTCTGGCTTGTAGAGTTTCTGCTGAGAGATCAGCTTTTAGTCTGATGGACTTCCCTTTGTGGGTAACCCGACCTTTCTCTCTGGCTGCCCTTAACATTTTTTCCTTCATTTCAACTTTGGTGAATCTGACAATTATGTGTCTTGGGGTTGCTCTTCTCGAGGAGTATCTTTGTGGTGTTCTCTGTATTTCCTGAATCTGAATGTTGGCCTGCCTTGCTAGATTGGGGAAGTTCTCCTGGATCTTATCCTGCAGAGTGTTTTCCAACTTGGTTCCATTCTCCCTGTCACTTTCAGGTACACCAATCAGATGTAGATTTGGTCTTTTCACATAGTCCTGTATTTCTCAGAGGCTTTGTTCATTTCTTTTTTTTTTCTTTTTTCTCTAAACTTCTCTTCACACTTCATTTCATTCATTTCATCTTCCATCACTGATACCCTTTCTTCCAGTTGATCGAATAGGCTACTGAGGCTTATGCGTTTGTCACGTAGTTCTCGTGTCTTGGTTTTCATCTCCATCTGGTCCTTTAAGGACTTTTCTGCATTGGTTATTCAAGTTAGCCATTCATCTAATTTTTTTTCAAGGTTTTTAACCTCTTTGCCATGGGTTCGAACTTCCTTCTTTAGCTCGGATTAGTTTGATCATCTGAAGCCTTCTTCTCTCAGCTCATCAAAGTCATTCTCCGTCCAGCTTTGTTCTGTTGCTGGTGAGGAGCTGCATTCCTGTGGAGGAGGAGAGGTGCTTTGATTTTTAGAGTTTCCAGTTTTTCTGCTCTGTTTTTTCCCCATCTTTGTGGTTTTATCTACCTTTGGTCTTTGATGATGGTGACGTACAGATGGGGTTTTGGTGTGGATGTCCTTTCTGTTTGTTAGTTTTCCTTCTGACAGTCAGGACCCTCAGCTGCAGGTCTGTTGGAGTTTGCTGGAGGTCCACTCCAGACCCTGTTTGCCTGGGTATCAGCAGTGGAGGCTGCAGAACAGTGGATATTGGTGAGCACCAGATGTTGCTGCCTGATTTTTCCTCTGGAAGTTTTACAGAGGAGTACCCAGCCATGTGAGGTGTCAGTCTGCCCCTACGGAGGGGTGCCTCCCAGTTAGGCTACTCAGGGGTCAGGAACCCACTTGAGGAGGCAGTCTGTCCGTTCTCAGATCTCCAGCTGCGTGCTGGGAGAACCACTACTCTCTTCAAAGCTGTCAGACAGGGACATATAAGTCTGCAGAGGATTCTGCTGCCTTTTGTTTGGCTGTACCCTGCCCCCAGAGGTGGCATCTACAGAGGCAGGCTGGCCTCCTTGAGCTGCTCTGGGCTCCAGCCTGTTCAAGCTTCCCAGCCACTTTGTTTACCTACTCACGCCTCGGCAATGGTGGGTTCCCCTCCCCCAACCTCGCTGCCTCCTTGCAGTTTGATTTCAGACTGCTGTGCTAGCAATGAGCGAGGCTCTGTGGGCATAGGACCCTCTGAGCCAGGCAGGGCATATAATCTCCTGGTGTGCCATTTGCTAAGACTGTTGGAAATGCACACTATTAGGGTGGGAGTGACACGATTTTCCAGGTGCCATCTGTCACCCCTTTCTTTGACTAGGAAAGGGAATTCCCTGAAACCTTGCACTTCCCGGGTGAGGTGATGCCTCGCCCTGCTTTGGCTCATGCTCAGTGTGCTGCACCCACTCTCCTGCACCCACTTTCTGACACTCCCCAGTGAGATGAACCCGTTACTTCAGTTGGAAATACAGAAATCACCCATCTTCTGCGTCACTCACACTGGGAACTGTCAACTGGAACTGTTCCTGTTCCATGATTATTTCTTTTTTTTTTTTTTTTTTTTTTTATTTTCAAGGAGAACTACAAACCACTGCTCAATGAAATAAAAGAGGATACAAACAAATGGAAGAACATTCCATGCTCATGGGTAGGAAGAATCAATATCATGAAAATGGCCATAGTGCCCAAGGTAATTTATAGATTCAATGCCATCCCCATCAAGCTACCAATGACTTTCTTCACAGAACTGGAAAAAACTACTTTAAAGTTCATATGGAACCAAAACAGAGCCCACATCACCAAGTCAATCCTAAGCCAAAAGAACAAAGCTGGAGGCATCACGCTACCTGACTTCAAACTATACTACAAGTCTACAATAACCAAAACATCATGGTACTGGTACCAAAACAGAGCTATAGATCAATGGGACATAACAGAGCCCTCAGAAATAACGCTGCATATCTACAACCATCTGATCTTTGACAAACCTGAGAAAAACAAGCAATGGGGAAAGGATTTCCTATTTAATAAATGGTGCTGGGAAAACTGGCTAGCCATATGTAGAAAGCTGAAACTGGATCCCTTCCTTACACCTTATAGAAAAATTAATTCAAGATGAATTAAAGACTTAAACGTTAGACCTAAAACCATAAAAACCCTAGAAGAAAACCTAGGCATTACCATTCAGGACATAGGCATGGGCAAGGACTTCATGTCTAAAACACCAAAAGCAATGGCAACAAAAGCCAAAATTGACAAATGGGATCTCATTAAACTAAAGAACTTCTGCACAGCAAAAGAAACTACCATCAGAGTGAACAGGCAACCTATAAAATGGGAGAAAATTTTCGCAACCTACTCATCTGACAAAGGGCTAATATCCAGAATCTACAATGAACTCAAACAAATTTACAAGAAAAAAACAAACAACGCCATCAAAAAGTGGACCAAGGATATGAACAGACACTTCTCAAAAGAAGACATTTATTCAGCCATGATTATTTCTTGCAGCAAAAATTCTATTTAAAAATCTTATGTTGAAAAATTATTTTCAGTATTATCTAGAGTGATTTTGTCAAAATAGCTTCTTTATATAAGGAAATGCTATCATAAGCATTTAATTTTTAAATAATTATCATAAGATTTGTACTTCATTTAAGCATTTAGACTACCCCTGCTATTCTCTTCTCTAGTTTTGTCTTGTATTTTTTTTCATGGGACTGTTTTAATCCTAAAGAAGATATTTAAGTTTCAAAAATTTCAGACCGGTTTCCACACAACAAACCTTTTATAGTTAAGTCAGTAATATTTGAATATATGTAAATAAAGTTGTTAAATCTTGTTAGGCAAAGCCTCTGACCAAACTTCTATTTGAATGATAAACATATTTGGAACTCTGTAGCTATTCTTCTTTTCTCCTCTATGTCAGAAACATTTATATTTTATATTTGTGTGATTTTAGACAAGTTACTTAACTCCCTGCACTTCAGTGTACCAGACAAGATTATTTAACATTCTATGATACTATCACTTTAAAATTTGCCCTAAGTGTTTGATAAGAAAGGTGAGAACTAGAAAAGCATTGCAAATTTTCCCTAACCAGGGCCAAGCTTAAGCTTTTAAAGCTTTGAATTCCCACTTTTTCTTTTGCCTTGGTATTAATTACTGCATTAGTTACTGTATTAGTCTATTTCCATATTGCTACGAGGACATACCTGAGACTGCCTAATTTATAAAGGAAAGAGGTTTAATTGACTCACAGTTCTGCAGGGCTGGGGAGGCCTCAGGAAACTTATAATCATAGCAGAAGGGGAAGCAAACATGTCCTTCTTCACATGGTGGCAAGAAAGAGATGTGCAGAGTGAAGGTGGGGGAGATCCCCTTATAAAACCATCAGATCTAGTGAGAACTCACTCACTATCATGAGAACAGCACGGAGGTAACTGCCCCCATGATTTAATTACCTCCCACAGGGTCCTTCCCATGACACGTGGGGATTAGATGAGCTACAGTTCAAGATGAGATTTGGGTCAGCACACAGCCAAACCATATCAGTTACCAATATCCATTAGGTAGTCTTTAAAAAATCCTCAATTTCAACTGTATACATACCCTAGATATGGGTAACCCTCATAAAATACAATCTCCCTCCTTCCTTCTATTCTTTCAGCTGCAAAGTCTTTAAGGAATTTAATGTTACTGATAAAATAAAATAACAAGTCTTAGAAATGTCTCTTAAAAAGATGAGGCTCCTAGGGAGAGAAAAAGAAGAGAGCTAGGCCAGAAACTTCTAGAGATGTCTATCAGATAAAGATTCTAACAGTTATTCTCTTTCCACAACATTTTATCTCCCCATTTTAATCCTTTTTCTTCTTTGAAGTCTCCAACTCTACCAGGATCTCTGCCATAAGCTATGAGGAGAAGCACTGCCTGTGTGTGTAGCTGAGAAGGGCCACACACTCAACGACCAGAGACCAAATCTACACCTTGTTCTCAGTTTTAATAAGTCTTATGCCACCTTTCTGATTTAATCTTAATAACTGTCCATCTTTGCTAAGACATACCAGCACTGACCACCACTTACTAACCTCTTGAATAAACTTCTTAAAAAAAGAGTCCCCTTTTAAAAATATTGGAGTAATATTTGAACTTCGGGTCCTCCTTTTATTTTTATTTTTTTTTATTTTTTTTATTTTATTTTATTTTTTTTTTTTTTTTGAGACGGAGTCTCGCTGTCACCCAGGCTGGAGTGCAGTGGCGCAATCTCGGCTCACTGCAGGCTCCGCCCCCTGGGGTTCACGCCATTCTCCTGCCTCAGCCTCCCGAGTAGCTGGGACTACAGGCGCCCGCCACCTCGCCCGGCTAATTTTTTGTATTTTTAGTAGAGACGGGGTTTCACCGTGTTAGCCAGGATGGTCTCGATCTCCTGACCTCGTGATCCGCCCGCCTCGGCCTCCCAAAGTGCTGGGATTACAGGCGTGAGCCACTGCGCCCGGCCCGGGTCCTCCTTTTAAATTTACTCTGTGTATTAGATTCATGTAGTCTTAGAGTAGTACATAATTTCTTTGTCTTAAAAAAACAAAACAAAATAAGAACAGAAAACCAAATACCACATGTTCTCACTTATAAGTAGGAGATAACATTGCATACACATGAACATTAACATGGGAGCAATAGACACTTAGGACCACTAGATTAGAGAGGGAGAGAAGTGGTCTGAAGAGCCACCTTTGGATACTATGATTACTACCTGGGGGATGGAATCATTGGGACCCCAATCCTCAGTGTCATGGAATTTACTCATTTAGCAAGACTACATGTGTACTTTTTAATCTATAATAAAAGTTAATTAAAAAAAACTTTCTTTCTGATACAGAAATATCGTATTATTTTAAAAATGAGTGCTGCTGTACTGCTATGTACTAGTTGAATATCAGCCTCGAACGGGTTCAAATTAGAAGAGAAAATGAAGTTCCCAAAAGAATATCTCCAAGAAGAATGAAATAGAATCAAATAGTTGGTAACTCAAGAAGGAAGCTGGAAGATATGTGAGAAATGATAAACTCAGTTTCTCTCAACAAGAAAACAGAAATTAAAGAAGCTCATGCTCGCAAAATGAAACAATCCACAAAAGTGAGTTTGAAATGAAAAGAATCTGTTAAACTTAACCTTGATGTTAGGAACATGCTCCTTTGAGGAACACCAAAATAATAGTATCAGAACCTAGAAAAGAAAATGTAATCGGAGCATATTGCCAACGTAAAATGAGACAATATTATAAATACTGTTTACTTGAACTCATCTTTTAAAATAAATCTTTGTCTATGACTTTTCTACGAATGAAAAAATACGCAACATACTATCCCTTGGCAGACTGTTTTATTTTGTAAACTTGCCACTGAGCTCTTTTGCATCTTATTATACAGCCTAATTTGCCAATAGCTAATTACAGCCTTCATTGACTAACCCCATTCTCACAGCACTCTAATAATAAAACAAGGAGTCTGATGGCATCACTTATATGGAATTCATTAGGAAAGAAGGGGATATCACATTGTTACCCTCCTCTATTCACATGTATGTGTTTATTCCTTCAGGCTTTCATGCCTGAAATAAATTTATTGGAATCCCACTATACTATATGTTAAGCCTACAATTCAAGAACAGCTAGGCCAAGGACATAGTGTTCCATCTTTATGATCACATACAGATTTCCCATTAAAAATATTCTCTATTTCAAAAGATTTAATAGTATGGTGCTTTAAAAATAATTCCAGATGACTAAATTTTAGAACTGAAAATATCTCACTACTAGAAATATTTTATTTTTATTGTAATTTGTACAAATTTTCATTCACTAGAGGCCTTACCACATAATGTTTTCTTTTTAAGAGATAGGTTGGGTTTAGAAGATTTACTGATTTTTCATATTGTTAATAATATTATTTTATTATATTATTTATTTTAGCTGTGTTTGTACCTATGTAAGATGGCCTCACTCTTATTGACACATTTTCAGTGATTTATTATGCAAGACATGTTGATATTTTTCTACACTGTTTTGCTACTTTTTGTATCAACTTGGCCATCTCTGTTACTCACATGCAACCCCACCCTCTTTTCTTTGAAGTTTCTGCTTTCTTAAATTAAAAATAAACTTCATTGAGCCTAATGGCTTAGTATGTCAAGAAGGAAAAAATTTAAAAACAACAGTGATTAAGTACATAACTTTTAACCGAAGTGAATATTTCCAAAATAAGCAACACTGAACAAATATTTCCCAATAGTCTATAGAGAGCCCATGTGTACTACAATAGGAATGTTTTTATCACCCTCACATCATACTTTATAGTAAATGTGTCCAAACAGCGTTTGAACACTTTATTAACTTGCTGTTCTCTATGACAAGAAGTCACTGAATAATAAGTTGAACCTCTTGGCCACAGCATCTGCTAGCTTAAGTCACATGACTATTAGGCAGGTCATTTGCCAGCCCTACAATTAAAGACGTAGAGTGTAAGCACAGCCATTCATTGCTAAATGCCAAAGGAGAGGGGGTCATAATGCAATACATTTTTATATTTTATACAAGACATTATTTCAGAATTATTCTGAGGTAACTGTACATATGCTGAAATGATGCAAAAAAAGGAAAAAACTACGTTCATCTTATTGTGCTGTCATCTAAATGCAAAATTTTTCATCACATGTAATTTAAGCCTCCTAGTAACCATACCATTTTTAACTGATACATTACCTTTGATGGCTTGGCTGTCCCTGATGTATGCCTCTCTGAAGTACCCTTGGTTGTTTTGGTGTGTTATATGATTTGGCTGTGTCCCCATCCAAATCTCATCTTGAATTGTAGCTCCCACAATTCCCACATGTTGTGGGTGGGACCCAGTGGGAGATAACTGAATCATGGGGGCGGTTTCCCCCATACTGTTCTTGTGACAGAGAATAAGTCTCACATGATCAGATGATTTTATAAGGGAATATTCCTTTCACTTGGCTCTCACTCTTCTTTCATCTGCCACCATGTAAGACATGACTTTCACTTTCCACCATGATTGTGAGGCCTCCCTAGCCACATGAAACTGTGAGTCAATTAAACCTCTCTCTTTTGTAAATTGCCCAGTCTCAGGTATGTCTTTATCAGCAGTGCGAAAATGGACTAACGCAGTAAATTGGTACCAGGAGTGCAGTGCTGCTGAAAAGATACCCGAAAATGTGGAAGCAACTTTGGAACTGGGTAACAGGCAGAGGTTAAAATAGTTTGGAGGGCTCAGAAGAAGGCAGGAAAATGTAGGAAAGTTTGGAATTCCTTAGAGACTTGTTGAATGGCTTTGACCAAAATGCTAATAATGATATGGACAATGAAATCCAGGCTGAGGTGGTTGCAGATGGAGATGAGGAACCTCTTGGGACCTGGAGTAAAGGTAACTCTTGCTATGTCTTAGCAAAGAGACTGGCAGCATTTTGCCCCTTCCCTAGAGATTTGTGGAATATTGAACTTGCGGGAGATAATTTAGGGTATTTGGTGGAAGAAATTTCTAAGAATCAAAGCATTCAAGAGGTGACTCGGGTGGTGTTAAAAACATTAAGTTTTAAAAGGGAAACAGAGCATAAAAGATTGGAAAATTTGCAGCCTAATGATGCGATAAAAAAGCAAACCCATTTTCTGAGGAGAAATTCAAGACTGATGCAGAAATTTGCATAAATAACAAGGAGCTGAATGTTAATCACCAAGACAATGGGGAAAATGTTTCCATGGCATGTCAAAGACCTTCACGGCAGCCCCTCCCATCACAAACTTGGAGACCTATGAGGAAAAGAAGGTTTTGTGGGCCGGGCCCAGGGCCCTTCTGTTGTGTGAAGCCTAGGGACTTGGTGGCCTGCATCACAGCCACTCCAGATTTAGCTAAAAGGGGCCAAGGTACATCTCAGGCTGTGGCTTTGGAGGGTGCAAGCCCCAAGCCTTGGCAGCTGCCATGTGTTCTTGAGACTGTGGGTGCCTAGAAGTCAAGAATTGAGGTTTGGGAACCTCCACCTAGATTTCAGGATGTATGGAAATGCCTGGATGTCCAGGCAGAATTCTGCTGTAGGGGCTGAGCCCTCATGGAGAACCTCTGCTAGGGAAGTGCAGAGGGGAAATGTGGGGTGAAGCCTCCACACAGAGTCCCAAATGGGGCACTGCAAGTGGAGCTGTGAGAAGAAGACCACCATTCTCCAGACCCCAAATGGTAGATCCACTGACAGCTTGCACTGTGTGCCTCTAAAAGCTGCAGATACTCAACTCCAGCCTGTGAAAGCAGCCAGGAGAGTGGCTATACCCTGCAATGCCACAGGGACAGAGCTGCCCAAGGCCATAGGAGCCCACCTCTTGCATCAGCGTGACCTGGATGTAAGACATGGAATCAAAGGAGATCATTTTGGAGCTTTAAGATTTGACTGTCCTGCTGGATTTTGGACATGTTTGGGGCCTGTAGCCCCTTTGTTCTGGCCAATTTCTCCCATTTGGAATGGCTGTATTTACCCAATGCTTGTACCCCCATTATATCTAGGAAGTAACTAACTTGCTTTTGATTTTACAGGCTCATAGGCAGAAGAGATTTGCCTTGTCTTGGATGAGACTTTGGACTGTGGACTTTTGTATCAATGCTGAAATCAGTTAAGACTTTGGGGACTGTTGAGAAGGTATGATTGGTTTTGAAATGTGAGGACATGAGATTTTGGAGGGTCCGGGGATGGAATGATATGGCTTGGCTGTGTCACCACCCAAATCTGATCTTGAATTGTGGCTCCCATAATTCCCACATGTTGTGGGAGGAACCAAGTGGGAGATAATTGAATCATGTGGTTTGTTTTTTTTTTCATACTGTTCACATGATAGTGAGTAAGTCTCATGAGATCTGATGTTTTTATAAGGTGTTTCTGCTTTTGCTTGGTGCTCATTTTTCTCTTGCCTGCTGCCATATAAAACATGCCTTTCACCTTCTACCATGATTGTGAGGCCTCCACAGCCACATGGAACAGTGAGTCCATTAAACCTCTTTTTCTTTATAAGTTACCCAGTCTTGTGTATGTCTTTATCAACAGCATGAAAACAGACTAACACAGTGTGTCTTCCCATAGGCCTATAGACTCTAATTCACCAAGCTTCATTCTTTTTTTTTTTCCTGCTACACTATAAGCTGTTCAACTCTTCTGCTTAGCCTAAGAAACCAGTTAGTCTGGTTTCTTCTAATAGCAATTGCTTGTTAAAGGAATATAAAAGTTTTTGAGCACTTCTAAGCAGCTGTGTTATGTTAAAACATAACAAGTCTTTCTGAAAAAATTAGAGAAAACTTAGCTTTTGTATATCACTAACCAAAATAGTTGTCCTCATTTTTAACATAATCACAATGAGCTGGAACCTCACTACAACGCACAGACTGACTCTTTGTGGCACACAGTAGGCACCCAAAAAAATTGTTGAATGGGTGAAAAATAAATGATGGAAGATTATTTTAGTTGTGTCGTTACCTAAACTACCTGCTCAAATAGGGATTAGTGAGAACTATACGTCACTTATGCTAGCATTATCTTCTAGAACTTGTAAAAAAATAATAATCTAAAATTGTCCTAGATATTTGCATTTTATGAGTAGTGGCTCCAGAATGTTGAGATTTTCAAGTGATACTGATGAATTATTACATATAAAACTCTAGGCATCCTGATAATATTATGATTCGGACCACAGTGTAAACAACACACCCTCCACAAAAACAACACAGCCTCCACAAAATGCAACTATGATGACTTCTCATATAACTTTATATAAGGACAAACTGAGAGGTCCCTCCTGTGGAAGTAGTTTATTACTGCTATCTTCTTTCAGGCTACCTGTATTTCTTCCAGGTTCTGGGCAGGTATTTTTGACCCTGAATTACATTATCACATGGTTTGAAATGGAATCTGGAACTTACATAGTCTGCTTAGCATTTTTCTTCCTTTATGATGTAACTTCATTCTTCCCCTCACTGCCAGCTGACTATAAAGAATATATGACTGCAGAAAGGACGACAACCCAAATCTGTCACAGACCCCAAGACTGCTGATGCCTCAGTCAGGAAAGGACTTCACACATGTTTAACGGGCATTGATGTAACCATTGGGTGAGCATTGCATTTTTTTATGTTAACTCAAAATGACTATTTAGTACAACTTAAAACAGAAAAATTCCAGTTATACTCATAACAAAAAAAATAGGGATTTTTTAATGGTTTTTCACAATGAGTAAGTATGTTTCCATCTCATTTGAGTTTGTATGGGCAAAACACCTAAAAGTAAACAATACTGAATTTTATTCTACTCTCCTGATAGTTTAAAGCATATTTTAAACTAGCAATGTTGGAAAATTTAAAACATCTCAGACATTGAAATTATAAAAAAACAGGTAAAGAAAAAAAGGTAGGATAGTGAAAGTAGAAGGAAGAATTGATATTTGTTCTCTCTTGCACAGAAATACCTTCTGGAATTCCTGAATCAAACAGCATTTGAAACATTTTAAATGTGGTATCCCATGAGTTCAAGAGATAAACCATCTCCCTCAGTATAGATCAATTTTTTTTCATTCTACTGAAAACAATATCTTTAATAAATATTTTTTAATACTTAAAGCCAACAAGTATTTTTTAATGCTTGTTACAAATCCAACATTCCAGGTTCTGGGGATGATGGAAAATAAATAAACAATATAGTTACTGGATTCATGAGAGTCTCAAAATTTTTATTAGGAAACAAGATTTACATATATGAAGCCATTAAACTATGACATTAACTTTCTAATCTATACAGACAATAAATAATATTCAGGGTAATAATTTTTATTTAAAGCCATCTTCCCATTTCTCATCACTAATTGTCTTGATTCTGCATTAAAAGATTCAGGCCAAGACAACACTCTCCCAGATAGATAAGGGAAGCCTGTGGGATAGGATGAAATAGCCATGTTATAAAGATTGTCCCTTTTCCTGATGCACATTTTGTGTAAGAAAGAATGAGCCAAAGGGATATTAGTGTCATGTTAAATATTGTGGACATCTGAGCTTTGACTTCTTATTGAAATAATGGGAGAGAAAAAAAATTTGAAGTTGTGAACTAGAAAGGAACCTGGGCAGACCAAGGCAGAGATTAGAGCAGTAATTCAAAAACGAGTGTTATTAGATAATGACCAGTGATGTTTGTTTTTATTTTTAATTTTAGTGAGTACATAGTTATGTATATATATATGAGGTGCATGAAATGTTTTGATTCAGGCATGCAATGCATAATAATCACATTGTGAAAAATGGGGTATCCATCCTCTCAATCATGTATCCTTTGTGTTAAGAACAATCCAATTATACTCTTTTAGTTATTTTAAAATGTACAATTAAGTTATTATTTACTATAGTCACCCTGTTGTGCTATCAAATGGTAGGTCTTATTCATTCTTTCTATTATTTTTGTACCCATTATTCATCCTCACCTCTTCCCCCACACCCCCAGTTCCCTTCCTAGCTTCTGTTAACCATCCTTCTACTTACTTTCTATGTTCATGAGTTCAACTGCTTTAATTTTTAGATCCCTCAAATACGTGAAAAGATGTGACAATTGTCTTTCTGTGCCTAGATTATTTCACTTAATGTAATAATCTCCAGTTCCGTCCACGTTGTTGCAAATGACAGTCTCATTCTTTTTTATGACTGAATGATACTCCATTGTGTATATGTACCAATTTTCTTTATCCATTTATCTGTCAACTGACACTTAGGTTGCTTCTAAATCTTAGCTATTGTGAACAGTGCTATAACGAACATGGGAGTGCAGATATCTCTTCAATATACTGATTTCCTCTCTTTTGGGGATATACCAAGTAGTGGGATTTCTAGATCATATGGTAGCTGAATTTTGAGTTTTCTTGGGAAGCTCCAAACTGTTCTCCATAGTGGTTGTACTAATTTACATTCCCACCAACAATGTACAAGTGTTCCCCTTTCTCCACATCTCCTCCAGCATTTTGCCTGTTTTAGGGGGATATAAGCCATTTTAACTGGGTGAGATGATATCTCATTGTAGTTTTGATTTGCATTTATCTGACGATCAATGATGTTTAGCACATTTTTATATGCCTGTTTGCCATTTGTATGTCTTCTTTTAAGAAGTAACTATTTACATTTTTTGGCTTTTTTATTCAATTATTAGATTTTTTTTTCCTATTGAGTTGTTTCAGCTCCTTGTATTAACCCCTTGTCAGATGGATAGTTTGCAAATATTTTGCCCCATTCTATGGCTTGTCTCTTCACTTTCTTGATTGGTTCATTTGCTGTGAAGAAGCTTTGTAACTTGATGTGAGCCCATTTGTCCATTTTGGCTTTGGTTTCCTGTGCTTTTGGGTATTGCTCAAGACATTTTTGCCTAGACCAGTGTCCTGGAGAGTTGCCCTGACATTTTCTTATAATAGTTTCACAGTTTGAGGCCTTAGATTGAAGACTTTAATCCATTTTGATTTTATTTCTGCATATGGCTAGAGATAGGGGCCTAGCTTCATTCTTCTGCATGCGGATATCTAATTTTCCCAACACCATTTATTGAAGAGACTGTCTTGCTTCAGAGTATGTTCTTGGCACCTTTGTTGAAAACAAGTTCACTAAAAGTGTTTGAATTTGTTTCTGAGTTCTCTGTTTCATTGGTCTATGTATCTGTTTTCATGTCAGTACCAGGCTTTTTTGGTTATTATTTGTAATATAATTTGAAGTCAGGTAATGTGATTCCTCCATTTTCGTTCTTTTTGCTTAGGACAGCTTTAGCTATTCTGGGTCGTTTCCGGTTTTACATACATTTTAGGATTCTTTTATCTATTTCTGTGAAGAATGTCATTGGTATTTTGATAGGAATTGCATTGAATCTGTGGATCACTTTGGGTAGTATGGACATTTTAAGAATATTCATGCTTCCAATATATGAACATAAAATATCCTTCAACTTTTTAGTGTCCTCTTCAATTTCTTTCATCAGTGTTTCACAGTTTTCATTATAGAGCTCTTTCACTTCTTTGATTAAGTTAATTCCTGTGTATTTATTTTATGTGTGTGTTGTAAATTAGATTACTTTTTTATTTTTTCAGATTGTTCACTTCATTATTGGCATATAGAAGTGCTGCTGGTTTTTGTATGTTGATTTCTTTAGTCTGAAACTTTGTTAAATTTGTTTATCTGTTCTTTTTGTCAAGTCTTCAGATTTTTCCAAATATAAAATCATATTATCTGCAAAAAAGGATAATTTTACTTCTTCCATTCCAATTTTGATGTCCTTTGTTTCTTTCTCTTATCTGACTGCTATAGCTAGGACTTCCAGTACTACGTTAAACAACAGTGGTAACAGCAAGCCTCATTGTCATGTTTCAGGTATTAGAGGAAAGGCTTTGAGTTTTTTCCCATTCAGTATCGTACTAGTTGTGGGTCTGTCATAGATGGCTTTTATTATGTTGATGTATGTTCCTTCTGTACACAGTGTTTTTTAGAATTTTTGTCATGAAGGGATGTTAAATTTTATCAAATGTTTTCAGCATCACTGAAAGGATCATACGGTTTTTATTCTTTATTCCATTAATAGGATGTATCACATTGATTGAGTTGCATATGTTGAACCATCCTTGCATCCCAGGGATAAATCCCACCTGGTCATGATGAACGATTTTTCAAATGTGTTTTTCAATTGGTTTTGGTAGTATTTCATTGAGGATTTTTGCATCAATATTCATTAGATACATTTTTTATGTGTCTTTGTCTGGTTTGCTTTCAGGGTTTGCTTTCTGGCCTTGTAGAATGATTTTGAAAGTATTTGCTCCTCCTCTACTTTTTGAATAGTTTGATTAGGATTGATATTAGTTCTTCTTTAAATGTTTGGTAGAATTCAGCAGTGAAGCAATCAGGTTCTGGGCTTTTCTCTACTAAGAGACTTTTTATAATGGTTTTAATCTCATTACTTTTTATTGGTCTTTTCAGGTTTTGATCTTTTTTTTCCTGGTTAAATCTTGGTACGTTGTATGTGTCCAGGAATTTGTCCATTTCTTCTAGTGACATATAGTTGCCTCGTAACCACTAACAGTTCTTTAAATTTCCACTGTAATTCTGGAGAATTTCTGCAGTAATTAAGGAGAGTAATAAAGCAGAGTAACATCTCCTTTTTCATTTCTAATTTTATTTATTTGTATTTTCTCTTTTTTTCTTACTCCGTCTAAAAGTTTGTCAATTTTGTTTAACTTTTCAACAAACCAACATTTTTTCCCTTGATCTTTTGTATTGTTGTCTGCATTTCAATTTCATTTATTTTTGCTCTGATCTTTTTTGTCTCTTGTCTTCTACTAATTTTGGATTTGACATGCTCTTGCTTTTCTAATTCTTTTAGATGCATTATTAGATTGTTTATTTGAAGATTTTCTCTGTTTTGATACAGGCACTTACAGTTATTAACTTTCTTCTTAGTATTGCTTTTGCTGTATCCCATAGATTTTGGTAGGTTTTGTTTCTGTTATCATTTGCTTTAAGAAATTTTTCAATTTCATTCTTAATTTCTTCACCAACTCACTAGTCACTAAGAAGCATATTGTTTAATTTTTATGTATTTGTATAGTTTTCAAAATCCCTAATTTCTGTTATTATTTATTCTGTTTTGGTCAATGAGGATGCTTGATAGTATTTAAAATTTTTTGAATATTTCAATACTTGTTTTATGACCTAACATATGGTCCATCCTTGAAAATGATCCATGTAATGAAGAAAAAAATGTGTATTCTGCAGCCACTGGATGAAAGATTCTGTAAATATCAATTAAATCCATGTGGTCTATAGGGCAGCTTAAATCAATGTTTCTTGATTTTCTATCTGGAAGATCTGTCAAATGCTAAAAGTGGGATGTTGAAGTCTCTAGCTGTAATTGTATTTAGGCCTCTCTCTCTGTCTCTCTCTCAATCTAATAATATTTGATTTATATATCTGGGTACTCCAGTGTTTGGTGCATGTATATTTATAATTGTTATATCCTCTTGCTGAGTTGAACCCTTTGTCATTATATAGTGACCTTCTTTGTCTCTTCTTATAGTTTTTGTCTTGAAATCTATTTTGTCTGATATAAGTACAGCTACTTCAAATCTTTTTTAGTTTCCATTGACATGGCTTATCTTTTTCCATCCGTTATTTTCAGTGTATGTTTCTCTTTATAGATGAAATATTTTTATTGAAGGCAACAGATCAGTGGGTCTCTTTTTTGTATCCATTTAGCTACTCTAGGTTTTTTAATTGGAAAATTTTGTCCATGTATATTCAATGTTATTATTGATAAGTAATGACTTACTCTTGGCATTTTGTTACTTGTTTTCTGTTTGTTTTGAGGTATTATCTTCTTTCTATCTTTCTTATCTTCTTTTTAGTGAAGGCATTTTTCTCTGGTGTTGTGATTTAGTTTCTTGCCTGTCATTTTTTGTGTATCTGTTGTAAGTTTTTTGGCTTGAGGTTACCATAAGGCTCATGAATGCTATCTTATAACCCATTATTTTAAGTTGATAACATTGTTTGCATAAACAAACAACAAAAAGAAAACTAACAAAGACTCTATGCCTTAACTTCATTCCTTCACTTTCTAACTTTTTGTTGTTTCTATTTATCTCTTTTTACTATGTCTTGAAAAGTTGTTATAGTTATTCTTTTTGATTGGTTCATCATTTAGTCTTTCTACTTAGGCTAAGAGTTTACACATCACAGCTACAGTGTCACAATATTTTGTGTTTTTTTGTGTACTTACTATTACCAGTGAATTTTGTACCTTCAGACGGTTTCTTTTTTTCCTTTCTTTTCTTTTCTTTTTTTTTTTTTTTTTTTTTTTGAGACAGAGTCTTGCTCTGTTGCCCAGGCTGGAGTGCTTGCAGTGGCATGATCTCGCCTCACCACAAGCTCTGCCTCCTGGGTTCATGCCATTCTCCTGCCTCAGTCTCCTGAGCAGCTGGGACTACAGGCCCCTGCCTCCACGCCTGGCTAATTTTTTTTTGTACATTTAGTAGAGATGGGTTTTCATCATGTTACCCAGGATGGTCTCGATCTCCTGATCTTGTGATCCACCTGCCTCAGCCTCCCAAAGTGCTGGGATTACAGGCATGAGCCACTGCGCCCAGCCCAGATGATTTCTTATTGCTCATTTATGTCATTTACTTTCTGACTGAAGCACTCCCTTTAGCATGTCTTGCAGGACAGGTCTGGTGTTAATGAAATCCCTCAGATTGGCTTTGTATTTTTTTTTTTTTTTTTTGGTCTGGGAAAGTTTTTATTTCGCCTTCATGTTTGAAGGATATTTTCACCAGATGTCCTACTCTAGGGCAAACGTTTTCCTCCTTCAGCACTTTAAATATATTATGCTACTCTCTCCTGACCTATAAGGTTTCCACTGCAAAGTCTGCTGCCACACCTATTGGAGCTCTGTTGTATGTTGTGTGTTTTCTCTTGTTGCTTTTAGGATCCTCTTTTTCCTTGACCTTTGGGAGTTGGATTATTAAATGCCTTGAGGTTGTCTTCTTTGGGTTAAATCTGCTTGGTGTTCTATAACCTTATTGTACTTGGATATTGATATCTTTCTCTTGGTTTGAGAATTTCTTTATTATCACTTTAAATAAACTTCTTACCCCTGTATCTTCCTCTACCTCCTCTTTAGGGTGAAGAACGCTTAGTTTTGCCCCTTTCAGGCTATTTTCTAGATCCTGTAGTGTGCTTTGTTGTAGTTTTTTATTCTTTTTTCTTTTGTCTCCTCTGACTGTACATTTTAATAGCCTGCATTCAAGCTCACTAATTCTTTATTCTGCTTGACCAATTCTGCTATTCAAAGGCTCTGATGTATTAGCATTCTTTAGTTGCATTTTTCAGATCCAGAATTTCTGTTTGATTCTTTTTATTTTAATCTGTTTGTTAAATTTATCTGATAGAATTCTGAATTCCTTCTCTGTTATATTGAATTTCTTTGAGTTTCCTCAACACAACTACTTTGAATTCTCTCTAAAAGGTCCCATATCTGTTTCTCCAGGATTGGTCCCTAGTGCTTCATTTAGTTCATTTGGTGAGGTCATGTTTTCTTGAAATATCTTGATACTTGTAGGTGTTCATCTGTGTCTGGGCACTGAAGAGTTAGGCATTTATTATAGCCTTCCCAATCTGGGCTTGTTTTTACCCATCCTTCTTGGGAAGGTTTCCAGATATTGAAAACGACTTAGATGTTGTGATCTAAGTCATATTTGCTTTAGGGGGCACCTCAAGCTCAGTAACACTGTGTTTCTTGCAGACTTGTACAAATACGGCCTTGATGGTCTTGGACAAAATCCAGAAAAATTATCTGTATTAGCACACAGGGACTCTTGTTCTCTTTTTTTATTTTCTCCCAAACAAATGAAATCTTCCTATCTGTGCAGAGCCATACGGAGCAGAAGATGGAGTGACAGAAGAACCCCTGTGGCCACCCCATTATGACTATGCTGGGTCACACGTGAAGTCAGCACAGTACTGAATCTCACCTCAAGCCTACTGTAATGACTCCCTGGCTATGACCTATGTTCACTCACAGCCCTTGGGCTCTATAATCAGCAGGTAGCAAAGCCACCCAGGGCTGTGTGTGTCCTTTGCTTCAGGGTGGCAGGTTACCCCAGTCCCCAGGCGAGTCCAGAGGTGGCATCTTGGAACCAGGGAATAGAGTCAGGAATCTTAGAAGTCTACCTGGTGTCTTTTTGTACTACAGCTGAGCTGGCACTCAAACTACAAGATGCAGTCTTTCACACTCTTCTCTCTCTTTTCCAAAGGCAGAGGAGTCTCACCCCATGGACACCTCCACCATAGGTCCATGGTGAGTACTACCAGACGACTGCTGATGTTCCCTCATGGTCCAAAAGCTCTTGAGTCAACATGAAGTGAATGCTGCCTGGTCTGGGACTCACCCTTCAAGGAATTGGGTTTCTCTCTGGGTCACAGCAGGTCCAGAAATGCTGTCCAAAAGCCAAGCCTTGGAACTGGGGACCCCAAGAGCCCATTTGGTGCTCTACTCCTCTGTGGCTGACCTAGTACCTAAGGTGCAAGTCAATGTTCCATTTACTTTTCACTTCACTTTTCTCAAGGGGAAGGAGTATTGCCCCATAGCAACCACAGCTGGGGATGTGCTAATTCTCACCTTAAGCCAGCAAGTCTGAGAATCTCACCCAAAGCCCTCGACATAGTACCTGGGCATCACTGTTGGTTATTCGGAGCCCATGGGCTCTTCAGTTAGCAGGTGATAAACCCTGCCAGGACTGGGTCCTTTCCTTCATGGCAGCAGGGTCCGTTCTGGCCTAGGGGTGTCCAGAGATGTCATTTGGGAGTTAGGTCCTGGAAAGAGGGCATTGTGACTCTGACTGATGCCCTATTTTGCCAGGGCTCAGCTGGTATCCAAGATGCAAGACAAAGTCCTCCTCACTCTTTCCTCTCCTCTCCTCAAGCAGAAGGAAGGTGTCTCTTTTGGTGCTGAGAGCTACGCAGCTTGGAGTTTCAGAAAGAGTGATGCCAGCACTACTTTAGCTGCCCTCACTGGCATCTTGGTAGATCGCGTGCCCCCATAAGTCTACTGTCTCTGGGCCAAGTTCAGCACTAGAACTCATGTAAAAGTTGCAGCCCTGGTGGCCTAGACTGCCTTTCAAGTTTATTAGAACTCCAGAGCACATTATCCCACTGTGGTGAGGCTTGCAGAAACTCAAGGTCTGACTCCTGGGATCAGTGATTCCCCTCTGGCCAGCGCTGGTTTAAATCCTCCCTCCATAGTTGGGTGTCAGTTGAGTTTGGTCTGGTTTTCCTTTCTGCTATAACAGGACAGTACTGAGTTCAATGCCCCACAATTGCTGTTCTTTCCCTCATCCAGTGCCCAGAAACACTATCCGCACCACTCCATCACTGCTGAGGGTTGGGGAAGGGATGGTATCAGCAATTCAAGACTGTTTTCTCTACCTCTTCAATACTTATTTCAGCAATATAAAGTTAAAACCAGATATTGTGAGAGCTCACCTGATTTTTAGTTCTCATGAAAGTGCTTTTCTTGTGTAGATATTGTTAAATAGGTGTCTTTGTCAGTGGGGCAGCAGGCAGTGTCAGAGGAGCCTTCTATTTTGTCATCTTGCTCCACCTCCTAGTGCCATTTATTGAGAAGCATACACTTATTAGGTCCTTCAGGTAGGTTATACTTAATCATTTTTTAAAGTAAAGTATGCTTATATTTGCTATTACATTTTTAAAATTATTTTTAGATTCAGGGGTTACATGTGCAGGTTTGTTACATGGACAGACATATTGTGTAAGTTATGCCTAATTTTTGCAACAACTTTTATAGTTTGGAATTCTTTACTCACATGTCACTGATGAGGAAACTGAAACTCCCAGGGTTTAAGTAACTCCCCTAAGATTTCACAGCTAGAGAAAGTAGATAAATTCTTGACTCTTAAGCCCTTAGTTTTCCTACTCTACCAACAGTTTCTCTGAACTCATTCCATAGGACCTTCAACCCATGAGATGCACTCACATCTTGAGTGCAGCAGATGACACAGTAAGAGATGCAGCATAGCAAACCTTCAGCAAGCATTTATTGGGTTCCTATTAAGGCCAGGAACTGCACTAGATGCTAGACAAGCAAGAGACAAGAGGCAGAGGCTAGCCTTGCCTGTCTTGTGGGGAGCCTAGAATACATGATCAGAACAGATGGGGAGAAAAGAGGGACTCAGCATCATCTCGCACATCATAGACCTGCTTTCCTACAAGATGTCAAAAGCATCAGTAGAAGGTTAAGTTATGGAAGATAAGATTAGTTCACAAACTATGCCCAATTTCAAGCCCTGGAAGCAAAAAGTGTGAGAGAAGAAATAGCAGAATGTAATACTAATAATGACAGCAATCAAAATTTCCTGAGTGCTTACTAGGTGCCAAACACTCTTTTATACACTTAACATATGTTAATTTATTTAATATAAAAAGCATCAGAGCTATTTGTAGACTAAGAGCAGTAAATCATGTTGCATAAAAAATGATTATCTTATGAAATCTCTATGTCATTATTAACCTCAATAAACTGAAGTCCTTGGTCTCAATCTACTTGAGTATTTTCATATCATCTGTGCCAAAATCATCATTTTAGCGGACAATTTTTAGTATTGAGACTGAGAGTGAAAAAAAATCTCAACATTGAATTCATTTATCATCAGGAGCATATTATTCAGCCAATTTATCTTGTTAAGACCTTTAAGGAGTTGCCTTTTCCAAACTTCAACCAATTCTTGTTAAAATGTAGGTATTCATAAGTTCGGTTATTTTCCCAGTTGAAGCCCATGCCAGGGTAACATGAGCTCTCTGCTAGATAGAAATTTGTATCAGCCTGTATAATATTCAAAATACAATATTAACTTCTGCATTTATACCAGATATCTCAACTATTTGCTTTGCTTTATGATCGAGTAGAACTCCTATACTTCAGGATACAGTGGCTCTAGGCTCAAAATATGAACAGACATGTAACAAAAAATAGGATCCACAAACATATTAATGGTTATTCAACTTCATTACTCATCAGAGAATTAAAAACTAAAGCTGCCATATGATACTACTTCACACCATCTACTATGGCTAAAATGAAAAAGACTGTCAACACCAAGTGTTAGCAAAGATGCGGAGCAAACAGAACTCTCCGACACTACTAGGGAAAGTATAAACTGAAACACTGCTTGGCAAAATCTATTAAAAGTGTATGCTAAGAGAACAAAATACCTAGAAATACAGCGAACAAGGGATGTGAAGGACCTCTTCAAGGAGAACCACAAACCACTGCCCAAGGAAATCAGAGAGAACTCAAACAAATGGAAAAACATTCCATCCTCATGGATAGGAAGAATCAATATTGTGAAAATGGCCAAACTGCTGAAAGTAATTCATAGATTCAATGCTATTCCCATCAAATTACCATTGACATTCTTCTCAGAATTAGAAAAACCTACTTTAAATTTCATATGGAATCAAACAAGACCCCGTATAACCAAGACAGTGTTAAGCAAAAAGAACAAAGATGGAGGCATCACACTACCTGACTTAAAACTATACTACAAGGCCACAGTAACCAAAACAGCATGGCATTGGTACCAAAACAGACATAATGACCAATGGAACAGAACAGAGACCTCAGAAATAACACCACACATCTACTACCATCTGACCTTCAACAAACCTGACAAAAACAAATAATGGGGAAAGGATATTCTATTCAATATATGGTGCTAGGGAAATTTGCTAGCCATATGCAGAAAACTGAAACTGGACCCCTTCCTTACACCTCATACAAAAATTAACTCAAGATGGATTAAAGACTTAAATATAAAACCCAAAACCATAGATTTCAAAAATTTTCTCCCATTCGGTAGGTTGCCTGTTCACTATGATGATAGTTTCTTTTGCTCTGCAGAATCTCTTTAGTTTAATTAGGCCTCATTTGTCAATTTTGGCTTTTGTTGTCATTGCTTTTGCAATCTATCCATCTGACAAACGGCTAATATCCAGAACCTACAAAGAACTTAAACAAGTTTACAGGAAAAATACAACCCCATCAAAAAGTGGACAAAGGATATGAACAGACACTTCTCAAAAAAAAAGACATTTATGCAGCCAACAAACATTTATGAAACATTTATGAAAAAATGTTCATCATTCCTGGCCATTAGAGAAATGAAAATCAAAACCACAATGGGATACCATCTCATGCCAGTTTGAATGGTGATTATTAAAAAGTCAGGAAACAACAGATGCTGGTGAGGATGTGGAGAAATGGGAATGTTTTTACACTGTTGGTGGGAGAGTAAATTAGTTCAACCATTGTGAAAGACAGTGTGGTGATTCCTCAAGGATCTATAACCAGAAATACCATTTGACCCAGCAATCCCATTACTGGACATATACCCAAAGGATTATAAATCATGCTATGATAAAGACACATGTATACATATGTTTACTATGGCACTATTCAAAATATCAAAGACTTGGAACCAACCCAAATTTCCATCAATGATAGACTGGATAAAGAAAATGTGGCACATATACACCATGGAATACTATGTAGCCATAAAAAGGGATGAGTTCATGTCCTTTTCAGGGACTTGGATGAAGCTGGAAACCATCATTCTCAGCAAACTATCAGAAGAACAGAAAACCAAACACTGCATGTTCTCACTCATTAAGTGGAAGTTGAACAATGAGAACACATGGACACAGGGAGGGGAAGATCACACACCGGGGCCTGTCAGGGGGTGGGGGGAGGTAGGGGAGGGAGAGCATTAGGAGAAATACCTAATGCAGGTGATGGGTTGATGGGTGCACTAAGCCACCATGGCACGTGTATACCTATATAACAAAACTGCACATTCTGCATGTGTATCCCAGAACCTAAAGTAAAATTAAAAAATAAAAAATAAGTTTAAAAAAAACCCAAAACCATAAAAACCCTAGAAGAAAACATAGGCAATACCATTCAGGACATAGTCTTGGGCAAAGACTTCATGATGAAAATGTCAAAAGCAATTGCAACAAAAACAAAAACTGACCAATGGAATCTAATTAAACTAAAGAGCTTCTGCACCAAAAGAAACTATCACCAGAGTAAACAGGAAACCTATAGAATAGGAGAAAATTTTTGCCATCTATCCATCTGACAAAGGGCTAATATCAAGAATTTACAAGAAACTTAAACAAACTTACAAGAAAAAAGCAAACAATCCCAAGAAAAAATGGGCAAAGGACATGAACAGATGCTTCTCAAAAGAAGACATTTACATGGACAACGAACATGGGAAAAAAAGCTCAACATTGCTGATCATCAGAGAAATGCAAATCAAACTCACAATGAGATACCATCTCATGCCAGTCAGAATGGCAATTATTAAAAAGTTAAGAAACAACAGATGCTGGCAGGGCCGTGGAGAAATAGGAATGCTTTTACACTGTTGGTGGGAATGTAAACTAGTTCAACCATTGAGGAAGATAGTGTGATGATTCCTCAAGGATCTAGAACCAGAAATACCATTTGAACCAGCCATCCCATTACTGGGTATATACCCAAAGAAATATAAATTATTCTACTATAAAGACACATGCATAAGTATGTTTATAGCAGCACTATTTACAATAGCAAAGACATGGAACCCATCAAAATACCCATCAATGATAGACTGTATAAAGAAAATGTGATACATATACAACATGGAATACTATGCAGCCATAAAAAGGAATGAGATCATGTCCTTTACAGGGACATGGATGAAGCTGAAAGCTGTCATCCTCAGCAAACTAATACAGGAACAGAAAGCCAAACACTGCATGTTCCCACTCATAAGTGGAAGTTGAACAATGAGAACACATGGACACAGAGAGAAGGAACAACACACACCAGGGCCTGTTGAGGGTGGGAGCGAGGGGAGGGAACTTAGAGGACAGGTCGATAGGTGCAGCAAACCACAATGGCACACATATACCTATGTGACAAACCTGCATGTTCTGCACATGTATTCCAGGTTTTTTTTTTAGAAGAAATAAAGAAAAAAAATTTTAAGTGTATGCTTGTATACTCTATAGTGTAATGTTACGCTTAGGTATATACCCAACAGAATTGTATACATATACCACAAAAAGACATCTATAAACATGTCTATAGCAGCACATTTATAATAAGCAAAAATTGGAAACTACCTGAATGTCATTAACAATAAAATGGATAAACTGTGTTGTATTCACATAATAGAAAACTACAAAGAAATAAATATTTGTGATCTACAACTACACTCAAAAAACATGAATAAATCTCACAAACATCATATTGAGAGTAAAAAGATTCACCACTTTTTGAAAATTCATTGAGCTTTATACTTATGATTTGCTCATATATGACTTTTTCTTTATGTGTGTTACATTTCAGTAAAACTTTTGCCAAAAATCAGGAGGGTCAGAGGGTAGTATAATGAATATTTCTCTGTCTTCTACAAAATAACAGCTAATATGAATATGTATGAAAAAGTTCCACAGTAAATTTCTCTTAAAATATGACATAAAAAATGTTTGTCTCTCCTGAATACTTATATGCTTCATTTATTAGAAAACTCAGAGCTTACTTTCATACTTCAAAGCAGTATTCTTAACCAAAGTTTTCCAGTACTCTTAACTCCCAATTCAATACTTATTTTTTACCCTTTAATTCATTTTTGAATGATTCTGTCATATTTATATCTACTTAAGCAGCTAAGATCTGCAAAACCTTTCTGGAGTTAGTTGAGGTGTAAAAATAAGTACTTAAGTGTAGCGAGGCTAGATTAGTGATCAAACATAGCCTTCAATTATATTACAAACTTACACCTAGGTATTTCATTTAACTTTTAGTACACTCCTGTCTTAACCTCTTTCGTTCTTCTGTAACAGAATACCTGAAACTGGGTAATTTAGGCTGGAAGGTGTAATGTTAAGGGTTCTGCATCTTAAGAAGGCCTTCTTGCTACATCTTCCATGGTGGAAGTAGAAGGGAAGAGGGCACACAGAACCGAACTCACTTTTATAACAAACCCACTCCTTGCTGACTGCGATGAGCCCTCGAGATCTAATCACCTCTTAAAGGTCCTTCTTCTCAACCCTGATGCATTGGAGATTAAGTTTTCAAAAAATGGGCTTTAGAGAACACATTCAAACTGTAGCATTCATTATAAATGTTACTATAACATGATTAATAATTTTAAAGCAAAAATCTACTAATCATACAACCAAATAAGCCTAATATATCAAATGCAAATATTAAACTTACATGGACTCTAGTAATCATCTAATCATTACACTGGACTGTCTCAAATTGAGTCTATCTCTAGTTTTTTGTAGAGAGTAGAGGAAAGCTTACATCATTTTCATCATGAATGGTTAACATTACAAAACCCACAAAGACATCATCCAGACAAGAGGAAGTTTACTATCAATGAAATTGAATGTGTAGCTCAAACTCTCATTCTATGAAAAATAAAAAACAAACATAACAATACAAGCGGTGGCAAACCAAAAATGATGTTATTTGATGAGTTTACTATAAATTCTAAATAAAAGAAAATGGGAAAAAGCTGATGTAGCAGAGATAAGTATAAACTCAATACTCCTTGTTTTCCTATTACTTGCTTAAAAAGCAAATAAATATCACATTGTGTAACTGTAATGAAAATAAGCAAACATCAAATATTGGGAAAGATTTTTTTTCAAAAAGAAAATCCAAACTGACTTTCAACTATTAATAACTTGAGCTTCCCAATGGGACGGCTTGGTTTTGGATTCCTGCTGTTGTTGTTGTCATTGCTGTTTTTAAAAGATAATGTTATAGGCTTTCTCCATTAAGCAGAACAATCTTGTATGTATTCTCTGTCTTTTCTGGGAAATACTCTACCAAATTCCATTATTGATCATTTTCATTCCCTTAACTGGATAGATTACATTTTTTTCTTTTATTTTGGGTTCTGGGATATGTGTGCAGAATATGCAGGTTTGTTACACAGGTACACATGTGCCATGGTGGTTTGCTGCACCTGTCAACCCATCATCTAGGTTTTAAGCCCCGCATGCATTAGCTATTTGTCCTAATGCTCCCCACAACCCCCAACAGGCCCCAGTGTGTGTTGTTCCCCTCCCTGTGTTCATGTGTTCTCATTGTTCAACTCCCACTTATGAGAACATGCAGTGTTCGGCTTTCTGTTCCTGTGTTAGTTTGCTGAGAATGGTGGTTTCCAGCTTTATCCATGTCCCTGCAGAGGACATGAACTCATTCTTTTTTATGGATTCATAGTGTTCCGTGGTGTATATGTGCCACAATTTCTTTAACCACTCTATCTTTGATGGACATTTGGGTTGGTTCCAAGTCTTTGCTATTGTGAATAGTGCTGCAATAAATGTATGTGTGCATGTATCTTTATAGTAGAATGCCTTATAATCCTTTGGGTATATACCCAGTAATGGGATTGCTGGGTCAAGTGGTATTTCTGGTTCTAGATCCTTGAACAGTCGCCACACTGTCTTCCACAATGGTTGAACTAATTTACACTCCCACCAACAGTGTAAAATCATTCCTATTTCTCCACATCCTCCACAACCTGGCCAGCATGTGTTGTTCCCTGACTTTTTAATAATCGCCATTCTAACTGGCATGAGATGGTATCCCATTGTGGTTTTGATTTGCATTTCTCTAATGACAAGGGATGATTAGCTTTTCTCATATGTTTGTTGGCTACATAAATGTTTTCTTTTGAGAAGTGTCTGTTCATATCCTACATTAAATTTTTTCTGTTTTGTTTTTGTTTTCTATTTTCTCTTATCTTGCTCACTAAAGAATAGTTTTAAAATAATATTAGATGAGGTAATAGCAGTTAACAAATATTGAGTAATAATTACAAGTCAAGCATTCTTCCAAGCACCTTATGTATAATAAATTCATTTAATTTTCAGAACAATCTTATGGGGTAGGTGCTATCATTATCACTGTTGTAGAGATGAAGAAACTAAAGAACAGAGGATTTAAATTATATCCCAAGGCTACCTAGCTAAGGTGTTAAATTTCAAATCCACTTGATAATACAAGAAGACCATGTAGGTTAATTTTCGCTATATGATGAAATGAATATGTAAAATACAAAAATTCAAAGGTTATGTCAATTAAAAAAACACTTTTCAACAATGTTGAATTATTTAACTCAGCACTATCTTCTTTCAAATTACCACTTTCACATAACAATAAATTACACTAAAGTTAAGACACAAGGGGCTTCTATCTTCATGTCTTCAAACAGAATTTGACATTTTGTTTTAAAGACAACATCAGCTGAAAGTTTCTTCTAAGCAGAAGTGAATATGGTAAATTTCATACTATACAGAGTTATGTTCAACATCAGAGAGGTTTAAGAAACCTCCTCAATGTTCCTCAGGGACCAATTTAAAAAATAACCCACTTTGCAAGGATCTCACCCTCAACAAACCCAGTAGCAGCTTTTTCAGTAATCAAATAAATAGAGAAATAAAGTAATTCAAAAATGGGTAGGTACCCTTTATCTGAACAGGAGCAAACAAAGCCTGGCTGAAGACTACCCTCAGTAATACCTCTTCTTCACAGTATGAGCAGCTGATCTCTGAAATAAACTTGCTTGTGAAGATGCTTAAGTTAACCTCTGCAGAACTTCAGAAAGAGATTAGATAAAGCCCATTAGGAATGACGGTGACTCATCCTAGAAAATAAAGAGACCCACAGGAAGAGGTGATTGTGTATACAGGATACAAACACAAAGACAAATAGTGAAAGAAAAGCAAAACATTAAAGATTGAGCAATTCATTTTTTAAAAAGAATTAATAAATTAATTCAATCGTTGCAATCATCTGATAACCTTTGACAAATAATGATAAATGGTTAAGTAAAATAAAGGATTAAAAAAGTAATTTGTGAAAAATCTGACTAAGAAGTAGTATAATATTAAGTGACCGTGATAACTTAAAATGCATACTGTAAACACTAGAATAACCACTAAATAGACTAAAGAGGTGTAACTAATAAGGCAACAGAGAAGGTAAAATGAAGCACTAAAAAATCACTCAATCTGTAAAAAGACAATGAAAGAGGAAAAGAGGGACAAAATAATAGGCAAAACATAGAACAAAAGAAAAAAGAAATAAACCGCAGATTTAAATCCAATAATATAGAAAATTACATTAAATGTAAATGATCTGAATATTTGCATTTGATAATTAATAATTGTCTCTCTTCAGTGACATGATAATAAACATTGAAAATTATAAGAAACCTACAAAAGGAATACTAGTACTAACAAGGTCACAAAATACATAGTAAATATGGAAAATCAATTATGTGCTGTATACTAACAAAGAAAGATGGGAAAATAAAATTTGAAAAAATACATATATTATAATAGCATTCAAAAGTTTAGGGATAAATTTAAGAAAACATGTGCAAGGCCTGTGCACTGAAAGCTACAAAACATTGCTAAGAGAACTTAAAGAGTACCTAAACAGATGAAGAATTATACCTACAAATTGGGTTTGGTGTATACTGCTCAAGAGATGGGTGACTAAAATCTCACAAATCACCACTAAAGAACTTACTCATGTAACCAGATACCACCTGTTCCCCAAAAACCTATGGAAATAAAAAAAGAGATATTGAAGATTGTTAATACGTCAGTTCACAAATTGATATGTAGATTCAATATGATCTTATTCAAAAATCCCAGAAAAAATGTTTTTTAATATTGGGTTTTTTTTTGGTTGCTTTAGTTGTTTTGCTTTTCAGTAGTAATTGAAAGGTAATTCTAAAATTTATATAGAAATGCAATGTACCTAGATTAACCAAGTCCTTTTTGAAAAAGAACAAAGTTGGAGCATTTATATTATCTGACTTCAAGACTTATTATAAAGCTCTGGTAATTGGAGCAATGTAATATTTTATTAAGCATAGACATATAGATCAACAAAAACAGAATAGAGTGTTCATAAATGGATCTATCAATATGTAGCTAATGGATATTCACAAAAGGTCCCAAAATAATTTAACGGTGTAAAGGTAGACTTTTTCAATGACTGGTGGTGCTGAAACAGATGGATATATGAGGGAGCAAAAGGGAGTCTTTATCTTTACATCATACCATACACAAAAATTAAGTGTAAAAAAATGATCATAGAACTAAACATAAAATTTCAACCTAAAAACTTCTAAAAGAAGACCTAAGAGAGATTATTATTGAATATTGGATTAGGCAGATTTCCTAAAACACAAACACACACACAAACCATCAAGGAAATAAAAGCAATAAACTAGTCTTCATCAAATTAAAAACTGGTGTTTTCAAAATACACTGTTAAGTCACTCCATCTTCTAACTTCAGGCTCTAAAAGAGACCTCTTCCCTCTGCTTGAGGAGAGGAGAGGGAGAAGTGGTGAGGACTTTGTCTTGCATTTTGGATACCAGTTCAGTCACAGCCAGATATGGTACCAATCAGAGATGTGAGGCCCCCTTTCCAGGACCTAGTTCCCAGATGGCATTTCCAGACACACCCTGGGCTAGAAGGAAAATTGCTGTCTTGAAAAGAAAACCCCAGTCCAGGCAGGATTTATCACCTGTTAACTGAAGAGCCCTTGAGTCCAGAATAATCAGCAGAAATATCCAGGTACTATCTCAAGAGCCTTGGATGAGACTGTCAGACTAGCTGACTTCAGGTGAGAATCAGCACATTCCCAGCTGAGGCAGATATGGGGCAAGAGTCCCTCCATTTCAGAAAAGTGGAGGGAAAAGTAAAGGAGACGTTGACTTGTGTCAAAGATACCAGCATGGCCGCAGTAGAGTAAAGCACCAAGCAAGATTTTTGGGTCCCTGATTCCAGGACTTGGCTCTTGGATGGCATTTCTGGGCCTGCCCTGGGCGAGAGAGAGGCCCATTACCCTGAAGTGTGAGTCCTAAGCCAGACAGCATTCACCATCAGTTGAGTCAAGAGCCCCTGGGTCTTGAAGGAATATTGGTGGTAGTCTGGCAGTGGTCCTGCATCTGCAGTGACAGTGGCCAAAGGATGAGGCTCCTTTACCTTTGGAAAGGAGAGGGTAAAGAGTAGGAAGAACTGCATCTTGTGGCTTGAGTGTCAGCTCAGTTGCAGTACAAAAGAACACAAGGCAGACTTCTAAGGTTATTGACTGTAGTCCCTGGCTCCTGATAACACCTCTGGACACACCTGGGGCCTAGGGGAACTCACCATCCTGAAGGGAAGGACATAAGCCTGACTGACTTTGCCACTTGCTGGTTATAGAGCCCCAGGGCCTTGAGTGAACATAGGCCATAACCAGGGAGTTTTTTCAGATGGCCTTGGATGAGAGAGACAGTGCTGTGCTAGCTTCAAGTCTGACCCAGTATAGACATAGTGGTGGTGACTACGGGAATGTTCATATTACTCCATCCCAAGTCCTAGGTGACTCAGAAGAGAGAGAGTGACTTAATTCATTTGGGAGAAAGTAAGAAAAGAAAATAAGGTTTCTACCTAGTAATCCAAATAATTCTCCTGGACCTCGTCCAAGACCATCAAGGCAGTACGTCTACAAGTCTGCAAGAACCACAGTGTTATTGAGCTTGGGGTGCCCCCTGAAGCAGATAGAGCATGAATCACAGACCCAAGTCATTTTGAATATCTGGGAAGCCTTCTCGAGAAGAATGGATAAAACCAAGCTCAGGCTGAAAAGACTACAATAAATACCCAACTCTTCAATGCCCAGATATAAATTAACATCTACAAGTATCAAGATATTTCAGAAAGGCTGGGTGCAGTGGCTCATGCCTGTAATCCCAGCACTTTGGAAGGCCAAGGCTGGTGGATCACTTGAGGTCAGGAGTTTGAGACCTCCCTGGCCAAGATGGTGAAACCTCGTCTCTACTAAAAATACAAAAATTAGCCAGGTGTGGTGATGGGCACCTGTAATCCCAGCTACTCTGGAGGCTGAGGTGGGAGAATCACTTGAACCCAGGGTGGGGAATCTGCAGTAAGACAAGATTGCACCATTCTTCTCCAACCTGGGTGACAGAGTGAGACTCTGTCAAAAAAAAATTTTTTTTCAAGAAAACATAATCTCACCAAATGAACTAAATAAGACACCAGGGGCCAATCCTGGAGAAACAGAGATATGTAACCTTTCAGACAGAGAATTCAAAATAGCTATGTTGAGGAAACTCAAAGAAGTTTAAGAAAACATAGAAGGAATTCAGAATTCTACCAGATAAATTAAATGAAGAGATTAAAAATAAGAATCATGCAGAAATTCTGAAGCTGAAAAATGCAATTGGCATACTGAAGAATGCATCAGAGTATTTTCATAACAGAATTGATCAAGCAGAAAAAAGAGTTGGTGAGCTTGAAGACAGGTTATTTGAAAATGTACAGTCATAGGAGACAAAAGCAAAAAGAATAAAAAACAGTGAAGCACACACACAGGATCTAGAAAATGGCCTCAAAAGGGGAAATCTAAGTAAGTAGAGAACTCTACTCTTTGGGTAGAAAGTTTATTCAAAGGGATAATAACAGAGAAATTATACAAGCTAGAGAAATATGTCAATATCCAAGTACAAGAAGGTTATAGAACGCTAAGCAGATTTAACCCAAAGAAGACCATCTGAAGGCATTTAATAATCAAACTCCCAAAGGTCAAAGATAAAGAAGAAATCCTAAAAGGGTCGAGAGAACAGAAACTGATAATATACAAAGGAGCACCAATATGTCTGGCAGCAGACGTTGCAATGGAAATCTTACGGGCCAGGGGTAGAATGACGTATGACTGCTCAAGGAAAAAATAAAACCTTCACCCTAGAATAGTACATCTGGTGAAAATATCCTTCAAACACGAAGGAAAAATAAAGACTTTTCAGACAAAAAAAGCTTAGGGATTTCATCAATACCAGACCGGTCCTACAAGAAATGCTAAAGGGAGTATTTCAATCAGAAAGTAAAATACTTTATTGAGCAATAAGAAATCATCCGAAGGTACAAAATTCACTGGTAATAGTAAGTACACAGAATATTATGACACTGTAACAGTGGTGTGTAAACTAATTTTATCTATGTAGAAAGACTAAATGATAAATCAATAAAAAACAATAACCGCAATTTTTCAAGACATAGTACAATAAAATATAAAGAGAAACAACAAAAGTTAAAAAGCAGAGGAGCAAAGTTAAGGAATAGGGTCTTTCTTAGTTTCCTTTTTGCTGTTTGTTTGTTCATGTAAATAGTGTTAAGTTGTTATCAGCTGAAAATAATGGGTTATAAGATAGTGTTTGCAAGCCTCATGGTCACTTCAAACCAAAGAAACATACAGCAGTTACACAAGAAATAAAAAGCAAGGAACTAAATCATATCACCAGAGAAAAGCACCTTCACTGAAAGGAAGACAGGAAAGAAAGAAGAGAACAACACAAAACAACCAGAAGACAAATAAAAAAAATGGCAAGAGTAAGCCCCTGCTTATCAATAATAACACTGAATCTAAATTGACTAAACTCTCCAATCAAAAGATAGAGAGGGGTAGAGAGTGACTGAATGAATTAAAAAACAAGAGTCATTGATCTGTTGCCTATAAGAAACATACTTCACATGTAAAGACACACATCCACTGATAATAAAAGAATGGAAAAAGATGTTCCATGCCAATGGAAACCAGAAAATGAGCAGGAGTAGCTATACTTATATCAGACTAAGTAGATTTTAAGACAAAAAATATAAGAAGAGACAAAGAAGAACCCTACATAATGATAAAGGGGCCAATTCAACAAGAGGATATAACAATTTTAAATATATATTCACCTAACATTGGAGCACCCAGAAACATAAAGCATACATTATTAGAGCTAATGAGAGATAGACTCCAATATACTAATAGCTGTAGACTTCAACACCTCACTTTCAGCATTTGACAGATCTTCAAGACAGAAAATCAACAAAGCAACATTGGACTTAATCTGTACTAGAGACCTAATGAACATAATAGACATTTACAGAAGATTTCATTCAGCAGCTGCAGAATACACATTATTTTCCTTAGCATGTAGACCATTCTCAAAGATAGATTATATGTGAGGTCACAAAACAAGTCTTTAAACATTCAAAAATAAATAAACAACATCAAGCATCTTCTCTGACCACAATAGAATAAAACTAGAAAGTAATAACAAGCAGAATTTTGGAAACTATACAAATATGGGGAAATGAAACAATATGCTCCTGAGTGATCAGTAGGTCAAAGAAAACATTAAGAAGGAAATTTAAAAATTTCTTGAAACAAATAATGGTGGAAACACAACATACCAAACTCTATGGAGTACAGCAAAAGCAGTACCAAGGGGAAAGTGTATAACTATAATTGCCTACACCAAAAAGAAAAAAAAACTTCAAATAACAATCTAATGATGCATCTTAAAGACTAGAAAAGCAAGATAGTCAAATCCAAAATTAGTAGAATAAAAGAAATACAAAAGATCAGAACAGCAATAAATGAAATTGAAATGAAGAAAGCATTACAGAAGATCAATGAAACCAAAAGTTGTTTTTCTGAAAAGTTAAACAAAATCAACAAACCTTTAGCCAGACTAATAAAAAAAAAGATCCAAATAAGTAAAATCAGAGATGAAAAAAAGAGACATAACATCTGATACCACAGAAATCATCAGTGGCTAGCATGAGCAACTATATGCCAATAAGTTGGAAAATTTAGAGAAATGAACAAATTCCTAGACACACACAATGTACCAAGATTGAACTGGAAAGAAATCCAAAAGATGAATAGACTAATAGCAAGTAACAAGATTGAAACTGTAATAAAAATTCTTCCAGTAAAGAATAGCCCAGAACCCAAAGACTTCAATTCTGAATTCTACCAAAAATTCACAGAATAATGAATACCAATCCTATTCAAATTATTCCAAATAAAATAGAGGAGGATGGCCTAGTTCCAAACTAATTATATGGGGCTAATATTACCTTTATACCAAAACCAGACAAAGACACATCAAAAAAAGAGAACTACAGGCCAATATCCATGATGAACATTAATGCAAAAATTCTCAATAAAAGGTACCAATCTGAATTCAACAATATATTGAAAAGATCATGTATTATGACTTAGTGGGATTTATTCCTGGAATGCAAGGATGGTTCCACATACACAAATCAATGTGATACATCATGTCAACAGAATGAAGGACAAAAACCATATGATCATTTCAAGTGATGCTTGAAAAGGTACTTGATAAAATTCAGCATCTTGAATGATAAAAACCCTCAATAAATGTGGTTAGAAAGAACATGCTTCAGCATAATAAAAGCTGTATGTGACAGACCCATAGCTAGTGTCATACTGAATGGTGAAACACTGAAAGCCTTTCATCTAAGATCTGGAACATGACAAGGATGCCACTGTCACCATTGTTCAGAATAGTACTAGAAGTCCTAGCTAGAGCAACCAGACAAGAGAAAAATATAAAGGGCATTCAAAGTTGCACTGAAAGTGGTCAAATTATCCTCTTTTACAGATGATATGATCTTATATTTGGAAAAACCTAAAGAACACACCAAAAAAAAAAAACTCTTAGAATTGATAAAGAAATACAACAAAGTTGCAGGATACAAAATCAACATCTAAAAATCAGTAACATTTCTAGATGCCAACAGTGAACAAAGTGAAAAAGAACCAAAAGTTAATCACATTTACAATAGCCACAAGTAAAACTAAATACCAAGGAATTAACTTAACCTAAGAAGTGAAAGATCTCTATAATGAAAACTATAAAAACTGATGGAAGAAGTTGAAGACAACACCAAAAAAATGGAAAGATATTCCATGTTTATGGATTGGAAGCATAAATATTGTTAAAATGTCCATACTACCCAAAGCAATCTACAGATTCAATGCAATCTCTATCAAAATACCAACAGCATTCTTTACAGAAATAGAAAAAACAATCCTAAAATTTACATGAATTCACAAAAGACCCTAAATAGCCAAAACTATCATAAGCAAAAAGAAAAAACAAAAACTGGACTGGATGTGGTAGCTCATGCCTGTAATTGCAGTACATGGGGAGGCCAAGGCAGGTGGATCACTTGAGGTCAGGAGTGCAAGACCAGCTTGGCCAACATGGTGAAACCTCATCTCTACTAAAAGTACAAAAAATTAGCTGTGCATGGTGGTGTGTGCCTGTAATCCCAGTTATTCAAGAGGCTAAGACAGGAGAATTGCTTGAACTCAGGAGGGGAGGTTGAAGTGAGCCAAGATCTCCCCACTGCACTCCAGCCTGGGTGGCAGAGTGAGATTCTGTTAAAAAAAAAAAAAACATGGAGGAATCACATTACCTGACTTCAAATTATACTACAGATCCACATAACCAAACAGCATGATAATGACATAAAAAACAGACACATCAACCAATGAAACAGAATAGAGTACCCAGAAACAAATCCACACAGCTACAGTGGACTCATTTTTGACAAAGGTACCAAGAATATACACTAGGGAAAAGACAATCTCTTCAATAAATGGTGTTGGGGAAAACTGGATATTCATATGCAGAAAAATGAAACTAGACCACTATCTGCTTCCATATACAAAAATGAAATAAAAATGTATCTAAGACTTAAATCTAAGAAGTCACACTATGAAACTACTACAAAAAAAACCTCAGGGAAACTTTCCAGGATATTAGTTTGGGCAAAAATTTTTAAGTAATACCCCACAAGCACAGGCAACCAAAGCAAAAATGGACAAATGGGATTACTTCAAGTTAAAAAGCTTGTGCACAGCAAAGGAGACAATCAACAAAGTGAGGAGATAATCCACAGAATGGGAGAAAATATTTGTAAAGTACCTATCTGACAAGAGATCAATAACCAGAGTATATATAAGGAGATCAAACAACTCTATAGGAAAAAAATAATAATAATCTGATTTAAAAACAAGCAAAATATCTGAAATGACATTTCTCAAGAAATGACATAAAAATGGCAAACAGGCATATGAAAAGGTGTTCAACATCATTGATTATTAGAGAAATGTAAATCAAAACTGCAATGAGACATCATCTCACTCCAGTAAAACAGCTTATATCCAAAAGACAGGCAATAACAAGTGCTAGCAAGGATGTGGAGAAAAGGGGACCTTTATACACTGTTGGTGAGAATGTAAAAATGTACATTAGTTTGGAGGTTCCTCAAAAAATCAAAAATAGATCTGTTACAAGATGGCCAAATGGGAACACCTCCGGTCTGCAGCTCCCAGCGTGATCGATGCAGAAGACAGGTGATTTCTGCATTTCCAACTGAGGTACCTGGTTCATCTCATTGGGACTGCTTGGACAGTGGGTGCAGCCCATGGAGGGTGAGCCAAAGCAGGGTGGGGCATCACCTCACCCAGGAAGTGCAAAGGGTCAGGGGATTTCCCTCTCCTAGCCAAGACAAGCTGTGACAGACTGTACCTGAAAAAAGGGACACTCCCACCCAAATATTGCACTTTTCCCAAGGTCTTAGCAACCAGCAAACAAGGAGATTCTCTCCCGTGCCTGGCTCAGCAGGTCCCATATCCACAGAGCTTTGCTCACTGCTAGCACAGCAATCTGAGATCCACCTGCAAGGTGGCAGCCTGGCTGGGGGAGGGTCGTCTGGCATTGCTAAGGCTTGACTAGGTAAACAAAGCAGCCAGGAAGCTCAACCTGGGCAGAGCCCACCACAGCTTAGCAAGGCTTCTGCTCCTATAGACTCCAACTCTGTGGGCAGGGCATAGCTGAACAAAAGGCAGCAGACAAATTCTGCAAATTTAAACGTCCCTGTCTGACAGCTCTGAAGAGAGGAGTGGTTTGCCCAGCACAGCATTTGAGCTCTGAGAATGGACAGACTGCCTCCTCAAGTGGGTCCCTAACCCCCATGTAGGGTAACTGGGAGACTTCTCCCAGTAGGGGCTGAAAGACACCTCATATAGGTGGGAGCCCCTCTAGGACAAAGCTTCCAGAGGAAGGACCAGGCAGCAATATTTGCTGTTCTGAAATATTTGCTTTTCCGCAGCCTCCACTCGTGATTCCCAGGCAAACAGGTCTGGAGTGGACCTCCAGCAAACTCCAACAAAACTGCAGATGAGGGACCTGACTGCTACAAAGAAAGCTAACAAACAGAAAGAAACAGCACCAACATCACTGAAAAGGACATCTACACAAAACCCCATCTGTAGGTCACTGACATCAAAGACCAAACGTAGATAAAAACAACAAAGATGGGGAGAAACCAGAACAGAAAAGCTGAAAATTCTAAAAACCAGAGTGCTTCTTCTCCTCCAAAGGATCGCAGCTCCTCACCAGCAACAGAAGAAAGCTGGATGGAGAATGACTTTGACGAGTTGACAGAAGTAGCCTTCACAAGGTTGGTGATAAGAAACTCCTCTAAGCTAAAGGAGCATGTTCTAACCCATCTTGAGGAAGCAAAAGCCTTGAAAAAGGGTTAAATAAATGGTTAACTAGAATAAACAGTGTAGAGAAGACCTTAAATGACCTGATGGAGATGAAAACCATGGCAAGAGAACTTCATGACACATCCACAAGCTTCAATAGCCAATTCAATCAAGTGAAAGAAAGCCTATATGTGATTGAAGATAAAATTAATGAAATAAAGTGAAAAGACAAAGTTAGAGAAAAAAGAGTAAAAAGTAATGAAAAAACCTCCAAGAAATATGGGACTATGTGAAAAGAACAAATCTACATTTGATAGGTGTACCAGAAAGCAATGTGGAGAATAGAACCAAGTTGGAAAACACTCTTCAGGATACTATCCAGGAGAACTTCCCCAACCTAGCAAGGCAGGCCAACATTCAAATTCAGGAAATACAGAGAACACCACAAAGATACTCCTTGAGAAGAGCAACCCCAATACACATAACTGTCAGACTCACCAAGGTGGAAATGAAGGAAAAAATGTTAAGGGCAGCCAGAGAGAAAGGTCGTGTTACTCACAAAGGAAAGCCCATCAGACTAACAGTGGACTCTCAGCAGAAACCCTACAAGCCAGAAGAGAGTGGGGGCCAATATTCAACATTCTTAAAGAAAAGAATTTTCACCCAGAATTTCATAACCAGCCAAATTAAGCTTCATAAGTGAAGGAGAAATAAAATCCTTTAGACAAGCAAATGCTGAGAGATTATGTGACAACCAGTCCTGCCTTACAAGAGCTCTTAAAGGAAGCACTAAACATGGAAAGGAACAACTGGTACCAGCCACTGCAAAAACATGCCAAATTGTAAAGATCATCAGTGCTAGGAAGAAACTGCATCAATTAACGGGCAAAATAACTAGCTAACATCATAATGACAGGATTATTCACACATAACGATAATAACCTTAAAAGTAAATGGGCTAAATGTCCCAATTAAAAGACACAGACTGGCAAATTGGATAAAGAGTCAAGACCCATCAGTGTGCTCTATTCAGGAGACCCATCTCACATGCAGAAACACACACAGGCTCAAAATAAAGGAATGGAGAAGATCTACCAAGCAAATAGAAAACAAAACAAGACAGGGGTGGCAATCCTAGTCTCGGATAAAACAGACTTTAAACCAACAAAGATCAAAAGAGACAAAGAAGGCCATTACATAATGGTAAAGGGATCAATTCAACAAGAGCTAACTATCCTAAATATATATGCACCCAAGGCAGGAGCACCCACATTCATAAAGCAAGTCCGTAGTGACCTACAAAGAGACTTAGACTCCCACACAATAATAATGGGAGACTTTAACACCTCACTGTCAATATTAGACAGATCAACGAGACAGAAAGTTAACAAGGATATCCAGGGCTTGAACTCAGCTCTGCACCAAGCAGAACTAATAGACGTCTACAGAACTCTCCACCCCAAATCAACAGAATATACATTCTTCTCAGCACCACACCGCATTTATTCTAAAATTGACCACATAATTGGAAGTAAAGCACTCCTTAGAAAATGTAAAACAACAGAAATCACAACAAACTGTCCCTCAGACCACAGTGCTATCAAACTAGAACTCAGGATTAAGAAACTCATTCAAAACCACATACCTACATGGAAACTGAACAACCTGCTCCTGAATGACTACTGGGTAAATAACAAAATGAAGGCAGAAATAAAGATGTTCTTTGAAACAAATGAGAACAAAGACACAGTGTACCAAAATCTCTGGGACACATTTAAAGCAGTGTATAGAGGGAAACTTATAGCACTAAATGCCCACAAGAGAAAGCAGGGAAGATCTAAAATTGCGTCTATTTGATTTTTCTCCTTTTCTTCTTTATTAGTCTGGCTAGCAGTCTATTTATTTTGTTGACCTTTTCAAAAAAGCAGCTCCTGGATGCATCGATTTTATGAAGGGTTTTTTGTGTCTCTATCTGTTTCAGTTTTTCTCTGATCTTAGTTATTTCTTGCCTTCTACTAGCCTTTGAATTTGTTTGCTCTTGCTTCTCTAGTTCTTTTAATTGTGATGTTAGGGTGTCAATTTTAGATCTTTCTTGCTTTCCCTTCTGGGCATTTAGTGCTATAAGTTTCCCTCTACACACTGCTTTGAATGTGACCCAGAGATTCTGATATGTTGTGTCTTTGTTCTCATTTGTTTCAAAGAACATCTTTATTTCTGCCTTCATTTTTTTATTTACCCAATAGTCATTCAGGAGCAGGTTGTTCAGTTTCCATGTAGGTGTGTGGTTTTGAGTGAGTTTCTTAATCCTGAGTTCTAATTTGATTGCACTGTGGTCTGAGGGACAGTTTGATGTGACTTCTGTTGTTTTACATTTTCTGAGGAGTGCTTTACTTCCAATTATGTGGTCAGTTTTAGAATAAGTGTGATGTGGTGCTGAGAAGAATGTATATTCTGTTGATTTGGGGTGGAGAGTTCTGGAGATGTCTATTAGGTCAGCTTGGTGCAGAGCTGAGTTCAAGTCCTGGATATCCTTGTTAACTTTCTGTCTCGTTGATCTGTCTAATATTGACAGTGGGGTGTTAAAGTCTCCCATTATTATTATGTGGGAGTCTCAGTCTGTTTGTGGGTCTTAAGGACTTAATTTATGAATCTGGGTGTTCCTGTATTGGGTGCATATGTATTCAGCATACTTAGCTCTTTTTGTTGAATTGATCCCTTTACCATTATGTAATGGCCTTGTCTCTTTTGATCTTTGTTAGCTAAAGTCTGTTTTATCAGAGACTAGGATTACAACCCCTGCTTTTTTTTGCTTTCCATTTGCTTGGTAGATCTTCCTCCATCCCTTTATTTTGAGCCTATGTGTGTCTCTGCACGTGAGATGATTCTCCTGAATACAGCACACTGACGAGACTTGACTCTTCATCCAATTTGCCAGTCTGTGTCTTTTAATTGGGGCATTTAGCCGGTTTACATTTAAGGTTATTATTCTTATGTGTGAATAATCCCGTCATTATGATGTTAGCTAGTTATTTTGCCCGTTAATTGATGCAGTTTCTTCCTAGCACCGATGGTCTTTACAATTTGGCATGCTTCTGCAGTGGCTGGTACCAGTTGTTCCTTTCCATGTTTAGTGCTTCCTTTAGGAGCTCTTGTAAGGCAGGCCTGGCTGTGACAGAATCTCTCAGCATTTGCTTGTCTGTAAAGGATTTTATTTCTCCCTCACTTATGAAGATTATTTTGGCTGGATATTATACTCTGGGTTGAAAATTATTTTCTTTAAGAATATTGAATATTACATTAGACAGATCAACAAGACAGAAAGTCAACAAGGATACCCAGGAAATGAACTCAGCTCTGCACCAAGCAGACCTAATAGACATCTACAGAACTCTCCACCCCAAATCAACAGAATATACATTTTTTTCAGCACCACACCACACCTATTCCAAAATTGACCACGTAGTTGGAAGTAAAGCTCTCCTCAGCAAATATAAAAGAACAGAAATTATAACAAACTATCTCTCAGACCACAGTGCAATCAAACTAGAACTCAGGATTAAGAAACTTATTCAAAATTGCTCAATTACATGGAAACTGAACAACCCGCTCCTGAATAACTACTGGGCACATAGCGAAATGAAGGCAGAAATAAATACGTTCTGTGAAACCAATGAGAACAAAGACACAACATATCAGAATCTCTGGGACACATTCAAAGCAGTGTGTAGAGGGAAATTTATAGCACTAAATGCCCACAAGAGAAAGCAGGAAAGATCCAAAATTGAGACCCTAACATCACAATTAAAAGAACTAGAAAAGCAAGAGCAGACACATTCAAAAGCTAGCAGAAGGCAAGAAATAACTAAAATCAGAGCAGAACTGAAGGAAATAGAGACACAAAAAACCCTTCAAAAAATTAATGAATCCAGGAGCTGGTTTTTTGAAAGGATCAACAAAATTGATAGAACGCTAGCAAGACTAATAAAGAAAAAAAGAGAGAAGAATCAAATAGAGGCAATAAAAAATGATAAAGGGGATATCACCACTGATCCCACAGAAATATAAACTACCATCAGAGAATACTATAAACACCTCTACACAAATAAACTAGAAAATCTAGAAGAAATGGATAAATTCCTTGACACATACACTCTCCCAAGACTAAACCAGGAAGAAGTTGAATCTCTGAATAGACCAATAACAGGATCTGAAATTGTGGCAATAATCAATAGCTTACCAACCAAAAAGAGTCCAGGACCAGATGGATTCACAGCCAAATTCTACCAGAGGTACAAGGAGGAACTGGTACCATTCCTTCTGAAACTATTCCAATCAATAGAAAAAGAGGGAATCCTCCTGAACTCATTTTATGAGGCCAGCATCATCCTGATACCAAAGCCGGGCAGAGACACAACCAAAAAAGAGAATTTTAGACCAATATCCTTGATGAACATTGATGCAAAAATCCTCAATAAAATACTGGCAAACCAAATCCAGCAGCACATCAAAAAGCTTATCCACCATGATCAAGTGGGCTTCATCCCTGAGATGCAAGGCTGGTTCAACATATGCAAATCAATAAACCTAATCCAGCATATAAACAGAATCAAAGACAAAAACCACATGATTACCTCAATAGATGCAGAAAAGGCCTTTGACAAAATTCAACAACCCTCCATGCTAAAAACTCTCAATAAATTAGGTATTGATGGGACATATCTCAAAATATTAAGAGCTATCTATGACAAACCCACAGCCAATATCATACTGAATGGGCAAAAACTGGAAGCATTCCCTTTGAAAACTGGCACAAGACAGGCATGCCCTCTCTCACCACTCCTATTCAACATAGTGTTGGAAGTTCTGGCCAGGGCAATTAGGCAGGAGAAGGAAATAAAGGGTATTCTATTAGGAAAAGAGGAAGTCAAATTATCCCTGTTTGCAGACGACATGATTGCATATCTAGAAAACCCCATCATCTCAGCCCAAAATCTCCTTAAGCTGATAAGCAACTTCAGCAAAGTCTCAGGATACAAAATCAATGTACAAAAATCACAAGCATTCTTGTACACCCATAACAGTCAAACAGAGAGCCAAATCATGAGTGAACTCCCATTCACAATTGCTTCAAAGAGAATAAAATACCTAGGAATCCAACTTACAAGGGACATAAAGGACCTCTTCAAGGAGAACTACAAACCACTGCTCAATGAAATAAAAGAGGATACAAACAAATGGAAGAACATTCCATGCTCATGGGTAGGAAGAATCAATATTGTGAAAATGGCCATACTGCCCAAGGTAATTTATAGATTCAATGCCATCCCCATCAAGCTACCAACGACTTTCTTCACAGAATTGGAAAAAACTACTTTAAAGTTCATATGGAACCAAAAAAGAGGCCACACCACCAAGTCAATCCTAAGCCAAAAGAACAAAGCTGGAGGCATCATGCTACCTGACTTCAAACTATACTACAAGTCTACAGTAACCAAAACAGCATGGTACTGCTACCAAAACAGAGATATAGACCAATGGAACAGAGCAGAGTCCTCAGAAATGATGCTGCATATCTACAACCATCTGATCTTTGACAAACTTGACAAAAACAAGAAATGGGGGAGTGATTCCTTATTTAATAAATGATGCTGGGAAAACTGGCTGGCCATATGTAGAAAGCTGAAACTGGATCCCTTCCTTACACCTTACACAAAAATCAATTCAAGATGGATTAAAGACTTAAATGTTAGACCTAAAACCATAAAAACCCTAGAAGAAAACTTAGGCAATACCATTCAAGACACAAGCATGGGCAAGGACTTCATGTCTAAAACACCAAAAACAATGGCAACAGAAGCCAAAATTGACAAATGGGATCTAATTAAACTAAAGAGCTTCTGCACAGCAAAAGAAACTACCATCAGAGTGAACAGGCAACCCACAAAATGGGAGAAAATTTTCACAACCTACTCATCTGACAAAGGGCTAATATCCAGAATCTACAATGAACTCAAACAAATTTACAAGAAAAAAACAAACAACCCCATCAAAAAGTGGGTGAAGGACATAAACAGACACTTCTCAAAAGAAGACATTTATGCAGCCAATAAACACATGAAAAAATGCTCACCATCACTGGCCATCAGAGAGGTGCTGGAGAGGATGTGGAGAAATAGGAACACTTTTACACTGTTGGTGGGACTGTAAACTAGTTCAACCATTGTGGAAGTCAGTGTGGTGATTCCTCAGGGATCTAGAACTAGAAATACCATTTGACCCAGCCATCCCATTACTAGGTATATACCCAAAGGACCATAAATCATGCTGCTATAAAGACACATGCACACATATGTTTATTGCGGCACTATTCACAATAGCAAAGACTTGGAACCAACCCAAATGTCCAACAATGATAGACTGGATTAAGAAAATGTGGCACATATACACCATGGAATACTATGCAGCCATTAAAAATGATGAGTTCATGTCCTTTGTAGGGACATGGATGAAATTGGAAATCGTCATTCTCAGTAAACTATCACAAGAACAAAAAACCAAACACCGCATATTCTCACTCATAGGTGGGAATTGAACAATGAGAACACATGGACACAGGAAGGGGAACATCACACTCTGGGGACTGTTGTGGGTTGGGGAGAGAGGGGAGGGATAGCATTGGGAGATATGCCTAATGCTAGATGATGAGTTAGTAGGTGCAGCGCATCAGCATGTCACATGTATACACATGTAACTAACCTGCATATTGTGCACATGTACCCTAAAACTTAAAGTATAATAATAATTTTTTAAAAAGTATGTTGAATATTGGCCCCCACTCTCTTCTGGCTTGTAGGGTTTCTGCTGAGATGTCTACTGTTAGTCTGATGGGCTTCCCTTTGTGAGTAATCAGACCTTTCTCTCTGACTGCCCTTAACATTTTTTACTTCTTCTCAACCTTGTGAATCTCACAATTATGTGTCTTGGGGTTGCTCTTCTCAAGGAGTATCTTTGTAGTGTTCTCTGTATTTCCTGAATTTGGAAGTTGACCTGCCTTGCCAGATTGGGGAAGTTCTCCTGGATAATATCCTGAAGAGTGTTTTCCAACTTGGCTCCATTCTCCACATCACTTTCAGGTACACTTATCAAATGTAGATTTTGTCTTTTCACATAGTCCCATAATTCTTGGAGGCTTAATTCATTTCTTTTTACTCTTTTTTCTCTAATCTTGTCTCCTCACTTTAGTTCATTAATTTGATAATCACTGATATCCTTTCTTCCACTTGATCAAATCAGCTGTTGAAGCTTGTGCATGCGTCACAAAGTTCTCATGCCATGGTTTTCAGCTCCATCAGGTCATTTAAGGTCTTCTCTCCACTGTTTATTCTAGTTAGCCATTCGTCTAACCTTTCTTCAGGGTTTTTAGCTTCCTTGAGATGGGTTAGAACATGCTCCTTTAGCTGAGAGAGGTTTTTTATTACCAACCTTCAGAAGCCTACTTCTGTCAACTCGTCAAAGTCATTCTCCGTCCAGTTTTCTTCCATTGCTGGTGAGGAGCTGCAATCCTTTGGAGGAAAAGAGGTGCTCTGCTTTTTAGAATTTTCAGCTTTTCTGCTCTGGCTTCTCCCCACCTTGGTGGTTTTATCTACCTTTGGTCTTTGATGTTGGTGACCTACAGATGAGGTTTTGGTGTGGATGTCCTTTTTGTTGATGTCGATGCTCTTCCTTTCTGTTTGTTAGTTTTCCTACTAGCAGTCAGGTCCCTCAGCTGCAGGTTTGTTGGAGTTTGCTGGAGGTCTACTCCAGACGCTGTTTCCCTGGGTATCACCAGTGGAGACTACAGAACAGCAAACATTGCAGAACAGCAAATATTGCTGCCTGATCCTTCCTCTGGAAGCTTCGTTTCAGAGGGGCACCTGCCTATATGAGGTGTTTTTCAGCCCCTACTGGGAGGTGTCTTCCAGTTAGGATACCCAGGGGTCAGGGACCTACTTGAGGAGACTATCTGTTCTCAGAACTCAAACGCTGTGCTGGGAGAACGACTCCTCTCTTCAGAGCTGTCAGACAGGGACATTTAAGTCTGCAGACGTTGTCTGCTACCTTTTGTTCAGCTATGCCCTGCCCACAGAGGTGGAGTCTATGGACACAGTAGGCATTGCTTAACTGTGGTGGGCTTTGCCCAGTTTGAGCTTCCAGGCCACTTTGTTTACCTACTCAAGCCTCAGCAATGGTGGACGCCCCTCCCCCCATCTCACTGCAGCCTCACAGGTCAATCTCAGACTGCTGCACTAGCAGTGAGCAAGTTTCTGTGGGCATGGAACCCACCAAGCCAGGCATGGGAGAGAATCTCCTGGTCTGCCAGTTGCTAAGACCATGGGAAAAGTGCAGTATTTGGGCAGAAGTGTGCTGGTTTTCCAGGTGCAGTCTGTCATGGCTTCCCTTGGCTAGGAAAGGGAAATCCCCTGGCCTTTGTGCTTCCTGTGTGACGCAACGCCCCTCCCTGCTTTGGCTCACCCTCTGTGGGCTGCACCCACTGTCCAACCAGTCCCAATGAGATGAACCAGGTACCTCAGTCAAAAATGCAGAGATCACCCATCTTCTGCGTTGATCACGCTGGGAGCTGCAGACTGGAGCTGTTCCTATTCAGCCATCTTGGAACGGAAGCAAAACACCTTACCTTTTAATAAATTTTGTACATTTGTCCAACTCTTTTTCTGATCCACATGTGTTTTATCACCATGAGATGTAACACATCTTAGCAGATTCCACTGCAAGTTGTAGTGAATAAGTGTTTCTCAACTTCTTTGAAAATATGCTCATCTACAGTTGTCCCACAGACTGCTAACAATAGTTCATTATTTAGCCACTTTAAACTTGGCATTCACTAGGTATTTATTTCAAATAAGCAACTGAGGAATATCAGTAACATCTATTGACTTATCAAAAGCCAATGAAAACCAATTAGAATCATTTGCCTTGTTTTTTAATTGACTGTTGATGTTGCTCCCAATGTCCTTGACTCTTTCAGGAACTGTTCTTGTCAAAAAATTAGTAGTATTAAACAGTTATTTTCTGTGAACACATTTCTTCAGTTGCTATTGTCAAACAGCATTTAATTAAATCATCATTGTTAAACAGCTTTCCTTGCTTTGCCAACAAATGTAACACCCAGACACTTTGGTTTTAGACTCATTTTCAATTTTATTTTTGTGAACAAATTCTTCTGTGATGAGATATTTCATTTTAAATGTTCTAATTTTTCTGTCCATTGCATTCCTGAGTTGAAAATATTGTAATGAGCACTTAGTCTCGTAATGCTGATACATATTGTAGCCTTAGCACAGCTATAGTGTTATTACACAGAAACCACAATGCTTTGCCATCTAATTTGATCACAAAATAATATACATTCCACAGGCCCTTAAAGGACAATATCCAACGTCTAATTTTCTTGTTTTGGCTCAGTGAATATGCAGTGGTAATTAAAAACAAACAAAATGTTGCAACCTGGCAACATGGGTGGCAATTGAAACACTGTCCAGTTATAATTGCATCCCTGCCATTGGCAGCAGGGCAAACCAATGAGAGCAATACATTTGGTTTCCCTTGCAACCACTAAACTCTACCACTATAGCATGAACACACCCATCAATAATATGTACATGAATGGACGTGGCTGCCCTCCAATAGCACTTTACTTATGGACACTGAAATTTGAATTTCATAATTTTCACATCATGAAATATTATTTTGATTTTTTGTATTCTATATCACTGTAGAATGACCATAGTTAACAATATATAATTTCAAAGAGCAAAAAGGGATATATTGAATGTTTCCAACACAAGGAAATGATTAATATTTGAGATGATAGATGGATATACTAATTATCCTGGTCTGATCACCAGAATTAAATGTATCAAGACATCATTATGTACTCCATGAATATGTACAATTATTATTTGTCGATTTTTTTAAAAGTAAAAAAACCACTCTTAGCTCAAAAGCTGTACAAAGACAGGTAGTAGGTCATATTTGACTGGTGAGTTATCATTTGCTAACTTATGCCATAACACACAGTAGTTATATCTCCCTGACTAAGACTTGATTGACACAACATAGTTCAGTGCCAATGATGTGTTAGACATCTGCCAGGTAAAGGAGATACAAAGATGAATATTACAGGGTCTCTCTCCTCAAAAGATCAATATGTATCCAATAGATTCAATTATGTGATAAAAATTTAACAAGTATTTGCCTGTCATCTACTACACACAGCATAATATTGCCTGAGATACCAAGAACTTCAGTCCTTTAGGCCTTCCCACCCTTCTTTGGAGAATAAGATTTGCCTGTATTTTCTATATATTACTGTGTAATGAATTAATGCAAACTAAGCAGCTTCAAACAGCATTCATTTATTATCTCACAGTTTCTGTGGGCCAGGAATTCAGGCATAGTTTAAGTGGCTAGGCTGCTTATTGTCACACAAAACTGCAACCAATATGTTAATTAAACTGCCTTCTCATCTGAAAGCTCAATTGAGGGAGACCCTGTTCCCAAGCTCACTCAGGCTATTGGCATAATTTATTTCCTTGTGGCTCTAGGAATGTGATTCTTCATTCCAGATGGAGTTTGACACAACATAACATAATCAAGGGAATAACAACCCATCACCTTTTCCATATACTATTTGTTAGTAGCAAAACACAGTTACCACTCACACTTAAAGAGAAGAAATTATACAAGAGCATGAACATCAGAAGACATATATCATGGGGGTTCAGGAGGTGGTACTTCAAGAGTCTTCCACATGCTCAAAGAGTAATACAATAAAGTGTGCAGTCAAAAGGAAAATGATATGATACAGACCATACCATTCTGGTCCATACTGTTCTCTTAAATAACAGAGAGAACAGTGTGGACCAGAATTATTGGATAAGGCCTCATGGAGAAGGAGAGGTCTGGGCTTGTCTTTGAAGATTATATAGGCAAAAGCACAAAAAAATAAATAAAATAAGAATTCACTGAGCAATGACACCATTCATGATAATACAATAGCAGAAACAACTGTAGATTTACAGTAAAATGCTAAGACCCACCAGAATTTTGTAACTACTTTTCAAGAAAACTTCACATCGTTACCAATTTTGTCAAATGTTAGAATGTGAAATACCACCAGTGTACAAATCCAGAATAAATCCAGCTCCCCCAAATAAAAGCCCTGTTTAAAAGGCCTCATTACTAATTAAAAGAATGAAATAAAACACAATTTGCAGTTGCAGAAAAATGTGGATCCAGCCCAAAAGCCCATCAACCAACGACTGGATAAAGAAACTGTGGTATATATACAATGGAATACTACTCAGCCATAAAAAGGAATGAATTAAAGGCATTCATAGTAACCTGGATGGGATTGGTGATTATTATTCTAAGTGAAGTAACTCAGGAATGGAAAACCAAACATTGTATTTTCTCACTCATAAGTGGGAGCTAAGCTATGAGGATTCAAAGGCATAAGAATGATACAATGGAATTTGGGGACTCAGGGGGAAAGAGTGGG